>NC_000001.11:33928835-34553835 GCF_000001405.40 Homo sapiens | reverse complement strand
TGCATATGTTGAACCAGCCTTGCATCCCAGGGTTAAAGCCTACTTGATTATGATGGATAAGCTTTTTGATGTGTTGATGGATTCAGTTTGCGAGTATTTTGTTGAGAATTTTTGCATCAATGTTCATCAAATATATTTGCTTGAAGGTTTGTTTTCTTTTCTTTCTTCTTCTTCTTTTTTTTTTTTGCTGGGTCTCTGCCAGGTTTTGGCATCAGGATGATGCTATCCTCATAGAGTGAGTTGGGGAGGAGTCCCTTTTCCTCAATTTTTGGAATAGTTTCAGTAGGAATGGTACCAGCTCTTCTTTGTACATCTGGTAGAATTCTGTGAATCCATCTGGTCCTGGGATTTTTTTGGTTGATAGGTTTTTTAAAATTACTGATTCCATTTTGGAGCTCATTATTGGTCTGTTCAGGGATTCAGTTTCTTTCTGCTTCAGTCTTGGGAGGATGTATGTGTCCAGGAATTTATCAGTTTCTTCTAGGTTTTAATAGCTCATGTGCGTTGAGGTGTTCACAGTATTCTCTGATGGTTATTTGTATTTCTGTGGGTCAATGATAATATCCCTTTTGTCGTTTCTAATTGTGTTTATTTGGATCTTCTCTCTTTTTCTTTATTAGTCTAGCTATTTGTCTGTCTTAATTTTTTCAGAATACTGGCTCGTGGATTCTTTGATCTTTTGAATGGGTTTTCATGTGTCAATCTCCTTCAGTTCAGCTCTGATTTTGGTTATTTCTTGTCTTCTGTAGCTTTGCAGTTGGTTTGTTCTTGTTTCTCTAGTTCTTTTAGTTGTGATGTTAGGTTGTTAATTTTAGATCTTTTTAACTTTTTAATGTGACTGTTTAGTGCTATAAATTTCCCTCTTAACACTGCCTTAGCCATGCCCCAGAAATTCTGGTATGTTGTATTTTTGTTCTCATTAGTTTCAGAGAATTTCTTGAATTCTGCCTTTATTTCTTTATTTACCCAAAAGTCATCCAGGAGCATGTTGTTTAGTTTCCATGTAATTGTATGGTTTTGAACGATTTTTTTTTGATGGAATTTCACTCTTGTTGCCCAGGCTGGAGTACAACGGCACCGTCTTGGCTCACCGCAACTTCTGCCTCATGGGTTCAAGCGATTCTCCTGCCTCAGCCTCCTGAGTAGCTGAGATTACAGGCATGCACCACCACGCCTGGCTAATTTTGTATTTTTAGTAGAGACGGGGTTTCTCCATGTTGGTCAGGCTAGTCTCAAACTCCTGACCTCAGGTAATTCGCCCACCTCGCTCTCCCAAAGTGCTGGGATTACAGGCGTGAGCCACCTCACCCAGCCAAATGATTTTCTTAATCTCAATTTCCAATTATATTGTTCATACCATTCGGGGTCTGAGAGAGTGGTTGGTATGATTTTGGTTTTTTGCATTTGCTGAGGATTGTTTAGTGTCCAATTGTGTGATCCATTTTACAGTATATACCATGTGGCAATGAGAAGAATGCATATTCTGTTGTTTTGGGGTGTAGAGTTTGGTAGATATCTATTAGGTCCATTTGGTCCAGTGTTGAATTCAGCTCTGGAATATCTTTGTTAATTTTCTGCCTTAATGATCTAATACTGACAGTGGGGTGTTGAGGTCTCCCACTATTATTGTGTGGGAGTCTAAGTCTCTTTGAAGGTCTTTAAAAACATGCTTTATGAATCTGGGTGCTCCTGTGTTGGGTGCATATATATTTAGGATAGTTATGTCTTCTTGTTGAATTGAACCCTTTAACATTATGTAATACCCTTCTTTGTCTTTTTAAATTTTCGTTGGTTTAAAGTCTGTTTTGTCTGAAATTAGGATTGCAACCTCTTTGTTTTTCTGTTTTCATTTGCTTGGTAGATTTTTCTCCATCCTTTTATTTTGAGCCTATGGGTGTCATTGCATGTGAGATGGGTCTCTTGAAGATAGCATACCATTGGGTCTTGCTTCCTTATTCAGCTTGCCTTTCTGTGCCTTTTAATTGGGACATTTAGGCCATTTATAATACATTCAAGGTTAGTATTGATATGTGTGGATTTGATCCTGTCATCGTGTTGTTAGGTTGTTATTATGCTGACTTGTTTGTGTGGTTGCTTTATAGTGTCACTGGTCTGTGTACTTAAGTGTGTTTTTGTAGTGGATGATAATGATCTTTCCATACTTAGTGCTTCTTTCAGGAGCTCTTGTAAGGCAGATCATGTAATAAATTCCTTCACCATTTGCTTGTCTGAAAGGATCTTCTTTCTCCTTCACTTATGCAGCTTAATTTGGCTGGATAGAAAATTCTTGGTTGGAATTCTTTTCTTTAAGAATGTTGAATATAGGCCCCAATCTCTTCTGGCTTGTAGGATTTCTGCTGAGACGTCTGCTGTTACTCTGATGGACTTACCTTTGTAGGTGACCTGTTCTTTCTCCCTAACTACCTTTAACGTTTTTTTCTTTCATTTTGACCTTGGAGAATTTGACGATTATGTGTCTTGGGACAATATTTTGTGAAGTATTTTGTAGGAGTTCTCTGTTTTCCTGAATTTCAATGTTAGCTTCTCTAGCTATATTGGGGAAGTTCTCATGGATGGTATCCTAAACTATGTTTTCCAAGTTGCGTCCATTTTCCCCATCTCTTTCAGGGATGTCAAATGAGTCATAGATTCAGTCTCTTTATATAATTCCATATTTCACTGAGGTTTTGTTGTTTCTTTTCATTCTTTCTTCTGGTCTGACTGTCTTATTTCAGAAAGTCAGTCTTCAAACCCTGAGATTCTTTCCTCAGCTTGGTTTATTCTACTATTAATGCTTGCAATTGCATTATGAAATTCTCATAGTGTGTTTTTCAGCTCTATCAGGTCAGTTATGTTCTTTTCTATACTATTTTGTCAGCTCCACATCTTTTTATTGTGACTTTTAGCTTCCTTAGATGAGTTTCAACATTCTCCTGGATCTCAGTGATCTTCATTCCTATTCCTATTCTGAATTCTATTTGTATCACTTCAGCCATCTCATCCTGGTTAAGAACTCTTCCTGGAGAAATAGTGCAATCATTTGGAGGAAAAAAGGCACTTTGACTTTTTTGAATTGTCAGAGTTCTTGCACTGGTTCATTCTCATCTTTGTGAGGGTGATGTTCCTTCAGTCTTTACATTTTCTGTCCTTTGGATTTTTTTTTTCTTTTATTCCATTTGGTGACCCTTGTGGTATAAGGTGGGTTCAGTTGACTGGCTTCATGTTTGAAAGATTTTAGGGGGGCAAGGCTCAGTTTGGGACTCCTGGACTGAACTGGGGAACTAGTATCAGACCCCCACTTTGTTCTCTGGCTCCTCAAGGTTAGGAACCTGCTGTGCGGGAAGGGATGAGTTACTCCTGGACCACTGGTCACAACACTCCGATGGGTAGTGCCAGCCAAACCTACACCGTACTTTGTAGGGTGGTGGCAGAGGTATCTGTCCATGTTCACTACATGTCATTAGTAACAGCAGCTGCAGCACTGTGGGTTGTATGCTTGTTGACTGCAGCAGGGTGCTAGTGGGTTCCGGGGTGCCAACCTCCATGTGGGTGTTTGCAGCAGTGGCTGGCATTGACAGCACTGGCTTGGGAAAACGCCCCTCCCCATAACTGTGGGTGTGTGAACCAGCAGTGATGTTAGTGCAGGGGTGGGGCACTGGTTGGTGCAGGACTGTGTGCACACTCTGTGTGTGTTCCCATGGGCAGGAGTGGCCACTCAGGGAAGGGCTAGGTCTGCTTTTCTTCATGTCTAGTTTCATGCTGGTGATAATTTCAGCACAGGAGTGGGCCCTGGCAGGAGCGGGGCTGGTGGGCTCTGTCCCCGACAATGTTCTAACTACAGTGGTGGTTCAGCAGCGGGGAGAAGGGTGGGATGCACATACACAGGCAGCAGTGGCATGGCAGGGTGCCCCTCCACACATGCTGGAGGGGGAGGAAAGGCAAAGTATGCCTGCACACACACCCACCCACAGAGTAATTTGTGGGTTAGCCATGGGTGAGTGCATGTGGGCAAAGGGGCATGAAGGCAGGCTGCAGTGGGGGGTGAGCTGGTGCCTGTCCACTGAGATGGCTCTGTTGGAGTACTGTGCCCATCAGACACAGTCCACCAGCACAGGAGCTATGATGTGGGCTCCCAGGAGGTGCCTTGGGGCCACACTGCAAGCAGGTGCAGCCAGGCTGGTGTGCCTGAGAGAAGACAGCAGATTGAGAGGTGCTCAGGTAGGATGGGCCCCCTCTCATAGGCAAGACCACCATGCAGAGTTCAGGTCCTATGGTTCCCCTAGGGCTAAAGTCTCCTATAGGAGTGAGTTGAACCTAGGGAGATGGGCGACCGTGGCTGTGCTCCACTACAGATGCTCCCACACCAAGCACTCGGTTTCTGCTCTGGCTGGAGTTCTGCTCCTACCACTTCTCTGAGCAGCTCCCCCTGCCGGTTCAAGTGTCCACAGTGGTCAAGGGATCTCCTGCTGGGATTCCAGAAGCCCGTGGAGAGAGTGAGTTGCTCCTTGTCTATTTAGCTCCCACCTTCCCCAGGAGTCACCAGGAGCCAGAAATGAGTTCTGGTGCATAGTAGCCCCATGCAGGGGTTTCCTCCCACTTCAGCCAAGCATCTGCATCCTCCCTCCATTTGTTCTCAGTGTCTTCCCTCTGAAGACTTGCTAGGAGTGTGCCAGTATTCCCAATGCCCTGTCCCTCAGTGGGAGATGCTTGTCCTGGCTGCATCTACTCAGCCATCGGGCACTCTCTCCCTACCTAGTTTAGAATAATAAATATTTACGTAAGACTTTGAAGGGAAGGCAGCATTCTTATTTCTCCTGGTTCCTTCTTCCCCAAAGCAACCATTTTCAGATCTTCTAGTTGTTTCTTCCAGTATTAACTCCATATTTTTAAGAAACATGTTTATTCTACTGTTTTTTAAAATTACTTATCATTTATTAATGACCTTCTATGTAAGAAGAGGATTATAGCTCTCTTATCCCCCACAAACACATATCCTCTTATCCTCTCAATATGAATATAACATCATTTTGGGGACAATATTAGTATTCAGTATTTAAATTATTATGATTATATTATTTTCAAGTTGAGTTACTTGGTGTGCCATGATTATATTAATATTTCCTCTATTGTACAACTTTGTTGCTTTCCTTGGGTTTTTTCATTGCCCTGATTTGTCACTTCCTTGGTTTTGTATGTATCTATTGCTATTTCATGCCTGAGCTCTCTGGAAGAATTATAATTGTCTTTCAAATATGTTGACATCTATCAAATTATGTATTGGTTTAATTCTTTCCTTGGTTCTCCTGCTCTAACATGGTCTGCCATTCATCTGTCATTCTGGAACTTCTCTTCATCATTAAATCAGGAATTCCCTTGGCCCTCTCCTGTATTAAATTCCTGTTTGCTGGATTCTGGACATCCACTTTCTTGATTTACTCTCTTATCTTGGTGGGGAATATCCTTCAGTAGCTTTCTGCATAAGGATTCACAGGAAGCAATATTTTGAGATCTTGTACAGGAGGGATGATTTTCTATTATATTCTCACACTTGATTAATAGTTTGACTGAATATAAAATTGTAAAATGGTAATCATCCCCCATTCCCCTCAGGACTTTGAAGTATTTCTTCATTGCTTCCTCCTTTCAGTGTTGATGCTGAGAAGTCTGATGCTTTTCTGATCCTTGATTCTTTGAATATCAGTGAGTAGGGGACGTTTTCCATCCATCGTTCTGGCACTTGGTGGCCGTTTCAATCTAGAAACTCATGTCATAGTTTGTTACTTCAATAATTTTCCCCTTTGATTTCTCTCTTTCTGGAACTCCTGCTATTCAAATAAATACTGGCTGTTATACTGGTGTTATATGTAATCTTACACTTTCTTCCGTTTTCCATCTCTTTGAGTTGGGTGCTTCTCTCTGAAGATCTTCTTAACTTATTTTTACAGTCATCTTATTGAGTTGTTTATTTCTGTTACAATATTTTTAATTTTTAAGAGCTTTCTGTTAATATTTATTTTTAAATAGTTATGTATTCTTGTTTAAGGATATAATATTCCCCCTGTATCTCTGGGAATATTAATTATTTGGTTGTTTTTTTCCTTTGTACATTGCTTCTATTTCCTCTGATTTTTTTTTCTGTTTTCTTTCCATGATACTGTGGTTCCTCAAACATCTGGCGACACTGATTACCTTTCATATTTGAGAAGGAGGCACTGAAATGCTCAATGGGAGCTCCATGTGTGCAGGCTTATGGACTGGTGAGTTTCTGTAAGATGATCAAACAGGACCAAACTGTTCAAGTAGGAGCCTCTAAGATCTCTTCTCTTAGATTGGTCAGTTGCTGCCCTCTCCAGCCCCAGGGCCAGCCATACCCTGCCCTCCCTGCCCCTTCCCCTACCCAAGTACACAGGCTGCCCTCCAGCCATGCTCCCACTCCTACTTGACCCCTGGAAGTGAGCAGCTGCAAGCTTCTGTGTGGATATTTGCCAGGAATGCCTTTTCTCTCTTTTCAACTCTTACTTACGTAACAGGGCTCTGTTGCAATCACTTCTTTTGCCTCCACACTTGTTCCCCTGCTCCCAATTCCAGGGCAGATCAGCCTCTCCTTTTTGTCTGTCCTCACAGCACCTAGTGGCTCTCCATGGGAATCACACTCTGCAATAGCACGATTTCCTGCTTGTCTCCCATACTAACTAACCTTCAAGCCTTTTAAGGAGCTTTGTTATTCTATTATCTGGTCCTGGTCTGGCCCATTCCTTTACAGTGGTGATACTTTAGCATCTTGGAGTAATACAGAGAGAAAAGAGGCACCGTGGAAGAAATCAAGGAAGTTTTATGGATCTGCCATCATCACAGGCATCTAAGCCCCACTCTAAGTGCTACATTGTGACCAAGACTCAAAAGTTTTAACACCCCACAAAACTTTCCTCACCCCACACTCTCCTAGTATCCTCCAGTATGGTCAGCAGATATACTCTTATCACTATCTACCATGCCCCATGACCAGTGTGAACTTATTCTCTGGAAAAACAGGAGGAAAATACCCACTAGAGGGGTCAAAGAGGAGACCTTTGACCTCTCTCTGAAAATATCTGTCTGTGGAGGTGTCAACAGGTCAGCAGAAAGTCCTAGATGGACTTGGGTTCTCCCAGAGTCTTTTCATTTGGACTTCTTGTATATCCATCAACAGATCAAGAAAATGTCAACACCACAAGAATACATATTCACTAGAGCAGGGATGGCAATTATATTTCACCTCCATTGTAGCTCCCCCTGATGACTGGTGGCTGCCTCAAGTGCTTGTTATGGGTTCTGAGGCCTTCTCCAGGCTCAGAGTGAAAGAGTCCTGTGATCAATTAATGATGTCTGCCACTGGCAGTTATTCACTATCCCAGAACCAGAGGAAAGATGAAAGTAAAATGTTCTAAGACAGTGTTTCCCAAACTTGGCTTATGATAAGAATTACCCGGAGGTACTTGTTAAAAATAGATTCCAGATTCTTCATCAGGAGATTCGAATCCAAGGGGTCTGGAGTGAGGTCTTTAAATCTGTACCTAGCAAGCACCTACATGAGTCATAGAATCAAGCAAGTCTGGAAACATTATTCTAAGGGAGGGTGGGTTTCCAGGACTCCCTACTTAAGAGAAGGAAATGCAGAAAGATGGAATATCAGAACCCAACCCTGGGGGAAGAAAGGGAAAAATGGCAAACTCAGGCAGGCAGGACTCCAGGCCCCTACACTTTCGTGAGGGCTTTGTATAAACTCTGAAGTCCTAGCTGGAGTCCCATGAACATATCAGTGTTGGAGAATGATCAAATCACTGAGTTTTAGAAATACACTTCTCAGTATCTTGTTTAACTTTCACTTGTCCACACTCAGATCCCTGTGTCTTGCTTCTGCCACATCTGGTTTAAGATGATCTAGAGAGGCCTCAGAGGAATGGTACATGTAACCATATGAAGAAGTCACAAAGGTCTGTATTTGTCAGTCAGAAAACCAAAGGCTGAGAAGGAATGGGATCTCTCCTGTGCAGCATGAATGTCTTCTGAGTAGTCTCACCACATCCCTGACATGAAGGATCCCATGAAAATCAGTTAGTTTAGACACATTTTAATAAATCCCATCTCATCAGTGGGGTTCAGTTCCTGAAACTAGTCCCCCTATCTTAATAAAATAAGAGCTCCTATAAATAGGCATAACAAATGTAGACCAAAATCCCAACATCAGCACTGTGTGCTTATGCTTTTATGTAAGGAGATGGTGGGTCTTGGATACATATTCAATGGAGAATCTATACATATATCATGTAACAAAAACTGGATAGCTAACATGAACTGAGCACTTACTCTGCACCACAAACTATCTTAAGGCTTGTCTTAGTCAATTTTCTGTTTCTATAACTGAGTACCTGAGACTAGGTAATTTATAAAGAAAAAAATTATTTCTTATAGCGCTAGAGGCTGGAAAATCCAAGGTCTAGGGGCTGCATGGGTGTGGAACTTCTTGCTAGTTAGGACTCTCTGTAGAGTCCCAAGGCAGCTCAGGGCATCTCATGGTGAGGGGGCAGAGCATGCTAGCCCAGATCTCTCTTTCTCTTCTTATAAAGCCTCTGGTTCAATCATGGGGGCCCTACCATAATGACCTTATCTGATTCTAATTACCTTTCAAAGGCCTCACCTCCAAATGCCATCAACATATGAATTCGAATATTAAGTTTCCAACACATGAAATTTGGGAAACACATACAAACCATAGCAAGCTTTTTTATGTATACATTTATTTTTTCCTCTCTAAAACCCACAAGGAAAGTACCATTATTTTACCTATTTTATATCTATGAAATTGACACACAGAGTTTATAGGTAATTCCCAAGATCACATAGCTGATATATGCCCATATTAGTTATCTATTGCTACATAATAAGTTACCCTCAAACTTAGCAATTTAAAATAACACCATGTATCTCAGTCTGTGCTGCTCAGAAATCTAGGTGTGGCTAGGTGGGTTCTCTAACTCAGGGTTTTTCACAAAGCTGCAAAGTGTCTTCAGAGACTGCAGTCATTTTAAGGCTTGATTGGAGAAGCATCTACTTCCAAGCTCATTTACTGGCAATTGGTAGGATTCAGTCCCTTGGGCTTATTTGATGGAGGGTCTGTCTGTTTCTTGCCATGTCAGCCTTTCTGTAGGACATGGCAGTTGGTTTCCACTACAGTGAATAAAAGAGCAATTAAGGAAGAGAGAGCAAGATGGCTGCTAAGATATCTTTCTGCAACTCAATATTGGGAGTGACATCCCATCAAGGTTGCTATATTCTTTTCATTAGAAGAAAGTCCTTAGGTCCAACCCACATTCAAGGGGAGGGGATTATATAAAGGCATGAATACCAGGTGGCTGGGATCACTGGAGGCCATTTTAGAAGCTGCCTACAACAGTAGCAACGATCTAGACAATGAGGCTCCAGAGCTGCCCTCCTAATGCCAAGAAGCACGAGAATGATAAATGCAGAATTCAGGAATATGGTTATTCCCACTGAGGGAAGGAAGAAGATGGGATGTAAGAGAAGCATACAGGTGGATGCAACAATACTGATAATATTCTAGTTTTTAAATGGATATTCACTTTATTATCATGCTGTATAATTCACATGTAGGTTATGTGAAATCTTTTGGATGCACCAAATATTATATGATAATTTAAAAACATTATCTGCTTATTTTATTTGTGAAAAGTGACAAGAACAAATGTTAACTCTGAAGAATGAAGAATATTTATGTGCTTAGATTGGTGATATGCAACAGGACTGCATATAAGAAATAACTGGGGAACATTTAAAATATAATAGATTGTATTTTTTAGAGTAGTTCAAGGTTTATGGAAAAACTGGGTAGAAAGTATAAAGAATTCCCATATCCCCTCTTCCCACCCCCAGTTTTCCCTATTATTAACATCTTGCATTAGTGTGGTACATTTGTGACAATTGGTGAGCCAATATTTACACATTATTAATAGCTAAGTCTGTAATTTAGATTAGGGTTCACTCTTTATGTTGTGCATTCTATGAATCTTGATAAATGTTTAATGGCATATGTCTACCACTATAGTACCATACAAAATACTTTCCCTGCCTTAAAATTTCTTAGGCTCCACCTATTCATTCCTCCCTCCTCCCAAACTCCTGGAAACCACTGATCTTTTTACTGTCTCCATGGTTTTGCCTTTTCCAGAATATTATTTACAGTAGTTGGAATCATACATTGTGGAAACATTTTTAGATTGGCTTCTTTCACTTATTAATATGCACTTAAGGTTTGTCCATGTCTTTACATGGCTTCGTAGCTCACTTATTTTTAATCACTGAAAAATATTCCATTGAATGGATATGACATAGTTTGTTTATCCATTCAGGTATTGAAAGACATCTTGGTTGTCTCCAAGTTTTTGGAATTATGAATAAGGTTCTATAAACATTTGTGTGTGCAGGTTTTTGTGTGGACATGTTTTCAACTTATGTGGGTGAATACCAAGGGACATGATCGTTGGATCATATGGTAAAAGTATAGCTAGTTTTGTAAGAAACTGCCAAACTGTTTTCCAATGTGGTTGTATTATTTTGCATTCCCACCAGCAATAAATGAGAGTTCCTGTTGCTCCTCATCCTTGTCAACATTTGATATATTATCGCTTTGTTTTAATTTGCAATTCCCCAATGATATGTGATAATGAACAGCTTATTTATCACTTATATATCTTCTTTGGTGAGGTGTCTATTCAGATTGTTTGCCCATTTTTTAATTGGGGTAGTTCTTTCCTCATTGTTGAGTTTTAAATGTTCTTTGCATATTTTACACGCAATTACTTTATCAGATATGTGTTTTGCAAATGTTTTCACCCAGTCTGTGGCTTATCTTTTCAGTCTCTTAACAGTGTCTTTTGTCAATTAGAAGTTTTTAACTTTAGTGAAGTCCAACTGATCTTTTTTTTTTTTCTTTCAATGATTATACTGTTTTGTTGTACCTAAATGGTCATTGTGAAGCCCAAGGTCATCTAGTCTTTCTCCTATGTTATTTTCCAGGTGTTTTATAGTTTTGTCTTTTACATTTAGGTCTGTGTTTCATTTTGAGTTAACTTTTGTGAAAGATATAAGATCTGTGTCAAAATTCAGCTTTTTGCATGTGGATATCCAGTTGTTCAGGCATCATTTGTTGAGAAGACTGTCTTTTCTCCATTGAGTTGCCTTTGCTTCTTTGTTAAAGATCAGTTGACTGTGTTTAGGTGGATCTATCTGTTCTGTTCCATTAGTCTGTCTAGTCGTTCACCAATACCACATTGTCTTGATCACTATTGCTTTATAGTAAGTCTTTAAGTTAAGTAGTGTCAGTCCTCTGCTTTATTTTTCTCCTTCAATATTGTTTTGGTTATCTTGGGTCTTTTGGCTCCCTTTAGAATCAGTCCATTGATATCTGCAAAATAACTTGCTGGGGTTTTCATTGGGATTGTGTTGAATCTATAGATTAAGTTGGGAAGAGCTGACACTTTAACAATATTGAGTCTTCTTACCCATGAACCATGATAATTTTTAATAGCTTTATGGAGACTTAATTGATACACCATAAAATTAACCCATTTAGGTTATAGAATTCAATGTTTTTTGTACATTGAATGAAGTATGTTGATAAGTTTGCACAACCATCACTACTATCTAATTTTAGAATATATTTGTATCCCCAAATAAACTCCATGCACATTAGTAGTCTCTCCTTATATGTCCCTGCCTCCTACTCCAGTCTTAGGTAACCACTAACATACTTTTTGTGTCTATCGATTTTCCTATTCTGGACATTTCTGGACATTTTATATAAATGAACATTTTATATAAATACAATATATGGTCTTTGTGACTTGCTTCTTTCTTTTTTTTGAAACATTGTTATGTGTTCAAGGTTCATCCATATTGTGGCACATATTGGTACGTTCTTTCTTTTTAATTAGAATAATGTTTTACTGTATAGATATACCACATTTTATTTATCCATTCACCAGTTGATGAACATTTGTATTGTTTCTACTTTTTGGCTATTATAAATAATGCTACTATGAACATTTTTGTACAAGTGTTTGTATGAATGTATGTTTTCATTTCTCTTAGGTATATGCATAGGAGCGAAATTACTGAATAACTTACGTGAAACATTTTGACGAACTGTCATATTGTTACCCAAAGTGATTGCACTGTTTTACAAATCATATTGGCAAGGTAGGAGGGTTCTAATTTCTCCTCATCCTCACCAGCACTCGTTATTGCTTGTCTTTTGAAATTACAGCCATCCTAATCGTTGTAAGGCGGTATCTCATTGTGATTGATGGCAATCCATCTTAACAATGTTAAGCCTTTCAATCCATGAACATGGATGTCTTTCAATTTGTTTAGATATTCTTTAATTTCTTTCAACACTATTTTATAGTTTTCAGTGTACAAATCATGCAATTCTTTTGTTAAATTTATTCCTGAGTATTTTTTTGATGCTATTGTAAATGAGTTTGTTTTCTTAACTTTATTTTCAGGACGTTTATTGCCTGTGTATGGAAAGAAAACTTATTTTTAAATATTGATCTTGTATCTTCGCTGAACTTATTTAATTTTAATTTTTTTTAGTGAATTCTTCTGGATTTTCTATCTACAAGACTGTGTCATCTGAAATAGAGATAGTTTGACTTCTTTCTTTCCAATGTACTTACCTTTCCCCCCAATTTTCTTGCCTATTTATTCTGGCTAAAACTTTAGAATCCTAGTAGAATGTTGAATAAAAATGGCAAAAGTGGACGTCCTTGTTTTCTTCTTGATATTAGGGGAAAAATACTCGGATTTTCACCATTAAATGTACTGTGAACTGTGTTTTTTTCTTACACGTCTTTTGTCATGTTGAGGAGGCTTTCTTCTCATAATTTGTTGAGTATTTTTAATTTGAAAGGGCATTGAATTCTTTCAAATTCTTTTTCTGCATTTTTGAAATGATAATTTCTTGTCCCTTTTTCTATTAATATGGTATATGACCTGAATTGATTTTCAAATATTAAATCAACTTGCATTCTTGGAATAAATCCCATTCAATCATAGTGTATAATCCTTTTCATATGCTGTTGCAGTTTATTAATATTTTGTTAAGGATTTATGTAAGTATATTAATGAGAGATATTAGTCTATAGTTTTCTTTTGTGTGTTTTTTTTTATTTTTAATATCAGGGTAATACTGGCTTCACAGAATTAGTTGGGAAGTAGTCTTCTTCTATTTTTGGGAAGATTTTAGGAAGCACTGGTATTGCTTCTTCTTTGAATGTTTGGTAGAATTCACCAGTGAAATCTTTTATGCCTGGGCTTTTCTTCATGAAAAGTTTTAAAACTATTAATTCAGTTTCTTTACTTGTTACAGGTGTTTTCATATTTTCTATTTCTTCTTGGATAAGTTTTGGTAATTTATGTCTTTCTACACATTTCACCTAATTCATCTAATTTGTTGGCATTTAATTGTTTATAGGATTCTTTTATATATATATATTTATTTCTGTAAGGTTGGTAGTGATGTCCTCTCTTTCATTCCTGATTTTCATAATTTGAGCCTTCCTTCCCCCCTCCCATTTTTTTTTTGGTAACATTAGCTAAAATTTTATCAATTTTGTTGATCTTTTCAAAGAACTAACTTTTTTCTTTATTGTTTTCTATTCTTTATTCCATTTTTTAAATCTAATCTTTCTTGTTTCCTTCTTTCTGCTTGTTTGGGTTTAGTTTGTTTTTATTTTCTGGTTTCTTGAGGTGAAAGTTTATTGATTTGAGATCTTTCATATTTTTAAAGTTTAGGCATTTTCAGCTATAGATTTTCCTCTGACCACTACTTTAGCTGCATTTTATAAGTTTTGGTATGTTGTGTATTTGTTTTTATTTATCTCGAAGAATTTTTAAATTTTCCTTGTGATTTCTTCTTTGCCCACAGGTGATTTTGCTAGTGTGTTGTTTAATTTCCACATATTTGTGAAGTTCCCAAATTTTCTTCTATTATTGATTTCTAATTTGATTCCCCTGTGGTCAGAAAACATATTTTACTTTGTATAATTCCAATCCTTTTAAATTTATTGAGGCTTATTTTTTGGCTTACTTTGAGGTATATCCTGAATAATGTTCCAATGTGTGCTTGAGAAGAATGTGTATTCTGCTGCCATAATGCGGAGTGTTCTACAGATGTCTTTTAGGTCTAGTTGGCTTATAGTATTGTTCAAGTCTGCTATTTCCTTCTAGCTCTTTTGCCTAGTCATTCCATCCATTACTGAAAGTTGAGAGTATTGAAGTCTCCAACCATTATTGTTGAATTGCCTATTTCAATTCTGTCAGTTTTTGCTTTATGTATTTCGGATGGGACTCTGTTGTTAGATGCATACATATTTATAATTGTTATATCTCTCAGATGGAGAGACTCTTGCCAATATAAAATATTCTTCTTTAGTAACAGGGAAACTTTTTTCTACAAGTAAGCTAGGGCTGGGGCTGGGGCCCCAGTAGTCTTGGCCTGCTGTGCTTAGTGTAGAGCTTCTGTCCTATGAATGGGTCTGGGTGGGGGAAGGGAGGCTGGTCTTCTCTGCAGTGTCAACCATAATAGAAATTCTGCAACATGGGGCTAGAGATTAGAAAGGCCAGTGGTCAGCCCCTGCCAGGGTGAAATCCTAGTCCCAGACTGGCAGCTGAGGGGAGTGGGAGCCTTCTTCTTGGCCACACCAGTTTGGGGTAGAGCTTCTGTAATATGGATCTGGGTATGAGGTTGTCGGGGGACAGGGAAGGGGATGGGTTTTGGCTCAGATGCCATAGACTCTCACTGTTCTTACGAAGATTAGGTAGATTTTCCTGAATGACTATTTCCCCCTTTGCCTTATACTCTTAGGGCAATTTCCAGATTATTTCTAAAATACAATTTTCACCAAATTTTTGTTTCTTTGGGAGAAAGTCTGCCAAGATTTTTACCCTGCCTCTCTGAAAGTTCAGCCCTCCATGACAAATTTTTAAAAGAATAAATAGGACTAGGTTGAGTCTGTTTAGTTTGAATACCACTTAAACCTCCTGACTGTTGAGGTTGCCATTTCCAGAAATGACTAAAAACAAGACATAGACCTTGGCAGTACCAAATTTTAAAGAAGTAAGATTTGGCTGCTGAGTGGCCACATATTTGCCTTTTACTTCTCTGAGAGATCAATCTCATTACTCAGCAACTCAAAATTATGGCAGCAATAAAAGCACAGTTGCATTTGTGTGAAGGACTAACCCAGCTCAGTGCTTTGGATTGCTTATGAGCTCTGTGGGCAAATGCCAAGGCAAGAGTCTGATTAGCAAGAGACCACAGATTTTTTTTTTTTGAATTCTAATTATGTAGTTAAAAGGGAAAGTAGAACTTTGTATAAATAAATAAAGAACTGCCATTCTCAAACTGGGTGATGCTTGTCAGAAGAAGATGTAGTGGTGGGCTGATGTAGGCTGGGGAGGTCTCAGATCCAGAGGTTAGACATGCTTACTGGGCAAAGGTATTTGAATGTGTATTATTAGAAGGCCAAAGGCATCCCACCAGCCAGGCAAGGAGATGCTGGGAGAGAAGAATGATGAGTAGTCTTGGCAGGTGGTCAGCTCCAGGGACATCCAGCTGTTTCCTATTCTTCACAGCCCTAGGAGAATGGAGACTGAGGCATGAGCCAGATCCCATTGTTGATGGGGCACAAAGTCAGAATAGGACCCAGCACCAGGCTGGCAAGGATGAATCATGAACAATAAGCTAGAGGAATCTTCAATTCTCCCAAGTACCTAATGATTGGATCTAGAGCTTGAGGTGAGAGCTGATTAGCTATAGCTATAAGCATTCAAGACCCTTAGTGGAAGAGAATTATATGGAAGAATGCAGCTCTCTTTACTGGACAACTCAGATAATAATAATCATGATAGTAATAGTGGTAGTGTCAGCAGCAGCAAACACTTATATAGCACTTACAATGTGACAGTCTCTCTTCTTGACATATATTTCATCTTTACAAAAAGTAAATCTAGCATCACCTCCATTTTAGAGATGAGAAATCTAGACACAGAAAATATGTAAGCATCAGCATGTACTGGAGCCAGGGTTCAAGTCCAGGTAATCTGGCTTCGTGGTCCATGTCTTAACCCCTGCACACTACCACATCAGATGTCTAGGAATCTATTTTCTCATCCTTAGATAGGAAGAACAATAGATACCTTCTCAGACTGTAGGTGGGAGTAAATGAATGTGGAAGCACATGTAAGCTAAGAATTACAGCCTTTATGCTTGTTGTTGTTTATAATACCCCCAGCCATCCCTCAAATACGATCCCTTTTGCCAGCTTTTTGTAATAATTGAAAATGAGCTGGAGATGGAAGGCTTCACCTCTAGTAATGTTTTATTGCTTAAGATGGGTAGGGCACACAGGTATTCATTGCATTATTCTTTATAGCTTTTTGTATACCTCAAATATTTCATAATAAGCTAAAAAACCAAAATGAGTATATGCCAGGGTGGGGTAAGGAGAGTGGCATCAGAATACATAACCCTAGCATGGTCTTAATGCCAACTTTGTTGACTTGACACTATGGCTCTTGGGCCACTCTAGTTTTCTAGACACCATCTGGAAACATCTGGAAAGAAAACAAACATTTCAGGCAGGGAGATTTTTACACTGGGAAAAGGGAGCCGAGAAGGAGAGGACAGAAAAGTAAGAGAAAAACTAGCCAGAGTATTATGTGCTAGAAAAAGCCGAGGGAAGAGGGCAGAGAAAGGCTTTCAAGAGGCTGAGCACGACGAGAAGCAGGGAAAGGCCACTTAATGAAGCAAGTAGAAAGCCCCTAGTGATCTTCCAGAGAGCAGCTTCAGAGTCTGTCAATAATTCACCTCTTTCTACAGTAGGATTGATATATTTTATCCACAGATAATTGATATATTTTATATATGTTATATATATAAATATACATCCACAGATAATTTACATATAATATAATATATAAAATATATTATTCAATTGGTTCAGTAAAGGATAGATCCCAAGGAAAAATTGGCACCAAGGATAAAAGAGGAACTATTAATAAAACATGATCATAACAAAATTTAGCTTAGCCTCTTGGAATTCCAGGCAAAAAGTGAAATACAGAAGCTGTAAAGCTCAGATAATTAGAATGAAAGCCACAAGCCTGTTCCTCAAGATATGCATTTTTTCCCCATCTAGAGTTGGCCTTTGATACCTCAGGATGCTTGAAAGTAGAAAAGGGTAGTTTAAATTGCCCTTAAAAAAGGGAACCCCTCCAAAAATGGATCAAAGTTAGAATGCATCTTAAAAAATAAAATATTATTAAAATAAGTTTATTTTATTTCACACTTAAAATTGAAGTTGTATATGTAACTATCTGCCCACTCTTTGGATGAATAGGGTGAACCAACTGCTGAATTTTTTTGGTAGAATTTTTCCAACAAAAGTATATAATAGAATGAAATAACATTCTCAAATTCATGTTTGACTTTGGCAGCATGATCATAAAAAGGGTGTTTTTTTTTCCAAAACTCTTTGAACACTCTATCAATTTTCTCAAGAGCGTCTCTTATTCCTTTGATATTCAAACCATTCTCTTTCAAAGTCTTCACAGTATCATCGCCCTTGCTGTTTTCTCCTCTTGAGTTGTTAACTGCTCGAACTCTCCCAAATACTGATTTGTCAAAGCCTTTGCATGTGACGCCAGCAGTCCTTCCCCTTCACTTTCATAGATTTTATGAAATCCTGCCCCCCCATTTTTTGGCGATATTTTCAATTATACTTTTGCAATCAACTTGCATTGTATTCCCAGGGTATTGATCATCTGTCAACCAGTGAGACACTGAGCAATGAAGACGTTGATGGGACAGGAAGGAATAGACCCTAGTGGGAGTGTGGGAGGGATGTGAAAGACTGAGGACTCATGTCCTAAGTGGCGACCTCTGCTGCCCTAGATGACCTAGTCATGGCAGGGGTTCAGGTAATGAATGCCTAAATAAGAGCAACCCCTGTACTAAACTCTTAAAGTGTTTCTCACATGGCTCCTTACAAAGATGACCACCAAGGTAAAGAAGCAGTAAACAGGCCGGGCACAGTGGCTCATGCCTGTAATCCCAGCACTTTGGGAGGCCAAGGAGGGTGGACCACGAGGTCAGGAGTTTGAGACCAACCTGACCAACATGGTGAAACCCCCGTCTCTACTAAAAATACAAAAGTTAGCCAGGTGTGGTGGTGCACGCCTGTAGTCCCAGCTATTTGGGGGGCTGAGGCAGGGGAATTGCTTGAACCGGAGAGGCGGAGGTTGCAGTGAGCTGAGATTGCACCACTGCACTCCAGCCTAGGCAACAGAGCAAGACTCTGTCTCCAGAAAAAAAAAAAAAAGCAGTAAACAATATCAATATGCTTAACAGCAGGTGTACAGCAAAATTGGTGCACATTTTATATGGCTGTTTCTCATCACCACTGCTGAAAAAAGTTGGGGCAGAATGTCCAAACACAGTTTAGTGGAGGTGATTCTGTGAGGGGCTGACCTTAATATGGTCCAACATGTAGTCTCCCTGTATTAGTTATCTACTGCTGTGTAACAAATGACTCCCAACTTATCGACTTAAAACAACAGACATTTATTATCTCATAGTTTCTGTGGGTCAGAAATCCAGGAGCAGTTTAGCTGCAGGTCAGCCAGGGCTGCAGTCATCTGAACATTGCCTAAGTCTGGAGGATTTATTTCCAAGCTCATTCATGTGTCAGTTGGCAGAAAGTTTTAGTTCTTGCTATGTGGGTCTTACCCTAGGGCTTCTGATGACATGACTTCCTCCAGATGGAGTGATCCAAGGGAGAGAGAGGGGAAGCAACCAAGACAGAAGACAGTGACTTTTATAACTTGACCTTAGAAGTGACATACCATCATTTCAGCAGTATTCTATCAGTCACCTGGTACAATGTGGGAGGTGACTGCAGAAGGGTGTGAATTCCAGGAGGTGATAGTCATCTTTGGTGGGAGGCAATCTTGGAAACTGACTACTGCACTGCCCCTGGGTTGATTGGCCATGAGGTAGAGACAGTTTTAATATTGGAGCAAATAACTGGGAAGAGGCAAGAGGTTGAGAGAAGGGGAAAGGGAGGGAATACATGGAAAGAACTCATGGAGTAAGGGGTGTGGAGGCTGCGGCAGGGCTGCCCCAGACAGTTGGGCTAGTTGCGCACTGCACTATTTTAGGAGGTTCCATTTACACAGACAATATATTAGGTGCCCTGAGTGAAGACAAGCACAGCATCTTCCTGGCAGAAATTTGACATGGAAAGGGCTTCACTATATTCACTTCTTCATCATACAGAAATGACCCAGATGTTTCTGGAAGCTGGGTTTGTGGAGCTCATTCTTTGTGTTGGTCAGGTGGGAGGTGGCCACTTACAGTGAGGGGGTCTAACTGGCATCTGTGAACTCTTGGCTCTGGTGTGATGCTCCTTTCTTCTGCTGAAGGAGCCAATGGAAGTGAGTATTATGGGGGTGTCACAGGAAATCTGGCTGCACTTGGGGACGGCAACATGACTCGCTAAGGAGGAATAGTGAGGCAGAGCTGCTGCTTCTCTTTTTAGCGTCTGCAGTTCCATTTACACCTCTGTCAAAAAGAGTTGACAGAGACACGATGACTCTGGAATGAAGCCCCAGAGAATATCAAGCCAGAGACGGGAAGCCAGAGAATATCAAGTTATATTTCTGTAACCATCAATGACTTGCTGTATTGCTCTGTGTGACGGGCTGAAATGTGTCCCCCCAAGATTCATATGTTGAAGTCCTAACCCCAGTGTCTCAGAACGTGACTTTATTTGGAGACAAAGGCTTTAGAGAGGCAATAAGGTAAAATGAGGTCATTAGAGTGGGTCCTAATCCAATATCACTGGTTTCCCTGTAAGAGGAGATTAGGATGCAGACACCTATGGAGGGAAGACTTTGTGAGGACACAGGGAGAAGACAGTCATCTGGAAGCCAAGAAGAGGGGGGCCTCAGTAGAAACCAATCATACCAACACCTTGATCTTGGACTTCTGGGCTCCAGAATTGTGAGAAAATAAATTTCTATCGTTTAAGCCACTCATCCTATAGTACTCTTATGGCAGCCCAGCAAACTATTATACCCTGGACAAGTCTTTACCCTCTATGTGTTCTGGTCTTGCAGTGCTTACGGAGATGGTACCTCATTGGTATGGTGTGTGCACATAATGGATATCATGATGAATATTGCACATATGGCTGCTGCTAACACACGTGGTGCTTTTGTGTAAATTAAAAAAAGATGCCCTGGCCGGACGCGGTGGCTCACACCTGTAATCCCAGCACTTTGGGAGGCCGAGGCGGGTGGATCATGAGGTCAGGAGATGGAGACCATCCTGGCTAACACAGTGAAACCCCGTCTCTACTAAAAAAAACAAAAACAAAACAAAAAAATTAGCTGGGTATGGTGGCGGGCGCCTGTAGTCCCAGCTACTCAGGAGGCTGAGGCAGGAGAATGGTGTGAACTCGGGAGGCGGAGCTTGCAGTGAGCCAAGATCTCGCCACTGCACTCCAGCCTGAGCGACAGAGCAAGTCTCCGTCTCCAAAAAAAAAAAAAAAAAAAAAAAAAAGAAAGAAAGATGCCCTTCTCCCAGGTGGCTGCAGTTTTGCCCTGGTATGCTTGGCTTGGTGAGGTAAGCATGGGCTAGATTCCAGTGCTCCTTGCCCCTAGACTAGGCACGCTTTTGCTGGGCACAACCTGCATGTCCTCACATGGTGACTGTGCCAATGCAAGGAGCTCTGGATGCCCAGGAAAGAGGGTGGGACACTAGCTCTGACTGGAGCAGCCATTCATGCCACTGTTCTCAAGGAGAAAGGCTGAGATGACATCCCTTTCTCCTCATTGCCCTTTCCTAGAACAAACTCAGTGAAAAACTTCAGCAAATGATGCATTAAACTTTTAAATTTACAGCACACTTAGCAAGTCTACTATACCTTACTAAGATAACACACCAAAAGGTTGGAGAGAGCTCCTTTTAAACATTTTATGAATTCATGGCTCTGTACTCACTGCCTCATTCTCATTCTCAACTACTGATACTTACAAACCCAGAAATTTACATATTCATGTATATAGAAATACCACCTAGCTCTATATATAAATACATTTTAATATCACTTTGAGGAAATTTGTAGACCTGGCTACCTTGCCACAGGTTAATGAATATTTGTTTAGATGAAACTGGCTCTTCCTTGCCAAATTTCCTCCTCCTAAGCCAAAAGCTCAGGAGATGCCATAATTCTCTTCCCTTTACATGGCACCATCAAGGTAGCTCAGGAGAGCTGGAGAAGCTCAGGAAGTGGAGTCAAGCAGCCTGAACTGGGAGTTGGTGTGGTCATGGGTGGCTGGGGCAAAGTGCTAAGATAGATCTGTGCCCTTCTCCCCGAGACTTTCTGTAGCTGAGGGTGCTGCTTATGGCTTACAGCTGCTGACACCTGCAGCTCTGTTCCTGGGACTTTCCCCAGAACTACGGGAGGCCACTTTGCAAGTACTGGAGGAGCAATAACCCCTGGGAGCAGCCTTCAACCAATGATTGGTGGGGCTTGTATATAAAACACCCCTGCATCTCTGCTGGGTGTGTGTACCTGTGATCGTTTTGAGGCATGTGTTTTACAGCATTTTCCAGAGTTTCCTCATGGGATTATGCAGCGGTCCCTCACTGTGGGAGCTGGCTTAATAACACACAAATGTTGGTTGCTTGCCTTTTCCTGTGTCACTTTCTCATTCCTCTACTGGTGTTTCTGGGGCCTCTCAAAATAAATTATTAGTACTTAAATTCTGTCTCAGGGTTGGCTTCTGGGAGAATCTAAACTCTATCCCCCTCCATATTATAAAAGACTCTGCTTCAAACTTTAGATAGAGTCAGCTAATTGCTCTGACCCAAAGAGCCTGGCCAGAGGGTCCCTGCTGCTAATTTGCTGCTGTAGGGTACATTTATGGCTCACAGCCTGAAACACATCCTGTGTGTTTTACCTACTATGTCTGTAATATCCTATGGACTGGATATTATTATCCCATTTATAAATTCTTGAGGTTAATAGAGGAGTCAAGTTTAGGAAGTGGAGGGATGGAAAAGCAATTCACAGCCATTGCATACCTATTAAAATCTAGATCAAGCTTATCCAACCTGCAGCCCAGGACAGCTTTGAATGTGGCCCAAAATAAATTCATAAACTTTCTTAGAACATTATGAAATTTTTTTTTGCATTTTTTTTTTAGCTCATCAGCTATCATTAGTGTTGGTGTATTTTATGGTGGCCCAAGACAATTCTTCTTTCAATGTAGCCCAGGGAAGCCAAAAGATT
This sequence comes from Homo sapiens, assembly GCF_000001405.40. Classification (NCBI taxonomy): domain Eukaryota; kingdom Metazoa; phylum Chordata; class Mammalia; order Primates; family Hominidae; genus Homo; species Homo sapiens. Next base: position 34,531,414 of record NC_000001.11, on the reverse strand, counting down.
GGACACGCCTGCTCTAGGTGCTTTATATACTTAAAATAAAAACTTAATTTTGAAAGAATAGGAAAGTTGCAAAAATAGGATAAAGCATTTTTGTGTATTTCTTACCTCACTTTCATCTTACAAAAACACATCGTTGGTGTACATACATTTATTTCCTAGCTCTGTCTGATGAAAGCAATGATGCTACAAGCAATGACACCTCAGTAGCAATAAGCATGTCCAGCACCCCAATCTTGGTCTCTAAACAACGTTCTCCATTAAACGGAACCAGGGTTCCTAGGGGAAATAGCTGATTCCAGGGCTGAGAATGGAAAATACAAGATGAGCTTGGAATATCTGGAGGCTTGTCAAAAGAACAGAGGAGCCAGCCTGCTGGAGCTCCTAATGGCTGAAGCTGAAATAACTTGAGAAGCAAAATAATAATGTTGGTATTGGACTTTAAGCCAGATAATAAGCACATACACTAAAATTTTAGACTTTTTACAACCCCATGAATAGATATTATTATCCTCATTTTATAAATTCTTGAGGTAATGGAGGAGTCAAGATTCAAATCTAGGTTCAAATAGGAACAAAGCTCCACTGTGCAACACGACGTCCCCGTTGTGGGAGGGCAAAGAGTCTCTTCAGGCATTAAAGCTTTCACTTCTGCTTTGAGTTGAGCAACATGCAAACCTTTACCCATGCGAGAGTGGGTTCTATTTTCTTTCTCCACCTTTCCATCTTTCCAGCAAACCTTTAATTCCTACTGTCCTCACACTGACCTCACAGAGTCACTCTTTTGTTTACTCTACCAGCTTAAATCAGAGGTCACTTGGCAAGAGTTTTACAATAATCCCCCTTTTTAAAGTCTACTGATGTTCCAGTTGTTTTAGAGCAACTCTTCCATTCTCATCTATAACTCAGATACAGTCTCAGGTCCTATCTGGGGAATTCTAGGGGATGGGAGGGAGTTAAAATAAGAAGTAGAGAGGGCAGTGGGGTGGAAACTTGACATCCCATTCTTAATCACCGCTCTGTGCCTTGATGCCTTCCTGATAGCATGTGTACTGATTCCTTATTTGTTCACATTTCCTGGGGGGTGGTGAAGAGAGCTAAATACTCCCACACGACTATAAAAATAACGAAGGTGATGAATGGCCCCAAACAGCAAGGAAGGGAAGAAAAGCATTCCTTTCCCGCTTTTCCTGGGCTGTAGATAAATCACATCTGTCGTGGCTGGGGCTGTGGAGCTCTAGCTGTGATGTGGTTGGGGTGGCTAGCTGCCAGACCCTCCTCCCCTTCCAGCAAGGAGGCTGACTCTGCTGGCTAATTTCGAAAAGAAAAAAGGAAGCAGGGGTCCGTTCCTCTTAATAGCTCAAGGCCCCGAGTCTCTGGGGCCTCAGGGCCTTCACCTCCACACTGGTGCTGCTTCCTTGTGGACAGCAGAGCCAACCTGTGTGCTCAGGGCATGCCTGTCCTTTGCTGCACCTGCAGCTGACTGCTTAGATGGGTTGAATGCAGACTGGCCCAGAGGCAGAGGGATGCGTGAGATAACCTCTGACAGGCTCCTTCCTGTCACAAGTTTGGATCACAAGATGGGTTTGGAGTTCTGACCCAGAATCAGTCAGTGATAAAGCTTTGCCATTTTAGAACTATAAAGGGAAGTGGTGGGCCAAAACCTGGGAGTCACCCTTGACTCTTCCTTCCTTCCCATTTCCTACGTCCCATAGGATTCCCTATCTTAACAATTTGATCTCTTTAACATCTTCTGCTTGTGCCTCTCTCTTCCCAGGGCCCTTGCCTTAAGGCAGCCCCCTCCTCTCTGCCTGAATTGATGTCAGGACTTTCTGGTGGTCTCCTGTCTCCACTCACATCCTCTCTAGTTTACATTCTACAAACAGCCAGAGCAAGCACTCATCTCAGTACACATCTCCCCCAGTTAAAACCTTTCTATGGCTCCCGTTGTCATGAAGAAAAAAATCCACATTCAACTGCATGGTGTGCACGGTCTTGCATGACCAGGCCCCTGCTTCTCTCTCCCCGTTTGTCTCTCATTGCTCTTCAGCAACTCTGATCTCTGAGACAGCTGAATCTCCCTATGAGTCCCTAAATAAGACTTGCTTTTTCTTGCCTTCAGTAGGTGCTCGAACATGTTCCTATTTATTGTGAGAGCTTCAGCTGCAGCGTTACTTCCTCTAGGAAGCGTTTCTAAGGCTAGCTTAAAGAGGTCTTCCTCTGCTGTCACAAGGAAGCCTCCTGACATTATCCATCTTGCAATCTCATCAGACTCCTTAATAATAAGGTTCGTCCAGACGCTATTCTAGCACATGAGCTGACTAATTGAATGCTCATACCCATCTTCTGTTTAGCATCTTCGTTTTACAGATGATGACGCTGAGGTACAAAGCAGTTCAGTGACTTTCCCAAGGTTTCAGAACTTGTATGTGACAAAGTCAGGCTTGAGCTTAGCCCATGCTCTTGACCACTATGCTGTACCATGTGTGTTAAGTGACTAGCAGAGAGGATTGCTTTGTTACATTTATGTAGTTTTCCTTTGAGCAGCTGGGATGAGCTCCTGGAGCTGTAAACAGAATTTCTAGAGTTGCATCTGCACTGGAAGGCCTTCCAGATTGGCAAGTTATATCCTGAGCATGGACCACCTGCTTTTATAGATAAAGTTTTAATGGGACACAACTACATCTGTTCATTTACACATTATCTGTGGCTGCTCTGGTGCTACAAAGGCAGAGATGAATGGTGACAGAGAACTTATGGCTTGCAAAGCTTAAAATATTTACCATTTGGCCCTTTAAGAAAAGCTTTGTAGACCCCTGTCAGACAACCCCATATGCTTAGTAAATGGCTGAGCTGGGATGGGGACAGAAACCTTTCAGGCTCCAGATTCCAGAACTTCCAAATTCTGCACACCAACTTCCAAGGCATCTCCCTGCAGCCAGGTGCTGGGACAGGTTACACAAAGTAGCCACAGGAATATGAAAGGTAGGAACAAGGACCATACATACCTTGAGCTCTGTCAGCTGCGTTCCTCCTTCTTCCCTACTCACCTCTCTGTGTTGTCCCCTTCCTACTCAGTGTCTGATGTCTTAGCTGAGGCTGTTGGTCTGCAGCACTCGTGGGCCTCTGCATCAGAGTCTCCATCCCCTTGTGAAGCCCAGTTCCTCCTAGAACAGCTGGGCAGCCTCCTTTTTCCTGGTGCCAGCTCGCTCCCTCTAGGCAGGTGCCAAGAATTGAAGTCCAGATCTCCTCCAGCCTACTTCCTCCTCTGGGCCCCGTCACTCCACACTGGAGAGCCACAGATGGAGTTGGTTATAAAAGTGCATCAATAAATGGAATTGGGGACTGGGTGCAGTGGTTCATGCCTGTGATCCCAGCACTTTGGGAGGTTGAGGTGGGCAGATCACCTGAGGTCAGGAGTTCACGACCAGCCTGGTCAACATGGTGAAACCTCATCTCTAAAATATAAAAATTACCTCCTGGGCATGGTGGCAGACACCTGTAGTCTCAGCTACTTGTTGAGATTGATGCAGGAGAATCACTTGAATCTGGGAGGCAGAGGTTGCAGTGAGCCGAGATCGCACCACCGCATGCAGACTGGGAGAGAGAGCAAGATTCCATCTCCAAATAAAATAAAGTAAAATAAAGTGAAATAAAATAAAACAAAAGGAACTGGGGAAAGAGAAAATTCCTGGCATAGAGAAGAGCTTGTGGGTGTGTGTGTGTGTGCATGTGCGCACACATGCATGCACAGGAGTGTGTGTCTAGGGGCACGCAGAAAGGTGGGAGTGGAAGGAGGGCTTTGCGGAGAGAGAGAGAGGGCAAAGGCCCCAGGAAGGGAGGATTGTGTGGGGCTGTCAGAAGAAGTTTGATTTAAAATCAATTTTCTGGCCAAGAAGAATCACTCTTGCCAGGGTGAAATATAATGTAAAATAGGAAAGAAAGGCAAGCTTGGGCTCTGCCACGATGTGCCTCTAGCCTTCCTGCTTATGAAGCAAATAAATCACCTTCTCCATAAGGCAGCCAGTCCAGCTGTGTTATCATAGCAGGGGCAGATGCAAGGTGCAATTGGCTTTGGTCACCAGACTGGAGACGTCAGACTCAAGAAGGATAAGGCCCACGAGGGCGGCCCTGGCCCTGCATGTGAGTGGCCTTAGCATCAAACTGTCTTAGATACCAGACTCACTGTGAACTCATCCTTTGGGCTTTAATTCTGATATTAGAATTATTCTGATTGCCAATGACAGAAACCCAATTCGATTTCGTTTAGGTTACTAGTGGCTCTTGTAACCTATTTGGCAAATGCTGAAGTTACCAAATCTCAGGCCTGGCAGGGGCTCAGACACCCCAATAACCTCTGTCTCTCTGGAATGTCAACTGAATTCTGCCAGGTGGGCTTTCTCCATCAGCTACTCCTGACAAATCCTGGGAGTCATCGCTAGAGATAAATACTCTATTTCCTTGGTTTTAATTGGAGAAATCCCAGGGGGGGACTCTGATTGCCCTAGCTTGACTCATGCCCTCTTCTGGTCTCACTGAAATGAAACGGTTGGGGTTGAGAGAGGGAAATGATCCCCAAAGAAATGGGCGTGTGGTTACCAGAAGAAGGAAGGGCCTGGACACACCAACTGCGGATGTCCACCACAGTGCCTGATCCTGCCTTCTGCCTCTGCCGCCCCAGCTTCCCAGCACCAAAGTCCTGCCCTTAAATCTTAAAAGTGTTGTCTACACTTCCTGCCCCCGCATCCCTCTCTCCTCTGCCCCTTGCAGTCTGACTTCTACCCCACCGTGCCATAGAGAATCTCCCTCGAAGGATCTGACCAGAGGAATCGTTAGAGAAAGCACACGGTCTCATCTCATTCTGTTGGTCTCTCTGTGTGTATGGTTATTAGCTGCCTGTAGCTGTGGGACAGTCTCTTCCCATCCTTCTTGTACCTGGGAAACGTGCTTTCCACCGACCTCTTGGACTGTTCCTTCTCAGGTTCCTTCTCTGGGTTTTCTTCTTTAGCCCATCCCATAGTTACAGGATTCTCCCAAAGTGCTGCCCTCTTTCTGTCTTCATCTCAGCACTCACCTTTAGTGATTTTTAATTACCCTCAGGGCTACATTAATAGAGGTTTAGTAGCTAGAGAAAGGGAGTTCATGTTTCTGCTCTGTAGGCAGACCCTGTCTCTGGTAATGGTCTTCAATCTGGACAGGGTGTTTTTAAAGGAGCGATGAAAGACTGGTATGTGTTCACAGGGTTATAACTAGAGTGGTAAGAAGACTCAATACTGGGTCATATGGGGAAAAAGGTAGCGATTGGCAATACTTAACCTGGCCAAAAGAAGCACGAGAGGGCTGCTTCTAGGGTTGTCAGCTTCATGGGTGGGGTGGGGTGGGTCTTAGAGCATTGCCAGAAATTCCAGGGCAGCTAATGTCATCTCTGTGTCCTTGGGGCTCATCCAACCTTCAGCATCAGAATTAGGGCTTCACATAGACTAATTCTGCACCAGCTCTCTAGCTGGGCTGTTCTGAGTGAGAGAGGAATACCCCCTCTCCCCATCCTGGGAAGCAGGTTTGCAGAGATGGGCAGATATGATTTACAACACTCTGGAGGGGTGGTAGTCCGGGCGGGGGGGTTGGCTTTCTAATACTTACAGGTCCTCTGATTCTCAAGTCACTGAGACTCTCTGGCTTAGAGATGAGATTTTACGGGAGGCAGGGTTCCTCTCATTCCTAAACGACATTGGGTGGAATCAGTGAGCCCCTCCTCCCCTGGGTCACCTGGGGCTTATTCTGTGTTCAATCTCATCCTCCACCCAAGCCTCGGGGGGCCTTATTTCTCTGTTTATTTAACTGTTCAAATAATATCTATTATTGTTATTATTATCTATTATTATTATAGCCTACCTGCTACAGGCCATGCAGTGTTCTAGGTGCTAGGAACACGCTGTATGTAATAATTAGAATAACAACACATACAATAATAATAATAGCAGCATGCATAGAGTGCCTGTTATGTGCTAGGAACATCAAGGTAAACAAGTCACACAAGGTCTCTGCTCTCATGGAGCTTAAATTCCAGCAGAAGAGATAAACACTAGCAGGTAAAGACACTTTCATCTTAATAATTGCTGTGATGAGAATAAATTGGGTAATGAGAGGAGATGGGATGGAGATTAGGGATGCAGACAGAGATCATTTAGAAAGGGTGTTCAGGGAAGTCCCTGTAGAGAAAGGGTTTAACTGAGACCTACAGGATGAGGAGAACCCTGCAAAGAGATGGAAAAAAAAAATGTTCTAAGTGAGAAACAAGGACCTGGACTGCAAGTGCAAAGGCCCCAAGAAGAGGGCAGGTTTGGCTTGTTTGCAGAACAGAAAGAGGCCAGAGTGGCAGAAGCTAGTGAGTAGAAGGGTGGTGTGCAGTGAGGTCACAGATATGGGGATGGAACAATGCAGAGTTGGGAAGGCTGTGCAAAGGAATTAGGACTTGCACATGGAGATGATATGATCAGTCATGCATTTTTACAAGACCATGTTTGCCTGGAGGATGGCCAGACAGTGGATGGGGAAGAAAGGTGAGGATGGAGCCCAAGTTTTGGGTAAAAGGCCATGGCAACAATGCAGGAGGGAAGAGATGGCTGCCTGGACTGGGGAGGTAGAGGGAGAGATGGGCAAAAGTGGACTGGGGTATATTTTAGAGAGAAAGCCACAGATCTTTTTATGGATTAAATGGAGAGAAGAGAAAGAGAAGAATAAAAAATGAATCTATGGCTTGGGGCCTGAGCAATGGGGTGCATGGTGGTAGCATTACCAAAACAGGGGTTCTTGGGGTGGAGGAGGTTGAGATATGGGAAAGTGAGGGGTCAGAGGTAGGCTTTGGCTCATGGTGCCACCACCCCAACACTGGTCATCAGTAATCAGGGCTAATGGCTGCTACTCAGAGAGACTCTGAAGCCAGCTCTGTGATCCAACCAGGATAATTCCAAAGCTGTCCTGGGGCCTTGGACACATTTCCAGCAGGATAGAGTCCAAGGTCCTTCTTGTCACTCAAATCCCGTGAGATCTGGCCCCTGCTCTCCTCACCACTCCATTGGCTCTCATTCTCCCCAAGTACTCGATAGCATAGCCAGACCTAAGGGAGCCTCCCAACTTCTACGCTCTGTCCAACACATTTTTGAGTGCCTACCATGTACTGTATTGGGCGCAGAAGACATAGAGAAAAAAATAACATGGCCCTGGACCTAAAGAGCTTATTTTCTGGGGTAGATAAATAATTATTATAGAAGAGCATGGTGAGGAGATGGCAGAGGCACCCTCAGGACTTTGTTGAGAGAAAGAAGAGAGACAATGGCCCAGGTTGGGGCAGTCTGTACAATCTGCTTCCTCTTCCTGATCATGTTCAAGAGCTGCTTCTGAGAAGCCAATCTTGACCTCTCCAGGAGACTGCACACTCCTCCCTTCCTCCTCCCTCCTCAGGCTTTCCTGAGTATGACCCCCCACGACAGTGCCTGGGTTGTACTTCATCTGTTTCTCCATATGTCATTCCTACTGGTCTTAAGCTCCTCCAGAGCAGGGCCCCCGCTATTTCTCTCAGCATCTTCAGGGGCCTGGCCATGACCTGCCACAGGTTCCAAGTCTGGTTTTTGCCCTCCCCCCTACCCATTGCCCTGCAGTGGAAGATGGAGACTCCCACTTGGCTATTGAAGAAAAGACTATTTCATGGCTGTCAACCTACGCTTCCTGCCTGGAAGACGTCTTGGCTTCTTCAGCCTGATAGGAGGCTGCTCCTCCTGCCTCTGGCTGCCAGAAAAGCTCAGCCTGCTTTAAGGAGGGACCAGACTTTCCACTGAGGCCAATACATGGGAAATGTAATACACAGGAGTTGAAAATGTCTACATACACAGAAAACATTCAAAGACATAGTATCCAGAAAGCATGATGGTTTTAAACTTGTTTTCATTTTTTTGGTTAGGAGTTTAACCTAAGTCTGTGTGTACTGGGGACAGGGGGCAGCACAAACCACTTCAAGCTTAACTTAATTCTTCCTAATTTGTCACCCATCCCACCTATTTACTTGGGGCCCTTCTCATCCTTAAGGGGAGTCATACACAGTGTGGATGGGTGCAGAGGGGATGTGGGAGGCAGCATCCTGAGAGTTACTGGCATCACCTTTCCACATTTAAAATTCAAGTTTATGGGCTTTGTCTCTTTAGCTTGTGTTTTTCTCATTGTGGAGCTTACATTTTTATTTGCAGGAATAAAAGTCAGTGGCAGCTGATGTGGCCCTCTGGAGTTGGAGGCAATAACCATTGTGGGCAATGTAGCCTGGAAAATAATAATAATAATAAACAGCACAAGGGGAGACAGCTTTTTGAAGGTGGTTGATGAATGACTATTGACTCCATAACATCTCTCCACCACCACCACCGCCAACCACATACACCCAACTTCCCTGCAGTCCTGCAAGAATTCCACTGACAAGCACAGCACAGATACTGGTGCAAAGGAGGGAAGCTGAGAAGGTTTGCTCAGGGGTCCTGCAACTGGGAGGTGAAAGCAGCTGCTAGGATAAGCAGGTGACATCACATCTGGAACAGAGAGGGAAGGGAGATGAGGCTCTCTGAGCCTCAGTTTCCCTATCTATACAACAGGATGAGCATGCCTGCCTCATAAATTTTGGGGCAGCTTGCACGAGATGGCATATGTCAAGCATCTAGTACAGAGCCTGGCTCATAGTAGACCCTCTATAAATAATAGTCCACACTGTCCTCCCATCCCAAAGCCAGAGATGGAACCAGTAATGCTTTTTCAGCAGAGGAAGGAAGAGAATCTCAAAGGAAAGGCATTTGGGTTTGATCTGGTCCCTTAAACTTGCCCACTGAAAAAGATTCTGAAGCTGCCACCAAATGCTGGTGGAATCCCTCTCATCCAAATTCCTTCCCCTCCACTTTTGGAATACCCCTGCTCTCCCAGCCTGGAGCCCTCGTTTACTGCCTGCATCCCTTCTGCTATTCTCATCATACCCTGTCTTTCTCCTGTCTGTGCTCTGTATCCCCTGCCCTACTGTGTGCACGGCCTTGATAATGATAATGTGAGATCTAAAAAGATGACTACTCTTCTTCCTTTCAAGCGGAGGTGACCTGACATTTTTGGGACCTTACATTTGCTGTGCAAGTCATGTTATGTTACTACTTTTTTTCTAATCCATAAAACAGCCCTAGGAGGCAGGCATTTAGCTCTCCATCCTACAGAGGAAAATAACTTGGGTTCTGAAGAGTTGAGTCATTTGCCTGCCCCAGGCCATGCTGTGAGTGAGTGAGTAAGGAGTAAGGGGTGAGTGAGGGGTCTGAAACCCAATCCCATCAGAATCCAGAGCCCAGGCTCTTTTGATGGCTCCAGGTTGCCTCTAATGGGGATAGAGACTGGAGCTCTAACAGGCATTCAGTTAATAGGCTGAACAGAACCCACCTGTCCCCACAAGATCCGGGACACCCTTCCTACTGAGTGCCCAGACTCTGAGAGCCTCTTGGTGGCAAGGCAAATAGCATTTGGTTGTATCCTCCCTCCTCCTACCTCTGTGACCAGCAGTCATTCAGCTTCTGCTTGAACTCCTGCAAAGACAGGGAACTCACTCCTCTCTGTGGGCAGCATGTTGTAGGATAGGGGTTCTCAAAGCTTGACACCCAGAACAGCAGCTTCAAGATCACCTGAAATCTTGTTAGAAATGCAAATTCTTGGGTTCTACCCCAGAATCAGAATCAGAACCTTTGGGGGTGGACCCAGGGAACTGTGCTTTAACAAGCCTTCTGAGTGATTCTGATGCTCCCCAAGGTTGAAGCCCAGTGGCTTTGTGGAAAGGGAAAAGGGCCATGAGATCATAGAGATCTGAGCTCACAGCCCTGGTACTTACCATCTATGTAGCTCTGGGCAAGGTAGCTGTGAGGACTTTATAATAACATTACTGACGTTTACTGAGCCTGTGGAAGGCTGACTAATGCCCCACCACCAAGGATACCCACGTCTCGTGAATAACTTACCTTATTTGGCGAAAGGGACTTGTAGATGAAATTGAGTTAAGGATCCTGAGATGGGGAGGTTAACTGGGTGGGCCCAATTTAACCACAAGCGTCCTTATAAGAGGAAGGCAAGAGGACCAATGAGAGAAGAAGGCGATGTGACAGCAGAAACAGAGAAGAGTGATGTGGCCGTGAGGCAGGGAACGCAGACCGACTCTAGAAGTTGGATGAGGAAAGGAACGAATATTTCCCTGGAGCCTCCAGAAGGAATTAGCCCTGCCAACACCTTGATTTCGTCCTGTAAAACTCGCTTTACACTTCTGACCTCCAGAACTGTGAGACAATACGTTTCTGTTGTTTTAAGCCACGAAGTTTGGGATAATTTGCTACAGTAGCAGTTGGAAAGTAATATAAGCCTTTGCTATATGCCAGGCTCTAAGTGCCTTAGCTATACGAAAGATAAAATGAGTTCTCTATTATTATTAATAACTCATTTCATCCCCACAACTACTCTATCATGTGAATAGTGTCAGTAGACCCTTTTTACAGGTGAGGGAACTGAGGCACAGAGAGGTTTAGTCACTTGCCCGAGGATATACAACTAGCAAGTCACCTGGCTGCAAGCTTGTCTCGCATGGTGGATTTGCTGTTTATCCTCCTAGGCTTGCCTCTACACATTCCACCTGCCTGCCCTCCCTGTATTCTGAGCAGAGCTTCAATGCTTCCTTGTAGCTGTTTTATTCTTGCAGCAAAGCTTTGACTGATCCTGGGGCAAAACTGTCTAAGCTAAAGCTTTGACATCCTCTGAGCAGCCCTGTGTCTCTTTCTAATCTTCTTTCCAACCTGGAGGAACCTTAGCTTTGGGGCCTTTCCCAGATGCTGGGCTCAGCTCTCAGAGGTTCCAGTTGTGCCCTTCTTGCATGCAGTGGAAGGAACCCCAGGAAGGAACTCCAGTGCTATGACACTGGACCTTGGAGCTGGGTGGGCCACAGAGACCAGCCTTGGGAGAGCTGTCTGAAAACTATACTCAACCAGAATGCACTTCCTGGAGAGGTGCCAGGGCTCTCTCTAAGGTTTCCATCTATCCCGCAGTGAGATCTACATTCTGGCTCTTGTTTGCAATGTATACACGTGTGTGGGCTGCATTTCATTCATGCCAGAATCTGACACATAGGCAGAATTTTAGTAGCAAGCATATGGCTGAAAACCCTCAGATAACGTGCTCAGTGGGGACCCATTTTGAACCAAGATTTCGAGTGAAAACAAAGTCAGCAAAGAAGTGAAGGCTGTAATAGGCACAGAAGAGCCATTAGCCTTCGAATGTAGACTTCCAGTGTGTGTGTATGTGTGTGTGAGTGTGCAATGTATGCTTGACAGTGTATGTTGGAATGTGTCTGAGTATGTAGTCATATGTGAATTGCGTGATCACTTGTGTTGTGGGGTGTATAAAGTCTGAGGCTAATTGTGAACCTGTTGGTGGGTGGATTATTTCAGGGTGTGTCTGCATGGGTATGCATTTGAATATCTGCTTACCATATTTTCTGAATGCCAGTGAGTATGTATCTTGTGTGAAGACTGAAGTGGAGTAAAGGTAGGTGTATCTGGGTATTAGAGTGCTATGCGAATGCTGAGAGGGTTTATGTGACCATATGTGCCTGAGTATGAGCTTAAATGTGCATATGAATGGTGTGAATGTGAAGGTGTGTACCTGCTTCTGCATCTCAGTGAATTCTCCTGGCAAAACAGGCTTAGGGTTGCCTCTCTAGCTCCTGTTCTCAGAGCTTGCTGGTGTTTTATGACTGAGCATCCCAGGCACAATTTATATGATGCCCAAATAACGAGGCTATTCAGCAAAAGATCCTGACAGATGGACCACAAGTTCCCTATATCCCAACCCCATGGTTGTGCAGCTGATTTAAACTCTTCCTTTGGCCATAATACTATGAGCAGCCCTCCTCCAGGGCCTTGTGGTCTGAGATGCCGCTGTGCATACCAGATCCACAAAGGGTGCTCCATTTCACCTGGTGCCTTACAGCATCCATGGGATCACCAGAAGTGGAGATTGGCGTCTGGTTCCTCCATCATGGCTGTCTTGCTCTGCAACTGTTTGCAGCATACTAAACCATCTTAGTGTGTTGCCAACAGGCTAGGCACAACAAGCAGGTCACACATTTTCCAAATGAGAGATTTTCTCCATTCTGTAGATGTGATGGAGAGCTGGAGATTGAAGCTGAGAGTGAGTTTGAGGGATCCCATATAGGGAGTATGGCGTAGGAAGAAGTGGTGGAAAAGGACAAGTGGTGTATGCCCACGGGAACAGCTGAAAGTGATTGCTCCTCAAGCTGTGGTTGTAGTTTATAAAGCACCAAATTTTGCTCTCACAACAATCCTGGGAAGTATGGTTCACATTTTATGGGTGACGAATCTGAGACTCAGAGACGTTAAGTGACTTGTTCAAGGTCACAGAGCTGTCAACTGCTGGAGCTGCAGTGGAGTTTGGGGGATAAGATTTTGCATCAATCATATGATGTCTGAGCAAGAGCCCCAGCCTTAGGACGGGTCATATCACCATGCTTTCACTCCACTCACACATCCCCACTCAAGTCCTGTTTTTTTCTCCCATGTTTTCCTTGGCAATCTCTCCTTCACCATGGTGCTTCTGACTCCGATAGAGGGCAAACACATCAAGGCAAAAAGTCAGGTCAGGAGCTATTGATGGATAGCTGCTGTGGGCCAGCTCTGTGCCAGTTATTGTGAGTGTTATAGAAGGGAAACCACCATGTGTCCTTTGCTGTGATCTGCTCAGGAGGCTAGCCTCAAGCACCTGTCACTTCCTTGCTGGGTGACAGTGGGTAAGTCATTTGTTCATTTACTCACTCCCTGACAGGGCCATCTGTTATTTTGGCTCTCCAGTGGCCACCCTGCGTACTTCTCATAACTATAGCCCAGATTTCCTCAGGAGACTCACTCCTCCCTCACCATATGGTACGCTTGGTGGTGCTTTTTCCCCTGATACTCTGGATAGAGTGTTTGACTCAGGCATGGCTCATCATAACATTGTACTCCCTTGGCCACAGTGACTGGCTCAGAGATGGGCATGAAACTCAGTCAGAGCCAGTGAGATGTAAGGAGGCTTTGGCTGGAACAGTTGGGAGGTGGGTATTTGCTTCCCGACTGGACATGGACTATGAGAGGCTGGGTCCCATAGGCAGTGTGTCCCCACCTGGAGCCTGAGCGTAGAGCCAAGGCATGGCAAGGGGCAGAGTCAGGCTGGAGGTGGAGCTCAAGAACATGTGACATTGCTTGAGCCTCTGAAACCAGTTCTGCCTGGAGCTGGCATATTAATTTGTCTGCAGACTAAGCTGCTATAATGAAGAAATTGACATATGCAATGAAGTAAACAAAATACATTTCACTCTCAGGTAATAGCCCAGAGATATGTGGTCCAGAGACAATAAAACAGCTCTGCCATCTTCAATTCATGGTTTCTGTTCCTAGGTCCAAGGTGGCTGCTCTAGAACTTGTCTTCTCCCTAGTTGGAGAAAGAAAGGGAGCAAGGGAAGTTTTTTTCACCGTTGTTAATCAGCTTTATTGAGGTATAATTTACATCGAATAAAATTAACCTATTGAGGTGTACAGTGCTATGATTTTTGACAAGTGCGTAATGTCATGTAACACTCACTACAATCAAGATAATAAGACATTTCCGCTCTTTACAGTCAATTTCCTACCCGAACCCCATCCCCACGAAACACCAGCCTATGTTCTTTTTTTAAAAATTTTTTTCAAAAAAAAACCAACCGGGATATGTATACAGAATATGCAGGTTTTTTTACATAGGTATACATGTGCCGTAGTGGTTTGCTGCACCTATTGACCCGTTCCCTAAGTTCCCTCCCCTCACCCTCACCCCTGACCCCTGAACAGGTCCTGGGGTGTGTTATTCCCCTCTCCATCTCCATGTGTTCTCAATGTTCAACTCCCACTTATGAGTGAGAACATGCGGTGTTTGGTTTTCTGTTCCTGTGTTAGTTTGCTGAGGATAATGGCTTCCAGCTTCATCCATGTCCCTGTAAAGGACATGATCTCATTCTTTTTATGGCTGCACAGTATTCCATGGTGGATATGTACCACATTTTCTTTATCCAGTCTATCATAGATGGGCATTTGCGTTGGCCCCATGACTATGCTAATGTAAATAGTCACCAGCCTATTTTCTAGAACTATAGTTGTGCATTTCCCAGAATTACATATAAACAGAATCACGTAATACACATTATTTTTGTCTGGTTTCTTTGACTTAGCAAAATGCCTTTGAGATTCAGCCAGACAGACTGGATAAAGAAAATGTGCTACATATACACCATGGAATACTATGCAGCCATAAAAAAGAATGAGATCTTGTCCTTTGCAGGAATGTGGATGGAGCTGGAGGCCATATCCTTAGCAAACTCAAGCAGAACAGAAAAGCAAATACTGTATGTTCTCACTTATAAGTGGGAGGTAACTGATGAGAACACATGGAAACAAAGAAGGGAACGACAGTCACTGAGACCTACTTGAGGGTGAAGAGTGGGAAGAGGGAGAGGATCAGAAAAAATAGCTATTGGGTACTAGGCTTAGTAGCTGGGTGATGAAATAATCTGTACAACAAACCCCCATGACACAAGTTTACCTATATAACAAACCGGCACATGCACCCCTGAACCTAAAATAAAAGTTAAAAAAAGAGAAATTCAGCCACACTGTTGCATGTGTCAGTCATTGTTTGTCCCTTTTAATTGCTGAGACATATTCCACTTTATGTATATGCCATAAGTTGTTTTTCCATTCACCAGTTAATATTCATTGGGGTCTTTTCCATTTTCTGACTATTATGAATAAAGCTTCTATGAACATTTGAGTACAAGTCTTTGTGTGGATATATGCTTTCATTTCCCTTGGATAAATATGTACCTAGGAATAAAATTGCTTGGCCATAGTTAAGTGTATGTTTAACTTTGTAAGATACTGCCTTATTGTTTTCCAAATTAGCTGTGCAACTTTGCATACCCATCATTGATATATAGAAGTTCAGATTGCTCTTCCATATATTTGTCAACACTTGGTATTTTTAGTTTTTAAATATTATTATAATAATTTATAGGTATGTCATATCTCATGGTGGTTTTAACTTTCATGTCCCTAAAACTAAATATATTCAGCATCTTTTTTATGTGCTTATTTTACATCCATATGTTTTTGGTCTTCAAATCTTCTACCATATACAAAAAATAAGCTCCATTCATACTTCACATCATATATAAAAATGAACTCAAAATGGATCAAATGGGTTTTTAGTTATTCCAGTACCACTTTATTATTATTATTATTTATTATTATTATTATTATTATTATTATTATTATTATTATTATTAAAAAGACTACCCTGTCCACTGGAGTTATTTGGCACTTTCATTGAAACTAAATTGGCCATATATGGAAGATCTGTTTCTGGATTCTACTGTGTTTCATTGGCCTACATGCCATTTACATACCACAATTCTTTATTAAAGTAGCTTTATAGTAAGTCTTGAAATCAGGTAGCGTGAGTACTGCAACTTCATTTTCCTTTTCAATACTGCATTGGCTATTCTATCTGCTTCATTTTTCCATGTAAATTTTGAAAACAGCTTCTGAATTTCTACAAATATTATGCTGGGATTGTGGTTAGAACTGTGTTTAATTTATAAAACAATTTGAGAGGACTAACATCTTAATAATATTGAGTCTTCTAATTAATACACATGATACATATCTCCATTTACTTAGGTCTTCATTTTTTTTTTTACCAGTGTTGTGTAGCTTTTGGCATGCAAATTTTGCACATATTTTGTGATATTTATATATACACATATTTTAGATTTTATGGTGCTATTTAAATGGTATTTTAAAAACTACAATTTCCACCATTCATTATTGGCATATAGAAGTATTTTTTTTTTTTTTTGCACATTTTCCTTGTCCTATAGTTTGGATATGGTTTCT
This sequence comes from Homo sapiens, assembly GCF_000001405.40. Classification (NCBI taxonomy): domain Eukaryota; kingdom Metazoa; phylum Chordata; class Mammalia; order Primates; family Hominidae; genus Homo; species Homo sapiens. Next base: position 34,515,389 of record NC_000001.11, on the reverse strand, counting down.
TTGACCCCACCAAGTCTTATGTTGAAATTTGACCCTTATTGTTGGAGGTGGGGCTTGGTGGGACATGTTTGGATTTTGCAAGTGAATCCCTCATGAATGAGTTTGTGCCATTCTCTCAAGAGTGAGTGTGAGTTTTTGCTTTTTAGTTCCCATGAGACCTGATTGGTGAAAAGAGGCTGGCAACTCCTTCCCTCTCTTTCTTCCTGTCTTGCCATGTGATGCCTGCTCCCCTTGGCCTTCTACCATGAGTGGAACCTTCCTGAAGCCCTCATGAGAAGCAGATGTTGGAGCCATGCTTCTTGTACAGCCCGCAGAACCATGAGCCAAATAAACCTCTTTTTAAAATAAGTTACCCAGCTTCAGGTATTCTTTTATAGCAAAGCAAACAGACTAGGGCACCTTGCTAAACTTGTTTATTAGTTCTGTTAGGTTTTTGTAAATTCTTTGGGATTTTCTATGTGGATAATCTGGATATCCATAATCTGGTCTATGTGTCTGTTTTTGTACTTATACCATGCTGTATTAGTTACTCTAGCCCTGTTGTATAGTTTGAATTTGGGTAACGTGATGGTCCAATTCTATTCTTTTTGCTTAGGATTGCTTTGACTATTTAGGCTCTTTTTTGGTTCCATGTGAATTGTAAAATAGGTTTTTTTTCTAATTCTGTGAAGAATGTCATTGATAGTTCGACAGGAATAGCATCGAATCTATAAATTGCTTTGGGCAGTATGGCCATTTTAACAATATTGTTTCTTAAGATTGGTATTATTTATTCATTGAAGTGTTTAGTAGAATTCAGCAATGAAGCCATCTGGGTCTGGAATTCTCTTTGTAGTGAGGTTTTAAAGTGCAAATCTAAATTTAAAAATAGATATAAGAATTTTCAGAACGCATATTTTCTTTTGAGGGAGCTTTTGTAGTAAGCATCTTTCAAAAAATTTGTCCATTTTATTTAAATTGTTGATATATAGGCATAAAGTTTTTCATAATACTCTCTTATTGTGCTTTTAACATCTCTAGTGTCTGTAGTAATGTCTTGTCATTCTTTCTTGATATTGGTAATTTATGTATTTACTGTTTTCTTGATTATTATTGTCAGGGTTTATCAATTGTGTTGATCTTTAGACTGAACAAATTTTGGTTTTATTGATTTTTCCTTTTTCTCCTGTTTTCTTTTTAATTGATTTTGGTCCTTATCTTTTTTGTTCTTTTCCTAGTATCTTAAGGTAGGGGCTTAGACTGTTGAAGACTGTTGATTTTAGACCTTTCTTCTTTTTTTTTTTTTTTTCTTTTTTGAGATGGAGTCTCACTCTGTCGCCCAGGCTGGAGTGCAGTGGCATGATCTTGGCTCACTGCAAGCTCCACCTCCTGGGTTCACACCATTCTCCTACCTCAGGCTCCCGAGTAGCTGGGACTACAGGCACCCGCCACCAAGCCCTGCTAATTTTTTTGTATTTTTAGTAGAGATGGGGTTTCACCATGTTAGCCAGGATGGTCTCAATCTCCTGATCTCATGATTCGCCCACCTCGGCCTCCCAAAGTGCTGGGATTACAGGAGTGAGCCACTGCGCCCAGCCCTCTTCTTTTTTAATATAAGCGTTTTAAATATGATTTTCTTCTATGCACTACTTTATCTGCATTTCATATATTTTAATATGTTATGTTTTAAATTTCATTAAGTTCAAAATAAATTTCAATATCCCTGTGATTTCTTCTTTGACTCATATGTTATTTAAATGTGATATTTAATTTCCAAGTAGTTAAGGTTTTACAGATATCTTTCTGTTACTGATTTTTAGTCTAACTTCAGTATGGTCAGAGATTCCTACACTTTTAAATTTATTATTGTTTATTTTATGGCCTAAAATATGGTCTATATTTATGAATATAATTTGTTCACTTGAAAGGAATGTGTATGTCACTGTCAAGAGGAATGTTTGCAAGGACAAAAAACCAAACACCGCATGTTCTCACTCATAGGTGGGAATTGAACAATGAGAACACATAGACACAGGAAGGGGAACATCACACACTGGGGCCTGTTGTGGGTTGCAGGGAGGAGGGAGGGATAGTATTAGGAGATATACCTAATGCTAAATGATGAGTTGATGGGTACAGCACACCAACATGGCACATGTATACATATATAACAAACCTGCACATTGTGCACATGTACCTTAAAACTTAAAGTATAATAAAAAAAAGAAAAAAAATAAATGTCAATTAAGTCAAATTTTTGATAGTCAAGTTCAAGTTACACTGCCCTTTTTGTGATTTATTTGTTCTTGCAATTACTCAGCTTAGTGTGTTGAAATATCCAACTATAATTATTAATTTGTCTGTTTTTTCTTTCAGTTATATCAGGTTTTACTTAGTTTATTTTGAAGTGCAACCAATAGGTGCATGCATGTTCAATTGAATTGACCCTTTTATCACTATGGATTGTCACATTTTGGAGGACATATTTGGAATATTCTTTGCCCCCAGGTATTCTTTATCTGATATGAATATAGCCACCCAACGTTTCATTTGATTAGAGTTTCCACAGTCTATCCTTTTTCCATCTTTTAGTTTCTAACCTATCTGTGTCTTTATAATTAAAGTGGATTTGTTTTAGGCAGCATATCATTGCGTCTTGGTTTTTTTATTTAAGATGACAATCTCTGCCTTTTAATTGGAGTGTTCAGGTCATTTAATGTAATATAATTGTCAACGTGGTTGACAGGGTCAATTCATTAAGACAAGATTTAAATCTCCCATTTTTCTGTTTCTCTTTGTATGTTTCATATGTTCTTTGTTCCTCTCATTTTTTGTGCCTGTTTTTAGATCAAATAATTTTTATGATTCTATTTTCATTCCAGACTTGACTTATTAGCCATATATCTATGTTTTGTTTTACTGATTGTCTTAAGGGTGCACACATTTACCTATCATAGGCTGCCTTTAAGTAATATGTTACTTCATATTAATGTAAGAACTACTTACCTTTGAGCTGCAATTGTCATATAGTTTACTTCTATGTGCGATATAAACCAGAAATGTATCATTATTGTTTGTACTTTAAACAGTCAATTATCTTTTAAAGTGACTTTAAAAATAAGAATTTTTTAATGTTCATCTGTATTTACCATTTATGGGGCTCTTTATATAGATCGAGATTTATTTCTGTTATTTTTCTTCTGCCTGAAGGGCCTTCTGTACTATTTCTCTAGTCCTTATGCTGTTGATAATTTTTTTATGCTATTATATGCCTGAAAAATATTTATTTTATTTTTATTTTTTGGAAGATATTTTCACTGGGTACAGTGACATTATTTCTTCCAGTATGTTAAAGACACTGTTCCACTGTTCAATAGCTTGCATTTTTTCTGTTGAGAAGTCTGCTGTCATTCTTATCTTTGTTTCTATTTTCATAGTGCCTTTTCTCTTGCTATGGTCAATTTAAAGATTTTCTCTTTCACACTGGTTTTAAGCAATTTGATGATTATGCTCTTTGGTATAGTTTTTTTTTTTCACATTTCTTGGTGTTCATTAAACTTCCTGATCTGTGGATTTTTCAACAAATTTAGAAAAAAATAGACTTTTCTTTTTTCTTTTTTTTGCCCTGTCCTACTCCCCTCATTTTTGGTAAGTCTGGATTGCTGGACTGTTTAACTGTAGTCTCGCAGTTCACTAAGCTCTGTTACTTTTTTCAGTATTTTTATCTCTCTGTGCTTTATTTGAGATATAGTTTTGATTGGTATATCTTCAAGTTAACTAATTTTATTTTGTTGTTGAGTTTGCTAATTTTGCTAATTAGCACATTAACAAAATTAGCAAAATTAACTTGTTAATTTTGTCCAATTTACTTTCTATTTTATACTTTACTTTTATTTGTAGAAGTTCCATTTGAGTTTTTGAAAATATCTTCTATTTCTCATTTTATATGTATTTTTTCCTCTAAATATCCCAGCATATTTATAAAATTTATAATAGCAATTTTAAAGTTCTTTTCTTAATCCCATAATATCTTCATTTCTGGGTTTTTTTCCCACTCATTGATTTTTCTCATGGTTATGAGTTATACTCACATGCCTGGTAATTTTTGACTGGATTCTGGATATTGGGTATACTACACTTTTGAATGTTAAATTTTGCTTTCCTTCAAAGAGTTTTGGACTTTTTCTGATACAAATTTAAGTTATTGAGGATCAGTTTAAACATTTTGAGGATTATATTAAGCTTTATTAGTGGAAGTCCAGAGAAACATTTACTCTAAAACTAATTTAAGCTGATGGTGAAGGCCTGAACTTTCTGAGGGTTCTACCCATAATTTCTCTCCACTCTGGCTTTTGGGAATGTGAACTATTCCCAGCTCTGTATGAGATCTGGGCATTTTCATTGCCTACTGATTACTGGAAGTTCTTTCTCTGGCCTTGAGGAGTCTCACCCCAGGATTCACAGATTAGTACTCAACCAAAGACTTAAAAGGACCCCTTTGTAGATCTCTAGAACTCTCTTTGAGTGTGGCTTCCTCCTTTCTGGTACTCTGCCCTACAGAAGCTGGCTTCCTCAGCTTTCCCAATCTCTGCTGTGTCTCCTCAACTCAGCAAGACCACCAGGCTCTGCTTTGCCTGCTCCTTCCTATACTGTATCATGGAAACTGACTCTGGACAGTAAGCAAGAGTTATCACTGTTTTGTCTTCGCTTATTCCCCTACTCTCAGGGATCACAGTCCTAATGCATCTGTTGCCCAGTGTTTTGTAAAAGTTTTAAAAAATATATTTTGTATGTTTTTCTGGTTGTTTATGGTGAGATGGCAATTTCTGTAGCATTTAATCCTTCATGGTCAGAAGCACTAGTTTTCCAGGGTCAAGCTTTTGAGGGAAAGACTCAGAAGTCTCCCACCTTACCTCCACTAATATTGGATTATAAGACTTTAGTTATTCGGCAACACCTAGCTGTAAGTAGGTAGCCTGAATAATGAAGTCTAGCTAGGCCTTGTGCCCAGTTAAATTGCATTACTATAGAGGAAGGGAAAAATGCATGATCATTTCAGTTATGTGCATCAGTTTGGAGTTGGGCTTCTGTTTCTGTCTTCTAGAGTCCTGGCTGAGAGAGCCAGTCAATAGACAGAGGGAAATATATATTCAATATCTTGGAGACTGTGTTAGTCTGGTTTTTGTGTCACTATAAGGGAACACCTGAGGCTGAATAATTTGGAAAGAAGAGAGGTTTAATTGGCTCACAGTCCTGCAGGCTGTACAGGAAGCATGGCTTTGGCATCTGCTTGGCTTTTGATGAGGCCTCAGAGAACTGTTACTCAAGGCAGAGGGCAAAGGTGGGACATGCACATCACACGGCAAGAGAGGGAGCAGGAGGAAATGAAGACTTTCCCAGAGTCCCATACTCTTTTAAACAAGCAGATCTCTTGTGAACAAACTGAACAAAATCTCACTTATCTTCCAGGAGATAGTGTTAAACTATTCGTGAGGGATCTGCCTCCATGATCCAATCACCTCCCACCAGGCCCCACATTCAACACTGGCAATTACATTTCAACATGATGTTTAGGGGGGACAAATATCCAAATCATATCAGAGACATTTAGTTTTTTATTTAATCTCTTTGGAACTTAGTTTTTCTATTTGCAAAGTTGGGATATGTTATTCATCTCTCTGTTTTTTTTCTTAAGTTTAATACTTATATAAATAAGAAAGTCCTTTGTAAGCTGTCCAGTACCATACAACCATATCTCATATTTGTCAATCTTTTTCTAACCCCCACATTTAGTTTTTTCAACTATGTTACACTCTTAAAACACCTGGTCCTTGTTCCTATAGTTTATCTGAATTATAGTAGACATCTGTATACTAATTTATTTCCAGCTCCCACTCCCCAACAGACTGACAGATACATTGGATGTTCAGAGATTTGCTGCTTCTCTTATTCACAGCTGTATCACCAGCCCATTGCACAGTAACTGGCATTTATTGAGCTCCCAAAGAGTATTTAAGTGAATGAATGTCAACAATATAAGATGACAAATCATTGTCTGACTTCTAGAGAGTATGTGTTCCAGGACTTGGGGAGAAAGCTTTCTTTTTCTTGGGTCTATATGAATGTTAAGGCTGTGAGGACTATACTCAGGACTGGGGTCCAAATATGGAATGTGAGGTGATTTTAGGAGTACATCCCTTTCCTGAATGATCTGCTTTTTCATCTCTATTTCATATATCCTATTTACAAAACTATCCTTTGACCCCAGATGTCCCTCCAGTTACTGTTCTCTTTATCTACTTCCTTTTGCAAAAAACTTCTTGAAGGAGTTGATTCTGATTACTTCCTCCATATCCTCAAAAATGCCCTTCCTTTCAGCCTACACTCACCAGCATTCTGCCCCAACCACACTCAATTGCAATGGTCCTTGTCAAAGTCACCAGTGAAATTCAATGGTCACTTTGTGTTCTTTCTAACTTGTTGTCTAAGCAACATTTAACACAATTGATCCTCTCTCCTCTTTGAATGACTTTCTTTTGCTGTCTTCCATGGGACCACATTTTCCTGGTTTCCCTCCTACCTCAATAGCTTTTTCTTTTTAGCCTCCTTCATTTGTTCCTCATTCTCTGTCTTGCCTTTAAATGCTGGAACATTCCAGGGCTAAGCCTTTTCATTCTCTATTTACATACTCTCTAGGTGACATTATCTAGTTGCATAGATTTAAATTTTACCTATATGCTGATGACGCTAATCTTTAGTGGTAGCCCTGTCCTTTCTCTGGAACTCCAGGCTGCTATATCTAATTGCTTATGCATCCAAATGGATGTCTAATAACGGTATTTCAAACTGAAAGTGGTGCAAATACAATTCTTGTTTTGTTTCTCAAATCTCTCCTCATTTTCATCATCTCAGCAAATAGCACATCTCCTAGTTGTTCATGTTATCCTTAACTCCTTTCTCTCACCTCTCAAATTCAAGTAATAAGCAAGTTTCACAGACTCCCTATCCAGTCTGCAGCATCTCCACAAAGTTCAAGCCTTTTTCATTTCTTGCCTGAGTACTGACCGCAGTGATATTGTAACTGGTCTTCTTGGTAGCCAGAATTAGATTTTTAAAAATTAACAAATAAAAAATTGCCTTCAGTTGGTCTTCCATATTTGTGAGTTCCACATCTGTGGATTCAACCTACTGTGAATCAAAAATATTTGAAAAATAAAAATAAAAGATATAGCAACAAAAATCATACAATGTAGTTTAGCAACTATTTACATAGAATTTACATTATATTAGATATTATAAATAATCTAGAGATGATTTAACATATATGAGAGGATGCGTGTAGGTTTATATGCAAATACTGCCTTATTTTATACATAGTACTTGAGCATCTGTGGACTTTGGTATCTGAGTGGGTCCTGGATCCAACCTCCTGTGGCTACCAAGAGAGAACTGTATGTTATGGTGCACAATGTAATGTTTTGATATACGTATACATGGTAGAATATCAAGCTAATTAACATATCCATCACCTCATAGCTTTATCATTTTTTTAATTATGAAAACATCTAAAATCTATTCCCTTAGCAATTTTCAAGTTTTTTTTTTTTTTTTTTGAGACGGAGTCTCGCTCTGTCGCCCAGGCTGGAGTGCAGTGGCGGGATCTCGGCTCACTGCAAGCTCCGCCTCCCGGGTTCACGCCATTCTCCTGCCTCAGCCTCCCAAGTAGCTGGGACTACAGGCGCCCGCCACTACGCCCGAATAATTTTTTTGTATTTTTAGTAGAGACGGGGTTTCACCATTTTTTAGCCGGGATGGTCTCGATCTCCTGACCTCGTGATCCGCCCGCCTCGGCCTCCCAAAGTGCTGGGATTACAGGCGTGAGCCACCGCGCCCGGCCCAAGTATTGAATAGATTACTAGCTATAGCCATCGAGCTGTATAATAGATCTCCAGAACTTATTCTTCCTGTCTAGTTGAAATGTTGTGCCTTCTGATCACTATCTCTCTATTTTCTGTCTCTCCATCTCCACTCCCCACCCCAGTCCTTGGTAAACACTATTCTACTCTTCAGTGAGTTTGTACTTTTTTTTTTTTTTTTTTTTTTTTTAGATTCTACCTATAAGTGAGATCATGCAATATTTGTCTTCCTGTGCCTGGCTAATTTCACTAAACCTAATGTCCTCCAGTTTATCCATGTGGCACAATGGAATACTATTCTGCCTTTAAAAAGAAGGAAATCCTATCATTTGCAACAGCATGGTTGTACCATAATTAGATTTGTAAATCTCAAATTTGATTCATGTCAAACCCTCTTTTAAAAATGTTCCTACATCTTCCCATAACATGAGAAAAACATTTCACATTTTATCCTGGTTTCCAAAATTTCATGTGATTTGGACTGTTTTTACCTTTCTGAGTGTATCTCATGCCACTCTCCCCTTTCCCCTGTGCTCTCACTATCCTGGTCCGATTTCTGGTTCTCAAACTTGCCAAACTTGTTCCCGCTTTGTGGCATTTGCACTAGCTTGTTCCCTCTGCTTGGAACAATTTCCCCCCAATCTTATCATGACAGGCTCCATCTTCCTTTCCTCTCTTAGTCTAAATGTCAATAACTTAGAGAGATTCCTCCATATAAATTAACCATCTGGTTTCTATCACATCACCTTATTTTACCTCTCTTCATTGCATCTTTTTACTATCTGATGATAATCTAGTTATTTTTTCTGTCTCTCTTCTTTTCCCCACTAGATTGTAAGTCTGAGAGTAGAGACAGTATCTCTCTTATTCTCTGTATAAATTCATTACTTAGAATCCCTTATGGCATACAATCAGTGTTCAACAAGTACCTCCTGAGTGTGAAGTCAGACCACTCATTTGTTTTAGTATATGTTGTCCAAATCTGTCTCTATCTAGGCAAGGTGCTTTTAATAGTAACCCTTGGTCTAGCTGAACTCATCAGATCACAGTGAGGTTCAGAGCCTTTAATAATGACCACAATTTTGATGACCCCTGGCCTTTTTTTGCCTCCCTCATCAACCTATGGCAGCACTAGGTATCTGGCGGAAGGCTTGGGGCTCAGGAAAAACATAGAACTTCATCTCAATTACATTTGGTAGAGTCAACAATGTTTAGAGCTCCTGGTTCCCTGCCTTCCCTTTCCAAGCCCTGACTACCTCCCCAGCTGCGCTCACCTTTGTTAGAATTGCTACACTAGCAGTATTGGAGGGGCAGTGAATGGGTCAGAGAAGGAAATATTAGCCTGGCTTGTAGCACTAGCAGTATTGGAGGGGCAGTGAATGGGTCAGAGAAGGAAATATTAGCCTGGCTTGTAGCACTAGCAGTATTGGAGGGACAGTGGATGGGTCAGAGAAGGAAATATTAGCCTGGCTTGCAGTTTTCAGGGACCAGCTGAGCCGCGCTAGGATTAGGATAAGTTAATGAGTGAAGAATGCTGACAAAAATGTGGCAATGGAAAAAGTAGAGCATTTCTGTGGGGGAGTAAGAAGACTTCTGAAATACCCAGAAACACTAAATCAAATTTAAAAATTGCAGGGTGTGGAATTGGGGAATGTAGAGTATTATTGGGCCATGTTCAATACTTATTTCTTTCATCACCAGGTAAAAATCTGAAACAATTTTATTTCTTAAGGCATCATAAAATTTGATAGACCCAGGGGACCCAGGATTCCATTTCATTAGACTTCTTACCTTAGGCAAGAATGTCCTGTACCATGGAGCTAAAAGGTGGCCATTTGGCTTCTAAAATACTAAATACTAGAGAATGCATTTCCACATAAGGAAGCCCAACTAAATTGTAGAAGGCTGACTATTAGAAATATCTTCCTTATATTATTAAAGACTTAAATGTAAGACCTGAAACTGTAAAAAATACTAGAAGAAAACTAGATAAAACTCTTCTGGACATTGGTCTATGCAAAGAATTTATGAATAACTGCAAATGCAAATGCAACAAAACAAAAAATAGACAAATGGGACTTAACTAAACTAAAAGGCACAGCAAAAGAAAGAATCGACAGAGTGAACAGACAATCTGCAAAATGGGAGATAATATTTGTGAACGATGTATCTGGTAGGTGACAAATATCCAGAAAGGTCTCAACTCAACAACCAAAAACCAAATAACCCTATTAAAAAGTGGGCAAAGGATATGAATAGACATTTTTTGAAAGAAGACATACAAATGGCCAAGAATCATGTGAAAAGAATGCTCAGCATAGCTAATCATCAGAGAAATTTAAATTACAACCACAGTGAGATATCATCTCACACCAGTCAGTATGGCTATTATTAACAAGACCTCCCCCACAAAAAAACCCCCAAAACCAGATGTTGTTAAGGATGTGGAGAAAAGAGAACACTTGTATGCTGTTGGTGGGATTGTAAATTAATACAACCTCCATGAAAAAAATTTCTCAAAGAACTAAAAATAGAACTACCATTTGATCCAGTAATCCCACTACTGGGTATATACCCCACCTAAAAAAAAAAAAAAGAAATTATATCAGAAAGATACCTGCACTTGCATGTTTATTGCAGTGCTCTTCACAAGAGTGAAGATATAGAATCAACAGATTCTATCAACAGATGAAGTGTCCGTCAACAGATGATTGGGCAAAGAAAATGAGGTATAGATACACAATGAAATACTATTCAGCCATAAAAAAGAATGAAATTGTATCCTTTGCAGCAACATGGATGGAACTGGAAAGTTAAGTGAAACAACTCAGAAACAGAAAGACAAATGCCGCATGTTTCACTCATGGTGGGAGCTAAATAACATGTACACACAGACATTGAGTGTAGACTGATAGACACTGGAGACTTGGAAGGGTAAATGTTGGAGGGGTGGATGCTGATAAATTACTTAATGAGTACAATGTACTTTATTTGGGTGATAGACTAAAAGCCCAGACTTCACCACTATACAATGTATCTCTGTAAGAAAATTGCGCTTGTACCCCTTAAATTTATACATTATTTTTTGAGAAGGAGTTTCGCTCTTAATGCCCAGGCTGGGGTGCAATGGCACGATCTCGGCTCACTGCAACCTCCGCCTCCCTGTATAAAGCGATTCCTCTGCCTCAGCCTCCTGAGTAGCTGGGATTACAGGCGCCCACCACCATGCTCGGCTAGTTTTGTATTTTTAGTAAAGATGGTGTTTCACCATGTTGGTCAGGCCAGTCTCGAACTCCCAACCTCAAGTGATCCACCCACCTCGGCCTTCCAAAGTGCTGGGATTATAGGCATGAGCCACCATGCCTGGCAATTTATACATTTTTAAAAATATATTCCATATATTGAATATACATTTCCCTGAATTGGCTGTTTAATGGTCCTTGTTTTGGTCTCTGGAGCATCAGAGAGTGAGACTAAAACTCTTTCCCACCTAAGAGTCTGTTATGGACTGAATTGTATATCTCCCCTACCTTGCCCCAATTCATATGTTGAAGTCCTGACCTCAGGACTGACTTAGATATGTGACTACTTTGGAGATAGGGCCTTTAATTAAGGATAAATAAAGTCACAAGAATGGGGCCCTAATCTGATAGGACTGGTGGCCTTATAATACAAGGAAGAGACGCCATGGGCATGTGTACTGAGGAAAAGCCATATGAGGACACAGTAAGAAGGTGACCATCTGCAAGCCAAGGAGAGGGGCCTCCAGATAAATCAAACCTGCTGGCACCTTGATCTTGTACTTCCAGCCTCCAGAACAGTAAGAAAATAAATTTCTGCTGTTTAAGCCACCTAGTCCGTGTTATTTGGTTAAGGCAGCTTGAGCTGATGAATACATAGTCTTTGTACACCTCAGGGAACAGTGAAAGCTCTTTGAAAACTTCTCTTATTCAAGTGAAAAGTTCTCTTTTCAACTGCTCCTCCTCAGAGCAGAGATGTCCATCAGAGGGAGGCCTTTTTAAAAGAGTAATGAGTAGAGTGGAACCTAACACCACAGTGAAGCAGGATGGGTGCTGGCCAGAGAAGTAGGACTATTACTTTACTTATTCTATAGATACTATTTTTATAATAAATACAGCTGAAGACCCATGCTGTAACTATTGACTAAGATTAACTTCCAAGAGAGTTTAAAGTACTCTCTCGAAGGTTTTGCTAATAGTCCATTGGCTTGTGCATTAAGTGCCTGACTTAACATCAGTCTGGTTAGATTTCATCACGTTAGATTTGCCTCATTTTTTAATCCATCCACATATACTCGCTGTCTGCCCCACATGCTTATTATTGGAAAATCAATGCCCTTCTTCAGATGTTTCATAAGGCTCTTGAGTGGGAAAGGGTCAAGAATAGAACCTGATATTTTGAATGATAATAATAACAACTTACATCTATATAGAACTTTACAGGTTATAGAGCTTTCTACCAGTTTAGGGATTCTGGCAAAATAGGAAATGAGTTTCATCTTTCATGACCTTTTCTTTATGAGTTGCTTAGTATGATGGAAATTCATTGCGAACCAGGAGCACTAATCTCAGCTTTGAAGCCACATTACCTCTCTCAGCTTTGATGTTCACCTACGAGTGAAGGGAAAGGCTTGATGATCTCCGAGATGATTTATCTTCTATTTATCTCTATCTCTATCTCTATCTATCTATCTATCTATCTATCTATCTATCTATCTATCTATCTATCTATCTATCTATCTGCTCTCCCATTTCAAGCCAAACATTCCTGGTTCCTTAACTAAAGCTGTCTGGTAAATCCACACTGATTTCCAGGCTCCACTCTGTAACTCTAAAGTATTCATTAAACTTTTCACTAGTTAATAGTTTGAGAATCCACCTTTTTCTTCTTGTCTATGTTAAAGACCTTTCTCCATCTGCAACCATCAGCATCTCACCCATTTTCCCTGATACCTCATAGAAAGCCAACAGTGGCTTAGTGATTGCATCTGCAAGTCTCCCCAGGACTGTGGGGTGAAATTCTTCCAGCAGAATCTTTTTTGGCTTTGCAAGAGCAGCCAGGTGCTCTCTTGCTCCCTGTTCACCCATTGTGAGTTCTCCTCTCAGCACTTTCATCTGCACATTTCATATTCATGTCTGCCATATCTTTATTCAAGGTGCCAATAAAAATGCATTATGCATGACTTGGTTGGCTAGAAAATGATCATGTTTTGTGTATTTAGGGATGTAGAGCTTATAAAGAAGCAAAAAATGGTGGGGGGAATGTGTTACTTCTTGACAAAAAAATCTTCAGAAAAATAATGGTTTTACTCCTCTCCGTCAACCACTTTCCCACCCAAATCTCCACATCTTAACCTAGAGCACATAGTGCCTGAGGGGAAGGAGAAGGGGTTAAAATTGGATGGATGGAGTGGATGAGGTGCAGCCTGGCAGAAGTAGCCTAGAAAAAAGACATTCAGGCTAAGTACAGCAGGCAATAGGTAACCCTTTGCAGTTTTTAAGCAGAGAGGTAATGCAGTGGTAGCATGTTTTCTATTTGTCTTTAGATGGTGCTAATCAGTCCAGGTGACTGCTTTCCTGGATTCCCATAGCCAAAGCAGATGTACATTTTGGCACTTGCTGTTTTCTTTTTTTTTAATTGACTAGCAGAAGCTTTAAACTCCTCTCTCTCTCTCTCTCTCCGTATATGATCTGTTAAAGTATAGATTATTAATAATACCCATCCTCAGAGGTTTTGATTCAGTAGGCTTGAGGTGGTGGGCCTGGGAATTTGCATAGTTAACAAATTCCCAGGTAATACTGATGCTGCTGGTCCAAGGACCCCACTTGATAAACCACTGCTTTAGAGAACCACGTATGAATCTTTTCCTGACGTCTCTTCATTAATGAGAAGCAAGCAGCAGCATGGGGCCCATGAGGGGCCACTGAGAATAATTACATTTTTTTTTCTGCTCATGGTAAGACTCAGAGCTTTACCTTGGCATATAGCAAGACAATTTTCCTAGTGATGCTTGTCTTCAGACAATGGGTCTTTATATCCCATAGCAGTAGAATTTGACATTATGATTCATCTACAATAGACTGAAATTCCCCATCTCAAGTGAATGGGCCAATTCATAGACGTAATGCTCATCAGATAATCTCCATCTTCCCAAGATGTTAGATTATCCTGGGGAGGATTTAGATTAGGTACCAAGAGAATCTGCTGATAATGAAAACTGCTAAATACCCACAGGGCTTAAGAGAAGATATTACATCTCTCATCTGGGCAATAATTGAAAACAAGTTAGATTTTCCTCAATGCAGACGGAGTTCTGAAATCAGAGAGAACACGGTTGGAATAATTTTCTGCCTCTTTTAAAGGTAATCTGCTCTAAATGAGTCACTTAATCTCTCTGAGCCTCTGCTATGATATACGTAAAAGAGGGATTATCAGGGCTTTTATAAACTTTAATCAAGATAAAAAGTGTAAAATGCTTAGCACTTTGGCTCATAGTAGATGCTCAGCTAATGTTAATAACCTCCCTTCAGATGTCTTCTTTCTGTAATAGAGGCCATTTTACCGTTGCATATTATGGATTAGTCTGAAATATATCAGAAAACAAAGAGCCAGGCTTGGAAGGGGAGTCATTTTCAGAGTCAGCTTCATTGCTGCCAATTTGGAAATTAAACTTTCTCAATGGTTGGAGAATATCAGCATAGTAATGGGCTTACCTACAAACTGCAGAGAGAAATGGACTCTGCAGGGGACCACTCATTCAACACCGGGTGGCCCTGGAAATCTGTTTCCTGCTGGCAGAGGGCAGCCAGCAATAAGCACGGCGGGTGTCAGCACCGTGGACAGCTACCCAGAGGTCCAGGCCTGTCAGCTGGGCGCTCACTAGGCCTGGGTAATGATCCGTGGCAGTCTTGTTAATGGCCTTAGGGTTTCATATATTTCTGTAATTATTCAATCATTTGAAAGTTTTGAGTTTCTAATTATTAGGCAAAAATTAAAATATCTTTCTTATTATTTCTTTATGTATTTTACCTCCAGGATGTCCTCTTTGCCATCAGGTCTTTAAATCATCACACTGGTGTGCCCAGTGATTAACACCAGGTTCTCCTCTTTCTAAGCCCAGCCTCTTAGTCTAGGGTAAGATTCTCAGCACTGGCTGCATATTAAAATCACCTCAAGAGCTTTTAAAATGTCTGTGCAACCCCCACCCCAGATAATATAATTTAATTTGTCTTTATCCTGGGAGAGGCACAAGCATCAGTATTTCTTAAATGATCCCCAGGTCACTGTAACGTGCCACCAAGGTTGAGAACCACTGGTCTAGAGATGAATCTTTTTTTATCTCCTGATGTCTCCCTGGTGTTAATCTCAACTTCTTACCTATGATTCTGTTGGAACACAGACTGAACCCAGTTTCTAACTTATTGATTTCCAGCATAGGAGTTGCCAAACTCAGCATTGCAGCCTCATCTTCCCCAAATGTAGAGTAGAGATATCTTTATCTCAAAAATCTTCCCTATTTGTCTCAACAAGTTTATCACAAAATTAAAGAAAATAAAGTGAAAGTTGAAAATTTCAAATAAAAATTATTAGCATTCATATATGGTTGGAAGAGCCTAGAGAAACAAAAGAAATACCCTGAATTCTGGTGCAGCCATTCAAGAGCTCATTTAATGAAATTAAATGTGCACATGGCCTGTACCAGAATTCAGTGACCTGGCAATCTTATTGTGTGCACACCTCGGAACACTCCAGGCACAGGTCCATCAGAACTGAACAAAGATGTTCAGAGCAGCATTGTTGGTGATGGTAGGGAGCTTTAGGCAACCCAGGAACTTGTCACTAAAAAATTGATAAGCAAAATGTAGATGATGTTTTTATCGAATACAGTATAGAAGTTAGAGCAACAAAATGGGTATATACACAGCAACATAACTAGAACTGTAAAATAGAGTGATAAAAAAGGAAACAGCTTGAAATCTGAAGCACACTGCCACTTATGTACATTTAAAACAAATTTATTCATAAAGCAATATTACAGATTTTTCATGGATACACTCATATCCAAGGGCATTTACCAAGCACAATATAGTAAATGCTTATGGGAAATGGGCCTGGGGAGTGGGGATGAAGGAAAAATATTGAAACAAACTCTATCAAGACTTTTAAACAGGCAGTTGCTGATGATACCTGCTGTGAACCAAGAAGTATGATTAGCTTAGCTCTCTGCCCCTTGCAAAGGGGGAAAGGGAGCAAGAGTTAGACAGAGAGAGGGAGCCCTGACTGGTCTACAAGTGGGAACAGGAGACTCTAGGAAGAAAAATGAGACCTTGGGAACCAGGAAAGAGAACCGGGAACCAGGAAAGAGATCCAGGAACCTGCCCTGGGCTGGAAAGAAAAATCTAGCTTTATTGCTCCCTGTAAGGGATTGGGAGAGGAAATGAAAAAGGCTTGCCAAGTTAGAAATAAAAGTATTCACAAAAGCCCTGAGACAGAGGGGGAGCAATTTAGAGGCTGGAGTGGAGAAATTGCATTTCTAGGTCTAGAAAGAAGTTTTATGTTAAAGACTCAGGGATGTTGCTGCTCACCCAGGTGGGAGAAAGGCTCTGTTCCTCCTAACATTCTGGGCGTGCCTAAGTTTCAGAACAAGGAAGTTTCCAGAGCGAAATTATATCCTCTCCCTGATAGACTGACCCATAACTAGGGCCTCTTTTTAGACTTCTTCAGGTACTGATCTAATCATTGAGTCATTCCACTAAGATTGATGCTACAGGCCTGCCATGTCCTAGGCAATGGGTGTACAGAGAAGGGTGAGGCTTGTCCCTTGTTTCAGACAAGGCAGATATAGATGTTGAAGCATCCTTCAATTTGCCTGAACACTGAGCTGGGGCTGTGCAGAATTTCCTCTCTCCCTGGCAGCAGGTAATCATCTACCTATAGAATAGAAACCCCAGTGATCTATTCACTGTAAACCCAGAAAAACACATAACTTAGCAGAAAGCCTTTTCATCTGTGTTACTGATAAAGAATAATGAATACATTAGTTAATATATTAAGGAAGCACAATTTGAGTTTGTTTTCTACTAGGAGTTGAAGAAGAGCTATGCAAATCCCACCAACTTATAGTTGAGGACAACTTGTACATCTGATCAAACTTGTGTAACAGTGATACCAGGTCTTGCTGGATGTGGGTTGGATTGTACAGTTATGGGGACTAGGGTTCGGTAAGATCAAATTTATACCCCCAAAATAGGGCAAGGAGGCTGGTTCTTGGGTAACCACTCCAGATGACCCCTTGAAAGTCACAGTGCGGTGGCTTTGAGAGCAATTCTCTTGGTAAAACGGCTCTTACTTTGCATTTAACATTGTCCTCCTGAAGAGGTCATGTGTAAATCAAATTTAATAAATCAAATTCCACACTTCATACCTTGGGGAGGCTCTCTCTTCAAAGGAAACTGTGAGTGAATCCCTTTTTAATAGAAGTAATCAGCTCTTCATTTATCTGATTTGTAAGGTAAGATTTTTATGTATCAGATTTTCTTAAAGAGATCAGCAGAGTCTTCATTTCATCGGTAGAAAACCCAACACAGAATGGTGTAAGTAAAACAACAGCAACAACAGCAAAAATAGCAAATTACAGGCTCATGCAGTGAAAAGGTATAGGGGTACACTGGCTTTAGACAGGGCTATATTCAGGACCCAAAAAATGACCTAGGATTTTGTTTTTTTCCATCTCTCAGATCTGCCTTCACTTGGCTTTGTTCTCAGGTGCTACCTGAATGAAGCAGCTGCAGCATCTTTTTCCTGCCAGCTTCAACGCCAACAAGGAACATCACTTGCTTCTCTTCCCAGAAGCCCCACAATTGGCTCTGAGTGCGTCTCCTGCCCATCCCTGAAAGAGTAGGGTGTGACGACCTGATTAGCTTAGGCTGGTCATGGGGGGCTTTCCATAAACCAGATGGGC
Source organism: Homo sapiens (assembly GCF_000001405.40). Lineage (NCBI taxonomy): Eukaryota > Metazoa > Chordata > Mammalia > Primates > Hominidae > Homo > Homo sapiens. The sequence continues at coordinate 34,497,512 of NC_000001.11, read as the reverse complement.
TAAGAGTGGGGAAAGGGAACTTCCAAGAAGAAAATCAAGCAGTTATCAGGAGAAATAGGGAACAATGCTGGGGGGTGAGGGAAACATAAACTCAATTTTTCCTTTCCCTCACCCTCATACCCAATCCATCACTGGGCATGTCTATCCTAGAAATACCTCACAAGGAGTTGCCTGCACAGCACTTGCATCAGAATCACCTGGAGGCCTGCTGAATGCAGGTTTTAGGGTCCTATTTCAAATGTAGTGAATTTCATTATCTTGGGGTTCTCAGAATCTGCAATTTTAGATCATTTCCCAGGCGATTTTTAAAAATGTACACTGACATTTAAGAACCACTTCCCAAAGCTGTTTCGTTCTTTCCATTTCCCATAGTTACTGCCTTTGTTCAGGACTCACCATGTCTCACCCGGGCACTTCCAAATGCCTCTTTGCTGGTCTTCCCATCTCAATTTGTTCTCCGCCAGCGATAGTCCTTTCCTCCACCACATCTTCTCATGTTAATAGCCCAGAAATTCTACCTCAGATTTAGCTCTCCAGCCTCCTCACCCATCCTGGCTCCGAGCCATTCCGGACGTCTTTCTCATCCATTCTCTAAACATTTCGGGTTATTTCCCCAGATCTACTCTGCTGTGTATAACCTTCCCTCTGCACCAGACATCATTCCAAGCCCCCTCTTTTTTTTTTTTTTTTTAGATGGAGTCTCCCTCTGTCACCCAGGCTGGAGTGCAGTGGTGCTATCTTGGCTCACTGTGACCTCCGCCTCCCGGGTTCAAGCGGTTCTCCTTCCTCAGCCTCCCAAGTAGCTGGGACTACAGATGTGTGCCACTAAGCCTGGCTAATTTTTTGTATTTTTAGTAGAGATGGGGTTTCTCCGTGTTAGCCAGGATGGTCTCGAACTCCTGACCTTGTGATCCGCCCACGTCGGCCTCCCGAAGTGCTGGAATTACAGGGGTGAGCCACCACGCCCAGCCCATTCCCCTTTTCTGGCAAAAGAAAACTCCTGTGTTAAAGGCCAGCTCAGCTGCCACCGCCCCTGTGCAACCTCCCTGTGCCTTCCCTCCAGAAGAAATTTGTGGCTACCCACTCCTAGCCTCTTGTTCTCCTCTGGAATCCTGTTCATGAATCTCTTTTACAGCAGTTTAGCACATTATGTGGAACTTACGAATGTATATGTCTGTTTTTCCCTCTGGCACTACTAACGGGTTCAATAATATTTAAGTGCTAAAAGCAAGCCTTTGGAGAAAGACGAACTAGGCACTCACCCAGCTTGTGATATTTACAAGATGTGTGACCTTGGGTAAGTCTCTTCACTTTCCTGAGCCTTGGTTTTCTAATGTTTAATGGGTATTTTCATACTTACGTCATGGATTTGTGCATGGATTCAACCGAGATAATAAACAGAAATCTCTTCACACAGTGCCTGGCAATGCAATCTGTGCCCAGTGAATGCTAAAGTAAACAAAACAAAACAAAAAAACCAAAACCCTTGAGTCAAGGAAGGAAAAAGCCTCAATACTGTATACCTAAATTCATGTTTATTTAATGCTAAGCAACGTTTCCTAAAAACCACATTCTGAACTAATCCTGTAATGTTATGTGGGTCAAATCTGGAAGGGTGCAGATAGAATCAAGTCTTTAGACTATATTCCCATTTCTCTGACACCTGCACACCCCTCTCTATCTTCTCCTGAGCTTTGAGCTGCTTTAAGTCCACCCCTGTGAAATAATCACTTTTAGAACGTGGAATGCTGACATGAGAATAATGCAGCTCCCCAACAGTGCAATTTCTCTGGAGCACAGAAATGTTTTGGCTTTGTGGGAATGAGAAAGGCTAAGGCTTGGTGGTGGACAACCAGTTCAGAAGTGGCAGTGTTGAGCTCGCATAAATAAAAACCATTAAAGCTGCCTGAAGTGACAAGATTGGTCCAGGAATCCAAATGAACTGATAAGTGTGGGAGAGATAAACATTTCATTTAAGTGAGCAGCGGGATGAATTTCAAGAAATTTAGCCCCTCTTGTGGTGACTGTTTCCTGCTTGCTTTATAATCTGCCTGAAATTGTCACTCCCCTTCATAACCAGGCATCTTACACTTGGCATGCAAGAGGCTATGCAAAAAGGATCACAAACAGAAGCTGGGAAAAAATGGGCAGTTCAAGAAAATAAAATGACTGCAAATACCTAGTTATCTGCAATGCCCACTGCAACGTAGTGGAATATCTACATGATGTATGAAAAGAACCCAGCACAGTAGCTGGTGCTTTGTAGCTACTGTTGCCAATGTTGATTTTCTTGTTTCCTTCCATCCATTTTGAAATTTAGTGGGTAAGAAATGGAGGAGGTGTGTGTGCGGGGCGTGTGCATACAAGAGGATACAAGAAATTGTCTTCTGTGTTTTTGTGGATTGCTCAAAATTTAGAGTGTAGATCACAGCACTAATCTGATTGTGTTTGTCTAGTCAACACGTTAGATACTATTCTGAACGCAACCCTGCTCCAGGTGCAGGGAATATGAAGTTTAACAAGAAAACACAGGGCAAATCCTTGCCTTCCAGGAGCTCATGATTACAACATAAAAATAGACAAGTAAACAGAAAAACATAAGATTAGGCTCCCTTGAAGCCAGAAGTTATGTCTTGTGCATCTTTGTTTCCCTAGGTTGTTTCATAACCTTCACAGGCCTTAGGTACTCAGTTTTAGAGGGCTGTCTTATTAAAAAATAAAACACACTATAATACCACTGCCATACTAAATATACAGTCAGGCCTCCATATCCATGGGTTTTGCATTTCTGGATTCAACCAACCAAAGATTTAAAACATTTTTTTAAAACTAGATGGTTGTGTCTGTACTGAACACTTACAGACTTTTTTTCTTATTATTATTCCCTAAACAATAAATTATAAACCATTTACAGAGCATTTACATTGCATTAGATATTATAAGTAATCTAGAGATGATTCAAAGTGCAGAGGAGGATATATGTAGGTTATATGCAGATACTACAACATTTTATATAAGGGACTTGAGTATCTTCAGATTCTGGTATCCCAGGGAGGTGCTGGAACTAATTCCCCACAGATACCAAGGAAAGACTGTGTAATTTATATATAACCCTATAAGAGTTGTGTTGAAAGGTATTTAACTGGTTGATATAAGGTTGTACTTTGTAGACATTCAAGTAGATTTTTTAAATTTAATTTTGCAGTCTTTGTATTTTGGAGATGATGACTATTTTCAGTCTCAAATATTCCCATGACCACTTGAAAAGCTCATGAATCCTAGGAACTGTTTTAATGTTGTCTGATAGAATAAGTGACCCTTGAAACTTCACACATTACCTGGCACACAGTGAGTCTTTCATTCAAATATTTGATGACAGAATAAATTCATTAAGGACATCAGATAATGAATAAATATCATGTGTTATAAAGTTCAGTTCCATGAAGCAAAGAACTTATCTCATGTCTCTAGATTCCATTCTAGTTCCCAGTTCTGATCCCTTTGAAAGTAAAGGCCATTGGTTGCTAAGGGATTACGGTGGCTTGAGAGAATATCTCCTCTCCATTGTAAAACTAACTTACAAAGCCTGGTCCTCGAGTTTTTAGCAAAAGACATGGAATGATCCAAAATGCACAGTGTGAAGTTAAGCATGTGGAAGTAAGTGGGTTCTTTAGTCCCCATTTAAACATGAAGTGGGTGATGGTGTCTTGCAAAGTCAGTAAACCTGAGGCACTAGAGATAATAGATATGAGCACAAGCTTTGATACCAGGCTGCCTGGGTTTGAGTCTTGGCTCCAGTACTCCTGGTTGTGTGCCACTGGGCAAATTACTTAGCCTCTCTCCAGTTATTTATTTCTTATTTTAATCTAAAAAGGGGGAATAATTATAGAACCTATTCCATAGTGAGAATTAAATGAGTCTTTGCAAAATGCTTATCACAGTGCCTGACATGTGGTAGGCATCCCCAAATTTTATATTTGTCCGAGTGTGACCAGAAATTAGCCACATGATCTTAGACAAGTTTCTCATCTACTTACAATCCTCTGGTTTTCTTTCTTTTGTACCTTTCCTAATGCATCAGACCGAGGTTGTAAAGACTGGATGAGGTCACAGAGTTGGCACAGAATTAGTGGTACACTAAGCCAGCTCATGCTAGCTCACTCAAGTCTACCATTACATTTTTAGGAATCCCTTAAGTTGATTATTAAAGACAGACAACTAAAAATTAATTATATAAGTTTATAATAATTATATTTGTAAACAAAAGTAACAAATACTCAAAACTCATCAATTTCTAATTATTTTAGTATGTTTTACTATCATCTATGCTCTTGTAGTTATTTATTTATGTCTGTTGTATCTGTATGGTAAAAATTCTACATAATGTTGTGCCAGTCTCTTCCCAACTCCACATTCAGAGCTGTTACACTGGCATCTTGAAATGAGTTATGGTAGGGGTATGTACAACATAACATGGAAATTGGCAAATGCTACAAATATGAGCTTTTCTCCTTCTGAAAAGCCAGCTGTTAAGCATTAACCAGTATGCCACTACACCTTTATCCATAAAATAGTGGTCCTAATTTCTGTCTTGCATGCGTAGATTCATAATGCCTTCTGGGCCATCCAAAAATTCTGGGCAGGACAGGACTACATTGAGTGCAGTAGGAAGATCCTTACATTAACACAGCTACTTACTGATGCACTATCCTCAGGTAAACCTGTACTTAAGGATAGCATCAGTGACCTTGTCACATGCCTTGTTGAGTTACAACTGTCTACACACTCCTTTGTTGTACCAGCCTCACGATCCTATTAGAAAGAGAGAAGAGATTGATTCTGTTGGACCCATTCTTTTTTCATCAGCTTTTAAGTTCAGGGGTACATGTGCAGGATGTGCAGGTGTGTTACATAGGTAAACGTGTGCCATGGTGGTTTGCTGCACAGATCATCCCATTACCTATGTATGAAGCCCAGCATCCATTACCTATTCTTCTTGATGCTCTCCTTCCCCCCATCCCCAACAGACCCCAGTGTGTGTTGTCCCCGCTGCATGCATCCAAGTGTTCTCATCATTCAGCTCCCACTTATGAGAACATGCGGTGTTTGGTTTTCTGTTCCTGTGTTAGTTTGCTGAGGATAATGGCTTCCAACTCCATCCATGCCCCTGCAAAAAACATGATCTTGCCCCTTTTTATGGCTGCATAGTATTCCATGGTGTATATGTACCACATTTTCTTTATCCAGTCTATCACTGATGGGTATTTAGGTTGATTCCATGTCTTTGCTATTGTGAATAGTGTTGCAATGAACATATATGTACATGTATGTTTATAATAGAATGATTTCTATTCCTTTGAGTATATACCCAGTAATGGAATTCCTGGGTCAAATGGGTGTTTCTGCCTCTAGGTCTTTGAGGAATCGCCACACTGTCTTCTACAATGGTTGAACAAATTTACACTCTCACCAACAGTGTAAAACATTCCTTTTTTTTCTGCAACCTTGCCAGCATCTGTTGTTTTTTGACTTTTTAATAATAGTCATTCTGACTGGCATGAGATGGTATCTCATTGTGGTTTTGATATGCATTTCTCTAATGATCAGTGAGGTTGAGCTTGTTTTCATATGTTCGTTGGCTGTATGTATGTCTTTTGAAAAGTGTCTGTTCATGTCCTTTGCCCACTTTTTAATGGGTTTTTTTTTCTTGTAAATTTGTTTAAGTTCCTTGTAGACTCTGGATATCAGACCTTTGTCAGATGGATGGATTGCAAAATTTTTCTCCCATTTTGTAGGTTGTCTATTCACTTTGATGATAGCTTCTCTTGCTATGTGGAAGCTCTTTAGTTTAATTAGATCCCATTCATCAATTTTTGCTTTCGTTGCTATTGCTTTTGGTGTTTTTGTCATGAAATCTTTGCCTGTGCTTATGTCCTGAATGACATTGCTTAGATTTTCTTCTAGGGTTTTTATAGATTTGTGTTTTACATTTAAGTCTATAATCCCTCTTGAGTTAATTTTGTATATGGTGTAAGGAAGGGGTCCAGTTTCAATTTTCTGCATATGGCACTCCCACCACCATTTATTATTTAATAAATAGGAATCATGGCCTGGCATGGTGGCTCATGCCTGTAATCCCAGCACTTTGGGAGGCCGAGGCAGGCAGATCACCAGGTCAGGAAATGGAGACCATCCTGGCTAACACCGAGAAACCCCGTCTCTACTAAAAATACAAAAAAATTAGCCGGGCATGGTGGTGGGTGCTTGTAGTCCCAGCTACTCAGGAGGCTGAGGCAGGAGAATGGCATGAACCCAGGAGGCAAAGCTTGCAGTGATCCCAGATTGTGCCACTGCACTCTAGCCTGGGCAACAGAGCAAGATTCCATCTCAAAAAAAAAAAAAAAAAAGAAAGAAAGAATCACTTTCCCCATTGCTTGTTTTTGTCAAGTTTGTCGCAGATCAGATGGTTATAGGTGTGTGGTCTTATTTCCAAGTTCTCTCTTCTGTTCCATTGTTCTATATGTCTGTTCTTGTACCAGTATCATGCTGTTTTGCTTACTGTAGCCCTGTAGTATAGTTTGAAGTCAGGTAGCATGATGTCTCCAGCTTTGTTCTTTTTGCTTAGGACTTTCTTGGCTCTTTTTTGGTTGCATATGAATTTTAAAATAGTTTTTTTCTAATTCTGTAAAGAATATCAATGGTAGTTCAATGGGAATAGCATTGATTCTGTAAATTACATTGGGCAGCATGGCCATTTTCACAGCATTGATTCTTCCTATCCATGAGCATGAAATGTTTTTCCATTTGTTTGTGTCCTCTCTGATTTCTTTGAGCAGTGGTTTGTTGCTGTCCTTGAAAAGGTCTTTCACTTCCCTTGTTAGCTGTATTCCTAGGTATTTTATTCTTTTTGTAGCAATTGTGAATGGGAGTTGATTCATGATTTGGCTCTCTGCACTCCTGTTGTCAGTGTCTAGGAATGTTAGTGATTTTTGCATATTGATTTTATGTCCTGAGACTTTGCTTATATTGCTTATCAGCTTAAAAAGCTTTTGGGCTGAGATAATGGTGTTTTCTAGATATAGGATCAGTTCACCTGTAAACAAAGATAATTTGACTTCCTCTCTTCTTATTTGAACACGCTTTACTTCTTTTTCTTGCCTGATTGCCCTGGCCAGAACTTTCTAGGTTGAATAGGAGTGGTGAGAGAAGAATCCTTGTCTTATTTTCAAGGGGAATGCTTCCAGCTCTTGCCCATTCAGTATGATATTGGCTGTGGGTTTGTCATAGACAGCTCTTATTATTTTGAGGTATGTTCCTTCAATACCTAGTTTATTGAGAGTTTTTAATATGAAGGGATGTTGGATTTTTATCAAAGACCTTTTCTGCATCTATTGAGATAACCATGTGGTTTTTGTCTTTAGTTTTGTTTATGTGATTAATCACGTTTATTGATTTGTGTATGTTGAACCAACCTTGTATCCCAGGGATGAAGCTGACTTGATCATGGTGGATAAGTTTTTTGATGTGCTGCTGGATTTGGTTTGCCAGTATTTTACTGAGGATTTTTTGCACTGATAGTTGTCAAAGATATTGGCCTCAGTTTTCTTTTTTTGTTGTATCTCTGCCAGGTTTTGGTATCAGGATGATGCTGGCCTCATGGAATGAGTTAGGGAGGAGTCTCTCCTTTTCAACTTTTTGGAATAGTTTCAGTAGAAATGGTATCAACTCTCTTTTGTACCTCTGGTAGAATTCAGCAGTGAAGCTGTCTGGTCCTGGGCTTTTTTTTTTTTTTTTTGGTTGGTAGGCTATTTATTACTGCCTCAATTTCAGAACTCATTATTGGTCTATTCAGGGATTTAGTTTCTTCCTGGTTCAGCCTTGGGAGGGTGTATGTGTTCAGGAATTTATCCATTTCTTACAGATTTTCTAGTTTATGTGCATAGAGGTGTTTATAGTATTCTCTGATGGAAGTTTGTATTTCTGTGGGGTTAGTTGTGATATACCCCTTATCACTTCTGATTGTGTTTATTCGAATCTTCTCTCTTTTCTTCTTTATTAATTTAGCTAGTGGTCTATTACATTTTTTTTTTCAAAAAACCAGCTCCTGGATTCATTTATTTTTTGAAGTGTTTTTTGTGTCTCTATCTCCTTTAGTTCAGCTCTGATCTTGGTTATTTCTCATCTTCGGCTAGCTTTTGAGTTTGTTTGCTCTTGGTTCTCTAGTTCTTTTAGTTGAGATGTTAGGTTGTTAACTTGAGTTCTTTCTAGCTTTTTGATATGGGTATTTTAGTGCTATAAATTTCCCTGTTAACACTGCTTTAGCTGCATCCCGGAGATTCTTTTGCATTGTCTCTTTGTTCTCATTAGTTTCAAAAAACTTCTTGATTTCTGTCTTAATTTCTTTATTTACTCAAAAGCCATTCAGAAGCAGGTTGTTCATTTTCCATGTAGTTGTGTGGTTTTGAGTGAATTTCTTAATCTCGAGTTTTAATTTGATTGCACTGTAGTATGAGAGACTGTTATGATTTCAGTTCTTTTGCATTTGCTGAGGTGTGTTTTATTTCCAATTATGTGTTCAATTTTAGAGTAACTGCCATGTGATGATGATAAGAATGTATGTCCTGTTGAATTTGGGTGGAGAGTTCTGTAGATATCTATTAGATCCACTTTATCCAGAGCTGAGTTCAGGTCCTGTGGACTCATTCTTGAGGTGAATTTTGAGAAAAAGTGGTTTTACATTTTTTTCCACTGCAGTTATATGGAGAAATTGCCTTCAGTGTACATGTAATCAATCAGTACCTCCAGAGCATCTCTTCTGTGCAAGCTCAGGTACCCTGCTAAGCACTTTGTGAAAGGACAGTAATGAATGAGACTATAACCTTGCCCTCAACTAGTTCACAACCTAATTAGGAGACACATAAACAAACAACCACAGTAGACCATAATGTCCCTGGAAGATGAGGCAGCACAGCATGCTATGCAATTCAAGAATTGGGAGTGAATATTCTGCATATGTGTGTATAGAAGGGATGGTTGGTGAAAGATGGCAGGAAGGTGGAGATGTGGGAAGATTTCAGGGCAGGGAGGGTGTATCAGTCAGAGCTTATAATCACAAAAAACATAAATCAGCCTCAGCTAGTTAAACAGAAGAAGAATTTAGAAGAGGTATTAGAAAGCATGAAGAGCCTCTAGGAGGGCCTAGAGAGTATGCATTCAGAGGCAACACCCAAAATTGTGCTGCAAAGCTAGTTCAGTTGAGTCACATGGCTGTCCAACTGGTTGTGGATGCAGTCACTCATGACCAACTCTGCTGATGCCAAGCATTAGACACTGCCATTAGGCTTCTTGCTGCTGATGTCTTTTGCAATTGAATTTAGTTGCTGCCACTAAATTCTACACAATGCTTTATTCTACAAGTCACAAGCTTCTTATTCAAAGCCTAGTTGGATGTATCTGATTATTGAAGCCTCAGTCACATCTTAGTATCTTAGCTGCAAGAGAGGCTGGGGAAAATCTGGCTTCTACTAAAGGATTTAGAAGATGAGTAACTCTCCAAACATAGTACAGATGTTCAAAGATCTAATCAGCCCAAATAATGACAAATCCCCATTGTAGTGTGATCCTTTGGCTTTGTTTTGCAGAAAGTTCAGAAGTGTGTCAAATTAAAAGATTGTGATAGGGCATGCTAAACATAGAGAACAGCATATTCAAGGGCTTGGTGGCCTGGGGAACCTGGCATAGATAGGTAATTTCAAATATTTTAGTCTGTCTAGGGTGAAAGTTCTGTGTACGTGTGCATGTGTGTGTGTGTGTGTGTGTGTGTGTGTGTACCAGAGGTGGTGGCCAGAGATGAGTATGAAAAAATAAAATGAAGCTCAGAATGAAGAGTTTTGAATTCATGGTAAAAATTTAGGACTTTAAGACTTCATTTTGTAGATGATAGTGAACCATAGAAGAGTTTAAAATAGGAAAATAACTTGGTTGTATTTTTCAGGTAGCTCAGCATATATGAAGGATGGACAGAAGAGAGAGCTCCTATATTAATGCTTAAAGAAATTAATACAATAAAAAACAGGATCTTAACTTTATCCACATATTTTGTTTTTCCTAAACTCTTAATTTTAAATTTCTGTCTGTTATAATTGCTCTTAAAAATGTCTTTATTTCACCTTTAGTTTTGGAGGATGTTATCTCTACGTATACTATTCTAGTTTGACAGGTTGTTGTTGCTTTTTTTCTCCTGTGTAGCAATTAAAAGAGGTCATTCCATTTTCTTCTGGATTTCATTGTTTCTGATGAAAAGTCAGCAAAAATGTGTGTGTGTGTGTGTGTGTGTGTGTGTGTGTGTGTGTGTGTGTGTTCTCTAGCTGCTTTAAATATTTTCTTTTTCTTTTCACTGTGAGATACTTAGGTGTGGTTTTTATTATATTCATCCTGTCTGGGATTTGCAGAGCTTCTTGGATCTCTGGATTAATTTTTCAAAATAAAATTTGAAAAAATTTAGACATTATGCCTTTTCATACATTTAAAAAAATAACTGTTCTTTTTCATCTCCCCTTCTGAGACTACACTTATGTATGTGTTAAATTATTTTATATTATCTTAACATGTAGCTGATGTTCTGTTCAGCCATTTTCTTTCCCTGTTTCAGTTTGGATAATCTCAACTGACTTGATTTTAAGTTTACTATTCCTTTCTTCATTGTGCTGAATCTGATGTTAAGCCTGTAAATTAACTTTTAAATTTCAAATAAGTAAATTTTCAGATATCCAATTTTCATTTGGTTCTTTTAAATGTTTAAATAATTTACCCATCCTGGGCAACACAGCAAAACCCTGTCTCTACAAAAGACACACACATGCACACACACACACAGGCATACACACAAAATAGCAGGGCATGATGGCACATGCCTGTAGTCCCAGCTACTCGGGAGGCTGAGGTGGGAGGATCACCCGAGCCTGGGGAGGTCAAGGCTGCAGTGAGCCATGAACCTGCCACTGGACTCCAGCCTAGGCAACAAAGTGAGATCCTGTCTCAAAATAATAATAATTTTTATTTCTTTCTTGCTGTTTTATTTTACTTCATGCATTCTATTCATCTTTTTTTCTGCAAATTTTCTGATGTGTTCATAATAGTTATTTTAACACTTGATTGACAACTGTGATATATTGATATTCTGTGAGTCTCCTTCTATTGGTTGTTTTTCTCTTGATTGTTGATCACATTTTCATGTCTTGTAATTTTTTACTGTTTAAGTATACATTTTGTGGGTTTTTTGATGGATTGATTGATTAAATTAATGAAATAATTTTGCAGAGGGCACAAGTCATTTTCTCTGTCAGGTGAAATTCATATTTCATTAAGAATTAAATTCAGCTGAAGCCAGGACACAGCTTTAATTATATTGAGTTCACTTCTGGTTTCAAATAGGACCCAGAACGTCTCTTTGCCTTTTATCTGAATTTGTTACCTTCCAAGGGAGTGATCTCTTTGATACTTGATGATTTGACCAGGGATTATCCTCCAGCACGGCCCCAAAATTCAAGAATCACAAGTCTTCACAAACTTCTCTACTTTCCAGCTGTATTTCCTCTGCTAACTATTCAGCAAAATTTCAGAATGTGGCCAAGTGATTTATCTTTGGTTTGGAACTCCTCTAGATTCCAATATTTCCTGCCTTATCACATTGACATTTGAATCTTGGCTGGTTTCTCCTACTCTTAAAAATTCTCTCTGTCTATGGCAGACCTGATTCTCCATCCACTTTCTTTCTTTTATAAAAAATAGAGTTAGGGTCTTGCTCTGTCAACCAGGCTAGAGTGCAGTGGCTCAATCATAGCTCAATGCACCTTGTAACTCCTAGGCTAGAGAGATTCACCTGCCTAAGCCATGTGAGTTGCTGAGATTACAGGTGTGGGCCACTGTGCCGGCTCCATCCACTTTCATCAAGATGTGGTCTTTGCTTTCAGGTATGGAAGCCACCATTACTTTCTGCTCACCTATGAAGGACTTACTCCTCTCTGGAATTCAGTTTATCAAGACTTCCTTGCATCTACTGCTCTTTGATAGTTGCATAATTTGTTATTTGTTTGTTTTTTTTCTTGTTATCATGGGAATATAGGTCTTTTACATACTAACCAGAAAGAAAAATGACTGTCCCTCTCTCCCCATTGCAAAGTATTATATTCCCTTTTTGAGTCTCTGCTTAGAGATGGAAGGAAGACCTATGACCCTGGACACCCAGAGATCACTCACTTCCTATGTATCAGTTATGTAAGAAAACACCACTCTTCTGCCCAGATCTTCATGCAAAGACTGATGCTACCTTGTCGCTAGATGCCATGAAATGGGCTCGGGAAGATGTCTAACCTCTCAGTCATTTCAGAACATCCACTTTGCACAGTTTCAGCTACTCCCTCTTCATACCTAACAGATGCATTTATATAAATTTGCAAATTTTACAGAATTTGCTATTTGTGATTTCTTTTGTGATTGACTTAGTTGTTAAATGCCCTATGGGAGTTTTCTATTTACAGGAATCTTGTTGTTAATCCTTTCATAATATGAATAGTGAGAGTAACAAGTCACCCTCTACTCCTACACAACCATCTCCATTCCAACTGTTGAGTATAACATAAAGAGCTTGGACACTAGAGTCAGGTAAATCTGAAATCAAACCCTCTTTCAACCACTTAGTATGTGTGTAACCTTAATCTCTGTTTGCCCTAGTTTCATTATTATTCAAATTGTTCTTATTGCTAAATATTTTTCCTTTCCATCTTCCATAGTTATATTCCACCCTTTCTTCTGATCTAAACTGAAGTGTCATTTCCCTGACCCCCTCGACTGGGTCATATTTGCCTATTTTACATACTGAAAGCCCCAGGTACCTTTCACTTACAGCAATTGCCACAATAATAACTTTATTATTTATTTATGTGATTATTGCTTAGCATCTTCCTTCAGTCTAGAATATAAACTCTTCCTTACATGGAAGGGGCCATGGATGTATTCCCAGTGCCCAGTCCTTCACAGAGTAGGTGCTTGAAGAACGAATTCTCATTCATTGAGAATAAGAGTAATGAAACTTACCTCTAAAGGGCTGCTGTGAGGGCCAAATGAGCTAAGGTAAGGGTGCCTTGGTTTGGGCTCCTTCTGAAACAAGGATTTAGGTCCAAGAATTTTATTTTGTTTTGATACCAACTAGGATGGTGAAGAAGTGAAAGAAAGAGACAATGGAAGAAGCAAAAGTCATAAAGGGTGGTGCCTTGAGGAGGAGGTTACACTGTGGGGAACATGGCTCTGTCTTACTGGGGACTCTCTGAGAAACTATGTAGAACCTACTATGGAATTTTCCAAGTGAGGGTTGATGAAGCTGGGTTATTTATTCATCCACTTCTGTGTTTCATTGCTTAGGGGTTTCTCTCCCAGGCGTTTTCTCTCCAGTCTCCAGAGCACGTCTTTGGGCAGAAAGGTTCAGGAAGCCAGAGCTGTGTATAAGGGCACTGAATGCAGAGGACCTCCAGGGTGGGAGGGGCACCTTTGGTGACCTCTGTGAAGTTAAAGCACTCTGTGCAGTGTCAATGCAGATTAAGCCTCCTTCCAGAAATTGTTCTTCCCTCCCCCTATCTGCTACAGCCACTTTGACCCCAGCAGAACTGGGCACAATAACAGAGCTTGTGCCAGGGCCTCAGAGTATGCCTGCTTTTACCACTGACTGAAGAATCAGGACAAGTGGACAGGCTTGCCCTGGGTCCAGGCCCCATTTTACCCTGAAGGAGCTTACCTCTCAGGCTGACCTTAGGGACAATTAGAGAACACAAGCAAGGCTGCGTTGGGGCAAGTTCTCTGGAGAGAGGTGGGATTTTTTTTATTATTATACTTTAAGTTTTAGGGTACATGTGCACAACGTGCAGGTCTGTTACATATGTATACATGTGCCATGTTGGTGTGCTGCGAGGTGGGATATCGATCCAACCCTTGCCTAGGATATGGTTACACAACATGTAGCCAACACAAGGCCTACTGTTTCCACAGAGCATTCCGCTCAGCTCAGTCCAGGTCCTGCACCTGGGAGGTTTCTAATTAATGCCTATTGAATAAACATGGAATCCACCCCCCAACTGAGGTCATAGCAGAAGCAGGGCCACCATGGTAAAAATACACTGATATTTTAAATGGTTAGTAGCATAGGAGTGTTTTGTGAATATAAAAAACCCTTTTCCTTGAGAGATGAGATGGGATGATTCCAATTCTCAGAATATAAAATTAAGGTTTCTTTACTTTCACAATGAGATGAGGATTTCTAGAACATTTGTGCTGCCAAATTTTAGCTCTGATTTAGAACACCTTTATCACAAACAATGCTGGCTGAGCATAGTCTTTTTAGACTGTAGAGAGCTGATTCAGCCTTCCCTCCCCAAAAGGAGTAGAAGAGCAGGAAGGTGGAAAGAGAGAGAGAGAGAGAGAGAGAGAGGGAGAGAGAGGTTTCTTTTTCTAGCTTTGCAAATGCCAATGTTGCATTTTCATAGCCATGTGTATCTCCTCACTCATGGAGTTCACATGTTATTTCTCTTTGACAACAGGGAAAGGAGGTTTCATTCGTTGCTTTCTGCTGTCTCTGCCTTTTTACCACTGCGTTTCCCTGCTTCCCTCTCCGTCTGTCTCTGAAGCTTTCCTGTCTGTCTATTCATCTGCCCGCTGCTTCTTTTCTGCATCTCTTTTTTTTCTTTCCCTTGTCCTCTGGCATCGTCTTCCTCCCTTCTTGTGTCTTTTGCCATCTGCTTTCTGTCTTTCTATGGTGTGTGTCTCTCTCTACTTCTGTTCTTCATCCTCCTCATTCCTTTTCTCTCTTGTCCCCAGTTTCACTCTCGCTCTCTTTCTGTCTCTCAAAATCACACACACACACACACACATAATTTCTTAAAACAAACTCAAAGATATTTTAAGTTTTATCAGAAGAGGAGTGGAGTATCTTCAATCTGCCTCTTTGAAAAACAAAACAGGAACACAAATCTAGCTTGCCTGGTTTCCTCCTTCTGTGGCCCTGGGTGAGGCCCTTTGCGGACCCATAGAGAAAGATTTGCTGTTGCTTGTCTGGCCTGGACTGGCGACTTCAGTCTGTGATTTTTTTCTTTCAGTGTGTTCACTCCGTTCTGGGCTCTGGACTGAATTGTTGGGGATCCCTGAGTCAGGCAACCCCAAGAAGTCTGCCCAGTGGCTAGGGTTGGCCGTGCCTGTCCTGGGCATTGTCTTACGTGGTTGAGGTTCCTCAAAGTTTCAAGGCTTCTTCCCTTTATTCTGAGCAAGTCACAGCACAAATCAGAAGTGTTGGTTTGGGGGAAAAAATGAGTTGAATCATATTAGTGGTGCTACCTCCACCTGCCGTCCTGCATCCATGTTCCAGCACCTACTAGCAAGTAGCAGGCAGATCCCTTCACCTCTTGGTGCCTGGGCTTTCTCAGCTGTGGAATAAGGATGAAACCTAGGTTGAAGGTTGTTTTCAGAACTTGATGAGGTAAATGGATGTGAAGCTCTCAGCACAGGGCTGAAAGCTAAACCACAAGTACAATAAGGAAAATAATACTGCCTTGTCTGCTGCACACAATTGCTTTAGGTGTCAAATGAAGTGATGATGGAGAATGTGCTTTGAAAAGAGTATCACGTACTAAATAAAGTTTATTCTTATTATTGAGGTAAATTTTTTATAGCTAGCAATTATTGAATACTTATAATAATAATTTAAAAAATCCTCGGAGGTGGGGATATCTCTGTTTTACAGACGAGGAAATGGAAGCTTGGAGAGGTTAAATGATGACCAAATCACACATTAAAAAAAAATAAAAATTTTAAATTAAGGGCTTGCCATGTGACAGACATCATGCTAAGGCCCTTACATTTATCATCTCATTTAGTTACACAATTGCGTGATAGCTATTTTCTCCATTTAAAAATATATTTATTTATTTATTTTTATTAATTTCAACTTGTATTTTAGATTCAAGGGTACATATTCAGGCTTGTTACAAGGGTATATTGTAGGATGCTTAGGTTTGGGGTACAACTCAACATTGCCCAGGTAGTGAACATCATACCCAATAATTAGTTTTTCAAACCCTTTCTCCCTGTCTCCCACCCTTCTCTTGTAGTCTCCAGTGTTAATTGTTCCTGTATGTATGACCCTGTGTATCTAATGTTTAGCTCCCACTTATGAATGAGAACATGAAGTGTTGGTATTTGGTTTTCTGTTTCTGCATTAATCCACTCAGTTTAATGGTCTCCAGCTCCATCCATGTTGCTGCAGAGGACATGACTGCATTCTTTTTTAGGGCTGTGTGGTATTCCATGGTGTATATTTGCCACATTTTCCTAATCCAACCCACTGTTAGTGGGCACCTAGGTTGATTTCATGTCTTTGCTGTTGTAAATAGTGCTGTGATGATCTCTACAAGGAGAACCACAAAACACTGCTGAAAGAAATCATAGATCACACAAACAAATGGAAAAACATTCCATGCTCATGGATCAGAAGAATCAATATCATTAAAATGTCCATATTGCTCAAAGCAATCTACAGATTTGGTAATATTCCTATCAAGCTATTATACCAGTGTCATTTTTACATTATTATAAAATTCATATGGAACCAAAAAAGGGCTCGAATAGCCAAAGCGATCCTAAGCAAAAAGAACAAAGTCAGAGGCATCACATAACCCGACTTCAAACTATACTGCTAAGCTACGGTAACCAACACAGCATGGTACTGGTACAAAAACAGACATAGACTAATGGAACAGGTTAGAGAACCCTGAAATAAAGCTGCATCCCTGGGTCCACTTATTTTTAGATGAGAAAACTAAAGTTTGGAGAAGTTAAGTGATTTGCCCAAGCTCAGGTGGCTAGAGGCAGAATCTGTCAGATACCAAAACTCATTCTTGAAACTTCTTGCTGTTCCACCTCATAACTCCTAAAAGGTAAAGCTTGGCTGGAGCCCAGGTCTTTCTTCTGGGGCTGCTGGTGGAGCAGTGTGTGTTGGGGGGTGGGGGAATGGGGGTGGGAAGGTGACTCTTGGTGTCCCAAGCAAGGGACTATTATCTGAAATGAACTATTATCTGAAAGAACAACAGTGTGTGCAAGTTTGCAGTCAGCTAGGCATGGGCACTCTTGCCTCTGGAGCGTGAAGTAGGGTACAAGTGGTTCTCCTTTTGCTTTTCTCCTTCCTTATTCCTCTTGCTCCCTTCCCTCCATTTCTTCCTCTCCCCATGCCTCCTCTGATTCCTCTCTCATCTCTTTCCCTCTTCCTGCCTTCCTTCTCCCCTTCCTCTGCCTTCTGCTTTCCTCCCCCTTGTCCTTTTGTTCCCCCTCCCCTTCCACTGAGTTTTCCTCTCCCTTTCCTTCTTTTACTCTCTCCCTTCCATCTTCCTTTCTTTCCCCCCTCCTGATTTCTCCCCCACTCCCTCCTCCTCCTGCATTGCCCCTCCCATCCCCCCAACCCCTTCTCCCCTCTGCCTGCACTAACTGATGCCTGAAGAGCGTGCTGCCCGCTGTTGCCATGGAAACACCTCAGCCGGTGTTGCAGCCTTTTCCTGGATCTCGGCTGGCCAAAGACCAATAAGAGAAGCCTAATGAAGTGGCCCCAGCATTTCCTTCCTCTCCTCTCCCTCTCAGAGACCACACTCTCTGAAGGCTGGAGCCACCTATCCCTGGAAGTGTGAAGGGCAGAAACATACGGGGTTGTGGAGAGCTCCAGGGTGGCCTTGGGCATGAGATTGGGCACCAGTTACCTTCCTTGGCACCATCAGCTCAATCTCAAAAGACTCTGCTGAGCACCGTGTGCACAATACAGTGTAAAAGGAATCACTCCAGCACCCAGTGCACACAGAGGTCTCCATAAGGCTGATTTGTGCCACCCCTTCCTCTGCTAAATGTCCAAGTTTTAGTCAAATGCTGTATTTGCTGGTCACTTTGTCTTGGTGAAAGGGGTCCCAAGCCAGACTTCAGGGGACCTGCGTTTGGCTTCTGCTCTTGCTGGGTAACTGGGAGCTTCACACTTATCTGTCACTTGGCAAGGTCCCATTTACCCTAAGACCTTTCAGAACACCACGGGAGCCACATCTATAGGACTGCACGGGTGCTGGTGGCTTCTCCCTCTTTTCTCCCTTCAGGAAATCCCTGTCTACAGATTCATTCTACTACACTTTTGACTTCAGCTTGTTCTCTGCATCTGCTGGAACCACCCAACAGGGAAGAAAAACTCAAAAGACCTTGGCCACTTTCTCCCTCCTTTCACTCCTGAGTCCTCTGTGGCTTCATTATTCTGATTTCAATTTAGAGAATATATATTGATCATCAATTATGTATAAAAATGCATTGGGCAGTAGAAAGCCCACCTTTACAGCCAAATGCATTACTATTTTGCAATGCAGCAAGCTCATATTATCCTTTCCTGCTTCTGTTCCATCAGAGTGGAGAAGGCCTGGTCTATCTCCTGCCTCTGGGACCATGTCTGCATTAGCCAGCGTTTCCTGTGGCAACAACCTCCACCCACTCCTGCCAAATCTCAATGCCTTACAACAGTGAGCCTTTATTTCCTGCTCCCATTATGTGAGAGCTGCTGGTCAGCAGGAGCTGTCCTTGGTTCTTCTGGGATCTGCTGGGCCTGGCTCAGCACCATGGGTCTTCTCTTATTCCAGGACCCCAGCTGAAGGGGCAGCCCACATATGCAGCATGCTGTTCTTGTGGCAGAGGGCAGAAGCTCAAGGGAGAAAGAGCTCAACCAGAAAGCACATTGAAAGGCTCTGCTCAGATGTGGAGTGAGTCCCCCCAGTGGGACACCACTGGGTAAAGCAAGTCACGTGGCTCAGCCCAACATCAAAGGAGCAGGAAGTAGGGCGGCTTACAGGGAAGCTAGGGAACAGACAATTACCAACAAAGAATAGAAGCTGCTACAATGCCCAGACAATCCCAGACTGGAGTCAGCCTTTTTCTAGGACTCTTGTTATTTCACTTTTGAACTATTATCTGAAAGAACAACAGTGTGTGCAAGTTTGCAGTCAGCAAGACATGGGTTGAAATCTGAGTTTTTCAGTTTCCTAGCTATGTGGCTTCAGGATGGGGAGTTAACCTCTCTGAGTCTCAGTTTCTGCATCTGTAAAGTGGCAATACTAACACTGATTTCACGTGGTTGCTATAAGGATCACAGGAATATATAGTGCTAGGCACATAGTAGGCACTCAGCAAGTCGCAGTTATTAACCCTGTTGTATATTAAAATGAGTAAATTATTTTTGTCAAAGTAAATAAGTAAGATATAGCTTTCCTGTCTCCTGATTTTTCTACTTACGCAATCCGGGTCATAATAATTGGCCAGGTGATGTGGGGGAACAATAATAGCAAATGTTAACAGTTAAATGGCACTTACTGTGTGTGAGATACTATTTAAGGGCTTTAAATATTCTAACTTACTTAATCCTCACAAGCCTATGAAATACTGGTACTCTTATCCACATATTACTGATTATGGAACTGAGCCCAGAGGAACACAGAAGGAGGTTCAGTGGCTTATTCATGGCTGTATAGCTTCCTAGCAGCAGAGCCAGGATTTGAACCCAAGTAGCTCAGCTGAAAGCTCATGTTCTTAGCCATTGTGCTATGGGGCCTCTGAGCTTTTTAGTAGCCAGTGTTTAGACAGGGATGGTGAAGAGCTGTGTGACTGTGGCTATGATGCTTAAGCCTGGTTTGTTGGGCGGAAAGAAAATCTGGTGAGTGACCTGGATTTAATACCTACTTGGACATGAAATAAAGGAGCCCTTGGAGGCAAAGGCAAGATTTAGAATCCATGGGACAGCCCCTAGTCAATTAGCATGGAACGTGATTCTAGGTATGTGTGTGGGAGAGTGAGGTGGGTTTTCTGGAGTGGAGGGTGACT
The DNA here is from genome assembly GCF_000001405.40 of Homo sapiens. NCBI lineage: Eukaryota > Metazoa > Chordata > Mammalia > Primates > Hominidae > Homo > Homo sapiens. The sequence continues at coordinate 34,477,583 of NC_000001.11, read as the reverse complement.
CTGTTTCTTCCATTCAAATGCCCCAGGCCTTGCTCTCCAGCTAGGTCAGCCACCCTTTGGGAGGCAGGTCTTTGAGATTCCAGCGTCTGACAATACTGTGACTACTCTGTCCATTTCTGCACATAAGGCAGTAGGATGGAAATTTCTCTGGGGAGCATCTTCACTGCCCTTTCCCAAGGCAGATGAAAACATTTTCATCCCAACAGACCCATGGTCGCTCTGACACCTGCAGCAAAGGGGAGAGCTGATAACACTGCAAGTGATGCTATAGCCGGTGAACTTACACATCATCTTCTCCTGTTACGCCAAGAGCTGACCGCCAACTCACAGCCCTAGCAACTGAGGATAAAAATGGCAGCAAACGTCTGCCTGAGTCTGAGCCTTTAAATGAGGCCAGCCCACACTCTCACACCCACGGGACCTTTAACAGGGTGCTCTGGGCATCCTGGCCTTGTTGACAGCAGAAGTTCTTAACCTGCTGGCATCAACTCACTGTTTCTTACCTTTTGCTCTGCATCTTTGTTTGCTCAGCTCCTCACATTTTTTTTTTTTGTTTTTTGAGACAGGGTCTCACTCTGTCCCCCAGGCCAGAGTGCAGTGGCGCCATCTCGGCTCACTGTAAACCTTGCCTTTGGGGTTCAAGAGATTCTCCTGCTTCAGCCTCCCGAATAGCTGGGACTACAGGTGCGCACCACTACACCTAGCTAATTTTTGTATTTTTAGTAGAGATGGGGTCTATTGCCCAGGCTGATCTCAAACTCCTCACCTCAGGTGATCCACCCACTTCGGCTTCCCAAAGTGCTAGGATTACAGGCGTGAGCCAGTGTGCCTGGTCTCCTCACATGTTTTTTAACTTCAAGATCCAAAACCACATTTACCCCTTAAGTGTAAGGACTGTTTGGGCTTTATTTGATTTGATTCATGAGTGTGGTTTTGGAGTCACCTTCAGGATCTAGCCCCAAGCATCAGCCTGCTTTGTCAGAACCCCTGGGCTGGCTTGGGCCTCATGGGGGCCAAACACTGCTCAACCCTGAGTCAGTCATTGTTCTTGGATTTCACTGAGGTCTCCTTTGGTCATTGGTAACGTGGGAAACAGGGCCTGGACTTCATGCCAATCAATGTAGAAATAGCATTAGCTCAACGTCATTCCTTTGAGCATTGCTGTGCCCACTCTCACTCCCACCTCAAGACTAGAAAAGGACTTGGTTGGAAGGAATCATCTGGATGTTTTCTGGCAGAAGATGCTTTCTTCCTACTTGGTAGACCCAGTTGTCAAGAGTAGAGTCCGTGCCTGCTCCTACTGTGTCACCTGCCCAGTCCTTGAGCCAGTGAGGGCCCAGCCCAGCCTTAAAGGCCATCAGGAGTTCCTTGTCCACTAGTCAGTCAGGTCTTCAAATAATCAGTTGCCCTTACATCCAGTGTGCCCAGTGCACGGGGTATTTAGCCCCTGGGTACCCAGGGAGGCATCAGGCTGCCACCTCAGTAGCTTGCACCTTGAGTCTAACTGCCCTCGGTTCTGCTCCGTTGTTCCTAATTTTGCCCCAGGGCTTGTTGTCTAGTCCTAGAAGCCAGCCCCATTGTTCAAGCCCCTTGCGTCTCTTTCTTATATACCTTGCATTGTATATACAGGATATACCATCTCCCTGACCTGCATATTGCTTCTGCTAGCCCTCCCACTAACGTAGAGTCCCCTTTCAAATCTATGACTCAGATACTTATCAGATGCCAAAAAGTGCAGTCATCTAGAAAGCCCACCCAGACCCCTAGAATGTAATATTAAATGAATCAGACTCCACTTGACTCCAGCTCTTGGATTTAATGGTTTGGGCTGCCAGCCTCTTCCTCCAGGGAGCCAGCTGTCTTGTCCTAGGTGATTACTGTAAGAAGAGTCTCAGTAAGCTCTTCTTCCCCAAACACGGGCTTTTGGAATCTCACGGCCCTGCCAAGACATGTAGTTATATCATTTCCTGAGATGGGGCCTTTCTTGGATTATTAAATTGTCAGAGCTAACAAGAATGAAACATCAGGTCTTGCCCATCAGACTGGCAAAAATGAACATGATTAGCAATGGATAGAAAGGGTATAAGGAAACAGACGCTCTCAGACAGCATTCATGAAAGGGTACATTAGCACACATTTTTCCTTTTTTGGAGGGCAGCTTGAAAATATGTATCAAAATTTTTACCTCGACAATTTTTCTTCTAGGAATTTATCAAGGAGTTAATCAAATAAATTTTCAAAAATATATATGCAAAAGAATGCTCCTTCAGTAATGTTTCTGATAGCAGAAAAATGTATAGGATTTGTTAGATAATTTATGTTATATCCATACAAAGCAATACAGTACAGCTGTTAAAGAGCTTGTTATAAAGCAACATGCATTAATATGGAAAGATGTCCACACCACATTGCTGAGTAAAGAAGCAATTTGTACAATAGCTTGTCTAAGATAATCCCAGTAAACAGATGTCATAAATGTGTAGCGGGGAGGGGGAAGTATGTATACATATACGTGTATTTGCACACACATATGTGCACTTCAGGGAAGCCACGGTCTAGCAGTTATGGTAGGCACATACAAAAAAGACAATTATGGAATCGCATGGCATAGAGGTCACTAGAGAAATGAAAAGAGTGGTTCAAGGAAGTCTTCCCAAACAGAGTGACAGCTAAACTGAGAACTGTAGGACAATTGCGAGGTTGTCAGGGGAAGACACAGAGATCCTAGTAAATGGTTGGGTCCAAAGCATAGCTATGACCTAGGCGTGGAGAGTCTTCAGGTCTAACCACGAAGATCACTGGCCACAAGCTACAGAGGCTGCAGGAAGCATCATTGAAATGAGTCACATAGTTGGACCACTGGGCAAAAGGTAGACTTGGGCGGGGGGAGGGGAGCATTGAACTTTGACCCCATGCCCATTTTGTGAGGCACAGAAAGGCTCCACCTTTTTCAAACAACTTTCAAAGTTCTCCTTCCCTCGCCTGCCCTGCTGTGCCCTGAAGCAAAATGACACTTGGTCACACAATCCATTCCATAGTTAAACTTGCACTTTATTAAAATTGCTCTGAATAACTCTGGGGGGAAGATTGTACCCGTCTCCATTCATCTTCAATGGCTTTTACACCCCACTCGACATAACTGTCTCCTTTGATTAAATCTCCATTAGGGCTCTGTTCCATATTCAGCAGCTCTATAAGCCAATTAACCCACCATTCCATAGGTTAGGACAAAGAGCAGTGCTTCTTCAGAGAGGGAGAGAGACAGAGAGAGAGAGAAGGAGAAAAAGAGAGAGAGAGAGAGGAGAGGGGAAGGGAGGGAGGAAGAGTAATACAGCAAGAGAAACTTATCTCCCCTGCCACTGCTACAGCTAATCAGTGTTTATCATTATACTCTCATTTCCCCACATTTAATCTAAAGGAGATGGGAGGGACGTTGCCAGCAAGATGCAACGTCAGGCCTGGAAAGTCCATGCTTGGCTTATTCATTATGCCAGACTCCATAGATGACAAGATGCAATTTCTTTTCTTCTTCTTCTTCTTTTTTTTTTTTTTTTTTTTTTTGATAGTGACAGAGTCTCACTATCACCAGGGCTGACCTTGAACTTCTGGACTCAAGCAATCTTTCCACCTCAGCTTCCCAAAATACTGGAATTACAAGTGTGAGCCACCACACCTGGCCGAGATGCAATTTCTTAAGCTGAATAGTGTTTGGGAGTGCTCAAACCTCTCAATGCCTTCCTCATCTTGATCAACCAGAATCCCCAAGGATGCATACCCCTAGGTTCAGCCCCTCCAGACCCTGCCCAAGTCTGCATGTTAGAAGGCCATCTCCACTAGTGTGAATCTAGTCTAGTCTCATGGCTCTAAGCCTGGCTCCAATGGGTGTGGAGGCAGGGCCTGGCTGTTCACAAATCCTCATTGTTCCCTACCCACAAACTACCCCCCTCATCTCCACTTACTGGAATATGTTATAGGATTGACTTCTGTCTGGAGACTTGGCCAACATTTGAATCCTCTTTAAGGGCTGGAGCTCCTACATGCCTTTGATTCACCAGCTGGTCATCAGAGATCCTATCCCCTACCTGGTTCTGCTAGTTCCTTTCCCTGGGGTATGGCCCCAGTGGATGAAGTTCTTCCCTGAAGAGACAACATCAGTCCACATTTTGGTGTTGCCTGAAGCTGGAAAATCCAGCTGATTCCCAGGGCCCCATTGACTGAGTACATGCACACCACTTATGTGGGACCCTAAAAGTCCCAACTACCTGGATCCATGGCTGGACTGAATGAAGTGAACTTGAACAAGGATTCATGTCAGGCCTGTTCTGAGCCCAGATGCTCACAATTAGGGTGCAGTGGCTCAGAGTTGAAAGGCAGAGGTAGGATTGGAGGTCAGCACAAGCCCAGGATGAGAGAATAAGCTGATTCAAAACTTGAGTCCATCCACAGGGTTTTGCTGTCACACATACCTAACTTTCCATCTCAGCTCTGTTGCACACCAGCTGACGAGCAGAAAGGATCTGCTCATCCCAGTCTGCCCACCTCATATAGGGATAATGGGGGCAGAAAATACCTAGCAGGCTGTCCAGACCTCTCTGCTCTCTAGCAATTGGCCTTGGGAAGATGCTTTCTGCTGTTTTCATATAGAAGTGAGGTTTTAAGGAAGCCACAGGGCCCACAGGGCGGTGGCACATCAGGTGAATCTCCTCCAGCGTTCTGCAAGGGGCTGGGTAGAAGGGGCTGGCATGGGCATCTGGAATCCTTCAGCCTAGTCCTCTGGCTCGGTGATGAAAGCCCAACCACTGTTCTCAGACCAGCAGGGATAGTCTATCCCTCCTGGGTCACCCAGCCTTTTCCCAGGCCATCCTCCCTTGATTCACACAGACTTGCCTACCAAGGCGGGGCTCTGCTCCTGCTTTGCTGGTCACCTCTGCTCTGCCCCCGATTCCTCTTCCTGGACCAGGGTTCTTGAGACCCTGAACATTTCTACAGGTGGGGGCTTGTGCATGACACTGTCCCTGAGGCTTGGGAATTTTTGACCTTTCACTGGGATAGGCTAGAGGAACCCCTCTGCCATCTTAGTGTTTGCTCTCCCCACCCCCCACTTTCCTTTCAGAACTGATGGGTCCCAAATATCATATGCTCATCCCCTGTGGCTCAAGTCAACCTCCTCCTGGGATCCATTCTATTTGCTGTGGCTGCCCATGAAACCAGTGAGCTCAGAGGAAGCATTAGTATAAGTACAGCTTCTGGAATGAAGGAGGTAACTCTCTCCAAGCTGAGCCTTTGTGCTTGTGGAGGGTGTGTGGTATTTAGTCTTGGAAGCCACCAAAGGAAGAGCAAGACAGACAAGCCCAGTGCACATGGTGAGGGTATTGGGGAGTGGAGAGTGGGGGCAGGGTTGCACAGGGTTTTGCTGTCACACACACCTAACTTTCCATCTCAGCTCTGTTGCACACCAGCTATAGGATTTGGGGAAGTTAATTAATCCCTTTGAGCCTTGGTATTCCCAGCCATAAAATGGGAAGAACAACGTCTGCTTCAGAGGGTTGTAGATCAGATGAGAATATGTACATTATGTGGCACTCGGTAAGCGTTTGATAAATGATAGCCATTACAGTGAGGGTGGCAGAAAGACTCAAAACCAGTTTTATTAGAAATGTTTGGGAGGACCGGGATGATCAACCTAGAAAAGTCTAGGGGAGATGTGATGGGGATTTTCAAACAGTGGGACTGTGCCCAGAGAAAGCGATTAGAATTGATGGAGCGCCTGGTGTATTTGACATCTAGAGAGGATCACTCTTAACAACCCCTTCCTCTGCCCAACAAGGCTCTTCTCAGTAATAAATGTAAAATGAAACAAATGCCAATGGCCACAAAGGAAAAGCAGGCAGTGAAAATTTTCTTTTGTTAAACTTAACACATATAATCATACCAGTAAAAAATACAACAAATATTGCAGAATAAATGAGAAAAAAGTAATGGATTAATATTTTTATCATGTTAGTATAGCTTTTGAGAAAAGGGAAAACATATCTGCATTCTGTTGCAGTAATAAATAATAACATTACAGTTTTATTTTCCTGATTAACTCTTCAGTTAAAAAACAATTAGCACTTCAAAAAGAATGATGAATTTCAGTTTTAAAGATATTATTCAAATTCAATACAGATAAACTAAAAATCACACTTACTGAACAAAAAATAATTGTACCATGCAGTTCTCACTGTTTCACTGTTTTAAATTAAAAATAAAAATAAAAATTTCAAGGGCTCACATAGAATGTCAGAATTGAAGTAACTCATTTTCCGTTTTTGTTTTTTTTTTTTTGTCTTCACCATTATGATACTTATTTCAAATTTGCCATTTAAAATCAGGGATATGTAAGTACCACAGGAGGCGGAGACATGAACTGTGCTTGAAACAAACTGGAAGAGATTCAAATCTTAAGAATTTACTCTTGAAACGAGCATTTATAGCTGAGTTTGCATGTGTTGGGGCCAGTTGTATAACTGGGACTTCTCCAAATTAGTGCCCATGTAGAATACAATGTCATTAAAGGATAAGTAATAAAAATGTGCCAAATGGAAGCTTATTACATCTATTATTATTATTAAAACGCGACAGTAACCATAACAATTACTTAGTACTTGACCAACAAAAGCTTTTGTTAAAGAGGAGTATTTTATCACTAACATTGTTTAGAGCTGCCAGAGAATGATGGTAATAATAAAAAGCAGACTGGCTTTTAGTCTGTTTTATTATTGTTTTCACATTCTCTACAGACAACATTCCCTCTATTTTCTGCACCTGGGGGGACTGCTCCCCAAAGCCACCGTTGATGTGCTCTGATTAAAGGGGTGACCCCGATGAAAAGCAGAGCTCAGTTGGGGCTCAGCGTAGGGGAGAGTGTTCCAACTGCCAGAGCTCTCCAAGATGGACTGGCCTGCCTCCGGAGGTAGTAAATCTCCTGTCACAAAAGGTGCTCAAGCATAACATGGCCTTTAAGGTCTTTCCAACCCGAAGACTCAGTGACTCCATGAATCAGGAATGACAGAGCCTCCTTCAGTCATTGGGAGAGAGTTGGGGACTTAGCTGTGTCTGGGGCTGGTGTATCGGCTATGTTCTGCAGAGGCACAACCCCAAATTCTAGAGCCAGCTCCTTCCCCACCCCCACCCCCACAACCCCTGCTTTTACCAATAAAGGTATCACTGTCCATGGCCAGAGACTGGAAAATTCCTGGTTGCTGGTCAGAGCAAAGGGAGACCAGCTGGAGTGTCCTGCGGGGCCATCATAAAGAAGATGGTTAGTGGACTTTCCTGGATGTTACCTCTTCTCTGGCTTAAGTCCTCCCCTCTGTCTGGTGCTCCTCCTGACAGCCCGGGGAGGGCTGGTGTGTTTCCTGCTGTTTGCATCTCAGAGGGATGAAGCAATTTTGGAGGAGTATTGACCCTAAATTCTAGTCATGCTTTAATCCCCCTGTGGGAGGTTCCCATTATCTCTTTAGTGTAAAACACATTATTAATGGATTATGCTTTCACCAAGTAAAGGTCTTTTTAGAAATGATTTTAAGAATCCCAACCTGGATTTTCTTTTCAGAAATACTACTTTCATGGCTCTGGCTATGAACATCAGCATATAGAGAATGGATCACTACCAAAGAAGGCACCCGAATGTGTCTGTCTCATCCTGGGGAAACTCATTCATCTGTATATGTACTCAGCAAGTGTTTCCTGGCACCTGCTCTGGGTCACAGTGCTGGGCACTGGAAGCTGAGAGATGTGGAAGAAGGCTGGACATTCAAGGTATGCACCCACACCTGCCTAGGGGACTCGTACCTGCAAACAAACAAAAGATCACAGTGCAAGCTGACAAATACTCTGATAGAGGTGTGGGAAGAAATGCTCCAGGAGCTCAGTGGATTGGTGAAGTTTGCTTCATTCATTTAAGCAAATAAAAATGGGTTCTGGATACATTCAGCAAAAGATGATTTGGAAGGCAAGAAAGATCTTGATCACCAAGCTTATGTGCTTGATCTTGTGCTATCCAGAGGGCTTCTGGCTAATTCATTGAACTTAAAGATGAGAGATATAATTTTCTTTTACAAAAAGACAAGTTTTCCAAATTTGCTGACCTTTCCAATGATGACAGGTAGCTGTTGCTATTAGATATTTTTGAAAAAGTAAACATCTGTAATCTGCCCTTTCAAGGTAAAGGCGATATTTTTTTAACAATGAGTGAGAAAGGAACTGTTTTTTGAAACAGGTTTGTGTGCACAAAAGGAAGAACATTTTAAAATGGATGTTTGAAGTGTTTCCACCATTACATGATCCTATTGCCTAAAATTTTGTCAGGGTGTCACTTATAAAAATTGTTATATCTGTGTTCTATAAAAACTTGGAAACAAAATTTCCTAAAGTGTTAAAAAATCTCCTACATAAAAAAACCTGGAGGACTTTGTACACATTTGTTCAAAATGTAGAAATGCTGCATCTTCCAATTCATTTGCAGAAATGAACAATTGATACGTGGAATACAGAGATCTAGTAAGCAAATGTTCACATTGTCTGTATAATTGGTAGGTGGGATTGAAAATGGGTCTAACATGTACAAAGTGCAGCCAGTAAGTATGTCTCCCACTGTGATCTCCATGTCTTTTGCATGCCTTTCAGCCTAAGTCATGAAAACCATGTACTAAATAAACATACTTTCAACTTGACCTTCAAATGATTATATCAAAAAGTGTTAAGCTAAGATTTTTAAAAGTATCAAAGCATTTATGATGAGCAAGTACATAGCTCTCATTATTTTATTTAATGGTTGAAAATTATATATATATATATAAATATAAATGTTTTATAATTTTCAACCGTATGTATCTTCAACCTTAAAATTTTCTATTTTTTGTGCAAAATTTCCATGACACTTAGCACATTACAGATATCTAATTTATAAATAAACAAATAAGCAGACATGTTTATGTTGAAGTTGCATTATCAAAAAGTTTTGATGGATGAGATGTTGATCATGAAACTGGGAAACTTCTCCTGTCCTCAATGGGGTCACCCTAAAGGAAATTAACATATGGGAGTGAGAGGACATACTTTTGTCTTAGAGAGGTGAGTTTTGCAACAGTGTGGAGAATGATTGGAATCAAGGAAACCAATGAAAAGGGTGTTTTGATAACTGGTGCCATGTGATGAGGGTCTGAATTAAGGTTGAGAAAGTGGGAAGGAAGAAGAAGCCAATTAGGAACAACTCCTCTCCATCTGCTGCACCTGCCTAAGTCACATTCTATTCATCTGTTACATCTCGTGTCTTGTCATCTACACCAGGAAGCCTTCCCTGATTTCCTAGGCTGGCGTGGGTTCCTCTCCTTTGGGCTCCAACAGCACCTGTGTTTTTTATAGTGTCGCTTTCATCACACTGTTTTGTAACTGTTTCTTTACTTGTCTGCCTGCTACTCTGTGCACCAGAAGCAGAGAGCTAGTTAGTGCCTGATTTTTGTTTCTGATTCATGGTAGGTACTTTGTCAATGCCTCTGAATGAACAATGCAGAATTTGACAAGACTGACTGGACGTTGAGGAAGTAAAGAGAGGTTGGGAATTTCCGAGATCAAATTTTCAAAATACAGAGTTGTTCTATCAGGCCCGTGGACACTTTTTCTTTGCCTTCATGTTGCTCTCAAAACTTTTTAATTAGCTGCCAACCCTAAAAATTTAGAAGGTTTCATATTAATATCTGAATTTCCAGCTTCTTTAAAAAAATCAGAGGAGCAGGAAACGCTGGGTTCATATTTCTATATGGCAGCATCAGCTGCAGTTGGTGATCTGCTGTCCCTTTTAGCTGGACATGCATGCCTCCCTGCAACCCAGTACTCTTCATTTGAGTTACTTGCCTGGCCTGATCAGGCATTTTAGCTAGTGATGTCTGCTTTCTGAGAGTGTGCATTTTAAAAGTGGCAATGCTTAATACAAGAAAGAAAACTACTAAGTGGGTATTTCAAGCACCTGAAGAGAAAATATTTTATGGAAAGGGAGCTTTCTGCTCCCTAAAAATTATACGATAGAGATGATCATTTGTAGATCAAACAAATCTGCGTATCAGCCTCCCAAGGAGTCTACTCCTTTTCATTTGTAACTAGCCCTGCCTCTCACAGAGCCTTCAAAGTAAACATTGCTTCCTCCCTCCTAAAGAGAGGTAGCTTTACATCCTTTCTCTCTGACAAAGTGAGCTGGTCACTTTTTGAATCCTTTCATGGCACTGGATCTCCTAACTTCAGGATTCCCTTGCTTTCATCCCAAAATAAGAGAACCAAGGTCAAGGAACAGAGAAGACTGTCTCCCTTCTCATTCTCAGTTCCAGGGAATTCTGTCCCAGTCTGGGTTTTCCCAAAAGCAGAGCTTGAGTCATGGCATATGTATATGAGTATTTTAGTGAGGGATATGATGCCAGAGAAGAAAAAGATAGGGGAAAGGCGGCAGGGAAAAGAGAGTCAATATAAAGATACGTTATTAGGCTGACCACTACTATGGTTGACTAGTTGGTTGATCCCCCAAGACCATCACCAAGCCATGTGAAATGTGATTAAGACCATCTGACTAGAGATAGAAAGAGGGAAGTATTTATACATTATCTTCTTGTTATTCATTGCTCAAAAGTTGGCCTCACGGGACATTATTAACTCTGCCACACTTCTAGGTTACACCTGCCTAGGTACTGAGTGCATTTCCACAGTAGCCCACACTGCAGCATCAACAGAGAACCTCAGGATGGGAGGCAAAAAGTGCATGGCATAGGCTCAGGGTAAGGCACTCTTAAGTTGCTCTGTGTAAAGCTGAGTGGGGTTCTGTGGGAGGTTGAGATAAATGAAATCTCGTCTGTGGACTACCCTGTGACAGACAACTGGAGGGTCAGCATGGTCCCAGCACAAGCAAAGGCATGCTGTTGTCCTTCCCATGTAAAGATAAACTGCTTTTGATCATCCTAACTGATAAATATCCAGAATAATGTATTTGACAAATTAATAATCACATACAAATACTAGATAATATATTGATCTGCTCAGTAAAGATACTGCATGGCAGCTGGGATTGGGACTCCCAGCTTGTTAAGTATAGGGCTGTTCACGTTGATCTGCCATGATCCATTTTCTTGAGAAAGTAGAATTGCAGAGGAGGACGTCTTTACATTTTTGTGGTGGCATTGATCTCTGCAATTCCTCCAAGGGTGCAGAAGAGCATCTGATTTACTACTGTATTGGGATACTGGAGTTATATATCAAGGCTTTTTTATGGGCGAGATAGATAGAGAGATAACCAAGTATGGCTTCATTTGTATAAATTTAGGGGCTTCCACTTCATCCTTATTACAGTAATGACAGTTTATAGGCTATAGAGGAAAAATGTCCCTGAGCCTTCTGACCCCTTCCTTGATACTATGCCAAGGCAATCCCAGAATTTTTGTCTCATTTATTACAGGCTATGGTGATGTCCAAGCTCCAAGTAGTCATTCCAGTAGGTTGTTAGGAGGGGCTCCACCAGTCCTTTCAGAATATTGAACTCCAAGTTATAGCTAAGTTCCCCCATGTCAACAAATTCTCTGCTATTCCACCTTATATTCTAATACCCCCTACAGTCTAATACCTTTGAGATCCAATTCCACACATGTCCCCCAGATTCCTGCTTATACATGTAATCTGGGCCCTGATATTTTCTTTTCTTTTTTTCTTTCTTTCTTTTTTTTTTTTTCTGAGATGGAGTTTTTTGCTCTCGTCACTCAGGCTGGAGTGCAATGGCGCAATCTCGGCTCACTGCAACCTCTGCCTCCCAGGTTCAAGTGATTCTCCTGCTTCAGCCTCCCGAGTAGTTGGAACTACAGGTGTATGCCAGCATGCCCAGCTAATTTTTGTATTTTTAGTAGAGACGGGGTTTCACCATGTTGGCCGGGCTGGTCTCGAACTCCTGACCTCAGGTGATCCACCCGCCTTGGCCTCCTAAAGTGCTGGGATTACAGGTGTGAGCCACCGTGCCCGGCCCCTTGATATTTTCTCCAGGAGCAGGGTCTGCACTTACAGAGGCTGTGCTGAGACCTGACCCTCGTTATTGGTCTGAAGCTAATGAGGGGTGGAAGGGACAGATATTTAGAAGGACAAGCCATGTTTTGCAAGCACCTGCCTCAGGGGAGGCTATTGCAGGACCTCCAGACTGGAGAAACTGTTCTCCTGAGACAAGGGAAGAGGGAGACCTCTGCCAGCCTAGAGAGTTAAGGCAAATCTGGAGGTTTAAGAGTTCCACGTTTTTCCATTCAAAAGCTCCCATCCCACATTGCAAGATTTCACGCCTTTTCCGTCAGGCCTTGATTTTGATGCAGAAGACCTATTGAAGCTGTACATTCTATTTCCTTTGTAACACTTGTCACCCTTTCAATGAGATCCTGGCCAGGTTTTGGCCCAGTCTCTCTCATGGCTACAGGAAATCAAAGTCACTTCAAAGCTTCCATAAAGGCCTTCTGGTTTTCACAGCATAGCCTGAATATACAGTTGGAGATCTTGTGCCTTTTGTTCTCTCATTTCAAGGTGTTTAGTGCAGTTAACAAAAGGCCACCCCACTCTAATCTGTGTAATTATTATTGTCTCTGCACATTCAATTACCGTAACCACCGTAACCCACACCTCACCTTCCAACTAGCTCTTCATCTCCGTCAGCCTCAGGCGGAAGTCTTAGTTATCAGAATGCCACTGGGTGTCAGGGGGTCAGTGCCCCTCTACTTCTCACTGATGCCAGGGTCCTTATTGCCATTGACTGGCGAGTGATCAAGCCCTAAGATCCCATCCTGAGGGGCTGAGTTCCAGGCCACTGTGGGAAACAACCATCTTAGGCTGGCACCCTTGAAAGCAGAGCCTGAGACAAAGGCTTATATACAAGCACTTTTTTGGGACTATGATCCCAGGGAGCAGAAGTGAAGGACAAGTGAGTGGAGCCAGGCAGGAGAGCAAGCCAGTGCAAAGATGCATTAACCTGGCTACGGTCATAAGCAACTGGTCGCTCAGTCCCACAAGACCATCTGAAAAGTCCTCTGAAATGTGTCTCAGCCAACACACTTAGAGGCAGAAGAGGGACATTTATCTACTGATTGCTGTCACCCATGGGTCACAGCATTGCCTCAAGGATATCGATTCCCCTGCACCTCCTGGTTGTGCATGTGTGGGGTGCTGGGAAAGTTTCCCATGGTATCACACACCAAGGCATCAGAGAGACGCTCAAGGGAGATAGCCAAGAGGTGCACAGTGGGGCTTGAGCCAGGAACTGTCAATGTGTACCTGCATAAAGCTGGCCAAAGCCTATGCCTACCTGGTCACAGCAGCAGAGGCCATGATTGGAGACAGACAAGGCCAGGAGGATCTGAAGTAGAGCACAGAGGTGTCTGTAAGATCAGCTTGGCAGGGACTTGTGTTAACTGAGCACCATCTAGACCTGGTGGGGGTACAGCAGGGAGTCATTGTATACCTATTAGGCTATGTAAATCTCCTTGAAAGGAAACATGCAAGGAAGCTTTGGGGCGTGTGTGTGTGTGTGTGTGTGTGTGTGTGTGTATTTGTGTGTCTGTGTGCTTTGTGTTGCGTATGTGTATTTGTGTGGAGAGGCAATGGCAGATGCAGGGGCCTTCAAAGGTGTACTTGCCATGTGTCTGATAGCACCATCAGAAAGATACCCACAGAGGGATGTTCATTAAGGGAGCCCCATATCCTAGTAACGAGATCACCCAATTGAAGCCAGTTAGCCAGCACAGAGAGAACCAGTCCTTATCTGCTGTTGCTGCAGCAGCAGCTGCTTTAAGAAGCTGAGTGATACTTCAGCAGTTTTCCTCCCTCCCAGATCAATAATGATAATTGGGAACAGAACCTAGCTGAGGAACATGGACAGAAGGTGGTCAGATGTTGATGCTGAACTCTTTGAAGTCCATTTCCTGGAAAGTTCTTTGGTAAGACACAAGCTCACTTCCCTGCCTCCAGCCATGCAGATACTCAAGCAGGCTGTGGACTTCTGTTTGTGCCAGACATGTGCTGGATTCTGTGGTGGGGAGAACAGGAGCAGGTGGGATCGAAGGACAAGATGCAGCCTGATAGGAGGCCCTGAACCAAAGGTCAAGAGTCATGCCTTCCCTTGAATTGGAACAAGCTCTTTTTCTGCATCAACTACCCTCTCATTGTGGAGCCCTAGGCACAATATTCTCCAATTTGGGCTTCAGTTTTCTTATCTACAAAAGGAGGGTACCGGGCTGGGTTGTCGTTTCCCACGCTATGTTCTCAGTGGCACATGAGATGCCAGTTCTCCACACTTACATGGTGCCAGAGGCTACCAATTGCTGGGAACCTCCTTTGTTCAAGACATGTGCTGAGTACACTTTGCTCCTGATCTCATTCAATGGTTACAGAAAGCTTCTGAGAGTTCTGCTATCATTTCTATTCTACAGATGAGAAGCCCGAGGCTGGTAAACTAGAGTCCAAGGGCAGAAAGCTGGTAAGTAACACAAGTAGGATTCTTCAAACTCAAGTCTGCCTAACCTCAGAGACTTAAACACTTTAACGCTATGCTAGACTGCTGTGTCAGAGTTTTGGAAGGTTACTCATGAAGTAATTGGGCAGTGTTTCCCAGTCTTCAAAAACCCACTGCCCTTTTGGTTAGATGTGGAAATCTCACACTTCCCCCCCAGCGATTCTGGTATCTCCCCCAAAGTGGAATGCTAACTTGGTGAGAATCACTGGGCCAAAACATCTCTAAAGTCCATTTAAAATCTAATAACTCAATGAGAGAGTTTGTATAAAGCACACAGTCCTTGACACATAGCAGGTCCTCAATCTCCGGCAGCTTTAGTAGTCCATGGCTGCCTGCCTCCGTAGCATCTATTTCCCCCTTCCTTCTTTACAGAGGGATCCCAAATCTCCCATTTGTCCATGTAGGTTGGATTTAACCACTTCCAGCTCAGGGGTGGGCCCTGATTGGCTGAACACTAATGACATGATCTCTCGCACCTGCACATCACATTCTTCCAGCCACAGTTCTCAGGGATGTCCATGTGACCCAAATTGGTCCAGTTAGAGAAAAATCCCAGGACTTTGTTCAAAAGCTCCTATTTTTAATAGCTTTGATTATTATATATCACCAGGTATATAATAAAAACTCCGAAGGAAAGATCTGGAAAACATTTGTGACATCATTTTTGCCCGAATGGGAGATCACAAAACCATGAGGAAATAATATGTGTCCTACAAGTTGGATAGGAAGGAATGACATAGGAAAGGTCTTTCCCCTCATCCCTCTATGTCTCTGCCTCTGCCCTCTCGCCCTCCTTACAGCTGAGCCAACCTAAATGTGCAGTCCCATCTCTCCCAAAGATCCCAGGCCAGCCGGAGCTGAATGCAAGAACTATTTAAGAAGCCTCAGCTCCTCTTCACTCCCAGGTGTGAGGGGTTAGGGGTGGGGAGTAATGATCACTCTTATCACTCTCAGATCACCTTCCAGTGTGACTCAGGGACCCAGAGCTGACCCAGAGCCCTTGAAATGTTACCAGAGTCACAGTTTATTTCCTCTCGAGACCCCAAGGTCCCTGACACCACCACCACAATGTACAACTGACCTTTAGCTTTCAGCCCTCTTGAAATAAATTCCCAGGGATTTTTCCAGTTCCCCAGAGCCTGAGGGGACTCAGGCTGGGCCTTGCCTCAGACCCTAACCCTGAACTGTACCAGGCACCTGCTGCGTATGGACTGACCTCCCTGCTGATGGAGGATGCCTGCTTGGATATCAGCAAACCTTGCCCACTGTTCCTGGGACAACCCCGAGGCTTGAACCAGGACTGGACACTGCTATGCCCTCTGTTGCTGTATTTTCTACCCTCCCCCATCTCTGAACCACTACCACCCAGTGTTTCTATATTTCTCACACCTATGGTCCTGGACTCCCCTGCCCCACCTCTGGCCCTGCAATATCTCACTATAGATAAATGAGCATGTGTCCCCACGGTGGTGGGTGATGGTGACAGGTATAACCTGCCGAGGACACACTGAGATAGGGGTGTGTTCAGGTATCCCCAGGCGAGAACATGGGCTGGTACAGGAGGGAGAAACACTTTGAAAGAAGGTGATGGATGCTGGTTCGAGGAGCTGGGTTGGGCCGCGTGGGAGCTGGTCTAAGCTGGCAGCAATTTTCCTGTTTCCCTGGCTTTAAGACCGACAAGCTTGAAACAGGGCCTGGCACAGTGGCTGGTCAGCTCGAGTGCTTTATTTTTATTTCTTATTCTCAATCAACAATTGTACTGCTTTTATTAGCAATCAGTGCTCTGACAGGAGTGCTGACGGCAAGAGACTCGGTGGTGAATCGAAGTGGTTGGCTCTCAGGCAGAGAGTTGGCTGAAAGGAGGAGGAGGAGGACTGTTATTCTAACAGGCTGAAGGGAGCAGATCCTGTGGGGCTGCCAGGTCAGGAAGCTCTGCAGGGCCCTAGGCAAGCAGGGTGGGGCTAGACGGGCTGCCTTAGCATCCACAGCCCGTTTTCCCCGAACCCTGTCCCAGCCCCCTGAGTCTCTGGCAGTCATGGCCTTAATGGGGACTCAGTTTCCTCCAAAGTCTGCAGCAGGGTGATATTTCTAGAATGATTCCTTGTTCCTTCTGCCTAGGAAGGATGAAGGCGAATGGACACATTTTGATCAGAGACCACAAAATCCTGCGAAGGCATCAGAAATGGAAGAGCTCCAGGGTGAAAAGAGCACGCTTCCATTTGGGAGCTTGGGGCCTAGATTATGGCCCAGTCCTCAGTGGCTCCATTCGCTTTTCTTTTCTTTTTGGTAGCCACAAAAAGGTTCTAAGTCTTGTTACAGCTGGAGAACCAACCACTTGGGGATCTGAGCAGAAACTCAAATTCTTGCTTTTCAGTAGAGCCATTAAAAAGAAGGAGCCTGGGCTCAGGCCCACCTCTGTCTGCATCCTGGCTCTGCCCCTCATTAGCTGCGTGACCTTGCACAGATGACTTAACTTCTCTGACCCTGGGCCCCTTTATTAGGAATGTGGAGGGTTAAGTAAGAGCCAGGAGGCAAGTTGGCAGAAGGGCCCTGGGCAGTCACGTTCAAAGACTGGCAGAAGTTCAGAGCCCCATTCTGCCACCTAGTGGTGGTATGTCCTTGGGCAAGTCGCTAAGTTACAACCTCTGGGCCTCCGTTTCTTCACCTGCAAAATGGAGCTGATGACTACCGAAACTTCCTCCTTGGGTCCTTGTGAGGGCTAAATGTCTGTGAAACACTTAGAATAGTGGCTGGCTTATAGCAAGCCCTGTCTGAGGTCAGCTAGGTTAGTAATCTAACATCATGCTTAGTATCCTAGGAGATTCGGTAGGTGTGACAGCAGCTGTGACATCATTAACTAGGAGGTTATCTGGGCTCTGCATCAGAAAGGGAGTGGCCAGCTGTCCTCATCACAATGTCTAGTAGCAATAAAGGTTTTCCTCCCGCTGCCCTGGAGTCCTCCATCACTGACTGTTAGAAATGGGGTCTTGTTGGATAAGTTGGATAGGACACGCGTTTCCAGCACTCTCTATGAAATGCCACGCTGCTACAAACCCCCCATAGCACCCACTCGGCGGCATTTACCCCACTCTCCTGTCACAGCCCATTTACTTGTCTGTCTCTCTTACTGGCCTGTGGGCAACTCGAGGGCAACATCTGTCTCAGTCACTGTGGAGAGATGGCAAAGTGTCGTGGTGAAGTGAGACAGCCAGGCCCCAGTCCTTGCTCTGCCACTTACCAGCTGTGTGGGAGCTGGTCTATGTGTCCTAACCTTCCTTTGAAGGTGCTTCTCCAAATTTCACTACGTCCACACAGTCACTTGGGAATCTTGCAGTGATTCTGATTCAGTAGGTCTGGGGTTGATCTGCATCTCCAACAAGATCCCATTTCTAACAGTAGGTGATGGAGGGCTCCACGGTTGGGGGCAGCAAATCTTTTTTTTTTTTTTTTTGCCACCAGATATTATGATGACAGCTGGCCACTTGCTGTGCCTCAGTTTCTTCATGCATAAAAAGTGCAAAATAATAGTGTCTATCTCACAGGGTTGTTGTAAATATTGAAGGATTAAATGAGCGCCAGGCAGGTGCTGAGCATTCAATCAGAGTTGGCGCCTTCTATTGTTGTGCTATTGTTGTGTTGCTGTTGTCATTGTATCTCTAGTACCCAGCCCAGTGCCAGGCACCCAGTAGACACTCCACAAACATTTATTGAATAAATAAATGACCTCAGCTGGGTGCACATCAATGTTTTTCACACCCTTGACATTGGCAAGGCTTTTTCCGATATCGAACACTGAACTCTGTTTCTGTTGTGTGACTTGAATTCCCTGGGGAAGATGAGCGATTGGGAGCAGACTCTCAATGTCCTCTGAAAAATAACCTGCCGAATGGAGAAGGCCACGTTGACCTCCATCTTTGGGGCCAGGTCAAGGAAGAAACAGGACTTTAAAAAAATATGGTGATTATGGTTTAGGGAGGCAGACCTTTAGAGTCAAGTAAGTACAATCTGGGTAAAACAAATGTTGTTCATTTGTATGTAAGGGGCAACGTTTCCATCCAGCAGGAAGATGTCCTCTTGCTCTTGAACGAGACATTGTGCTTTCAAAATTTTATTCTTTTTCATCCAGGGACAATGGCTGGAGGAAGAAATGAGAGGATCTCTATACCCAGGCCTTGGCTTCTATGTCCCTTCTCGAAGTGGTTGAAGTGCAGATTTCTGATTCTGTACCCAGCCTCCAGGGACACAGTACACAGTATGCTGGGAATGGCGGTGGGTGTTTGAGGTACATTACTTCCAGACAAAACATGGCTGCAGAGGGATACCAAAAGCATCTTCTGGTGGCTGAAGCCCTGTCTGCACAAGTGTCTGTGTTCTTCAATGGTTCAGGCAAGCTCAGACAGACCCTCTGCTTCTCTTAACCTGAGACACTAGTTTCCCCAAGAACTTTGAGCTGAAGGTTCCTTGCTGTGTCCCCTACCTGGCTGTGAGGACTTTGAGTATAATTATCCTATCTTATTTGTTGCTGTGCTCCCAGTGTCTTGGATGGAGCCTGACATCTAGTCAGTGTTAGTAAATGTTGATGTGTATTGAATTTTGCAAGGATCTGCAGCCCTGAGAAGAGGGGATACTTCTTGGAAACCTCTGTGGGCTAAATTGAGGGTTAAGGACTGGGACTGGAAGGCAGAGATTCCAGAGTGATAACCACAGTAGTTACTATTTCATGAGAGCCTCCATGTGCCAGCCTCTAAGCTAGGCCCATACCATGCATTACCTCTTGTCCCCACTTTACAGAAACTAAGGCTTAGACAAGTTAAGCAACTTGCTAAAGATCAAACAACTCAATATGTGTTGGAGTCAAATGAACGCATTTCTTTTCCATTTCCCTCATTTACTCCACTAATGACAGTACTTAAATTGTAGACTAGGAATTAAAATAGCAGAAGCCTGACTTGAGAGGGCAGAGCCCCTGCGTTTGAGTGCCTGAAAGTCAGTCATGGGTAGAAAGAACAGTCTTGTAGCAGAGCTCTGGGCAAGGGAGGAGCCGTGAGCAGGTGGACATGAACTCACTGTGACAACTCTCCAACAGTGAAAGCAGGTTCCCATGGAATCCAGGGAAATTACTGAATAACTTTCAACACAAAAATGTGTGCTAGTGAGCTGTAGAGCCTTTATATCCCCCCAAAACATATTATGGGGGTGGGGGGGGGGCGCGGAATTCTGAATTTTTGTTGTTGTTGTTGTTGTTGAGACAGAGTTTTGCTGTTGTTGCCCAGGCTGGAGTGCAATGGCACAATCTTGGCTCTCCACAACCTCCGCCTCCTGGATTCAAGCGATTCTCCTGCCCCAGCCTCCAGAGTAGGGGCTGGGATTGTAGACATGCGCCACCACGCCTGGCTAATTTTGTATTTTTAGTAGAGATAGGGTTTCTGCATGTTGATCAGGCTGGTCTCGAACTCCTGACCTCAGGTGATCCACCCGCCTTGGCCTCCCAAAGTGCTGGGATTACAGGTGTGTGCCACGGCGCCCGGCCTAAGTAAATAGTTTGGAAAGCTGCATCCAATAGTCTCTTTTGAAGATTCACAATGCACCCTAGCTTGTTAACTATTCCAAGAAGTCCCCGGAAAAGAATGCTTGTTTGACTTTCTTGAATCCAGTGTTGCCCATGTTTATTTGACTAGTGAGCAGGTTTTTTTGTTTGTTTGTTTGTTTTTTAAGTGACACTTTTTAACACTCTGAGGCAGTAATATTGTACTGAACACATGGGGAATCTTCTGTGGAAGTTTGGCCTGGAATACATCCTCTGTGTTCCTTCTCGCCCCGTGGCTGAGTGAGTGTGCTGTAAAAGCTTAGTGACAGAAAAGCCCCACTTAGCCTATTTGTGATGATTTCCTAAACCGGGCAAATAACTCATCTGAATGGCTGAGGTGATAAACTCACAGGAGGAGAAGATGCTGGAGGAAGTGTCATGTGTCCTGCATGTAGGTACCACTTCACCTCCCAGCAAGGCGATGCTGATAGCAACGTTTTCCTTGGGTGTTGAATTTTCCATCCTGCAATTACGTCTTAAGCCATAGATAAAATTCACATCCACGTTTCACTCAAGATAAACCTAACATCATAATAATACAGAAGATTAATTCATTGGGGAAAAATAGAAGAAAATTGGTCTTGGCTTAAAGAGAAGTCAACATTTAGAATGTGTAGAAGGGGATTTCTTCTGGATCACACTCTGTCCTCAACAGTGGCATGTGAAAATGTATGTGGTTCGCTTTAGTGCATGCATGTTTGTGCCTGTCCCACTGACACATCCACAGTGTGACCCATAGAGGTCCACTTCTAAGACCCCTAACTCTGAGTCCAACCCACCCTTTTGGGCTCACTGCAGTCATTTCTCTCTGAAGTCTTCCTTGACAACCTAGGCATCATCAGTTTTTCTCTTCTCTGATCATCTTAGCAAGTGTATCCATAAGCTATAATCACAATCATGCTGCATAACAAAACCAAAAACTCAATGGCCAATAACAATGAACATTTATTTTTTGTTTTCATGTCTAGAGGCCAGGTGGGGGGTGGCTGATCTAAGCTGGGTTTTGCTCTAGGTTAGATTTAGTCTAGGTTGGCCTCACATGTCTCTCATTCTTCAGGTGTCAGGAGGCCACCATGGGCCTGATCTTCAGGACAGATGCCTCTTAAGACTTGGGCTTTGACTCATACACTGTTACTGCCACCCATGTCCTGTTGGCCAAAGTCAATTTCATTACCAAGCCCAAGATCTGTGGAGTGGAGAAATGCATTTTGAAGGGGAGGGAGTCAATCTGTAATGAGCACCATGATGTACCATAGAGCATTTGTAGTCATGAGCCTGATTTAGACACTTGGTGGGGTATCTCTGTGCTCTTAGGAATTGTGTCTCTGTGTCTGTCAGAGGTGATAACATTGGAGCTGAGCCTTAAAAAATAAAAGTTTCCTCAAACACCTCTGTGACTTCTGTGATGCCTTCTGTTCACCACCCACAGTAGCACTGAAGGAAGAAAAGTAGTAACATGTGAAGTGCATAGGCAGCCCAGGGAGTCATGCATCCTAGTTCTGCAAGGAGGGTGCCCCTAGCCAGCCCTTGATTGCCTCCCAGTTTTGGAGTTTGTAAGAGTCACAAATAATCACACTTCCCTCTCCTCAAAGTTCTGAACCAACTAAAAATTATACATGGGAATTTGATGGGGATGAAAATATGGACTTTATAAGTAAAAATGAATTTGAGAACAGCTTGGACCTGAAGCTGAAGGGGTTTCCTTGATACTTTTCATCTGGATCCTGTAGTCCACCTGAGGGTAGTTGTGGGTCTTCATGGTGGACTTTTAACCAGATGCATGAAAAATTGTGGCCAGGAGAGAGGCCACACCTGAGAGGGATGTTTACACATGAGAAACATAGACCAGTGGGTGTCAGCCTCTTGCCACCTCAACAATTATGCCAATTTCTCCTACACACAAATGAAGGAGAGAAGAGCTAAGTGTGAAAGGAAAGATGGAACTCTGTCCTCCCCATCTAATCCGGGATGGAAGCTGTCTGTTGCAGGGACCAGCATGAGGTGGGGAGGAAGGATGACCCCGGTGATCTAGAAAATGGGACTGATGCTATTTAGACGGCTGCCATCACTGAGTCAGCGGGTGTGGGCTTCTTTATGCACTTGCTAGAAATGGGCCATCAGGCCACTCCTAGTGTGCCCTGGAGCAACTTGTTCTTGTCTGCAAGTCCAGATGCAGAACACCTAACTCCACTCCACTTCATCCCCAAATCCCAACCCGTCTTCACTCATTTCCGACTGAACCAAGCCACCTGAGTGTCGTGAGTTCACCTGTGTGTTCTTGCCATCTCCTGGGATGGAGTCCCCACAGGTCAGAACACTTGAACTCATTGTGTAGAACCAGATTCTCTCCCACACTTTTCTCTCTCCTCTCAGAGGCCAATTTGTTCTGCAGTCAATTCTGCAGAAGTTAGAAATAAAGCATGGTGACCAATCAGAGATGAGAGAGGGTGTGGTTGGGCTGAGAGTCACTTTTCAGAGCTTATGAAAAGCTGCAAACCCGGTGGATGGCTTACACTCTTTCCTCAAGGGCAACACACTGAGTGAGAGGGTGCTGGAGGGGGATGCTGGGGAAAGCGAGCTTGTATTCAAGGAGGCCTGTGGTGTCATTATTTACAGTGTCACACCTGATCCTCCCAACGACCCCATCTCTAGGCTCTGGAAGTTAGTGGTTAAGAGCACATCTCTCAGGCTTGTTCACATACAGTTGTGTGACCTTGGGCAAGTCTCTGTGCCTCAGTTTACTCATCTGTAGAATGTTGGTAGAGGAGGATATTAAGAGTAACTACCACATAGTGGTGCTGGGAGGATAAAATGATTTAATAGATGTGATGGGCAGCTGTGGGGATGGCTCCCAGTGATCCCTGTCTCCAGGTATCCATGCCCTTGCTTGTAAGGAAGAGAATATGGCAAAGTTGATAGGCTGTCTCTTCCAAGATCAGGTTACAAGAGACTGTGAACTCCCTCTTGCTTACTTTCTCTTACTCTCTTTCTTACTCCAGTGGAAACCAACAGCGTGTTACGAGCTGCCCAGTGGAGAAACCCACACTACAAGAAACTGTGGATGGCCTCCTCTGGTCAATAGCCAGCTAGGAATAAGGCCTTCATCCAATAGCCCATGAGGAACTGAATCCTGCCAAAAACCACACACGTGAGCTTAGAAGCAGATCTTTCCCCAGTAGAGCCTTGAAATGACTGCTGCCCCCACCTGACACCTTAACTGTGGTCTGTGTGAGACTCTGAAACAGGGGGCCCAGCTAAGCCAAGCCCATATTCCTGACCCACAGACGCTTTGAGATAATATTGAATAAATTCTTGTGGTGTTAAGCCACTGAGTTTTAGGGTAATTTGTTAGACAGCGATAGATAACGAAGACAATACATTAACAATTCTTAAGATACCCAGTGGATAGTAAACCTTCAATAGATATTGACTGTCTTTATTATTAATATCTCAGTTTCACAGATGAGACAAATGAGGCTCAGAGTGACTTCCCAGAGTTCGACAGTTAATATGCAGTAGAGTAGGGGCTCTGCCTTTGTTCTATCTGACTTCAAAGTCAGTGCTCTCAAAGCATCACTATTTGGAAGACTCAGCTCCTTGAGGTGCCTAAGCAGGATTTGTAGAAAAACAGAGGGCAGATTTCCATGGGCTGCCTTAGATAGGTGAATGACCCCTTAAGGCTGTAGAGGGCCAGGCCTAGGGCTGGGGAGAGCCATGGCCAGCTCTTCAGGGAGTCTACATGGGTAGGAGGACTAGCTCCTGCACCCAAACTTCACTAGGGGCTAGGTCTTCCAGCACATGGGAGAACCAACGCATGGCTGAGTCTGCTCCTAGAGTTTGTAAGATGCTGTGTACTGAGAAATGGAGCTCTGGTCTCTCCTCGCCCTCTGCTATAGTTTCAATGTGTTCCCCAAAAAGCATGTGTTGGAAACTTAATCCCCAATGCAACAGTGTTGGGAAGTAGGGCCTAATGGGAGGTGTTTAGGGCATGAGGTCTCTGTCCTCATGAATGGATTAATGCCGATTATAAAAGGTCTTGAGCATGTGAGTTCATTCTCTTGCTCTCTCACAATGCTGTCTTGCCCTTCCACCGTGAGCCATGGGATGATGTAGGAATCATCCCATGATTGGTGGCACCTTCATATTAGACTATGTTGGACTTCGCAGCCTCCAGAACTGTGATAAACAAATACCTTATAAGTTACGACACCTCTGATATTGTGTTATAGCAACACAAAACAGACTGAGACTCTTTCTCTCATTCCCTCTGGGAGCTCATGAACTAGGAGCCTGAGATAAGCCCCATTCAGAGGAGTCTCATCTGAGCAAAGGCCGTTTTCGTTGCTATCCTATCATGCTATAGACAGCAATGATGAATCAACTTAGCTGATCGGAGGGCAGTCAGCACCATCAGAAACAACATGTCCTCTTAGCACAGTAACTGCTGGGAACATCTACAAGATTCCTCAGGGTGTATGGGCAACAGACACAGGGAGCGTGCAGAGAGGCAGGTGGCACAGCCCCTGATATCTGCGGTGGTGAGACGCACAATGGGAGCAGATTCAAGCTTCACCACACAGACACTCAAAGAATCAACGGATACACGGAGACACCCAGGCACCTGCATTAATACCCATATACTCCCAGACACATGGCCACACTCATAGACACACCTACAGAATGACACACTCAGACATTCAGTGTGAAAGACACAAATGCTCAGATAAATGCCCAGGTGGTAGGGAGGAACATTAAAATCCCACAACTCATGTTTCCAGGGAGGGGAAGTCTTTTCCATTGCACCATGCAGGAGGGAAAAGTATTGAAGGAACACTTCTTGCCCTTGTCCATCCCCTCACCCATTTCTCCCCAGAGGAGAGTTGGTGAGTTTGGGGGAGGAACAGAGCATGCTCAGTCTAGTCTCCCCTAGGGCTTCTCTGTCTTTTACCCTGCCTGCCTGCAGAGGGGAAACAACATTCTCATCAGTCCTCTGGTACTGGGTGGCCTCTCAGGGTCGGCTTGGCCCCTCTGGGGAGTTGCCTGGTGTGACCAGTGCCGATGGACACGTCTATCTAATTCATTGGGGAAGAATTTGCAGACCCTTTGGCTACATATCCAAAGCCACATTCTTTACTTGACTGTACCCAGTAATAGAGCTGACATTCTGATCTTCACCTCTATCTCTGAGGCCTTATTTCTCAGTTGGTGTCAAACTTGCGATTCCCCGGTTCCAACACCAAATATTCCCACTTAGAGGAAAAACAGAAACATGGACAAATGTTCAAAGACACAGCAGAGAAACATAGATGAGATGGTACATTTGCTCTCCTGAGTGGAGGGAGGATGGTTAGAAGAGCAGTTCATGAGTCTGGCTGGGTGTTAGAATCACCTGGGAAGAATTACAAATAGGTACTCATGTCTGGGTCCTACTCCAGACAAACTGATTCAGAATCTACTGGGTCAGGGCCTGGGCAGTGGTCAATTTTAAAGCTCCCCAGGTGATTCTAACAGGCAGCTTCCCCACTCCCCAGCACTCCATGAGGAGCAAAAGAGTGTTGGTGACTGGGGGCCTAACCCATCGGTCACAGACCTCCCTCAGACGTCACTTGCTTCCAGCTATAGCTCCAAATTTCTCTCCTATGGACATTCTGGGGATTCTGGTAGCAGCTGAGGGCTGTGCACTAAGCAGGCAATTGCCTTTGGCTGCTGCTCTTCTGACTCTTCTAACTCTTCTGGTGGACCATGGGGGCTGTCTCACCACTCTTCAAGCAGAAGTCCCTCACTCCTGCCTTGGATCCCCAACACGTACGGATGCTTAGGTCGACATGGTATTTTTCCTCTTGCTTTCAGTCTAGCTTCCTGTTGCATCTCTGCTTGGTTGGCCCCTGGCAGAGCAGGTGCACAGGACACCGAGTGGAGAACTGGCCCCAGTGACAGTGGCTCGGCACATGCTCTTCATCCCATAGCCAAAGGCACTTTCTTTGTGATGCATGGAGGCCAAACTCTTCTGCCAGCAACAGAGAAGCAAGGCCAGGCTGATGGCTGCAAAATGGTGAGGTTCACTGACCTTGAACCTGGAGCTATCCAGATCCTTCTCTGCCTTTTCTCTATGCATTGGAGAGAGCCACTGGAATTCTGACCAGGAATCTGGTTTTCTTCATCTGCCCCTTGCTCTAGGCCCATAATTCTCAAACTTGCATGTATTTGAATTACCTAGAAGGCTCATTAGAACACAGATTGGTGGGTCCCACTTCTAGAGTTTCTGAGTCAGTAGGTCTAGTGTGGGCCTGATAATTTATTTGTATTTCTGACAAGTTCCCAGGTGATGCTGATGCTGCTGGTCCAGGGACCACACTTTAAGAACCACTGCTTGAGGCTGCTTCTCTGGCCTGTTTGGTGTGTGTGTGCATGTGTGTGTATGTGTCCTGTCATATGAGGATCCAGGAGGGAGGCACCTAGGTAACTTCAACAAAAGGGATCATGATCAAGTTCCCTCTATTGACTCCTTACTATAAGCCAGGCACCATGCTGAGTGCTAATACGCATTATCTTACGGAATTCTCCCAGTTGCTCTTTAAGAAAGGTACTACTATTTCCCTGATTTTATGAATGAGGAGACTGAGGTTAGGTATTTGACTCAAGGTAACATAAAGCAGAGTTAAGAGGTAGCTGAGCTGGGACTGGAACCCAAGCCAGTTATAGTCTTAAAATACGCATTCATTCATTTGTATATACATAATGAATGTGTTTGACAAAAATTTCTTAAACATCTTCTATATTACTGGCACTTTTCTAGGTCCTAATGATGCATCAATGAATAAGGCAGTGCAGATGGCTGCTCTTAGGAAACTGAAATTCAAGAGGAGGAGACAATAACTCGCATATGTTTAAAATGCACATGAATTTTGATCAATTGTTTTGTTGTGATTTACAATGAGGGAGGACTTGACTCAGAGTGAGGTCAGGGTTTTGGGAGGATCCTCTGTGGAGGAGTAGTCAGTGTGATCTTCAACTGCCCTTGGACTCTCCCAGGTGAGATCGATGGGCAGCACCCGGGGCCAGCCCAGTCTTGGGGTCAGCAGTTATCAGCCCCCATCCCAACACAACTCCATCCTTGGTCAGAGAGCCACTGGGTTCCCTCCAGACTAAGAGATACTTTGTCCTTTGGTAAATTGCAGCCCTGGTCATGGCAATATGGCTCAGTCTGGGTGAAGATCATCTGATATTCATTGTATAAAGAGAAATGGCTTATTGAGCTGCTTCACTGAACTCATTCACAGGGTGAGCAGGTGAGGGGCCTGCCATGTAGCTTATTTTAGAAAGCAGCCATCAGCCTAATCTTTATACAACTCATATTGAATACCCATGCAGATGGAGTGCTAAACTGTCTTTTATTGGCTACACACACCATCATGACAGCCGCCTTCTAGCTCTCTCCATCACTTATCAATATATGTCCTCGAGCTTACTGAGCGTTGCCAATTTAACTGAACGTCAGAAGTCTGCTACTCGGGGGCTCTATGAAAGCACTGAATGGATCTTAAAAATCTTAATTTCTGCAGTATGCAGCAGAGTGCCTGACACTTAGATTTCAGTAAATGTTGGATGGATGGATGAATGGGAGAGTGAATGAATGAAAGAGATACGCCCTGCCCTCTTGCCAATCCCTGCTGCCCCTGGGGCTGCTCAGCTGCAGACACTAACAACCTCCAACATGCAGATTCAATATCATGACAGTTTGGCTGCCTGTGAGGAGCGCAGCCACACCAGCAGTGGGATCTGGGGTTAGTTCTGTGGCTCTCAGTGTGGTATCTGGAGGCAGAGGGAGTGCCTGGTCCTGAGTCCCCATGAGCCCCAAGCGCTCCTCATTATCCACTGAACCACCTTCTCCAAGCTTAACCATCTCAGTATGATTGCATGCTGCCTCAGTTTCCCAATTGCTCACTAGTCCCCTGCAGGGACTAAGAGCTTGCCTTAAAGTCACCTGCTGTTCTAGAACCCTACCAGCCTACCTGGATCCTTTTTTTTTTTTTGAGACAGAGTGCTCTGTTGCCCAGGCTGTAGTGTAGTGGCACGATCTTAGCTCACTGCAACCTCCGCCTCCCGGGTTCAAGAGATTCTCCTGCCTCAGCCTCCCGAGTAGCTAGGACCACAGGCATGTGACACCATGCCTGGCTAATTTTTGTATTTTTGGTAGAGACGGGGATTTTCACCATGTTGGCCTAGCCTCAAGTGATCCACCCACCTTGACCACCCAAAATGCTGGGACTACAGGCATTAGCCACCATGCCCAGCTTTACCTGGATCTTTTCAGCTCTTTGACTTAGGGGCTGAACCCTGCCTCTGTAATCCCAGCAGGTTCCTGGTGGGACCATCAGAATCGCAATGCCCCCAGGCTCCTGCCACTTACCTCCATGTACACATTGGACCCATAAACACCTCTAGGCTAGAGCTGCTGTATTTCTTCATACCTCAGCACTGGGACATGGTCACTCTTTTTCTGCCAAGTTAGGCACCCAAGATACAGTCAATGGGTTCAACTTTTCTTTTCTCAGTGGCCTACTGACACATAAACCTCTCTGGTTATAGAGCTTATGCAGGTCAAACTATCCCGGTTTCTCATCTTTAGTCTCCTTCATGTTTCTCCCTCTGGGCCAAGGAAGATTTGATGGGTGTCTTCTTTCCCCTTTCTACTAACTCTGGGCCAAGTCCTTTGCCTACTGCCCTGACCTTCTATCAATCTGACACTGTAAATGATCTCCTCAATTTCTCTCCTTCTCACTGCAGCTTCCAAGCAGACCCCTGTGTCTTCTGGGCACAGTAAGCCATTTCAAACAAAAATCCAGTCTTCCCAACATCGAATGTATTCTTGCTAATCTGCTCACAGGTGCTTTTGGCAATCCCAATGAGAAAAAAAAATACTTTAAATATTTAAGAAGCAGTTCATGTGTCAGTTAACTGCCCCATTTCTGGTGTCAGACTGCTGGGGTTCAAATCCTGGCTCTGCCACTTTCTAGTTATATAGCCAAAGACAAGCTAATGAACCTCTCTGGGGATTGACTTCTCCATTTGTAAAATGGGGGTAATAATGGTAACTGCTCTTAGGGCTTTTGAGAGACTATGCATAATAAGCACTCTATAAATGTGAGGTATTCTGGTATGCATGCTGATTGTGATCAAAGAGCTGTTTATTCATCTATGCAAGATATAGTTATTAAGAACCTACCATGTGTCAAGTCCTGTAGAGCAGTCAAAGATGCATGAGATAGGCTCTGGAGCTCCAGCATGAAGGGAAGCAGACCCAGGCTCACCGCATGCCAAAGAGCGAGTGTGGACATAGATGAGTGAAGAGAAGGGGATAGGAGGAATGAGGATGGCACAGCCCCAGCTGGAGGGTTGCACATAGAGGTGCTGCATGGGGGTGGGTTGGGAGGTGTCAGTTCCACTCTGTCCTTAAGGCAGTCTAGAAGGTAAAGAGATCCCTAGGTCTTGTGACAAGAGATCAGGCTGGACAGGGAAGCTCCTCTCAGCCGTGGACTTATGAAGCCCCATCCCCAGGGCTCCAGAAGTCATGATCTCAACATGTTATGGTGCCTCAAGCAATGGGGCATCATTGACTGGCAAGGGCCCGGGGGACAGTCTCACCCAGATGTTGGTGCCACAAGTGGGCTTGTGTAGACTGGAGCCTTCCAGGTCAGTGGATCTCTGGTGTGGGAGCCTTTGCCCTTACAGGATGGGGCTGATTTCCCCTCCAAGGTTTTCTTCCAAGGGACACAAACATTTCCTCTGCCTGCTCGGCAATCCCTGCACTCACCCTTCTAGAAAAACACTTTGAAAGGGGCTTTCTTTTATTTGCTCCTCAGCTTCTTTTTTGAAGCTTCCGGCATTAGAGGCCCTTTTTTTTCTCTCAGAGTTTCATGGAAAAACTATGATGACTTCTTGCCTCTCCATTTTGTTCATGATTTAAGTCAGATGGCTTCTCAGCATTTACCTTTCCCTGGCTATTTTTTCTGCCCTCTTGAGTCAGCCCACTTCTGTCACCCCTGTGCCACCTCCACCCCTTAATTCTTTTAACAGGCCAGTCTATCTTCAGAGGGCTCCTTGGAGAGGCTTGGAGAGTTAACTCTATCTTGGGGCTGATTCCAGTCCCCAAGCAAACTGCCGTCTTAACTGCCAGTGGTAGATTGCTACCTCCAT
Source organism: Homo sapiens (assembly GCF_000001405.40). Taxonomy (NCBI): domain Eukaryota; kingdom Metazoa; phylum Chordata; class Mammalia; order Primates; family Hominidae; genus Homo; species Homo sapiens. The sequence goes on along the minus strand of NC_000001.11, from coordinate 34,447,242 downwards.
TTACACAGAAGGTGCAGGATGTTAGACCACCCAAATAAACTCAGCAGACAGAAAACAAACATCTCAACAGAGAACTCACAAACACACGAGGACTTCATTATCCTGAGATGTCCCTAAGAGATACCAAACATCTGGTAGAAAACAGTAAAAGCCGACAATGGCTCCATTGTCAGCAAATGAAGCTTGCAGTTGAGGGTAGACCACCCTTTCTAGAAGTTCCCTAGAGGAAAGACTAGGAGAATAGGGTGGTAGTTGAAAAATACTTGAAGGAGGATTTTCTTTGTGTGGGGAGACTTGAGCCTGCCTGGAGATTGAGGAGAAGGATGTGGAGGAAAGGGAGAAGTAGAAGATACACGAGTGTGTGCATGTGTGTGTGCATGAGTGTGCGTGTGTGTGTGTGTGCGTGTGATCGATGGATGGGAAATAGGACCCAGGGTGCATGTTCTAGAGGTCGTCTCTGGAGAGGGGAAGGGGAAAAAGGCCACCAGTCTAATAAGAAGCCATATTTATTTAATTAATTTAATTTAATTTATTTATTTTATTTTATTGTTTTGAGACAGAGTCTCGCTCTGTTGCCCAGCCTGGAGTGCAGTGGTGCAATCTTGACTCACTGCAACCTCCACCTACCAGGTTCAAGCGATTCTCCTGCCTCAGCCTCCCGAGTTGCTGGGATTACAGGCGTGTGCCACCATGCCTGGTTAATTTTTTGTATTTTTATTAGAGATGGGGTTTCACCATGTTAGCCAGGATTGTCTTGATCTCCTGACCTTGTGATCTGCCCACCTCAGCCTCCCAGAGTGCTGGGATTACAGGCGTGAGTCACCGCACCCAGCCAAGAAGCCATATTTATGGAAGGCTCACTGCACTGCAGACACCATGCTGAGAACTTCACATGGATCATGTCTTTTCATGCCTCAGATGGGCACTGTCATGTCCTCATCTTCCAGATGAAAAACCCAAAGGCCAAGGAGGTTAAGTGACTTCCTCAAGGTTCCAGAGTTAAAAATGACACAGCCAGGACTTCAGAGCTCACATTCCCACTGTTTTATATTTGTTTAAGTGTTAAGCTTCTTGCAAAAAACAGTAATCATTGCTCACATTATTCACCTCATACCCTGTGCTAGACACTGTGTTTTACGTGTGCTAACTCATTTACTCCTCAGCAGCTCTGTGAGGTGGAAGACACCACTGCTGTCCCTATTTTACACATGATGTAACTTGCCTAAGGTCACACAGCTAGTAAGAGGCAGACTTTGCTCTTGACTCTGATGGACTGACTTTAGATCCCAACACTTAATCCATGCTTCACTGACCTCTTCTTTTAAAAAGAGAGCGTGGTGTAAAGATGGGAGCAGAGGTGGCGTGTACCCATCCAGTGGCCTTGATGCTTCTGTGAATATGGAGGTAAGAGGATCTACTGGAGATGGATGTGGGGTGGAGGGATGTAGGTTAGTGGGAAATGGAGGTAGCAGACTTCCGGAGAGTAGAGGGGATAGGGAGAACCCTCCCTACGCAGTGTGAGCAGGGGCAAGGGACAAAACAAAAGGTGGACTGTGAGGCAGACCCAGTTGAAGCTGCCATGATTGTTTCAGCTTGAAGTTTCCTTCAAAGTCCTCAGCAGAGAGCTCAGCAGAGTTGATGCCCCTGGGCCTGAGCTAGGTGATTGGGAATGCAGCCCAGGCAGTCCTAGATCTCAGACTCTAGGAGCTGATTGGTGTCATGGGGACCCCATGTTAGCTTTGAGAGCATCCGATGGACAAAAGGGGCTTTGCACAGAGAAGAGACCCTGTGAGGTTTAAGAGGGTATTAACTCAGGAGAGAGACCGCCAAGAATGTGTCCCTGAGGGCAACATGGGTGGTGGCAGAGAGAGGGTATTTGCCTTGGCACATTTAACCACTGGTCTCCTCCAGCCTCAGGGAGCCACCCGGACATAGGCTTCCTAATGAGAAGAGTCCTGGGCATTTAGAGACTCCGCATGCTTGTGCAAGCCGAGTCTAAAGTATTCATGGTCTTTAAACTCTTCTGGGTAGGAGCTGACTCTTCAGAAGAGGGTGCAGTAAGAAAGATTCAGAATTAGTCAGATGTTCACAGACTCCCTCGCCCAGGTCTCACCCCAGTCTCTTTCTGTCTTGGCTCTTTCTTCAGGGGCAGATTCCTGGCTCTTGGACTTGACTGGTGCACCCTTTGGTCTCTATCTCTGGTGGCTCATCTCCTTGGCCTTGGTAGCTCCATGACTTTCTGGAATCATAAACTCAACCTGGTTCAGAATTGGCCACTTCTGGGCCAGTGCCTGACCCACCTATGCTGCGACTTAGCACAGTCATTGCCACTGGAACTTCCTCCCATCAGTGTTCAGTGCTCAGAGGAGACAACCAGCTGTGGGAGCTCTAAGAGGGGCTGGGGCAAAGTTCCATCCAATAATCCTGTGGAATTTCTCTCTGGACAGCTGTGGACAGATGTGAGGGTAGTGACTGTTGATGCATATCTGTCCCCTGGAGTAAGAGCCTCAGGGGCTTTGCTCAGCTCTTGCCAGCTGGGAAGAGAGCAGAGCCCAGCCACATCCTTGAAAGGAATAGCAGATGTAATGGCCAGAGGAAGCCGTGTGCAGGGACGCATCTGGAGAGTTCAGAGGACTCATTAGAGCATCATCTTGCTCTGATAAGCTGTTAGTTAAAAGTTCACCTGGAGGGGCTTTTATTGCACCCCACTGAGAATTCCTACCTCCTGCTAGGAGTGCATATTGGGAAGGAAGAATTTTATAGATGGTATAAATGGCTAAATGTCTGAGTGTTAGTTATTCGAGCCTCACGTAATTGTGCTCTTTGGACCTATAGAAACCCAACCCTTTGTTGACTGTGTGGCAATCAAAGGAATAATGTTAGTGCAGAATTAGGGGCTAACCATTGTAATCATAATAACTGTAATAAGAATAGTAGCAGTAATTTATGGAGCTTCTATATGGTAGGCACTCTGCTTAGCACCTGCAGTGGGCTGAATAATACTCCCCCTAAAATATGAACCTGTGAATGTTACCCTATGTGGCAAAAGGGACTTTGCAGATGCAATTAGGTTAAGGATTTTGAAATGAGGAGATTATCCTAGATTATCTGGGTGGGCCCTAAAAGAAATCACAAGTGTCCATATTAGAGGAAGGCAGAGGGAGATTTAGCATAGAGGGGAAAAGGAAATATGACAATGGAAGCAGAGAGTGGAGGGATGTAGCTAACTGCCAAGGAATGCCACAGCCACCAGTAACTGGAAGAGGAAAGGAGTGGATTCTTCCCTGAAGCTTCCAGAAGGAACCAGCCTGCTGACACCTTGATCTTAGCCCTGCAAGACTCATTTCAGACTTCTGGCCTCCAAGACTGCAAGGGAATAAATTTCTGTTGCTTTAAGCTACTAAGTTTGGGGCAATTAGCAACAGCAGCAATAGGAAACCAAACACATACATACCTTGGCTCATTGACTCCTCATCCATCCTGTGAATTAGGCACTATTATGATTTCCATGTACACATGAAGAAACTGTGGTTCAGAGGGGCCAAGTGGCTGCTTCAGGTCAACAGTGCTAGCTAGTGGAAGAGCAGAAAATCAAACTCGGGTCTGTCTGTCTCTGGATCTCATGTCCTTCACCATAAGGCTATACGCCTTGCAACCACAACTCAGTATTGGCCATGATGAAGATGGCAAAGAAATTGGGCAGCCTCTGCAAGATTGGGCTAAGAAATCATGGAGTCAAAATTGAGACTACTTCATGGAGTGTCCTTGGGTACAGACACTGTCATGAGAAAAGCCCCCTGAAGAGAAGGAGGAGACACAGCTACAGGTGTCACAATCAAGATGTTGCAGGGAGGGGAAGTGCATGGAAGTTAGGTTCTGGGATAGACATGGTGGGAGCTCAACCATGGGGAAATAGAAGTAATTGAGGTACCAAGAAGGATGAGAACAAGGGTGGAGGTGCCGATCCAGAAATTGGTGGTGAACATCAGAATCTCTGTGGGCACCTCTGTATGACTGAGCCAGTGTTAAAGGTGTTATTTCCCAGAGAACCCATGCTAGGAGGGGCTGGGGGTTGTGTGTGACTGCAGCCCCTCAAGTCAGATGGGCACAGTGCTTCCCATCCAGAGAGGGTATTGCCCAGGTGCTGCCTGAGGGGTGAATGAGGCAGAACACCAGGTCTAAGACCTTGGTATGGGGTAGAGCTGACAAGGGCCAGTGGGGTGTTAGGGCCTCCTTTAAGTGTCATGGGTTTGGGGACAGGGCTCTGGTCCCAAGAAGACAGGTGCTGGTTCAGGAAACCAAAGCAGAACTCAGTTACTTGGGTTGAACCCACTCTACAGAGGCTGGGAAAATGTGTGCTTCACTGGGCATGCAGATGGCTAGGCCTGTCCCAGGCCTCCAGACTCCTCCTGTGCTGGGCTAAACTCAGCAGCAAGCTTGGCCTGCAAGTGAGGGGCTGGGGCTGGGCTTCCTCGTGGGTTCCCAGCTGTGCTCAGCACCAACTCAGAGGAGGATGCTGCAATTGAGTGGTGCAGGAGGGTGGGGAGGAGAAGGCAGGCTGGCAGCAGAGTCCCCTCAGATGGAACTCCCCCAGGCATGACCATTCAGGAAGATCTGGGGCACTGGTTCTCAAAGTATGGTCCCAGACCAGCAGCATCAGCATCACTTGGGAATTCGTCACAAATGCAAATTCCTGGGCCCCACTCCACACGCACTGAATCAGAAACTCAGACGGAGGTCCATCCATTTGTGTTCTAATAAACCCTCTAGGTGATTCTGCTACCTGATGAAGTTTAAGAACCTAGACCCTCACCTAGGAGATCATGGGGTTGCCTGGGAAGATTGGGGTCATGGACTAATCCTTTGTATTTTCTTCCTCCCCACCCATGCCACGCCAGTGGCAGATTTTCCAAAGATGTTCACAGCTGTATCCAATGCAATCTTGTGCACAAAAGGAGGCTTTTTATTTTTCTGCTTTCAGGGATGTGAATTTCTATCAGCAGATGAGTATCTCCTTTCACTGGGGCTTCTGAATTATACAGGACCGTGGGAGGAGTTCAGGGAATCAGATATATTAACTAGACCTTGAAATATTTTTTTTCCAAATGGATGCATAGTCTTTATTTAAGTAGAAAGCATTTCTGGCTAAATTTGGTGGCTCATTTGTAGGAAAACCAGCAAAAACCTGACTTCTGGGAGTCTCTATGATTTAAGCCATGTTAATATTAGCTGCTGGTTGAATCACAGGGAGAAAATCGACAGATTCATTCTCTTGGGGGCAGGGAGGAGAGGGAGCTCCCAGCTGAGCCAAGAATCTGCCAGTGCTGCGTCTGGCTGATTAATGGCATTAGACTTCGGTGCCCTCTTTAGCGGTCCAGCCAGTGACCTTAGGGAACCCCCGCAGCATTGGGCTTGTTTACGTGAAGCAGCTCTGCGGGTTGGGGACAGGATGTAGGGGCATCAGGGAGGAGACCGAGGCAAAAGAAACCACCTCCATCTTCCCTCCCCTGCGGAGCCGCCGGCCTGCAGTCTTGTGCGCCATGAAAAAATGATGACTTGACTTCATTAAAGCCTTGTCATCTTTCCCCTACTGACAGCTTGAAAAGAGCACTCTCGCCTGAGCAGAACGGGATTCCAGAGGCCCAGGGGGCACAGAAATCACAGACTGAACTTTCGGGAAGAAAAATCCTTCTCTTCTTGTTAAGCAAATAACTGAATATGAAAATGAAGGAGGGTGGGGAGGAAATTTCATTTCAGTTTCAGTGGTGCGGGGGCCTGTACAGCAGAGGAGAAGGACTTAGGTATGTCCCGCCTAAGGGGATGCGGTGCCGTCAGGCCCCTCCCCTGCCATCCTGGCTTCCTGAAGCTTGACCCAGTCTTGCTGTTTTGATCTGATTTCCCTCCAGCCCTTGTGGTTCAAGTTATTGATATCCACTGAGCATCTAAAAGGCCCCATGGTGGGCACAGCCTCATGTCATCCCCCTAATGCCCTCTTTGAAGGTGGTATCATTACCCTCATTTTACAGAAACAGAGGCTGAGAGAAGGGAAAGGGGTAATTTGTTCAAGGTGACACAGTAATGGGACCATATCTGGAGTTCAGGCTTGTCTGACTACTGTGGGTCTTCAGGTGATTGAGAAACAAGGAAAGTCAGGGAGGACGGAGAGCTTCGGTCTTGGACAGAAACCTAGAGAGATTCAATGCCCTGTTGACAGCCACTCAGCTCATGAGTGGGGAGACCAGAAGAGACCCCAGATCTTCGGCTCATGGCCTGATGATATTCTCATGTATTTATTTATTCAGCAACTTTAAAAAATATTTTAGAAATCTTGACTTTTATAAGTGTTTTAAAACAATGTACATGGTTAAAAACAAGTCAGATAATATAAAAAAGTTTGTAATGAAAAAGAGCAGTCCCTGGCCTAATCATTTTAAACTCTTTTAGGGTGTTTTTCCTGGCATTAACTTTAATTCTGTATCTCTAGGTTTATGCCTATACAGGACTTCTATTTCTTGATTTATGGGAGGGAGAATTTCACTGTCCCCCCACACCCTACTTCACCCCAACCCCAGCATCCTAATATAGTCCTATTATTGTTTTTACTAAAATAAGTGATTAGTGTTTACTCTATTTCCTTTCTTGAACAGATTTTGATTTTCTTTAGAGTTAATGGTTGCCTATTTCACTTGCTTATTTTTTTTCCACATATATGTCTTTAAAGTTTTCAAAATTAATCAGGTTATAATCTACCTATTATTATTTTTTACAAAAATTCCATCATATCACATATTTTATCATTCCCCCATGTAAAAAATTGCTGGAGCTCTTCATTGTAAAGAATTTCTTCCTCTTATTTTCGGTTGAACCAGTTAATCTATAGGCCTTCTGCACAGTTATCCTCCATGGACTTCCTTTGCCCTTATCCTGGATTGGATCCACCATTTCTTGATCCTTTGTCTTCCTCCTTCTTAGATTCCTCCCTAACTTTGCTGGAGCACATCCTTCAGCAGTTTATAAAGAAAGCGTGCATAAAAGTTATTTTTTTTCTGAGTCTTTTATGTCTTCAAATATTATCCTCACACAATTTCTAATGTGGCTGAATGTAAAATTTAAGGCTGAAAATAATATTTTATTTAAAAATGTGATGGCATCTAGCGTCCAGTTTTTTTCTTGGGAAGTTAAATGCTATTCTGATTATTATTTTGCATATAGTTTTTTTCTCTTTGGAATCTTTTGGGATCTATTCTTTCTTCCTGGTGTTCTGAAATTTTATATAAGCCCTAAAGTAGAAGATGCAGCCTAGTTCCAGGAAATATTATTCATATCAAATCAGATTTTTGGCAATTTCTTCCTCTCCCTTTTTCTCTGTTCTCATTTTATATTTCTCCCATTAGTCAGATATTGAATTGCTGGATTGGTTATCTAAAAGGTCTTATGTATTCTTTAATATTTTCCATCACTATCTTTTTCTTCTGCTTTCTAATAGATTTTATTATCTTTACTATCTATATCTTTTATTGAAGTGTTTTGTTTTTTCTCCTGTTCTTAATTTCTAATAGTACTTTCCTGTCTCCTTACTGTTGCTTCTTTTATAAACCCTATTCTTTAATGCATCAATATCTTCTCCTATGACTCTGAGTTTACTAATTCTATATTATCTTTAAGGTTTTTTTCTGAGTCCTATATTATCTCTATTTTCTTCAGCTCTTTTTTTCCTGTTTTGATATCGGTGTTATTTTGTTTATTTTATTCTATTTTTTGTTTTAGTCTTTTCTTAAGTGTCCTTCATTGTCCATTAATGTAATAGGTACTAAATAGATGATTGAAATCTCTGTGTATGGGACTGAGGGGAAGATTATCAGCTAGTGGGATTCACTTTAAGATGATCAGACACCATGCTGATGCTTCATTTGGAAATTCTCAAATGACAATATGTAAAGTCTTTTCTTTGGACCCATTTCATTTAACTGGAAAAAGAATCCTTTTATCTTTTGCCTAGCTGGTAGAGTTTTAGATTCTAAAGAATTAGACATGGGGCAAGGGATGGGCCCACCCAGGGATATCACCTTTCCATGTGTTGGCTGTTAAAACATTTTTTATTTGGGTATAATTTATGTATAGTAAATGTAAATGAAAAAATATTCATTGTACATTAGATAAATGTTTATATTTCAACCACCCTGAAAATTCCTTGATGCCTCATTTGTGTGCAGACTTTATTTTATTTACTAATTTATTTATTTTTTTAGATGGAGTATCCCTCTGTTGCCCAGGCTGGAGTGCAGGGGTGCAATCTCAGCTCACAGCAGCCTCCGCCTCCCAGGTTCAAGCAATTCTCCTGCCTCAGCCTCCTGAGTAGCTGGGATTACAGGCATGCGACACCACGCCTGGCTAATTTTTGTATTTTAGTAGAGATGGGGTTTCACCAAATTGATTCCTGTTTTCAGTCTTGTACTTGGCTCCCAGCTTCCCTATACCTGATGTCTCTGAATCTTGGTCCTCTTCTGTTTTCCTTCTCCAGAGAATAACTCCCTCTTTACCAAGAGTCTAGCTGTAATTGACAGAGACCTAACTTTTACTGGCTTCAGCAAAAATATTGTCTCACATAATTGGAAGTTCAGAGATAGGAAGTGCTCCCGGTGTGATGTGGATGAGTGGCTCAGTGATGGCGTCTAGCACTAGTGGTTTTTCAGGCTCTTTGCTTTGCTCTCCTTAGCATCTGATTTGAATGAGCTGATTCCTTTCACAACCATAAAATTGTGCCACTAGGACTTGAGCTATGTCTCTGTCATTCAAGTGTCGTCCTTGAACCAGCAGCATTGGCATCACCCAAAAGTTTGTCATATATGCAGAATCTCAATCCCTGTCCCAGGCATACTGAGAATAACCTGCATTTTAATGAGATAATCAGGTGATTCAAATGCACACGAAAGTCTGAGAAGCACTGGGCTATATACTTTCATGTTTGCATTCAACTGAAGATAACTAGAGAAAAATCTCTCTCCTAGTACATATTTTCTAGGTGATTGGACTAACCTGGGATATGATCCTGCCTCACCCTACCCCATCGGAGCCCATTTGAACTGTCATGTGCTTACTGACTTAGACAATCAAACTCCATCCCTTAGATCTGAGGATCGCATCTTCCCTTGAAGCATATGCTTCATGGAAGAGGGATTGATAGTCTAACAAAAACAGGGATCTGCTAGGAAGGAGGAAGTGAGTGAAATGGAAATTTCAGTGAACCACCTATACAATCCACAGGAGAGTTTGGCCACTAAATGTAGAGACTTTCAACTAATCTGTTTTGTAGCCCTGAGTTTCCCCCACTGCCCTCCACCCTGTCTAGGGCCTTCAAGTCATGACATCTCCAAGGACCCTCGCGTAGGGCAAATCGCTCTCTTTTCTTTACTCTCATGCGTATTTGCCTCTGGAAGGAGTTTCCAGTGCAGGTTCCGTCTCCCTGATAAAAGTTACTACACCTCCATTTGCTTTGCATTTTAAAAAACTGTTGAAACATTTCACTTGTGTTTTCTCTCCCTATACTTTTTGTTCTCTAAAAAAATTCATTGCTATCATTTTTTTGGTGTCTGGGGAAGTAGAGAAAGTCAACACATGTGACCAATCTACCCTCTGTAACTGAAAGAATTCAGCAAGCACGATGTTGGTGTAGACACTGTGCCACACCGCTTCTTTATGATCAAAACAACAAGGAGATGTGGAAAAAGAGGTGTGTATGTTTGTGTGTGTGTGTGTGTGTGTGTGTGTCTTGGGGGGAAACAGAGAGAGATACACACATACTGAGAGAAAGAGACAGAGACAGAGAGAACCAGAAAAGGTGGCCTGCAGCTCACCTTGAGGGAAGTGTGGGATATTCCATGAGCAGAAGAGATGATAAAATTGAGTGCCTAACTGCCTGGAGTGAGAGGATTTGCCATGCATACAGGGCAATCACTTGCAGCTGACTTGTGTTACCTGTCTTGTAAGAAGAAGCCTAGCAGAGTGTCACATGGCTGAGCCATAGACCAGCAGGGTCAGGATCAGAACAAGGGAAGGGCATGGCTGAGAGTGAGCACCTGAGTGAGTACATGGGTATGACTCTGAGACCAAGCCAAATGGGCTGTTTCCCCAAGGTCACAAGCTACTACACTTAAAGGTCAATGCTCGCCTTTCTTCTCATCCCTGCCTTGCTTATCTCAAAACCACTATGCTTTGAGGTTGCCCCAACAAAAGTGACTGTTTAAATAAATTGTGGTTATGTATGTGTAAAGAGAAATATGATTCATCTATTAAAGTGACAATGGCTACGGCTACTGAGATGGAAAGATGCATAGGATACATTGATGAGGTGCTAGTGGGGAAGGAGATATCTAAGAAGCAGGTAGAGTCTCGTTCCACTTTTGTCAAATATCTGTTTGTAACTAGGATGTCTCAGACTTCATCAGCCTGTGGGAATGTCTTTCAACTAATAGCCTAAATTACAAAGGCTCCCAGTGCTGCTTGGCTGCAGGAACAGAGCCTCCCTCAAAGGGTCATCCGGTTATTTCTGAGGGTGCTCCAGAGCACTGCCTGCTCACGTTGTCCTACTGAGTAGGAGCCCACCCCCTACCCCCCAGCACAAGGAGTGTTCTGAGACATCTCTGCTCCCAAGGTCAGGCCCAATAGCCCTGGGACCTGGAAGAGTAAGGCAAGCGTTCCTTAGTGCCTCCTCTAAGGCTCACCTGCCCAGGCCTGGCTTGCTTTCCTGGGATCTTTTCTTCTCTGGCAGTTGCTGATGCTACAAATGCTCATTACTCCTTCAGCGAACTGGGCAGGCCTGTCTAATGGCCTCTAAGCAGTCAACGGCATTGAGTACAGTAGCTCAATATCAGTTTCTTCCTCCAGGGCTGTGGGAGGGAGTTATTTGCTTAACGTTTTGTAACAAAAAGCCCATTTAAAGGGTTTTCCCAAAATAAATAGTCTACTCCTAAGATCAAAGTCAGTCCTTTCATGACAAAAACTGTTTATATCAAAGCTTTAACCATCAAGGTTAAAAAAAAAAACCCCAAAACACATTAGATCTAGAATTTCCGCTAGACATTAATTTATATATGTATTTAGGTATGGAAAATTTGCACAAAAATGTTAAAAAGAGGCGGCTATTTCAGAGTAGTGGGATGAAGAGTGATTTTTCTTAATTTTCCTTTGGCCTATCTGCTTTTATCTATAATAAACATGTATTATTTGTAAAAACATATTTTAAAGTTAGAAAAATGATGAGGCACACTGTTCGTGTTCCTTCAACCAGATCCTTAATAAAGATGCTAAATGCTGTGGGTGTGGGTACTGCCTCTTGCTGGCCTTGTGCCCCTAAGAGAATTCATCATGCTTTAGATTTCCCCAACCGTCAACTTTGCAGCTAATTTCAGTCCATTATGATGTCCCAGCAAATGTGGATGGATTTTCAAAAAAGGCTAGCATCAGCAAACATTTATTCTAAAATCTGAGCAGGAAAGGGGCCATAGAAATGGAAGCAGTACTCTGCAGCAGTGCCCCAGGTTGCCTCCTTGCCTTCCTGCCATCCCCATCCTGGGAAAACCTGTAATAGTGGCCACCAAGCCCAAAGGAGAGGAACAACCCCAGAGAAGCCCAATTCCAGGCAGCTCCAAGGTTAGGGACCCTTGGGAAGCAAAGCAGAGGTGGCCAGCGCACCAGAAACAGAGAGGGCTTTGTCAGGAGTATCTGAGGGAGGCACAGTCCAGGGCTATGAAAGGGCTTGCAGGACATGAGCATCACAAACCAACACCAGCCTGGCCAACATGGTGAAACCCCGTCTTTACTAAATACAAAAATTAGCTGGGCTTGGTGGTGTGCACCTGTACACCTGTAATCCCAGCAAGTCGGGAGGCAGGAGAATCGCTTGAACCCAGGAAGTGGAGGTAGCAGTGAGCCAAGATCACACCACTGCACTCCCAGCCTGGGTGACAGAGTGGGATTCCATCCGCCCAAAAAAAATTTAAAAAAGGAAAAGGAAAAGAAAAGAAAAGGAAAAAAACCCAGCAGAGCCCAGGTGGCTTCCGTGTAGTTGGCGACTGGGGACTTCAGCAGTGAGATCTGAGGACGAGTCTGAAGGTGTTCAGATGCTCATGCTAGGTCCCCTCTCTTACCCCCTTTCCAGTGGTTCAGGAAGGTGCCCCCAGCCCTGTCACCCAGTGCGTCAGGGCGCTTGATCCCTTGGGGTCTCACTTCTGCAAAGGGTAGCTGAGGGTAGCTTCCCAGACCAGTTCTGGTTTCCAGAGAGGTCTGGACAGAATAAACCTGGCAGTTTCTCCTACTCTTCTTGGCTCTGTGTGAGGTGGGCAGAGCTCAATTGGGTGAGGTCCACACGGTACTGTGTCTGCCAGTTTCCTTACCATGGGCTCACCATACCATCCCACCTTGTCTTCGCCAAGCCTCGGGCCATTGCTGATCTTTCTCCCATCCTGTTTGTGTGCACTCAGTTTGGGGCTCAAGGGTAGGAGCTATTGTGGATCCTTGTTAATTCTCCTTGCACTAAATTCAGTCCCTCTGTTGTCCCACACCTTTTGTGTCCCATGCAAGAGGGACTGTGGTGTAGTGGTAGGAACAGATGAGCAATTCAGTAGTAGTTGACCCTAGAAGGGATGTAGGGCTATCTCCTTAGGGCAAGACCATGGCACAACCTGGGGTATGGATTAATGTTCATCCCTAGTGGAGGGACTAGTAGAGTCCAGGGTTCTTGCCAACTGGGACAGGGGTGCAGGGCAAGGCTCCAGCCTTGGTGGGGTCATGAACACTGGGCAGGACTCCAAAACAGAGGCTCGTCGTATAGACTGCTCAACTGGATGGTAATCACGGGAAAGGAATTGTCTAGGAGGTGAGGCCCATCCAAGAGCTTGAGGATCTGACTTAGTATGGCAGGAGTCTCTCAAAATCTTTGTGCCTCAGATTGAGACATTAAGAGTGATTTCAATCTCTACATCATGGGTGGGAAAGGGGTTTCCAATATATTCTCAAGCCTACGAACAAGGCAAAGCTGAGTCAATAATTGAGAATGTACTTGTGCCAGACACTGTTCTAAGTGCTTCACACACATTAACTCATGTAATCCCACCTCATGGGATACAGAATTCTATTATTCTCATTCAACAGATGAGAAAACTGGTTTCATAGATGGCAAAGAAGATAATTTCAAAGTGACTGCCCATGAATAGACAGCCCACCATGTTCCTAATGGTGCCCTCTACCCTCTCCTCTGTCTCTCTCTCCTTCCTCTCTCTTCGTGCTTCTCTTTTACTTCCTCAGACCTGGGATCAAATCATGATGGAATGGAATCACCTGGGGGTGGCAGACACAGTTGGAGTGTCTAAACTTATCCTCTCTGCACTCACCATTCCCTTCCCAGCTAATGGTTTTCTTCTGCAAGCACCTGATCCCTCTGCCTTGTGGTCTTCTCTACTTGAAGCGTGCTCAACCAGAGGGTAGTACTGCCAGGGAGTTAGCACCCCTGAGAATAGCTCTCAACCAGGGAAAGAATAGAACATAAATACCCAGCTTCTTTGCCCTTGGGCATGACAAATGTGAGCATGTTCCACACAGTCTCCCAGAGGTTCCCTGTGGGGCTGAGTCCCAGTTGCCCATATTGAAAACCTGCAACTGGCTTCCTTCCCTGCCCTGTATTTTACTCTGCACTCTCTTACCTGGAATCAGCTCTCCTATAAACTACTTGCACTCAAATCCTTGTCTCAGATCTGATACAGCCCCATCCGTCTGCTCTTCATTTGGCCTGCCCTTCATTTGGCCTGCCCATTAAGACTTCTTGGGTCACACCCATTATAGTTGTCCTCTTTGTTTCCAGGAGCGCTTTCTGGGGGTGAGAAAAGATGGAGGAGGCACAGTTTCTGGGGGAGCTGTCAGCTCAGTTCCTGAGTTGAAAGGAATGACAGAACATTATGCTGTCAGAGAGATCTGCTGCTTTGCTCTTCAAAAGACAGATGCAGAAGCATCCCCTTCCTCACTTGTCTCTTAGGAATATCAGTTCACATCTGATTGAGGTGGTCCGTGAAAGATGTGTGAAGATGAGGGTGCAAAAGGTTTGCTCGGCCATTCAGCAATTTGGGAATGGTGTGCCGTCTCTCTAATTTGACTGGGAGCTCAAAATGACAAGCCTAAAGGATCTAGAGTCGGTCTTCCTCCTCTGATTTTAACAGGAACTACAAAATACTAAAGAGGGAATTAGAATTGGATCAGGTTTGCTTAATTGCTCCGAGCCTTAGTTTTCTTGTCTTAAACATGGAAAGATCAACCCAGTGAGAGCATTTTGTGGTATGAATGTATGGAAGTATCTGGCACACGGTGTGTGTGTTTGGTTGTTTGGGGGATGGCTGGACAAGGTTGTCAGTTTATGTTGGAAGTCACCATGGGAGTTCAGGGTCAGCTGGGGTTGGATGGGTTTGAGGAGTAGGAGAAGGGCCTGTGAAATTAACACAAATGTTTTTTCAAAGCTCTGTGACTGCAGTTAGACTTCCCTATAGTTAGTGAATGGAAGAGTGTTTTAAAGTCACTCGCAGATCCCTCATGCTTCAGGGTCATCCATGTTTCTTATGTCCCCCACAGAATCCCTGGTGGCCCACACATTCTGCTCAATGGCTATAGAGCTGGCCCCACTGCACCCTTTGGATTTAACTGATACTGGACCCATCATGACCTTGACCCAGCCATCAGGCTCCTCTGCTCATCCCTTCTATCTGCTGGAGAAATGCCCATCTTGCTCTCAGTGCCCGGGAGAGGCTCTCACAACTCTCAGCTTCTCAGGGTCCCCTTATGTTCAAACACTTCAAATGGACTTGAACTTGCACATCCAGATTGTCCCTTTTCTTTAGGAACTTGGGAAAATCCATGCAGGGCTGGGCTTCAGGGCAGTCTGTGTGGTGCTACACTAGAACCCAAAGTGCCCTATGACCCTCCTCTTCAAGTTTAACCAGAAACAGCTAAATTTGAAATGACTTCCTACTTAAATAAAAACTACACATCCATTTGGAGATATTTATTTCCAGGTCAAGTCAATATCTGGATCGTTGAACTCTTGTATAGATCAGCCTCAGTGAATAGAAATATTTGGTTTCAAGATGCCCAGCTCTGTGTCTGGATTTCTGCCTTCTCACTTCTTACTGGGTTTGGCCAATGGGGGACACCAGCAGATGATCCCAGGAAGGAGGTGAGTGAGGGCGGGTACATCTTCCCCTGCTTCTCTGCTTGTGGGATCATTGTAAGCTGGCTGACACCTTTGATGGAAAACCAGAGCTCTTTCTGTCTCCAGATTTCTTGTTCCTAGGGTCCTGCACCACCTCCTGGGGCTTCCCTATGCCCTGCCCTCTCCGTTACGAATGGTGCCTCTATAAATGCTCCTCACTGACCCTAGGTGAGGATCTGACTTAGTGAGGCAGGAGTCTCCCAGAATCTTTATGCCTCAGGATTAAGACATTAAGAGTGATTCCAATCTCTATATCGTGGGTGGGAAAGGGGCTTCCAAAATATTTTCAAGCACTGGAGGGCCCCTTCCTGCAACCCTCATTGGGCCACATGCCCAGGCAACCTCCATCAGGAAGAAAGCAGGAGCCTCTTGGGGCCATGTTTCCGCCTCCCAGATTATATCTTAAGGAGGTAAGGTTTGCAAGTTGCTGAGCACGAGGCCCACAGTGAGTATTCATTGAATGTTTTCTATCATTTTTATTATCACTATGTATGGAATATGGTGATACTCCATCTCTACCAAAAAAATTAAATTAATCAGCCAGAAGTGGGTGGCATGGGCCTGTAGTTGAAGGTGCCATGTATTTTCTGCTGGGACTCTGACTGGTACACAGAGCCCAGGACCTTTGACTGATTGAGGACCTTAGTTACAGGACTCAGCCTTGAATCCCAGTGAGGATCCTCTTTCTTCCAAAAGATTCTCTGCAAAGAGGTCACACCCGCTGTGCCCCAGCGCCTGAGATGGAATGAAAATTGCATAGTTAATAAGGTTACATCTTTTTCATTCCATGACGGTTCAGGGCCTTCAAAAAAAATGGCATTGATTATTTTTCTCCTTATTCATATTTTCCTCTTTATAGATGTCAGTTTTCAGAAAAAGGAATGTCCTGAGCCCTAAAACCTGAAAATAAGGATGCACTTTTTGGCATTTTCATAACACTTAAAATGAATGGCTCTCTGTTAGTATTTTCAATTGATTTTATTTACTTTCCTGGATGTCTCTATATGAAAACCTCCCTTTTTCAAGATTTTTCTTTCTTTCTTCTTGTTCTTTTTTTTTTTTTTTTTTTTTAATATATCGGAATTGCTGTGAGCTATCCTAAGGGCCTGGAATCTGGCTGGAGGTTGCTTGTGAAATTGGTATTTTTCTTTTTAAAATGTAACTATTCTTTTTTTTTTTGTCTCCCTCCCCCACACCAAATGGGTAACTTTTCTTTTAAAAAAAAAATCAATATGTTCATTGTGATACCTTCACTTGAGATTAGATCAGATTTTCTGTAATAAATATTAGCTTTTACCTCAGAATACCTCAGAATGATATTTGGAGGCCTCAGGGTACTTGGGTCCTGATGCACCTTGTCTGGGGGCCCTGGAAAATGCTGTTGCCTTCCTTGCTTTGTTGGTGGATGGTTACTTAGAGCAGAAGGTTCCAAGTCCTGTCTGTGGACTTTTGTTAGGCTGTGATGCAGCCTCGCCCGGCAGCAGTGTTTTTCCCTGATATGTTCCTGACTGCTGTGGGTTGGCTGATCCAGGAGGCTGATCCAGGCTCCAGGATTCACTGGGTGGGACAACCCTCATTGGCCCACACGCCCCCGCAGCCCCCATCAGGGAGAAGGCAGGAGCCTCTTGGGGCCATGTTTCCACCTCCCAGGTAAGGTTTGCAAGTTGCTGAGCACAAGTCCCACAGTGAGTACTCACTGAGTCTTTTCTATCATTATTATTATCACTATGTTTTGAATATAGATCCCCAAGGTGACAAATTTATATCAGGAAAAAAACCCCCATGTAATATCATAAAATAAAATTCTACATTGTCATTTTTCTGCTTTCAAAGAAAGTTTAAAGACCATCGTTTCTTGTTGGGGGATGGATATGTTCATCTAAGTTTACCCGCTGTTTGTTTTTGGAAAGGATTGTCCTTTATTCTGATGGTATGCCCTCCTGGTTTCTCCTATTAAAATGTCCTTTTTTTCATGAAATAACAACAATAGTAGGTTTTAAAAAAATATCCTAGAGCTGAATGTGGTGGCTCACACTTATAATCCCAGAACTTTGGGAGGCCGAGGTGGGAGGGTCGTATAAGCCTAGGAGTTTGAGACCAGCTTGGGCAACAACATGCGGAGACTCCATCTCTAGAAACAAACAAACAAACAAACAAACAAATAAATAAATAAATTAGCCAGGTGTGGGTGGCATGGGCCTGTAGTCTCAGCTAGTTGGGAGGCTGAGGCAGGACGATCACCTTGAGCCCAGGAGTTTGAAGCTGCAGTGAGCTATGATCACACCACAGCACCCCAGCCTGGGCAATGGAGGGAAGCCCTGTCCAAAAGAAAAAGAAATTTTTACAAAGTAAAAAAAAGTTTGTAAGTTTCCCTATATTTAAGCTCTGATTTGGAAGGTGAAGAGCTCTGGGCTTCTGTGGTTTTGCATGAAGGGTAATGATCAAGGAAAGGAGATGAGGTGGCACGGGCTGCTGTGGGCAGTAGCTGTTCTCAGTAGTGAATTTAAAAATCTCACAGAGCCTTGGCCCAAGCCTCTTGTGTCTTGGGCACTGGGGACATTCCAAAGGGTTGTAGAGCATACCTATTCACAATGTGGAGGAGAATGGAAGGCAACCAGCATTACTGTGTTCATTCACGCCACAAATATTTACTGGGCATCTACTATGTGCCAGCCTCTGTTCTAAGGCTATAGCTATGAACATAACAGAAAGAAGATTCTCTGTTCTCATGAAGCTCACATTATATTGGGCTTGGCAGGTTTTCAGTTTGATCCTCCAACAACCCTGGTGAGGTACCTATGAAACCTCCATTCTCAGTGTGAGAAAACTGAAACGGAGAGGTTAAGTCGCCACCAGAAGCTGTAGTTTAGTGCCCTGGTCTGCCTCCAAAGTTTCGTTCTTCCCATGGAGCCGGGGCCCCCCTGATGGTCATGCATCTGTCATCTGAACATCTGTCCACACCCTAGTGGTGCGGACAGGTTGGCCTTAGGAGCTGAATTTGTCTATGCAATTTTCACTCCAGAACTGTTTTATCAGCAGAAACCCCAGACTTTGATGAGAAGCCTGTACTCCATCCCTTAAAGGGGTATTGAGTAGGAACAAAATGATGGAAAAGTTCTGGCTCTACCCACAGCTCTGCCACTGAGAGCTGGGTGACCTTGAGGCCTTCACTTACCCTCCTCATGTTTACTCTGGCCATAATATTACCCCTGGCAGCGTTTTTGCAACTGTTCATAAAACAGCATATGTGAAAGCACTGAGCTCATTGCCTGGCAAATGTAGTTGCTCAATAAATGTTAGTTGAATTGGAATCTGAAAAATTAAGGCACAGGCAGTGAGCCTAATTCCTGAGACTGTAGACTTCATTTGGCTCATTGATTTGCCTTTAAGCAATTGGTTTTATATGCCAGGGCACACATCAGGATGGTGCAGGGAACCCAATTTAGCAAGCCTGTTTTATCTGATGTGGATGTGATCTGTGATTGAAATAAGGAACACTTCTACACAGGGCATCTGAATGCTTTATATATGGATGGCCCAGCACACACACACCTGTGGATTGTGTATATCTCAGTGCCAACCACATTGCACTTCCAGTATCAAGCAGGCCCCTCGTGCCTCTCCTCTAAGGCCAGCAGGAGGCTTGGGGAAACACAGAAGTTGTTTCAGAAAGCTAGAGGAGTCAGGCACCTCCTCATCTCTGCTGCCTCTGCCACACTTAGGATGACAGCCTTATCTTCTCAGTGAGTGGGAAACTCAGTACCTTCAAAGAGCAAGGAGTAGGGTGGTTAGGACACTGTCTTGCTAATTTTTTCGGGTGTCCATGAGAATGATGGTGATGGCATCAGTGGAACTCCCAGTCAAGGCAGTGGACTTTATTGTCTTGATGCAAGAAACTGTGGTGCTGCTGCTGGTCAACCAGGAGGGGCTGAGGGGCCATTTATTTGGAAAGAAGGTAGTTCCCTCTTTCCAATGGGGAAGGAGAGAGAAAAGAGGTGCAGCCATGCAGTCCTTCAAGCGGACTGGAAGGAGGAGTGTTTCTCATGCACACCTGCAGCACCTGGGAGCAGGCGCCAGAATCATGTTGCCAGGAGGAGGAGCCAAAGCTAGCAACAAGTGTCCAAAAAGAGCCATCAAGCAAGCAAGCTGGAGGTGGTGTCAGGAGCAGAGGTAAGAAGCTGAAATAAGGAAGAACAGGCAAGGTACCAGGGGCTCTGCTCAGTCCTAGCTCCTGCCTGCCCTGGACAGTAAGAAGAGCAAATGTCCAGCCACTAGCCTGGACATGGGTCAGAGTGGCCATGTTGGCCACGCAGGCTGGAGGTGGAGACCCCTGAACTCCTGGGCCTTCTGATGGTAATCAGGATTCATCCTGGAGGTGAGGCTACTCAGGTGGCTCTGGCTGAGGTGGCAGCAGGGGGGCAAAGGCAGGTCACCATGCCCATGATAGACTGAGGGCCCTGGTGAAGACCTGGGTGACCTCAGGAAGCTCAGGGGTCCTCTCTGGGCCTGGGAAGCACTCAGCATGCTCCAGCTCCTGGGGTGGGGGGTCCACCTCCTGAGATCTCTCACCTTCTAGTCACAGGCTGCCAAGGCGGCAACGCAGATGACCTGATGTCTCTTGCTGGCTGGGGCCAGGCAGTATGTTCCTACAGACACCCACATAGCTGACGGGCTCGGGAAGGTCTACTGCAAGGGACTTGTAAGTGAGTAGCTGTTGGGAGACTTATCATTTGTCTACTGATTGGAGTCCTGACAAGTTAAGAATGTTCTCCTTTGGTCCCCTAGGGACTCAGCAGGAGGCCCCCTCCTTACTTAGCCTGAGCAAAGCAGAGGACTGAAGCAATTACCCAGATTATTCAGGCAAAAGTCCCCACAAAGTGGCCATTGAGATAGGGAAGATGCAAGTGGCACCTTCTTTTAAAATCCTACATTCTCTACTTCAGTTGCTTTAAAACAACAACAACAACAACCAAAACCTATTGTGTTGAAGTGTCTTTAGATGTAGACTCAGCTGGGAACCCATTGTGCTCCCCCAGGATTCACATCGGCCCCAGCCTTCCCAGATCCTCCTGGGATGATTGCAGCATTGAGTTAAAATTGAACAGATTAGTAAATAGATTTCCATCTTTGTGCTACACAATAAACAATATTGGAAAGAACACATGAGAGGATTACTGGATAAAAAAACCTAATCAATCCAATCAGAAGGAAAGGAGTCTTGGCTATGACACAGCACAGGGTGTCAGCAAACACCTGGAAGAGAGGAGTTGCTGAAACTACTGAAGTCTCCTCTGGGAACCAGTGAGTCATCCAACCAGGACCAGAACTTCTTGTCAGTCCCTGCCCCTCCCTTTTCTGACCATTGGCAAATTCTGTTGACCTTTCCCCAATAGACTGAGTCCAAGCTGGCCCATCTAGGTCCTGTGTGAGTTCCACCAGCCACAGGGCTTGGACCTGGACTATGTCTTCCTGGTTCTGGAATGTAGCATGTGCTCATGTGCCCATGGAACTGCACCCTCCCCTGACCCTCCTCCTGTGTGCCCAGCTTACACAACTGGCCTCTGCCTTGAGTCTTGGTAGTATTGTTTGCATGGCCCAATGTGTTTATAGAATGGTGCCCAGCACAAGTAGTTTTTTTGGTGGGAGGTGATGAAGGGAGATGCATTATCAGGTGACTCTTCTTCACCCATGTCAAGCCCGAACATAGGGTTGATCATCACATTCCAACCAGGAAGCAGGGGCTCTGGGCTTCGAAATCCACCCTAAGCGTACAGGATCCTGGACTGCTGGCAGCATGGCTAGGCCTGGATATGTCTGCTTGTAGGGTTCTCACCCAGGCTGGGATAGGGCAGGATGAGCTCAGAGTCTATGTGGGTAGGATCTCCAGACAGGTAGTCATCTGAATCTAAAGATAACCATGAAGGTGGCAGGCAGGGGAGGGGACAGATAGCACACTCTGCCTACTGATCATACAAGCGTGACCCTGGGGATCACAATCAGGACTTCAGCCAGGGTCAGCAACTCCTCCCATCTCAGTGTCTGCCAACACTTACCTCATGTCATATCCTCAAGGCATGGAGGAGTCATCCCAGACTTCTTCCTGCTTAGAACAGACTGTGTTAGTTGAATTTTTCTCCAATCATCCTTTTGTTTCCTAATTCTGGAGGTGTCCATTTTCTAGTACGAAAATACAAATCCTCTTACTATGTGATCAAATTTAACTCAATATGACAATCACTAGCTTGATGCAAGGGCTGCATGTTTATAACTCATGAGGTCTCATAAGCAGTTGATTTGAAAGCAAGCTGTGTCTTCTGGGTTGAATGCTCCGCTTGTATGCATGCATGTAACTCCTGCGTGACCTTCCCACTGGTGTGTCCAGAAGAAGATACAAACATAGGGAGGATGCTGTGTCAGCACAGTGATGAGAAGATGCTGTCCACATGCTAGAGATGTCGGAGAGCCACTGGACATTGGGCCGCCTGAACCCCTTCCCCTGGGCTTTCATCCTCTCCATCACAGATTCTGGTCTCCTGCCCCCTGCACTCATACCTGCTCTGGGCCCTGCAGTTTGGTGGCTCCTCCCATCTCTCTCTGTGTTTCAGAATTCAGCTTTTCTTTGTTCTCATTGTACATTCTTTTGGTTTTGATGTTCTATGGAATATCAGGGAAGAAACTCCATCATTTTCTTGCGTTCACTGCGAGATAAGAGCTGCTTGGACGCTTCCCAAAACAGAGCTGCCAGTGAACCTCATAGTTATCTCCGCATATGGCTTTTCTGGGCTGCTATAGAGGCAGAGAGAGCTCCAGCTCAGGAGTTTAATAAATCTGACTTTAAAGCCTGGCTACACCACTTTATTGCCTTGAGTACCTGCCACAGTATCCTGTGTGCTGTGGGTACCGAGAAATTTTGTGCCTAAACAGATGACCAACAGTTTTACTATTAATTCTGGTGAGTCATGGGGCTAGGAAGGGTAGATCCTCAGCTTTCTTTACCGTATGTAACAAACATCTCTTGTTTTTGTCTATTCAACTTTCCTTTTCCCTTCTTGTACAGCCACATCTTCTGTTTCGATGATGAACACATAAATGAAATAAATTTAGTGGCTTGAAACACCATTTTATCCTTTATGATTCTGTGGATTTACTGGGCTAAGCTTGGTGGTTCTTCTACTCCTCCTGGTATCAGCTGGGCTGCAGTTATCTGTGGTTTGACTAGGCTGAATGTCCAAGGTGGTTCCTCATATGATAGTAGCTGGGACTGGCTGTCAGTTGGAAGTCAGCTGTGGCTACTGACCTGAGCACCTCAGTTCCTTTCCATATGGCCACTCTATGTGGCTTAGGCTTCTCACAGCGTGGTGGTTGGGTTGGAGGAGGGAGCATTCCAAGTGAGTGAAAGCAAGTTGCAGATTTCTTAAGTCCAGCTTTGGTGATAAAATAGCACCACATCTACTACATTCTACCAGCCAAAACAAGTCACAAACTAGCCCAGAATCAAGAGGGGGAGGAACATATTCCACCTCTCTATGCAAGGATGCCAAAAAAGTTTAGGCTTTTTAGTCTACCATAACAAACTTTGGAAAACTGCCAGTCAGAGCGCTAGACCCCTGTTCACAGAGATGGGCAATTGGTCCACACCTAGACAATCAAAGTTCCCTGTCATGACTCTCTCCCCTAAAAGCCCCATCTTGGCAGTTGGCCTACGGATAGGCACCATGACCAAAGTTGAGTCATCAAGACTCCCTCCTTGAGATCTAATATATGGGCAAAAGGAGAGACATGCTTCCCTCTTTATTTGGGGGCTAGGTGGCTGGGATGACATGAGCCTGAAGATGTCTATAGCCAGAGAGCTCCTCTAAGCCACCTATCACAAAAGCTCATCTGCTTTATGAAACAGTCCTGCAAATGTTCAGAAAAGAGTGGGGAGACAGGAAGGGAGGGAGAGAGGTTGAGAGAATGGTATGATGAGGAAGACAGCAACAATGATGATGACGATGTCATTGGTTGAGGCCTGGAGTCCGCAGAATTCCAGTTACAGCCAACAGATTATCTATTTTGCTAAAGCTAGTTTTAATTAGTTCTTGTCACCAGTGATTGCAAAGGTTCTGGGATAGGAGGAAGTCATTCGTTAAAGTTTGGCTTCCCATCTAGAAGAAAGTGATGATAGTAGGACCTATTATAGGCCAGGTACTGTGCCAGGTGCATTATATACTTTTCTTTTCTTTTTTTTTTAGACAAAGTCTCACTCTGTTGCCCAGGCTGGATAAAGTGCAGTGGCGAGATCCTGGCTCACTGCAATCTTTGCCTCCCGGGTTCAAACAATTCCTGTGCCTCAGCCTTCTGAGTAGCTGGGATTACAGGCATGAGCCACTGTGCTCCACCATATACTTTGCTTTTTCTTCATTTATTGCTCACAGGAATCCTGAAGGGTCAGTATTATTGTGCCCACTTGACAGATAAGGAAACTGAAGCTCAGAGACTCAGATGTAGACTTAGCTGGGATCTCACTGTGCTCCCCCAGGATTCAGGCCCTACTCACATTGAACACAACCAGGAAATGGTGTAGCCCTGCTTCCAACTCTTTTGAACAACCAAACCCAGGAGCCATCCACTGCTCTGCACTGCCCCAGGGAGGGTATGTAGGTCAGGCAGGGAAGGCATGGTTAGAGTGAGGCTTGGGGTGACTTTCTGGGACAAGTGTGCCAACAATACAAGGCCATTGGGAGAAAAAAGGAAAGGAAATCCCATATCTCCTCTAAATTCTCCTTCTTTGGGGGCATCTTCCTAGAATCACAAACTCATGGTCAAAATTAAGCAGAATCAGGTCATAGGTAGTTCTAAAAATTTGGGAAAAGAGTGTTTCTTTGTGTTTTAAATTAAGCTTCTAGTTTTAACATACTCCAATTTTGAGGAAGAGAAGAAGGAATTAATAGAGAGTGCAGGTCCTCCTGCCCCAGCTCTGGAGGAAACTCACAGGTTTCTGTCCCAGCTCCCAGCTCCCCTGCTCTGTGTTCTCAGCTGTCTTGTGAGAGCTGCTTCCTATCTGTTATTTGCAAGTCACTGACAATTATCAACCACATGGACGTCTAACAAGGGGATAAGCATAGCAGAGCAGATTAGGGCAGTCTTGGGATTGGACAGTTTGCTAAATGTAAAAATAACTCTACCCCTTTCCAAACATTTATTTCAATACCCATTACCCATATGAGTCTATTCAAGGCCAAGATGTCAGAGCTGGTAAATGTCTTCAGAAAGAGAGCAGCACATTTCACTAATATTTACTGAGCACCTATGATGTACCAGAATTGACCAACAGTAAACCTTTGATGCTGCTTCCTGTGTCAGGAACTTAACCAAAATCTCATCCCTACGCTGTCTGTTCTCTGGCCCTAGGCAAGAATTATGCAGAATTCAGTTAGCTTCCTGATGACAATGGACTTGAGGCTCTAGTGGGATAAATAAACACACACCGGGTGCATCCAATGCACCTTTTTCTGTTTCTCCTGGCTCTGCCTGGGGCTGGGCTTGGGCTGCACAGACTGAGGCAGCTCTTAAATGACACACGCCCATCCCTAGATA
Organism: Homo sapiens; assembly: GCF_000001405.40. Taxonomy (NCBI): domain Eukaryota; kingdom Metazoa; phylum Chordata; class Mammalia; order Primates; family Hominidae; genus Homo; species Homo sapiens. The sequence continues at coordinate 34,422,413 of NC_000001.11, read as the reverse complement.
CTGAAGATGTGATGGATTCCCCAAAACTTCTTACTAGGGGAGGTTCCTCCACCCTGGCACTGGAAATGATTGCTTTTGCCATAACTGTCCCCCTTCCCCATGCTCCCATTTTAAGACCTGAGTTTGGAAATCATCTCTCAAACTCAAGATTCTCTCAGTGCCTTTCAGAATAACCTCCAGGGCTCCTTCCACTGGAACCTGGAACAGCTTTTACTTGCTGAGATGTTAAATCTAGCTCACATCAGCAGTAACTGACCAAGCTTCCTCTTCCCATGGGGGGTGACAGTGGGAGATTGAGGCAGGCCAGGTAGGAGCAGCAACCTTAGGCTGGCAATTGGGGAAAGGAGGGTTTGGACTGATGCTGCCCCCAAGTCTGGGTGGCTATAGATGTCTACATTTGCTGCACAGCCCCTGCTGCTTGCCATAACCAGACAGCCCTGTCCAGCCCACCTGAGGAAATATTTGAAGCTTCCTCCCCTCTAGGAAGCAGGCTTTGGAGCACCCAAGTACCTGTGAATGAACCCATCAGCTGATAAACCACTGGCCCATCTGCCTGTCAGCCCTTCTGATGAACCCCCCTCCCCAAAAGAATGGGTCTCTGCACCTCCCTTCTGCCATCCCTTACCCAAAGAAGACTGGGATGCTGGTCTTGCTCCAGATCCTAGTGGCCCCCTTTGCTGGAGCCGGACTCTGTTTTAGGGCCCTTCCTTTACCCACCAGGACACACTTAGTAGAGTGAAGTTAGTCTCTAGAATGGTCTGATCAGGCTGTTGTAACAAAATGCCATAGACTGGGTGGCTTAAACAATAGAAATGTATGTCCTCACTGTTCTGGAGGCCAGAAGTCTGAGATCGCGGGCAGGATTGGTTACTGGTGAAGTCTCTCTTTCTAACTTGCAGACCTTCTATCTGTGACCTTATGTGGCCTTTTCTCTGTGAGTGCATGTGGGGAGAGAGAGAGAGCATGCTCTGGTGTCTTTTCTACTTCTAATAAGGACCTCTGTCTTATCAGATGGGGGTCTTATTGGATGGAAGTCCTATTGGACTGGGGGTCCTATTAGAAGGCCCCACCTTCATGACCATATGTAACCTTAATTACCCCCATAAAGGCCCTAGCTCCAAATACAGTCATATTGGGGTTGGGGCTTCAACATAGGAATTTTGGGGAGACACAATTCAGGCTCTAATAATCTCCTATGCTAGGATGATCCCAAACACTGCTTGAAACTCTGGGGAGCCGCCACTCACTCCTCCTCATCCCATCCCCTTTCGACCAAAATCCTTAAAAATCGAAGCTGAATTTGGGCTTGCTTCATGTCCCTGAAAACTTGATTAGAAAAATCACAGACATTTCTACCACTCTAGAACACCCAGTCCTGACTCGAAAGGTTTCCCTGAGCCCTGAGCAGCTGTCGTGGGACCCCATTTAGCTCCTCAGTCCAATCCCATGACCCTCCACCAATTCCCACCTGCTTGGATCCAGGGTTGGGTCCTGGGTGCCTGTTAGGAAGGTGCGGCAAACCTCGTAAGTCTCCTTTTCCATTTGCCTCAAGGTCCCCTGCATTCCCTTTGAAAACTTTCACTTTATAATGCTGGGGAGGGAACAAGCCAGGAAATGAGGTGAAAACATCAACATATTTTATCCTAAAATGTATTTATTTGATATATTTTGAAGTGGCTGCTCAAAGAGCCAGCCAGCAGAAGTAGCCCTGCAAAGCTGTCTGTTGTCGGGGGGATTTGCATCTGTACAGAATGTGCATTGATGCAGCCAGGTCTTCCCTTGTCCGGATCTAGGAAAGATTAACTGAGAATCTGACATCTTTAAAGGTCTGAAAGAAACATTTACCGTCTATTCTCTCTGAGGGTTGCTACCTTTGAGGTTCCATCTACAGAGCAAGACCACCTTTGCTAGCCAGGCCTCCTCTTCTCTTCCCTCCAATAACCTGATCACCACCATAACCTGGTTTGGGTCAGGCTCTGACCCCTGTTCTTTCTGTAATCTCAAAATGGTATATAAGGTTCTGCACACCATTGGAGATGCACGTGTTAAAAAATTTATGTGCCTTTTCTCCAATTAATCTGCCTTTTGTGAGCTGATTTTTCAATGAAACTTCAGAGGGTGAAAGGGAAGTTTTCCCTTGGCCCCTGCAGGAGTCATACAGATAAGGGTGGAAGGACTTGGGGCTGGGGAAGGGAAGACACTAAATGAACTCTCAGCAGCCCTGTGGGTAGATGCAGCAGGGAGGAAACCAGATCAGGCAGAGGTTGAGAGCAGCTGCCTCATCTCAAGCAAGGCCGCCTTTCTTTGCCTCCCCTGGAGCAGGGCTTGCTGTGGTCTGGCTGCTAAGAGCTTTCTCAAGCCAGCAGCTGTGCTAGGGCACAGAGTCCCCAGTGCAACGGCTGAGCTCCTTCACTCCAAGAGGGCCTCATATCCTTTTCTCTTGCAAACCCCTGTTAAAGGCTGAAATGTGGCCCTGTCTCATCCTCCCTTGGCTTAAGCTTTTGCCTCCGAAGGGCACCAGAGGGAGACATCCCTGCAGGTCCTGTGGGAGAAGCTTTTTCTCCTGCATCAGGGACCACGTGATAGGCCTAGAGTGTAGCAGCCAGAGATGCCATAGCATCTGGCCCTGCCCTCTTGTCTGCAGGAAGCATAAAGACCTCGCTGGCCTCCTGCAGGTCCCAGATGGGTCCAGAATTCCCTGGGGATCTATGAGGACTTCCTGATTTGTCTCCCACTCTGTGTTTCCCACCATATTCCTATGTATGTTGCTCGAGCCTTAGCTCACTCCCGCCAGTTCATTCATTATTCATTCACTCAACAAATACAGCACACAGATTCTAACAATGTGCTGGAGCTGCAAGAAGGAACAAATAAGACCCCCGCCCTTGCATAGCCCATTGACTAACTGAAACAGTCAATGATGAGTAAAGCAACAATAAAAACATAAAGGGCATATATTCTATACTCTAACTCATATATGGAAGCAAGGGGTGCTATGGGAACACCGAGTTGGGGCCTGCATTCGTTTCCTAAGGCTGCTGTAGCAAATTAACACAATTTTGGTTTAAAACAACAGAAGTGTATTGTCTCATAGTCCTGCAGACAGGAAATCCAAAATCAAGGTGTTGGTCGGGCCCTGCTCCCTGGAGAGGCTCCAGGGGAGGGCACTTCTTGTGTCTTCCTCGCTTCTGGTGGGTGCTGATGACCCTTGGCATTCCTTGGCTGGCAGCTGCATCTCTGTCTTCAGAGGCACATGGCATTCTCCCTGTGTGTCTGTGTCCAAATTTCCCTCTTCTTATAAGGACACCAGTCATGAGATTAGGGCCCACACCAATCCAGGATGACTTCGTTTTAACCTGATTACATTTGCAAAGACCCAATTTCCAGATGAGGTCACATTCACAGGTAGTTGGGATTTGGGGACTTGAACATATCTTTTGGGGGTTTACAATTCAACCTACAATAGGGTCCTTAACCTGGACTTGGATCATCAGGGCAGGCTACCTGGAGGAAGTAAAATGAACCTTTGAGAGGGAATAGGAGTTAGCCAGGTAAAGAATGAAGAGGGAAAAATGTGATAAGTCCAGGCGCAAGAGAGGGCTTGGAGCATTTCAGATGATAAAGGTAACCTGCAATCTGGCATTGATTGGCAGTAGGAGTGATACAGGGTGGAAATAGGGCTTAATGGTACCCCATGCTGCATGTTAAGGGACTTGGATTCTATCCTCAGGGGAATGGGAAGCCACTGAAAACCTTTATGGAAGAGACTGACATGGTCATATTTGTATTATAGAAACATCACTCTTGTGGCTATAAGTAGAATTGATGGGAGAGGGCACCTGGGGACAGGGAGACAGGTGAGGAGGCCTGTATTATGGTCCAAGCTAAAGAAGATATTTTAGATTATGGTCAGGGCATAGGAAGTGGAGAGAAGAGAATGGGCTGGGGAGATACTTATGTAGTGGAATCAACAAGACCATATGATTGAAGGGGTGTGGGGAGACACTGCTAGTCCATAGCTTCGGGGGTTTCAGGCAGGCCTCTGGCCCAGGGGGTTCCCAGAGGGGACAGATCACACCTCCCAGGGGAGCTTATGCCAAGGAGGGGGCCCCCTACATAAAGCATGTACAGACATGTTTTGGGCTTTGATGTAAAATGCTCATGGCATTTACACAGTGTGGAGCCAAACGCCCAGAAGGCGAGGGGCCTGTTGTTCTTCAAAGAAAGCTGTAGTCAGGTTTCCACCAACATGGAGCAGCCACAAATTATGACATTACTTGGAGGAAGCAAGATTAAAAGACAAAAATCCCAATCCAGGACCTACCTTTAAGACTGGGGTGAAACGAGGGAATGCTGCATGGGTGGGTAGGGATTGGAGGGGACCGTGGCATGCGTTAGGTAAAAGGAGCTCTGGGTCTCCATCCCACATGATTTGCTTCTGGTCTTTTGAGCTCACAACACCTGCCCATCTCCCTTCTCCTCCACCTCCCTCACCTAATGCTCTGGATTGATGGTTGTTCTGTCCCTTTCCCCATGTCCCACCCGAGGCTGGCCTGACTTGCCTGTCCCTGGACTGCAGCCGCCAGGTCTGCCTAGCTCCTGAGGTGCTCTTACAGGCCTCCCAACCTGGTCACAGGCACTCCCTTCCTGTCCCACGAACCCTCTCTCCCAACCCCAGCTGCTGATCCAGCACCTCTCCCAGCAGAAAGCAGCTGACCAAGAAACATGGAAATGAAGTTACATTTTAGACTCTGAGAATTAGAGAGGTTTTGGAATCCTGGGAGAAAAAAAACCCAGGATAATTGGAGTTGTTATTTATGAAGCCAGGCACTGTGCAAAGAGAATTGCATGCATCATCTCATTTGATCTCCACAATCCCCTGAGTATTACTCTCTCTGTTTTACAGATGAGGTGATGGAAGCACAGAGAGTTAAGTGACATGTCCACAGTCACACAACTTGCCCAAGGTTATATGACTAGTATGTGGCAAAGTCAAGATGCAAAGCCAGGTCTGTGTGATTTTAAAGCCTGTGCTGAGGATCCCTCCACTTCCTGTCTCCCAGCACCTGACTGCACGTGGACTGCTCCATCAGGGATCTTTGTTGCACTATGTCCCCTCGTGACCTCATCAGTCAGAGTGGGATGCTCCCATCCCCAAATCAACCCCAGAGCTAGGCTCAATGAGATTTAGAAAAAAATCTCTGATACAGAAATTATGTTAACCATACTCCTTGTCTCGTAGCTCATTATCATAAAAAGTCTGTGCAAAGCCTTCCATTGTTTTATGGGTTCCTTTCCCACTTTATCCACAGTCCTCACTCCAATTCCCTTTCCTCCCCTAGGTACTCACCATAGGGTATTTGATATATGGTCCTACATACTCATGGATCCTTGTTAAAATCTAATGTTGTTTTGTGGTGTGTATGTGTTTTTAATTTACACTGATGGTGCTGTGCTATAAATCTTGTTCTGTTCTTACTTTTTTTTTCCTACTCTGCACTAGGTTTTTAAGATTTATCCCTGTTGCTCTTTACACTGCTAGTCCATAGCTTCAACCACTTCCCCCATCTCTTTCCTTTCCATTCTCCCAGGCTTCAGCCAAACAGGAACAGTGCTTGGGTGATCATTCTGAAACATGTCCCTTATGAATCTGTTCCCGAAATGGCTCTGGACTCTTTTCCCAGGAGAATATTTTTGGGTCATAGACTTTAGACAAACTTAGTTTCACTAAATATTTCCACAACATTTTCAGAATGGCTCTGGACACTTATTTTGTTAGTAGCAAAGTTTCCCATCTCTCCATTTTTCTTCCAACACGTAGAGCTCACATGTTGAGCTCACAACAGGTTGAGCTCACAACACCTGTGAAGTAGTTTCAGCTACTTCTCTAATTGTGAGATTGATTGGTACTCAAAGGAGGGGAGCTACAAGACCACAGGGCCAAGCCCATCACCTACCCCAGGGTAACAGCTCCTCCTTAGCTGCTGGCATTGAGAACTATTCACACACCTTCCGTGCCCTGCCCTGTGGCATGTGTGAATCTCCCTCTTTCTCTGTCTGTCTTGACTTGTCTTGCCCTGTTTAATCAGAGCCACTGTCAGCATCAGGTAGAACTCAGAATTAGTTGTGTGATTTGGTGTTCTTGTGTCTGAGGATGTGCCCACTGTATCAATATTCCTCCCAGACCTTGCTTAATTGACTCCAAAGATAGCTGTGCTTCTTTCTCATCTCCAGTGCCAGCCCTTCAGGGCCTCAGTTTTCCCAGTCCTCTCAATCTCAGCTACTTATTCCTCCTCCCTGCCTCATACACGCCATCCGACCTAGGTGGGAATCTCAGAATGCTCTCCTCCCTAGGATGGATGACCATTTGCATAACTAGCAGAGTAAACTGCAGAGAACTTATTTTTGGCTTTTCACTATTGTAGAAAGACATTTCCCTAAATTTCCTTGGGGGGATTAATCAGAAAGAAATGGTGCTCCCTCACCTTCCACCCTATGTTGGGAAGGGGAAAATTCTCCTTTGTGTGTCTAAGATTTGGTTTCTTTATGACTGGCTACTCCACTGTGGAAGAGAGAGGCAGAAGAAGTCCTCTGTGTTCTGGAATTTGACAAATAAACTGGTCTGATGCTGGGAGACACTCTTGGGCTAACAGTGGAGTCCTAAGAATCAATTTACGTATAGCATCCATGAGGCAATGTGTAAATGGAAGAGAAAGCAAAGAAGCTGATGTTTAGAGACAAGGATGAGGCGGAAGAGCAGAGCAAAGTAGAAATGGAAAGGTCACGAGGAACTTGAAAACAAACAGAAATGGGGAGAATCACTGCTTGACAATAGTATCAGCTTACCAATGTTACAAAAATACTGCATAACAAACACCCAGACAATCTCAGTGTCATATGACAAGTATTTATGTAGCCTGTGCACCTATTGGCTAACTGGAATTGGCTGATATGGATGGGCTTAGCCAGTTGGTTCTGTTGGTTTCATCAAGGCTCACTCTTGCATCTGGCTGGCTGGGGACTGTCTGATCTAGGTTGGACTCTGTTGGTGGCAACTCAGCTTCACACTTCTCTCGTTTTCCTCTTGGGACTAATGGGCCAGCCGAGGCCTGCTATTCTCATGGGAGTGGCAAAGTGCAAGACGACAAGCCTAATCGTGCACACGCTTTCCAAAGCTGTGGTGTTGTGTAGCTTCAAAACGATTCCAAACACTTATATGGTTTGCTACATGAATGATATATGTGCTGCTGTGATAAGAGCTCAGAGTGAACTCCCTCTGCCTTTGGGATTATTACATCACATCTTATCAGACCCCATATATGAGTTACTGACCTGAACCAGTGGACTTCAAAATACATGGAAACCTAAGAGTTTGACAGACCTTTTGAGAGCTTAGGCTGCAGTAGGTTACACTGTTGGCTGCTTTTCTAAAGACAGAGTCTACAGTGTACAAGGCTGCACTCTGTCAGCCTCTTCTCCAAGACCCACAGCTCAGGCTGTGTGTGACAGGGCCACACCTTATTAGCCTTGCCTGCCAACACCGCACCACCCTCTAGGAGGAAGAAAGGACTGGCATGAAGTGGAGCCAGGGGTTAGAATCCAGCTGATGAAGCTGGGAGGAGTCAGCTTCAAGTCCAAGTTCAATTGGCCCAGGGCCATGGGATGGAGCCTTCATGCATGTGTGTGTATATGTGTGTGTGTGTGTGTGTGTGTGTGTGTGTGTGTGTGTATTTTATCATTGTACTTCAATGAGGCTGAGGCAGGTAGGTACTATAGAAGGCTGGACATCCAGGCGAGAGCTTCCTCTACTTCTTTCCCTTCCTCCCTCCTTCTTGGAGAGTGGGAACCATCTGGGCTACCCCTGCTGCCTGCCAATGCCACTGCAGAGTTATGGGTAGTCCCAGTGGCCCTATCCCTCACTTACAACAACTGTTCAGGAGCCAGATCTTTGGGAGTTTTATGGGTGATGAGAATGTATGAACCAGAACAAGTTTGACTCCTTGACCCCCCATTGAACTAGCAACAGGAAAAGTGAAATCAATTCTGGTAACCTGAGCAGCAGGAGAAAGCAGGCAAGAGTAATGGGAAACCATCAAGGCCATTTCTCACCTGCACAACAGGGAAGAGGAGAAAAAACCAAGCCAATAACAACACAACGATTGTGTATCGATGCCTGCTATGTAGCAGACCCTGGGCTGAACAATGGGATGCACAAATGCATGTCCTGGAACTGGTGCTAGTCTGGTTGAGGACAGGGTCCACACATATAGATACCTAAACACAGCACGCTGAGATGGGATGAAAGACAGAGTGCTGTTTGAACCTAGAGAAAGCAAGACCAGGCAGCTTGGGCAGGAAGTCCACACAGGGAGTCCTAGCATGGGCTAGGTTCTGCTGCAGCAACAAACCACCTCAACTTTTAAGGTTTAAAACCAAGGTTTTGTCTGGGCACGGTGGCTCATGCCTGTAATCCCAGCACTTTGGGAGGCAGAGGTGGGCGGATCATGAGGTCAGGAGATCGAGACCATCCTGGCTAACACAGTGAAACCCCACCTCTAGTAAAAATACAAAAAATTAGCCGGGCGTGGTGGCGGGCGCCTGTAGTCCCAGCTACTCGGGAGGCTGAGGTAGGAGAATGGCGTGAACATGGGAGGCGGAGCTTGCAGGGAGTCGAGATTGTGCCACTGCACTCCAGCCTGGGTGACAGAGCGAGACTCCATCTCAAAAAAAAAAAAAAAAGAAAAGAAAAGAAAACCAAGGTTTCCTTCTCCATTGTGGGTTAGCAGGGACTCTGTCTTACTCTGGGACCCAGGTTAAAAGAGCAGCTGGCATTTGGCTGTTGCTAGTCACCATGCCAGGGGGAAAGAGAATTCTAGAGAGCCTCATATGGGCGAGCAAATGCTCAGGCCCAGAACTGACAACTGTCACTCTCACCTATGACTTACATCAGGGCTTGAACATGCAATCCTATAGTGTGCCCAGCACATGGGGAAAATGAAAAATCTGGTGAGCAGCACTCAGGGATGCCACAGAACTTTGGAGATTCTTCCCAGAGGAGAAGAATTTTGGGATGGGGTTTAATGAAGAAGTAGGCAATGAGGCAGAGAAGGGAAGGACCTTCCAGGGTCAAAGGCTCCATGGAGACATAAAACATGTAAGGTGTGTTCCAGGAAGCCTAAGGGCGGTGGGTGGTGGAGGGAGACAGGCGAGGGGTGGCCTCAGTGTAAAGCTTCTTGTGAGCCTTACTTGGCGATTTGGAGTTTATCCTCCAGCAATGTGCAGGCAGCAGACGTCTCTGAGCAGCACAGTGCTGGGGTTGCTTAAAAGGAAATGCCCGGGAGGATTTGGGGAGAGCTATATCGGGCACTCAGCTTCCCAAGCAGAGGCCTGCAGTCAGCTGGCCTCAGCCTTCATTGTCTTTGTTTCCCTGGATAATGCTTTTTATAACTCTGCAATATCCAGTACTTGCTCTTATTTTAAAGATTTTAAAAACCTGCTGTTGTGACTGGGGCAGTTTGGGTGAATGAAATCATGCTTTTTGTTGGACTGTGGAGACAACATATATAAATGATATCATTGGCGCTGAGAGCTTGGCAGCTCCCGGATGTATCAGAGGTCGTTCTTAGAGCCCTCATTAAGGCTGTACATCACAAGTTGCCACAAGACCGAAGGAGGGCAATATGATTTTGTGATGAGACTTCTGAGGACAAATGTCTCTGAAGAGGGTGTACAGCTGCGTTTTCAAGTTCCCATCTCCCATCTCTCTAGATAATTCCCTCGTCAACATAAAGAGAGGAGGCTGGGCAGGGAGGGAGCTGTGGAAGGAGTTGCAATGTGGGAAGGGCTTAGTCTAAAATACCTTTGTCAAAGTTGAGTCCTTGGAACCATGTTTGAAACATTGCACTGCTACAGAGGAGTTTTCACAGACGGTGCCCCCACTGGGGAGAACCCTTAGCACTCTCTCTCCTGCTTGTACAGATGAAAGAAGACTTCAGTTCTGGTTCCCAAGAGGGACACATGTTGGAGAAAACACTGATAACCTCCCTCTTGCCTACATCACTGTGCTCACTTCCTCTGGTACCTGTATTCTTTCTGTTGGTGAGCTTGACACTGTTGGCCAGGGTTCTAGGGAGCAGGATCACACGGCAGTGCTGGTCTCTCTTTCATGCCGCGATCTCTCACACAGACACAGCCTATCTCAAAGAGAGATGAGAAGAGCCAGGCCCCCTCTCTTCTTCCTCCATGCTGTTAGCTCACCAGGGCAGATCTTGACCTCAAAGAATGCCGTCTTCCCTTCTGGAGCTGGTCCTGTGATGTGAACCTGGCTATCTTCAATTCACAGGATAGGGAGTAAGACATTTCATTTTGGCCTTAGGTCCAAGCCATCTTCTTCAATGTAGCTACTACTAGAGAGCCCACAATGAAGCCAATAATTGGCTCCCCATTTGGCAATTTGTGTCCCTTTTCAGAAAGAGGAAGGGTTAGTAATCAGCACTTTTAAGTACCAGCATGCAGCATTAACAAGTTCTCAAGGCCTGCAAGCCATAGGGTTTCTGTCTTCCCTGTACTGGCCTTGTAATCTCTGACCATGATTAGGGTAAGAGTTAAGACACTCCCAGGACAGGAAACAGAAAACATCAGATTTGTGTTTTGGAATGAACCCTCTTGGCTGGATGTGGTGGCCTGTAATTCAGCACTTTATAAGGCCAAGATGGGCAGATCACTAGAGCCCAAGAGTTTGAGACCAGCCTGGACAACATGGCAAGACTCCATCTCTACAAAAACTACAAAAATTAGCTGGGTGTAATGATGTATGCCTGTGGTCCCACCTACTTGGGAGGCTGAGGTGGGAGGATCCCTTGAGCCCAGGAGATCAAGGCTACAACAAGCTGAGATCATACCACTGCACTCCATCCTGGGCAATAGAATGAGACCCTGTCCCCGTCAAAAAAGCAAAAACATTAAAACAAAACAAATAAACAACAAACAAACAAAAAACCCAAATAGAATGAACCCAAATAGATGAACCTGGATTTATAAACCAGCTCTGTCACTTACCAATCTGTATGACTTTAGACAAGTCCTTTAAGCTCAGTTGTACAATGGGAACAAGGGTAGTACCTACTCAGGATGATTTGGGGGAGCAGGGTTGAAGGATGGTTTGGAGGAGCAGGGTTGAAAGCAAAGGGCCCAGTTAGAAGACTACGCAAAATCCAAGTCAGAGATGATGCTTGGGAAAAGGTGTGCATCGGTCAGGGCTTGAAGAGAAAAACAGAACTGGTAGAAGATGTATGTAAGAGATTTATTGCAAAGAATTGGCCGACATGACTGTTGGGGGCTGGCTAGGTAAGCCCAAAACCTGCAGGGCAGACCACTGGAAAGGACAGGCTGGAACTCCTAGGTGTGGGGTGGAGCTGCTGCCCACAGATAGACATTTGTCTTCCTCAGGGAAGCCTCAGCTCTGTTCTCAAGGCCTTTCAACTGATCAAATCAGGCCTACACCAATATCTAGGGTGATTTACCTTACTTTGAGTCCACTGATTATGGACTACACATCTACAAAATATCCACCTAGATTTGTGCTTGATGGAGTTACTGGGGACTGCAGCCTAGCCAAGTTGACACATAAAATGACCACTCCAAAGCGCTTTGTCCATTCTCCGTATAACAGAGACCCTAATAATTTAGAACAAGACTTATTAGAGGGGCTCTTTGGCTGTGCCTTGATGTTGGTCACAATAGCATAGCAAGCTCCAACTGGCTGGTTGTCAGTCACTACCTAAAGTAGCAAGGAGCCAACTGAGGGAGCATGGGTGGCTTGTTACTCATTTGCCCAAAAGTCCATAGAAGAATTTCATGGCCCCAGGCAGAAGCTGCAAAGAACTGAGCTCCCTGTTGCCACAGGTGTAACATGAGGGTACTGATACCCACTTCAGAGGGTGTTTTTGAGGATTAAATGAGCTAGAAATGACTTGTAAACTGCAGCTATACATATGTATCAGAGTTTCTGATCGAGACTATAAAATAATTTATACGTATCTGTCTCCAGGTCTAAATGTCTTCACTTATAAGACTAGTGTTCCTCACTTATTACCAATCAGCTTTAGCTTTGTTAATAAACTAGATTTCAACAATGTAATAATAAAGCTCAACCTTAAAAAGCATGAATCAGTATTTTAGAAAGTTATGCGAAGCTATTTCAAGAAGTGTGGTAGGAATGACATTTATGTGACTTGTTTCATACATAATCTTGGAAAACGCCTACTTATCTTCTCACATGTAACCGAAATGTTGCGTCCTTGGTGAAGGCTGCCCTAATGTGCCCAGGCCTGGTTATGGGCCTCATCACAGGGTGACCACTGATGACGGATGTCCAGAGACAGACTTAGCCACTTGCAGCCTACCTCAGCTGTCACCACCTAACATGCACCTCCAAACGCCATCCCCAAATCCTACAGTCCTGCCTGTTAGTGTATTTAGAGCCCCTTTCTGCTTGGTGAGTGGGATGAAGGGGGTCTGGAAACCTGGTCCTATCACACCTGGTGTCTGTTGTCCCTGAGGACCTGAGCCCCTGGATTGAGCTGAAGCTCCTTTCCTCCAATGGGTGAGCCACCATGCTTTAGGCACTATGCTAAATGCTGTACATGAATCATTTCAGCTAACATTTATAGATTTACTGCCTCTTACATTTTAGCCACTTTCCTAAGAACTTCATATATATTAATTTACATAACCATCATAACTCTATGAGTAGGTACTATCCTTGTTCCCATTGTACAATTGAGCTTAAAAGACTTGTCCAAAGTCATACAGATTGGTAAGTGACAGAGCTGGTTTATAAATCCGGGTTCTTCTAACTCCATGGCCAATGTCCTTAGCCATGACCCCATATAGCCTCCACAAAACAGCCTAGATAGTCCTGTCTCTATTTCACTCTGCCACCTGCCCCTCCTACACACACACACACACACACACACACACACACAAACAAAAAAACAAAAAAACAAACAAAAAAAAAACACTTTCAGGCACCTGAGATATTACTGTAGTTTGGAGTCTGTGGTAACCTTAACTTTGCAGTTTGGGCTCCTGAGTCCTCTCAAGTAACCCGGTTAATTCCTCAGTTAATTCCTAATCTTCTGTTTGCCTGTCTTACTCTCTCACCCCCCTCCATCAGTCCTCCAGCAGACATAGAATTAAAAAAAAAAACAAAACTGAAGAGCCAAGTCCACTTTCCTGTGACCATCGATCCAGGCTTCTATTCACTCATGGATCCCACCGCACCATCTATATCTGATGGTGCATCTGTCTCTTCACTGGCCTGTTCACTCCTTTCGGGCAAAGATTGGATCTTACTTACCTTTCTCTCCTCAGATCCCAACTCAGAGGACTCAATGAAAGGGTGAGTTATCTGCAACATTAGTGGGAAACCTCTGCTCAGGCACGAGGTGGAAATAGGGCCAGTGGGAAAAATTAAGGGGATTAGAGGGGGGCAGATAAACCTCATGGCTGCTGGCTGAGTGGAGATTGGAGAGTGGCAGTTTGCATTTCCACTGAGAGCTGGGGACTTAGGGAGCTGAGGAATTCATATCAGGGCTATGGTTCTTCCCAGAATCAGCTATGCAATGATGTTGACAGGGCCGGCCCCCTGATTCTGTCGAAGCATCATTGTCCGGATTTCTCTGCCATTTGCATTTATTGAATTTCACTCTTATTTCCAGGGAAAGCATGACAAAGATACAAATGGTAGCACCTTAACCAGTTTAGAGGAAGGTCATGAGGGAAAGAGAACAAAAGGGAAGAAGGCGAGGGGGCAAGAAGAAAGGAAGGAGAAGAGAGAAGAGGAGATGGGGAAAAAGCAAAAGCATGGGGGAAGGGAGAGAGAATATTTCAAACTGACTTCAAGAGGCTTTGTGGTGTGGATGTTAAGAAATCACAGATTAGAGGGTTCTAAAAGAATCTCTACCATCTGTCTTCAGAGTCTCAATTTTGCCCCTGTAAAATGGGCAGTAACAAACTTGCCCTTCACGCTAAACTTTGCCATGAAGAAGGATTTAGGCATGATCTCAAGAATGTGGTGCATTCCTTCCCAAGAATGTCACGAGTCTTGGTGAGTTGTTTTGCAAGATTTGGGACAGCTTAATACTGAGATGGAGAAATAGTTAATTTGCCAGACTTCCAGGAAGGCTGTGGAAGGCAGAGCAGCCTCACAGGGCTCTTGATTCGAGAGGCAATTGGAACAGGGCTAACTGGACCATCCCTCCCAGTGGGGCTGCATGTTTAGGTCAAGGTCTCTTGGCAGGAGCAGCAGGTTTGAATGAAAGCAGGGCTTGAGGGAGTGCACTAGAACAGCAGTATGCAGTCTTTGGTCCCTTAAAAATTATGGAAGACCCTGGCCGGGTGCAGTGGCTCATACCTCTAATCCCAGCACTTTGGGAGGCCAAGGCGGGCGGATAACGAGGTCAAGAGATCGAGATCATCCTGGCCAACATGATGAAACCCCGTATTTACTAAAATACAAAAATTAGCTGGGCATGGCGGCGAGCGCCTGTAGTCCCAGCTACTTGGGAGGCTGAGGCAGGAGAATTGCTTGTACCTGGGAGGCAGAGGTTGCAGCGAGCCGAGATTGCACCACTGCACTCCAGCCTGGCAATAGAGCAAGACTCCGTCTCAAAAAAAAAATTGTGGAAGACTCCAAAAACTTTTATGTTTTTTTAAACCCATTGGTTTTAAAAAAATATATTGGTAATTCAAACTGAGGACATTTTAAGATACCAGAATGCGCAAGCACACATTTCATTGGCCCTCCAATCAGTGACATCATCAGGCATCAGGTAGATGCTGGAGAACTTCTCTGTGCACTTGACAGAGCATGAGAGTGGAAAATGCAAACCACATTTGGCGTGGTTATGAAAACAGTTTAGATCTCTCAGACACCTGTGTACTCCCTGGCCCACCCTGTGAGAACCTCTGAACTACAGACGTGGCAGAATGTTACACCAGATGGAAATCCTGCTGTAACTCTTCAAGACCTCAGACAAGGCGGTGACCTCATGTGATCACAACTGCGATTGGATTTCTTGAGCTATGTGTACCAGTTAATGTGCAAACAAGTCAGAATGATTCACTCAGCCAGAGGCACAAAACTAGAGGGCTCCAGAGAGAAGTACAGTCAGGAATTTGGGGAAATCACAGAAAGGGCCCTGGATCCACGTGAGGTATGAAATTTGAGGATTTGGATCCACTTCGTCTAAATCTGCCAGAAGCAGAAATGCCCTGTGTATCATCTAGGTTCAAACTTGTTGCTGTAAGTTCAAAAATATAACTCTTCCCAAAGGCCTTGAGCCTATAGCAGCATCTGCACTCCCCTTATGAGGTCAGCGTCTGTGCTCAGCCCTACCAGCCCCCTCCCCTTTCCCAGTGCTAGAGAAAACATAAAGCCACTGCAATCAAAATGAAATGTCAAATTTTTAAAAACCCGAGGAACAGCTGTAATTTGCAAGGAGACAGAATGCAATTAGCATACACTTGTCAGAACGGGAGATGGCTCTGTGAGCCCTTTATTGCCTTAGTTTTATTAAGACTGGACTGATTATTACAGTTTCATTTGCTGTTTGCCCCATTAATGGCCAAAGCAGAACAATAAACAGGAAGGCAGTGGAGAGCGTTTAGGAGCAGCATGCCATGCCCTTGAGGGTCTTCATGGAGGTGAGAGAGGAACCAGGTACCTGCGTGTGATTTTGTTTGGAGAAAGGGGAAATGAGGGCCTCAGCAAGGATCCTTCAACCTCTAGTCTACCAGCACTTTTTGTAACTTTTGCTTCCTGGATCGCAGTGCTTTGGGATAGAGGCCAAGAAAATCAGGGCAGAAAGTAAACAATCACAGTGTTAACCTGGTAATCTAGATGAGGCCCTGTGGGGAGATGGGAAATTAGAGTTCCCTAGGCATGTCCCAGGGTGGTCTTTAAATTATTCTGCCGGGGCACTATTCTCTGCTAGGGGACATTTGTCTGCAATCGCTGCTGCCTGCTGGGCCTCTACCCCTGCTCTTACCTGACCTTGCACTGGGGGTTGTTCCCTGAACCCCAGTCCTGCTCTGATTGCCACTGCAGGAGTTTCTGCAGCCCTTGAATCAGACTCAGCCTCCCTGGGTGGGAGGCAGTGGGGTTGCCCCCCAGTCTGTCATCTGTGCTCACAGTCCTGCTGGAGTCTCTTCCGTGGGCTCCATTAAAGGACATGGAGCCTGCTCATTGAGTGAGCGCAACCTGAAGATACGACCGAAGAACAGTTTTATTTTTGCTCCCATTCTTCTTTTAAAATTTATTCAGTGAGGCCCATTTTTTCCCTTGCCTGAGGATGAAATGTCTGTGTCAGGCAGGCCCCATAATTTTCTCCCGGCTTTAAGGTAATAAAAAGATCTCTGGTCACTTTAAACCGCAAATAGTCTCAATTCAGTAATTAAAATGGTCTATTCCTAGATAATAAAAATTCTGGACTTGTTTTAATGCCAGCTAAAGGGGTCCTTTACAGTGGAGAAGCAGCGGGGTCTTTGGCTTCCCAGCCCAGTGTTTCTCCTTCTCTGCCAGCTGACCTGGGAGTTTCCGAGGTTTCTGACCCTTTCAGGGTTTGACTGGTAGAAGGTGGGGT
This sequence comes from Homo sapiens, assembly GCF_000001405.40. Taxonomy (NCBI): domain Eukaryota; kingdom Metazoa; phylum Chordata; class Mammalia; order Primates; family Hominidae; genus Homo; species Homo sapiens. The sequence goes on along the minus strand of NC_000001.11, from coordinate 34,405,767 downwards.
AGGAGGAAGAGGGAGTGTCTCCAGGAAGCAGACATAGGTCTGTAGGCTGAGGCTTCCTCTCTGGACACCTTCTTCCAGCCTCATGAAGACCCCTTAACCTCCAGTTTTGCAGCACTATCTGCCACACAGCAGAATCAACTCACTGGAATATCTTTGCCCAGGTTCAGATTGCTTCTTAGAAAATCTGGGTGGCTGCAGGACAGTGCACTGTCCTTGCTGAGAAAGTGGGGCTCAGTTTGTCCTGCTGAGGTAGGGATTCCCATCTCTGCCTACATTGTTCTGTCTGTTTTGCTTTCTCAGGCTGACAGGCACTGCCTCTCACTTGAGATTCCACAGTAGTTTGTGTGGGAGTCAGACATCAGTTTAAGTGTTCCCACCACTCCAGGGGCCACATTGTGGGGCCTCTATGGGTCCCATTAATGGTACTTCTATAGCTGCAGGTGAAGGAGGTAATATAGACCACCATCACTGGCTTTTTGTTTTTCAACTCTAGTCACTCTTTAACTCTCTCTTGCATATTTTCATCTTGATCAGAGGTCCTGCTGAGAGGTCTAAGGATTGTGAAATTTGTTCTCAGCCTCTTCACTTTGGTAGGCAGCATCAATTATGTTGAAATTGCCTTTTTAACATCCTGTAATGACACTCATTGGATGCCCAGTGGCTGCACTCTCTCCTTCTGGGAATGGTGCTTGGGCAGGTTTGGGAAGCTGCTCTACCTCCCTCCTCAGCCATGTGGCTTGACAGAGAGGTGGCCCCATCCCAGCTCCAGCAGTGGGTCCTGATGGGTGTAGGCCAATCAGCATATTCTCTCCCTCTAACCACAGGGATTGACTCAGCCATGGGCACCTCCTATGGCTTGAATGTGTTCCCTCAGAAGCATGTGTTGGAAATTTACTCCCCATTGCAACAGTATTGGGAGGTAAGGCCTAATGGGAGGTATTAAGGTAATAAGGGCTCTACTCTCATGAATGGATTAATGCTGATTACAAACTATAAAAGGGCTTGAGATTGAGAGTTCAATCTCTTGTTCTCTTGACCTCTCTTTGCTTTTCTGCCATAGGACGATGCAGCAGCAAGGGCTTTGCCAGATGCTGGCCCCTCAGTCTTGGACTTCCCAGCCCCTAGAATCATGAGACAATACATTTCTATTCATTATAAATTATCTAGCCTCAGGTATTATGTTATAGCAGCACAAGGTGGATCTAGGCAAAAAATTGGTACTGGAGAAGTTGGTGTTGCTATGATAAATACCTGAAAATGTGAACATGGCTTTGGAGCTGGGTAATGGGCAGAGGCTGGGAGAGTTTGGAGGAGCAGGCTAGAAAAACCCTGTATTGCAGTGAATGGAGCATTAAAGGGGATTCTGGTAAGGACTCAGAAAAAAGAAGAACTGGAAGAAAAATCTGGAACTTCTTAGAGATTACTTAAGTGGCTATGATCAGAATGTTGGTAGAAATATGAACAGCAAAGGCCATTCCGATGAGGTCTCAGATGGAAAAGAGGAATATCGTATTGGAAACTGGAGTAAAGGCCTTCCTTGTTATGAAGTGGCAAAGAACTTGGTTGAATTGTGTCTATGCCCCAGGGCTTTATGGAGGGCAGAATTTAAGAGCGATGAACTAGAGTATCTGGTGGAAAAAATTTCTAAGCAAAATATTTAAGAAGCTGCATGGCTTCTTTTAACTGCATGCAATAAAATGAGAGAGATGATTTAAAGAGAGAATTTATAATTAAAAGGAAACAGAACTTAGGGATTTGAAGGATGCTCAGTTTGGTCATGTGATAGAGAATGAAAGAGCATTTTCAGGAGAGAAAACCAACGCTGTGGCCAAGCCACTGACTGATAACAAGATTAGTATGCATAAAATGAAGCCAGAGGCTATTCTTCAAGACAATGGAAGAACAAACCATAAGGTACTTTGTAGATTACTAGTGCTGTTCTTCCTACCAGAGGCCCAGAATGCCAAAGTCAAATGACTTCTGGTGGTAGCAGAGAAATAAGCTATACCTTATAGCCTAGGTGTGTAGTAACTGGACCATCTCGGTCTGTGCAAGTACACTCTATGATGTTCACACAATGACAAAATTGCCTAATAAAATATTTCTCAGAACTTAGCCCTGAATTAAGTGATGTATGACTGTATGCCAAAAAAGAGGCCTAGGGCACCCTGGGGACCTTGAGGCTCACTGTCCAGAGCTGCCTCAAGTCTCTGCTCCTGAAATTTTGGCAAAATGCTCCCAGGTCACTCCAGGTGTGGCTCAAGGGGGGTCAGGTGTGGCTCAGGCCACAGTTTCAGATGAAGCAAACAGCAAATCTTGGGTAGCATCCATGTGGTGTTAAGTCTGCAGGTGTGCAAATGCAAAAGCTGTGGAGCACAGTTTCTTCCATGTAGGTTTCAAAGGATATCTCAGGCAGCCTGGATGCTCAGGCAGAGACTCATCCCAGGGGTGGAGTCACTGCAGGGAGTCCCATGAGGGCAATGCTTAGTGGAGTCATGAGGATGGGATCACCCCCAAAACTCCAGAACTGTAGAGCTACCAGCATGCAACACCAGCCTGGGAGAGTGGCAGATACCTGACTTTAGCCAGTAAGAGCTGCTATATGGGCTGAGCTTGGTAAAGCTATAGGGGCAGGGCTGTTGGAGTCCTTGTGGACTCAACCCCCATGTCAGTGTGCCCAGAGGTGGAACATGGAATCAAGGAAGATTATTCTGGAGCCCCAAGATTTAATGTTATTTGTCTTTTGGGGTTTTGGACTTACTTGGGACTAGTTGTCCTTGTCTTCTTGCCTATTTCCCCCTTTTGGAGTGGGAATGTCTATTCTATGCTTGTCTCACCATTATTTTGGAAGTAGGTAACTCTCTTGGTTTCACAGGCTCACAGTTGGAAGGAAATTTGCCTTAGTATGAATCCTGCCTTGAGTCTTACCTGTATCTGATTTAGATAAGACTCTGACTTTGGACTTTTGAGTTGATGTTGGAATGAGTTAAGACTTCTGGGGCTATGAGATGGAATGAATATATTTTATATGTAAGAAGGACATAAATCTTGGGGGCCAGATGTGAAATGATATGGTTTGAATGTATCCCCCAAAAGCATATATTGGAAACTTAATCCTCAATGTAACAGTATTGGGAGGTGGGGCCTAATGGGAGGCGTTTAGGTCATGAGGGCTCCACATTCATAAATAGATTAATGCTAGTTATGAATTATAAAAGAGGATAACGCTGCAAGTTCAATCTCTTGTTCTCTCTTGTTCTCTCTTTGCCCTTCTGCCATGGAGGATGCAGCAGCAAGGCCCTTGCCAGATGCTGACCCCTCACTTTTGGACTTCCCAGGCTCCAGAACCATGAGCCAATAAATTTCTATTCATTATAAATTACCCAGTCTCAGGTATTATGTTATGGCAGCACAAAGTGGACTAGGACAGCACCCAAACAATCAGCACAGAGAGAGGCGAGGAAACATGCTGAGGATTTTGCGTGGGAAGATGCAGTCTCTGTTCTGTGGGAATGACCAAAAAAAGACCACTTCTCTTCCCCTAGGCAGTCAGGTCTAGGGGAGACTGTGAGGTCTGCAATTTTGATGGCCATTTTACTGACACAAGGGGAGAGTGTGGAGCTACCAGGGTCCACCATGTGTACCCTGAAGATGAGCCAAGACCACAGCCTTCTGTGGTCTTGGCTTATCTGTGCCTTGATCATGAGAAATCAGGTCCTGGTGACATCAATTGAGTCACCAGGTCAGGTCTCCTAAAGCTAGTTTTCAACTGGGGGGGATTTTGCTCCTTCTCCCCAAGGGGACATTTAACAATATCTGGAGGCATTTTTGATTGTCATAACTTGGGAGGTGGGGGAGGTGCTACTGACATCTAGTGGGTAGAGATCAGGGATGCTGCCAAATATCCTACAGTACACAGGACAGCTCCCAAAACAAAGAATCATCCAGCCCAAAATGTCAGTAGCAATGAGGTTAAAAAACCATGCTCTAACACCAAAACTGTATCTGGACTTTTCAATCATATGAGCCAATGTGTTTATTTTATTTGTTTTAATATGCAGTTGGTTTTCCTACGATTTGCAGTTGAAAGAATCCTGACTGACAGTTCCTAAAACAGGACACCTTCTCATTCCCAAGTTCCCTCCTCAGAGCCTCACCTAAGGCCTGCAGGCCCCTCCCAGGAATCACCGTTCTTGACATAGTCACTGTTTCTGCCTCCTTGGTAGACACTTTTCAGAAATAGTGTCCTCCACTCCAGGAATCCCCATGAAAAATCCCATCTTCTCAAGTCTTAAAGATACTTGGATGAAAGCATTTACAATTTTGCCCAAAAATTTCAAGATCACAATTTAAAAATTTTAGTATGAACTATTTCAGACCTACAGAATAAGTGCTCACCATCCTGCTTAAGAAATACATCCCTTTTCCTAATAGCACTTTCCTTTCCCTCCTCAAGAGAAAACAGTTTCCTAAATTTGGTGCTTATCTTCTCATGCTTATTTTTTGTATAGTATCTTCTCTTCATATATTCCTAAATACTATATTTCTTTGAATCTTTTATATACACTTATATAAATGATATCATGTGGTATGTATTCTCATGACTTGTTTTCTTTGTAATGTGTCTTAGAATCCACCAGACTGCTTTAGGTAGCTTTGGGTTCTTCTGGTCTATGTGATGTTTCCTTATGTGAATTTAGATATCCATCCTCGTGGTGAAGCTCAGCCCAATTTTTCCACAAGTAAAAAGATGCCTCTGTGGAGATTCATGAGCCTGTGTCCTAGAGCACATGTACACAAGCTTCTATTGCATTCACCTAGAAGTGAATGTTGAGTTGTAGTGTGTGTGCACTTTCACATCCTACTAGCTGTTGCCAAATTGGTCTCGAAGGTCACCTGAAATTTACTCATGCTATATATGTTGTAAAGATATCTTAGAGGACACAAATATTGTTCTTGGCCCTCATCCATCTCAGTCACTCCTGAGATTTTTTGGATCTTTGTGTGCAAATACTATGTGAATAAGTACAATAGAAAGAATAATGGCCTTCCCAAAGATATCCACTCCTAATCTCTGGAACCTAGGAATACATTAAATTCCATGGCAAAGGGACTTTGTAGATGTGATTAAATTAAGGATCTTGAGATGGGAACATTATCCTGGATTACCCTGGGCCCAATGTAATCACAAGGTCCTTATAAGAGAGAGGCAGAGGGGTCAGAGTCAGAGAAGTCAATGTGATGAAGGCAGCAGAGATCAGAGTGAAATGAAAAGTGGCACACGAGCCAAGGGATGCAGGAGGCTCTCCAGAAGCTGGAAAAGGTAAGGAAATAGATTGTCCCCTTAGAGGTTTTAGAATGAATGCAGCCTGTTAACCCACTTTGTGATCTTGATCTCCAGAAGTGTAAGATATTAAATGTATGTTGTTTCAAGTTTGTGGTAATTTGTTACAGCAGCAAGAGGAAACATGCAAGAAGCAAGGCCAACTCAGAGCAAAAATTCAGAAGGCAAAGCTGGTCTCTGGTGTGCCCACATGCCCAGTACCATGACTGACAAGTTGGCTGTCTTAGTCTGTTTGGGCTGCACTAACAATACCATAAACTGAGTGGCTTATAATAAACAGAAATGTATTTCTCATAATACTAGAGGCTGGGAAGTCCAAGATCAAGGTGCCAGCAGCAAGGTGCCTCTGTGTCTGGTGAGGATTCACTTTCTCATAGATAGTGCTGTGCCCTCCTTACATGGGAAGGAATAAGGAAGCTCACTGGGGCCTCATTTATAAGGACACTAGTCCCATCTATGAGACCTAATCACCTTCCAAAGGCCCCATCTCCTAATAACATCATCATCTTGGGGGTTAGGATTTCCATATATATATATATATATATATATATATATGGGGAGAAATATAAACATTCAGACCATGGCATGGGCATTTAACAAAGGTTTAGCCCCTTCTCTTTTCCTCCCTGTTCAATCAATCCCAAGTGCTGACCCCTCAGGCCACCCTGAAGGTCCTAGTAAAGAGGAAATCTCCTAATACAGGTTTTAATATTAGAACATCTAGGAGATCCCTTAGAAGCTCCAACAAAAGAAAATCACATTCTTATGTTAGGCACTGCCCGAGGTGCCTTCACATGGTATCTCATTTGAGCCTCACAGAAACCCAAGGAGGTAATAATAATAATATCAACAATCATAAATACTTATTATTGAGACGTGTTTTTGATTCTAGGCTCCATGCAAGGGATCAGTTGAACTGTGCAGCTAGGCATGGTCATCTCATTTTTATTGATGAAGAAATCAAGTGAGGCTAAGTGATTTTTCCAAGACTCCAAAGCTAGTATGTCATGGAGCAAGGGTTTGTAACGCAAGTCCATGTGATCTCAAAGTTTCTGCTTCTTCTATGGCAATTTCCTCAGAAAATAGTTGTAAAGAGAGTTCCAGCCAATCCTTCCCTTCATAGCACACAACCATAGTTCTTTTCCTCCCTCCTGTCAATACCCTATGTCCATAGTGAATCCCACCTCCTCAATGCCAGAGATACCTGTATTCTGCATTTAGTGACTGCAGAGAATTGGGCAATTCTTCCCCAGTTCCAATTCCTCTGCAAACATTTCTTCCTCCATCTGCTGATGATAATCTTCTGGCTTGCCCCCTGTCCTATCAGAGGCAACCGTCAGAGGGCGTCTGCAAGGAAACTGTGATGAGTTGCTACCAGCACGTTCCCGAGTATGCCTGTGTGTGTGTCTGTGTGCTTATACATGCACACAGGTGACTACTAGACTGCTGTATAAGTCCCTTTAGGATGGCTGGATTAGCCCAAAGGTCTCAAGCCTAGAGGCCACTGTAATCTTTGATCTATTTATGAAGCTTGGAGATAGGAGTAGGGCTGTGCATGAATGAGGAGGCTTCAGTGGCCACTTTCCTGGCAATGTCAGTTTTATGGGCCTGAAAAATATCCCATCTCTGCTTAGAAAGTTGCTTAAATGAAAACTCAGTTTGCCAAGTTGCAGGTAGTTGTGATCACATGACTAGGCATAGGGCAATAAAATGTGAGCAGAAGTGATATGTATAACTTCAGGGTCATTTCCAACAGAAGACAAGCCAACTTTCCTGGATGTGGCTCTATTTTACCCTTCCTGAAACTGAGGTTTCTGACTGACTTCATGAAGCGAAGCTGCCCATCATCTAGGCTGTCTGGATTGTTACACCAGTGGGAAATAAACTTCTACTTTATGTAAGCCACTCTGTTGCGGGGTATTTTTGTTACGGCAGTTGAGCAGTTTTACCCTAATTAATGTAACTGCATTCTACGAAGCATCAAGAGAGCAATTACCCAGGCTTTATATGTGCAGAAAGGATGACATCATTTTGGGCATATGCCTTGTTTTTTTTTTTCTTTTTTTTGACCAGATGGATTACAAACTGGATCATCCACCCCCATCTCTACTTCACTTTTGACTATGCAGTGGAATTGCATCTTAAATTGGGGTTTGTTTCTATAGTTAGGGCGCATAAGGTAAGAACCGTTAATATTAAAAATATTCTTATGGACTCTCAATAAATCCAGTGCAGCCAGCATTTTCTCTAGCTTTGAAAGATGTCTGTTTCTTTGGTCATGCTCTTGTTAAGGATTGCCATTAAGGACCTTATTCTATTAAAAATATGTTTTAAGACATGCTTATTTCTTTCCACTCTCCTTCAACTTTTTCTTCTTGTCTCTTGGATATAATTGGATTCACCTAGGTTTAACATGTGTATGAAGCAATTCAGTATAAAGACTGGTGGTCAACAGCTTGGCTGCCAGGAAAGAAGGGGACTCTGAATGCTGGAGGCCAGAGAGCTCCCAATCCATCTGGTTTGCTTCAGGTGCAGTCTTGCCTTAGGTTAGGGAGTTGGACACCATGATTTAATGAGATTGCTTTGAGCAAAGGCAAGAAGCCCCCAGAGTGGCAGAGGATGCAGTTGCTTGCATAGGTAATTATTTCTGTCTCTCTTCCCATCCTCTCCAACATCCACCTTAAGTATATACTGATTTATACCTAAAAATCTTCTTACTCTGGTTTAATGCTTTAAGAATTGTTTCAACACAAATCCTTGCAGTATTTTCCATTATTCATCATTTATATATCATTTTTGCAAACTCAGATTATTTATTAAATGTTCACTTTGGGCATTTGGTAAAGACAAAAGTACCCATACTCTCATCACCCTGCCTCAACAACTATCTTCATTTTAGCAGAATCCCTTTTAGTTTTTGTTCAAATGAATATATTTTTCCTTATTTGTAATTATACCAAACATACCTTTTTATTTCAAATTTTATTGCTGAATTCTTTCCATGTAGTTACACCTTTGTAATTATAATTTTAAGAGTTCCATAAAAGCCTATTGAATTTATGTATTATATTTTACTCTGCAGTTGGCAGAGTTCACAATGGAGAGAATAATTATCTACTTCTCTGAGTTGTTAAGGGGATTATAAAGGTATGTGGTGCTTAGCTCAGTACCTAACATACTACAGGATTGGTAGAGAGCATGGTTTTTGGACATAGACTTCCTGGCTTGGAATTCCGGCTTCACCTCTATCTAGCTATATTTCGGAAGTTACTTACCCTCTGTGTGCCAGTTTCCTCAGCTATAAAATGGGGATGATAGTAATTCCTAAACCATAGATTTGTCATGAGAATTAAATAAGTTAAGTCCTACATGTGTCATTGTCATTGTCATCATCCTTATTTTTATTCCTCTCCGATACACTGGGTCATTGCCAAAGTCTGAGAATCAATCCTTTGAAGTAATTAAATTTCGTGTCTTATTGCTTTATCTAAAATTCCCACAATAATAAATTATTAAAAGCTTATCTGGCATATTTGTTCTGTTGCTTATTTTAAAGTTGATACGTTTTTATAATTGTCATTAATTGGGTTTTTGTGTACAATGGGTATTATTTTTTATACAAAAGTGGACATTTCTGTCCCTTTTTAAAAATTCTTGACATAAGGAATAGATGTTAGATTGTATTAAATACTTTGTGTCACCCATTGAAATGATTATGTTGTTTCTTGCTTAACTATTGAAATGATGTGTGCATTATCTAATCATTTCTTTTGATTTCCTTTGGATTTTTGTTCCTGTTGTCCTTTTCCTGCTCTGCCTGTAATCTCTACACATAAGGTAAATGGTAGGTATCTTAGAGTTCTCCATAGAAAGAGAACAAATAGGGTATATAAGAGGAGATTTATTTTATTTTTATTTTTTATATATATATATTTTTATTATACTTTAAGTTCTATGGTACATGTGCACAACCTGCAGGTTTGTTACATATGTATACATGTGCCCTGTTGGTGTGCTGCACCCATTAACTCGTCATTTACATTAGGTATATCTCCTAATGCTATCCCTCCCCCCTCCCCCCACCCCACAACAGGCCCATTTAACATAAGAATTGGCTTATGTAATTTTGGAGGCCAGTAAATACCACAATCTGCTATTTGCAGTCTGGAAGGCCAGTGGTATTGTTCCAGTCCAAGCTCAAAGGCCTGAGAACTAGCGAGAACAAAGGAGGAGAAGGTGGATAACAGAGCTCAAGCAGAGAGCACATTTTCCCTTCCTCTGCCTTTTTGCTCTATTTGGGCTCTCAGTGGATTGGATGATGCCCACCACATTGATGAGGGTGATCTTCTTTATTCAAATGTGAATATCTTCCAGAAACAGCCTCACAGACACACCCAGAAATAATGTTTTACCAGCTATCTGGATATCCGTTAGTTCAGTCAAGTTGACACATCAAATTGACCATCCCAGCAGGAAAATTTAGACAAGGTTTATCTGGGCCTGGAGGTTATGTGAGTACTCCAGCCAGTGAATGGACAAGAACCAAGTGATGAAGTGAAAACTACTTCTATTAACTTCTAAACTGACAATAATAGATGGCTAGCAACAAGTATTAGTTAAAATAATTTAATGCATTTGAGTATTTATTTGCTTAATATTTGAAAATTAATCTTAGCATTTCTACAATGTGTAATGTTAAATAACTTACCTATTTTGAACTGAAAAGGATTTCTTGTATATGATTCTGTGACTGTTACATGAGCAGACATTTGACAGATCTACTTGTATCCTTGGAAACGAATATTTAGTCACAGACAACACTGCATGACTCAAAATTTTTTTCCGAACTCATTAAGTGTTTTATCTGGTAGGAATATGATAGTTAATTGTGTTTACAAGTAATGTGTGCATAAATAAGTAGAACAGGCAATATTAATAACTGTTAAGAGCTTTTAGAACAGCATATGTTATTACCAAGTATGGCTGATGTGAATAGATTTCTTCACTATAAACCACCTTTATTTTGCAGGAATAAATCATATATGTTCCTGGTACATTATTCCTTTAATGTAAGGCTGATTTTACTTATTGATATTTTATTTCAATATTTTCTATTTGTATTCAAATATTACGTTGGCATAGATTTTGCTTTGTGGCTATATCTTTATCAGATTTCAGACTCTGTATCATACTGACCTCATAGACTAATATAGTCACCCTAAAAATTTTTCTTGCTTTGGAATAGCTTATAGCACACAAAAATCATTCGTATGAGGAATAATTAGCAGCACATTTTTATGGCCTTTGTAAATAATCTTCAGGTTAAATCTAACACTGTTTTCCATTTTTTTCTTGCATCAGGTTTAGAATGCCATGTCTTTAAGGACATTTTTTTTCTACCTTATTGAGGTTTCAAATTATCTGACAATTCTGGATAATACTCTTTTATAATTTTTAAAATTATTTTATGTCAGTTGTTATATTAGCTTTCTGATTTTAATTTTGTTAATTTGAATTTGTTTTTGATTGGCTTTACTGGTTTAGGTTTTCTTATTTTGTCACTTATATTTTTCTTTCTTAGTTACTTAGGGTTTCTATTGCTGTTATCCTTGCCAATAGTGTCCCTTGTCCATGTAACTCTGGCCCCTTTCCTAGTCAGAGATAATTGGCTGACGCAGGCAAAGGTCTTCCAAAAGGTAGGATTCATTATTAGAGTCTTACTCACTCGAAGTGCAATTAAGAACCCCAAAGACGGCCGTGCACAGTGGCTCACGCCTGTAATCCCAGCACTTTGGGAGGCCAAGGAGGGTGGTTCACGAGGTCAGGAGATCAAGACCATCCTGGCTAACACGGTGAAACCCCGACTCTACTAAAAATACAAAAAATTAGCCGGGCGTGGTGGCGGGCGCCTGTAGTCCCAGCTACTCGGGAGGCTGAGGCAGGGGAATGGCGTGAACCTGGGAGGCGGAGCTTGCAGTGAGCTGAGATCGCGCCACTGCACTCCAGCCTGGGCGACAGAGCAAGACTCTGTCTCAAAAAAAAAAAAAAAAAAGAAAAGAAAATAAATAATAATAATAATAAAAAGAACCCCAAAGACTGTGATGTTAACTGTAAGGAGCCAATAAGCAAAGTCAGAGTGTATATGGACCAATATTGCCACCAGCAAAGCCCCATGCAAGCTGAAATCAAGGGAAAGAAGGATATCAGCTTGAGGTGTGAAAACTGATAGAAAGAAAGACACGTGTGTGGAGAAAAGCATGAACCAAGAGCCATGTAATCCTGGGGAGATGAAGGTGGACAGTCGAGCCACGTTTTATCCCTCTGGTTTCCATGAGGTCTGACTATGCTTCCCTACCACGTACTTCCATGAGGATACCTTTCTATTTTTATATAACTCTTATCTTACCCTTGGGCTAGAGTTCCTGTTTAATGCTATCAGGCATGTCTTAAGATATTTTCTTATGTTTTTAAACTTAATGCTCACTTCATTTACTTGATTTTTAAATAATTGAATAATTTAAAGTAACTAAGAGGCTGAAGTGGATGACAATTTATTATTTCTCTCATTAATTACTCAAATCATGCAGACCCTCTGATTCTTTAACAATCTTTGCTTCGTCCATTTTTTACCTATTCTTAGCACCCAACACGAGGACACAATTTATTCTCAATGGTTGTCTTAATGGTTTCCCAAGTAGATAAGATACCAGATTCTCATCTCATTCTTTCTCTGAATTACAAATACAAATTAGGTAAAAAAAAATCCATATTTCTGTGAATATATATCTATGTCTCCATAGAGAAAAAAAGATAGGAAGAAAATAGACCAAAGTCTTACCAGTGCTTATTCACAGTTTTTATTTTGTTTGTGCTTCTCTGTTTTCTGCAAACAATGAGAGCGTATTATTTTGTAATCAGATAAATGAAATTATATGAGACTAAAAAATGAACAATTAATTTCTGAGTCTGACTTTGCTGTAAAACAGAGGTTTTTACGTATAGTGTTTTTGTTTTCATTGATTTCCGCATTTGCTATTATTTGGCCCAAATGTAATTCTGCAGAGGATTTTTTTTTTAATTTACAAGCTTTAAACATGTTTTATCTATTTTAACTTATATTACTAATAGATCATTTTTTTTACCTGACCACTAGACTTGAGGGAAAATTGGGTCACAACCCTGGTTATTGGCTCTTCTGCATCTCCTCTCTTTACTGGTTCTGATCTGTCTTTTCTAGGCATAGGCAGAACATAAGTGCTTGACACGGGCAGATTTGTTCATTCATTGCTTTTAACAATTATTTGTGCGAGGCTTACAGCACACTGGTACTGCTCTAGGGTCTGAGGATGGGATACAGAAGTTAACAAGACAGACAAAACCCCTGTTTCTATGGAGTTGATATTCTAATGAGGAAGTAAGCAAGCAAATTAGTGTGCAATGTATAGAAATAAGAGCTACCCAGAAAAACAAGTTTACGTGGAATATGATAGGGATAGGGTTTTCAGGAAGGTGTATTTGCAGTGGCCATATTTACAATGCAATCTGAAAATATGGAAGAAATCACTCCAGGCAGCAGGGGCACTAGTGTGAAGGTCCTAATGTAGAACAAGTGTGGATATTGAGAAAGACAAGGAAGGTCGCCGTGGCTAGAGTTGAGTGGGCGAGAGAAAGTGAAGTAAGAGATGAGGCCGGAGAGGTGAGTACAGGGCAGTTCATGAACGTGCAGATCAGAGGAAGGGATGTGATTTTTAGGTTTGATGGGAACCCACTGGAGCATTTTAAGCAGGGAAGTAATGTGATTTGTTTTATATATTGAAAAGATAACTTGAGGACTTACATTCTGGGCAGATGGAATAAAAGTACTTTTCCCTATTCCTGCCACTAAGTACAACTAATAACCCTGGATGTTATACATAAAACAAATGTAAGAACACTCCTAAAGGTAGAGAGAAAGAAGCAGGCTGGATGAGGACCTTAGGACCTCACCAATGGTGAGTTTCTTATTGTTTCTGTAAATTTTAAATTTTTGCCTATATATCCCAGACTTGGAGCTGAAGAAGCCAGCAACTCAGAAAATGGCACTGATGAAAAAAAAAAAAAAAAGCCACAAACAAACAAAAAGCCCAAACAAAAACTTACTCTCTAGGCAAAGGACCAGGAAAGAGGCTGGCTAGCATGACAAAAAACGTTTAGACAATAACTGCTCTACTCTAGCCAAACACCACAAAAAAGCTGTGGGTCACCCACACCCATGCCAGCAAAAGCTAAGTAGGGAGCCTAGTCTTTTATCCTTTACTGTCTATAATGAAGACCACAACACCCTTGTGGGGGAAGTGTCAGAGAAAGCCAAGTAGGGAGCTGGGACTTTCATCATGACAGATGGTAACAAGCCCTTGACCCCCTGCAGTGTGAATGGAAACCAGCTGGATAACCTGTACATCCACCGCCACCTGGCACTAACTAGATGCCTTTCCCCTTTCCCATTGAAGTGGTTCAGACGAAGCCTAGTGGAGATACAGGACTTTCACCACTGCCCAGAAGTAAGAAGGCCACCACTTCCTCTTTGGTGTCAGTGGAGGTCACTTGGGGGACAGTAACAAGGCACCCCTACCCTTCTGAGCCAGGAAGGTATGAGTGGAGACCTAGTGGGGAGCCAGGACTCCCAATCTTTCAGTAGTAATGAGGGACACACCCTCATGGAGGCTGGATTGGGAACCTGAACTTCTATCCCCTCCTGGCAGTAACAAGGTGGCCCCAACCCCTTTTTCCTGGCAGCTAAGTGTCAGAAGAAGCCAGTTAAAAGAGATTTAAATAAGATTCATAGTACAATACCCAAAATGTTTCAAGAGAAAATTACTTGTCATACTCCAAACCAGGAAAAGTTCAAACTGAATAAAAAATGACAATCAATACATGCTAATACTGAAATGACAAGAGAGGTTAGAATCATCTGACAAAAATGTTAAAGCAGCCATCCTAAAAAATGCTCCAAAGAGTGATCATGTATGCACTTCAAGCAAGTGGAAAATAGAAATTCTCAACTAAGAAATGGAAGATATAAAGTAGAACCAAATTGTACTAAAACACAGAATAACTAAAATTAAAACTTACTAATGGGCTCAACAACAGAATGAAGTGGAGAAAAAGGAAGAAATCAGTGACCTGAAAGATGATAACAAAAATTACCCAATCTGAACAACAGAGAGAAAGCAGATTACAAATAAATAAGCAGAGCCTCAGGGACCTGTGCAACTATAATATTCATGTTGCAGGAATATTGGAAGGAGAGGTGAGAGAAAGTGAGAGTGAAAAAGTACTAAAAGAAATAATGGTTGAAAACTCCCCAAATTTGGCAGAAACAAAAAACATCAGACTCAAGAAGTTGCGCAAACCCCAAACAAAATAAACCCAGAGAATTTCACACTAAGACATCATAGTCAAAGTTCTAAAAACTAAAAGAAAAATATTGAAGACATTGAAGAGAAATGATACCTTATTTGTAAGAGAAAAAAATTCAAATGACTACAGGTTTCTCAGCAGAAACAAGGGAGGCCAGAAGAAAGTGGGATAGCATTTTTCAAGTGCTGAAGGAAAAGAACTGCCAACCCAGAATAGACAGTGAAACTGATTTTTAGGAATTCAAGAGAAATTAAGAAATATTCAGATGAAGAAAACTATGACAATATGTCACCAGCAGAAATGTCTTAAAATAATTGCTCAAGGAGGTTCTCTAAACGGAAAGGGACTGATAAAAGAAGGAAATTTGGAACATCCAGAAGGAAGCAAGAATGTAGTACAAAAAAATGGGCAAGTTCAATAGATTTTTCTTCTCTTCTTGAGTTTCTAAAATTACATTTGACAGTTGAAGCAAAAAATTATAACAGTGTCTGATGTGGCTTTCAATGTATATAGAAGAAATATCTAAGACAATGTATATTACAAATGAGAGAGGGTCAAGGGCCATAAAGGGAAGTAAGGCTCCTATATTTCACTTAAACTGATGAAATGATGACACCAGTAGAATATGGTGAGATATGTATACACAATGTAATACCTAGAGTGACAATTTAAAAACCTATACAAAGAGTGACACATAAATAAACAAAAACAACATAAAAATAAAAATATAATTCTAAAAATATTCAAGTAGCCAATTGGAAGGTGGAAAAAAGAAAAAGAACAAAAAATAGAACAGCACTAAACAAAAAATAAAATCGCAGACCTAGGCCCTGACATATCAATAATTATATTAAATGTAAATGGTCTAAATTTACCAATTAAAAGAGAAAACTGGCAGAGTGGATTAAAAAGTATGATCTAACTATGTGATGTCTACAAGAAACTCATTTCAAATATGACAATATAGGCAGGTTGAAGGGAAAAGAAATAGAAAATGATATATTATGCAAACATTAAAGCAAAGCAGGAGTGGTTATATTAATATCATATAGAGTAGATTCAGAGCAAATAAAATTACCAGAGCTGATAATGGACATTATATAATGATAAAAGAGTCAATACACTAAGGAGACATAACAAATCATAAATACATAGGCACAAAATAAGAGAACTATAAAGATATGTGAAGGAAAAGCTAATGTAACTGAAATGGAAAATAGACAAATTGATAATTATGGCTGGACCTTCAACACCCTTCTGTTAATAATTGATAGGACAACTAGACAGAAAATCAACAAGAATATAGAAGAACACAATAATATTATCAAACAATAGAATCTAATTATTGATAGAACACTCCATCCAACAACAGCACAATACACATTCTTTTAAAATGTCCACAGATAACAAGATACACCATATCCTGGGTCATAAAACAAACTTCAACAAATTTAAAACAATTGAAACCATACAGTGTGTTTTCCAACCATAATAGACTCAAGCTGTAAATCATTAACAGAAAGACAACAGAAAAATATCCAAACATTGGAAGCCAAACAATATACTACTAATAATTCATAGGTCAAAAGGGAAATCTCAAGGAAAAAAAATTGAAAACATTAAACTAAACAGAAATGAAAATACAGCATATAAAAATTTGTGGGTCACAGATAAAGCTGTGATGAGAGGAAGATTTATATCACTAAATGTACACATTAGAAAAGAGGGAACGTTTTAGATCAGTAATCTAAGTTCTTTCTTCAACAACCCAGGGGAGAATATGCAAAATGAACCCAAAGCAAGAAGGAAGAACATAATAAAGAACAGAAATTAATAAAGTCAAAAAGAAAAAAAGAATACAGAAAATCCATGGAAGAAAAGGCTTTTTTGGAAAATATCAATAAAATTGACAGACCACTAACAAAACTGATAAAGAAAGGAAGCCAAGACAGAGTACTAATATCAGGAACAAGAGAGGGAATGTCACTGTAGACTCCGCAGACATCAAAAGAAAAATAAAAACACTGTGAACAGTACTGTGAATATTATTCATAAACATTTGACAATTTAGATAAAATGGACCAATTTCTTGAAAAACATAAACTACCATAACTCACTCAAGATGAGATGGATAACTTGAATAGGCCTGTAGCTAAATAATTAATTCTAAAGCTGCCAAAAAATATTTCTAGGCCTAGATAATTTCATTGGAAATTTTGCCAAATATTCAAAGAATAATTCTTTAATTATGTTTACATTATAATTATAATTCTTTAATTATTTATATTATAACAATTATATTATATTATAATTATTATATTATAATTATTATGTTAATTATACTATAATATATTATATTATAATTATGTTAATATTTATATTATAATTATAATTCTTTCATTATTTTAATAATTCTTTAATAATTCAATAAATTCTACACAATTTCTTGCAGAAAACAAGAGATAACACTTTTCAATTCATTTCATGAAGCTGGTGTTACCTTGATACCAAAACTAGAGAAAAACATAAAAAAAGAAAACTGTGTTGGGGGTGGAGGCTCATTCCTGCAATCCCAGCACTTTGAGAGACCAGCATGGGAGTTTGAGACCATCCTGGACAACACAGTAAGAGTCTGTCTCTATAAATAATAATAATAATAAATAGCCAGATTTTTTAGGGAGGCTAAAGTGGGAGGATTGAGTCCAGGGGTTTGAGGCTGCAGTAAGGTCAAGATTGCACCATGGCACTCCAGCTGGGGCAACATAGGGAGACCCTGTCTCTAGAAAAAAAAATTAAAAAAAGAAAACCACAGACCAATATCCCTCATGAATATAGACACAAAAGTCTTTAATAAAATATTAGCAAATAGAATTCAACAGTATCAGAATTTTATAGTTTTGTTCATATAGATCTTGTACCTATTTTGTTAGATTTATTAAGTATTTAATGTGTGGAGGGGCTGCTGTAAATAATATTATTTTACATTTCAAATTCCAATTGCTTTTTGCTAGTATATATTAAAGTAATTTGACATTGTATATGAACCTTTTACGAAACCTTGCTATAATTGCTTATTAGTTCCAAGAGTTTTTGTTGTTGTTGTTGATTCTTTGGGATTGTCTACATAGACAATCATGCTGTCTGTGAACAAAGGCAGTTTTCTTTCTTCCTTCCCAATCTGTAAGCATGTTTTTCATTTTATTGTCTTATTTCATTAGCTAGGACTTTCAGTATGGTGTTGAATCAGGGTGGTAAGAGAGGAAATTCTTATTTTTTATCTTAAAGGCAAAGCATTTAGTTTCTCACCGTTAAGTACGTCGTTAACTCTAGGTTTTTTGCCGATGTTCTTTATCAAACTGAAGTTTCTTCTTATTCCTGGGTTGCTGAGTTTTTATCATGAATGAGCGTTGGATTTTGTCAAATATTTTTTGGCATTTATTTATTTGATCATATGATTTTTCTTCTTTAACCCATTGATGTGATGATTTACATTTATTATGTTTTGAAGAAGTCTTGCACATCTGAGATAAATCCCATTTGGTTCTGATATGCAGTTCTTTTGACACATTGTTGGATTTGATTTGCTAATATTTGGTTAAGGATTTTTGCATCTATGTTCATGAGAGACATTGATCTATGTTTTTTCTTTCTTGTAATGTCTCCATCTGGTTTTGGTATTAGGATAATATTATCCTCATAAAACAAGTCAGGAAGTATACCCTCTGCTTGTATTTTCTGGAAGAGGTTGTAGGGATTGGTGGCAGTTCTTCCTTAAATATTTGGTAAAATTCACCAGTGAAACCATCTGGGCCTGGTGTTTTCTTTTCTGAAAGTTATTAATTATTGGTTAAATTTATTCAATACATCTGTTAAGACTATCAAGAGTATTTATTTATTCTTGTGTGAGTTTTAGTAAATTGAGTCTTTCAAAGAATTGTTCCATTTTATCTAAGTTATCAAATTTGTGAGCATAGAGTTGTTTCTAGTATTCCTTTATTACCATTTTAATGTCCATTGCATCAGTACTGATGGCCCCTCTTTCATTTCTAATACCAGTAATTTGTCTCTTTTCTCTTTTTTATCCTTAGTAAGCTTGGGTAGAGGTTTATTAATTTTCAATAAACCAGCTTTTGGTCTTGTTTTCTCTTTCCACAAAATAGAGTGCATTCTGTTTTCAATTTCACTGGTATCTGCTTTAATTTTTATTATTTGTCTTCTGCTTGCTTTAGCTTTATATTGCTTTTCTTTCTCTAATTTCCTAAGGTGGAAGCTGGAAGCTTAGATTACTGATTTTAGATATTTCTTCTTTTCTAATATATGCATGTGATGTAATACATTTTCCTTTAAGCATGGTTTTCACTATAAGTCACAAATTTTGATAAGCTATATTTTCAGTTTAATTTAGTTTGCAATATCTTTTTTTTTTTTTTTTTTTTTAGACAGAGTTTCACTCTGTCATCCAGACTGGAGTGCGGTGGTGTAATCATGGCTCACTGCAGCCTCCCAGGCTCAAGCAATCCTCCCATCTCGGAATGGCCAAGTAGCTGGGACTACAGGCACACACTGCCATGCCCAGCTAATTTTTATTTCTTTGTAGAGACAGGGTCTTATTATATGGCCTGGGTTGGTCTCAAACCCCTGGGCTCAAGTGATCCTCCTGTCTCAGCCCCCCAGTGTGCTGGGATTACAGGCATGAGCCACTGTGCACAGCACACTTCACAATATCTTTAAGTTTTCCTCTTTGAGCCATGTGTTATTTAGAATTATGTTGTTCAATCTCAAATACATTGGGGTTTTCCAGCTGTCTTCTTGGTATTGATTTCTAGTTTAATTTCACTGTGTCCTCGGGCATATTTTGTGTCAATTTTAGTCCTTTAAATTTGTTGAGGTATGTGTAATAGTCCAGCATGTTGTCTGTCATGGTGACTGTTCCATATGAGCTTAAGAATAATGCATATTCTGCTGTTGTTTGATGAAGTATTCTGTAAACATCAATTAAATCAGTTTACTGATGGTTCTGTTTAGTTAAACTATTTTTACTGATTTTCTGCCTGCAAGATCTGTCAATTATTGATAAAGGTGTGCTGAAGTCTCCAACTATAATAATGGCATTGTTTATTTCTCCTTGCATTTCTACTAGTTTTTGTCTCTGTATTTTGACACTCTCTTGTTAGGCACATACACATTAAGGATTGTTATGTCTTCCTGGAGGATAGAGCTCTTCTCATTAAGTAATGCCTTTGACAATTTTCCTTCTGAAGTCAGCTTTGTCTGAAATTAATATAGCTACCCCAGCTTTCTTTTGATTTGTGTTAGTATAGTTTCTATTTTTATTAACCTTTTTTTTGTTTTTTTTTCTTTGGCTTCTTTCGATATTTTCTTTGTCTTTGATGTTTTGCAGTTTGAACATGATATGCCTAGGTACAGATTTTGGGGAGTATTTATCCTGTTTGCTCTTCTCTGTGCTCCTTGTGTCTCTGGTGGTTGTCATTCTATGGATCTGTCAATATCTGTCATTCATTTTTTAAAATTTTCAGTAATTATTACTTCAAATATTTTTTCTGTTCCTTTTTCCCTTTCTTCTCCTCCTCATATTCCCATTGCATGTATTTTACATCTTTGGCAATTGTTTCACAGTTCTTGGGGTGTGCTGTTCCATTTATTTAATTCTTTTTTTTCTCTTTGCATATTTGTATGAGTAGTAGTTTCTACTGACCTTTCTTCAAGCTCATTCATTTTTTTCAGCTGTGTCCAGCTATTGATGAGCCCATGGAAGTCCTTCATTTTTGTTAGTGTTTTTTAAATATATATTTGGCATTTCCTGTGGATTCTTTCTTAGAATTGCCATTTCTTTGCTTATATTACTCATCTGTTCTTGCGAGATGTCCACTTTTTCCATGAGAGCCTTTAGCATATTTATTTTCGTTATTTTAAATTACCGGTCTGATAATTCCAAAATCTCTGCCCTATTTGAGTCTGGCTTTGACACTTGCTCTGTCTTTTCAAACTTTGATTTTTGCTTCTTAGTATGCCTTGTAATTTTTTGTTGAAAGCAGACGTGTTGTACTACATAAAAGGGAAATGAGGCAAATAGGCCTTTGGTGTGAGGTTTTGTGTTTATCTGGGCAAGAGTTAGGCTGTTCATTCTTTGCTGTAGCTATAGGTGTCAGAGGCTAAAATTTCCTCTGGTACTTGCTTTCGTCTCTCTTGTTATCTTGGGCTTTCCCTGGAGACTTTTTCTTTATAAGGACTGAGACAATGTAGTTCTTCCTATTGCAATCCCCTGGGAGTATATTGAGGCCCTACTGATGTCGTGATAAGGGGTAGAGGTAGGGGAAGTATTCAATAGTCCTATGATTAGGTGTCAGTCTTTTTTTTTTTTTTTTTTTTTTTTTTGATACGGAATCTCGCTCTGTCGCGATCTCGGCTCACTGCAAGCGCCGCCTCCCGGGTTCACGCCGTTCTCCTGCCTCAGCCTCCCGAGTAGCTGGGACTACAGGTGCCCGCCACCACGCCCGGCTAATTTTTTGTACTTTTAGTAGAGATGGGGTTGCACCGTGATAGCCAGGATGGTCTCGATCTCCTGGCCTCGTGATCCGCCCACCTCGGCCTCCCAAAGTGCTGGGATTACAGGCGTGAGCCACCGCGCCCGGCAGGTGTCAGTCTTTTAGAGAACCTGTGCCTTGGGCTGGGACCTTCACAAGTACTTCTTACTTCTCCCCACCCCAACCCCTTAGATGAAAGACGGGAATGCTATAGGGAGTTGGAGTCGGGGGTTTCCCTTCCCCAGGTCAGTGAGGCTCTAGTAAAATAGTTTCCTTTGATGATGACTTTCATTAAAGAAGAATGAATGCTCTGGGCATTTTTCAGATGATTACTTTCCCCGTGCTCTTGTCATAAGCACGAGATTTATCTCAGGTTAACTCCCTGAGAATCTATCCGTTGGGACTGCTGGAGATAAAACTCATGTAGATGTGGGAGCCTCCCTAAGACTGGCCTCCCTGGAGTTTTTTTCTCTCAAGCATGTCCACACTGAGGCTTCAGTAATTCATCAGTTACAGCATAAGTTCTCCTACCCTACTTCTGGGTCCAGCAGCAGGCTTCTGTTCCTGAACTTCTGCTCCAGTAAGCTGTGATTTTTTGTATTTGCCTGCATCTCCAATTTTGGGGGCAACAGTTTTCTCTGTGACCTAAATTCTCTGACAGATCTATGAAGAGTTTTTGATTTTCTGTTTGTTCAGCTTTTATCTTGTTGTGAGGATGGGAGTGGTGACTTCCAAGCTCCTTACATGCTGGACTGGAAATCAGAAGTCTATCCCTTTACTTTTAATCTATCTGTGTCTTTATATTTAAAGTAAGTTTTTAAAAAGACAACAAGATTATTGGGACAGTTTAATCAATAACAACCATATTTGTTTCTATTTTCTATTCATTGTACTTGTTCTTTGTTTCTTTAAAAAAAATCTGTCTCTCTTTTTTTATGACCAGCTCAATATTCTGGTTGTAATTGGGGATTTTATATGATTCCATTTTCTCTCCTCTTTTACCATATCAATAATGCTTCTTTTTAAAATTTATCTAGTGATTGTCCTAGAGTTGCAGTATGTCTAAGTCCACTTTCAAATAACACTATACCACTTTATGGGTAGTACAGGTACCTTATAAAAGATTATTCCTGATTCCTCCTTCCTGTCCCTTATAACATTGTTGTAATTCTTTTACTAATTCACAAGCTATAATAATCACCCAACACATTGTTGCTATCATTGTTTTGAGCAAAGAGTTATTAGATCAGTTAAGAATAGGGAAAATAACAGATTTTATGTTGCCTTCGTTTTTTCCTTCTGCAACACTCTTTTCTTTATGTAGCTATGAGTTTCCAACCTATATAATTTTCCTCCTTTCTGAAGAACTTCTAACATTTCTTGCAATGCAAGTTTATTGGCAACAAATTATTTCAGTTTATGTTTGTCTGAGAAAGTCTATTTCCCCTTCACTTTTGAAGGATATTTTTGCTGGATACAGAATTCTAGGTCGGTGGATTTCTTCTTATTTTTTTAACGCTTTAAATATTTCACTCCATGCACTTCTTACTTGCATGGCTTTTGAAAAGAAGTCCTATGTGTTTCTTATCCTTTTTCCTCTATAGGAAAGATGTTCCTCCCCTCACACTCTCTTCCCCCAGCTTCTTTCAAGATTTTCTCTATGTCTTTGGTTTTCTGAGTTTAAATATAATATGCCTAGGTGTATTTTTTTTTGGTATTTATTCTGGTTGGTGTTCCTGGGTATGTGGCAGCTAAAACCAAGCTGGTAGCCATGAGGGGTGGGGAGTAGCATTAAATATATGACAATTTAGAAAGATGAGTCAATTGAGCAAAATACAAAAGAAGAAAATTTCAACATACTACAATCTCTTCATTCAGAATGAAAACTCTTATTACCAGTTGTACATATTTCTCAATTTTAATATATATAAAATATTTTATTTGCTAGCCTGCCTTATCACTTATTATAAACATTTTTCTATTTAGATAAATTTTATTCTAAAGCAATTTTAATAAATACATAATATCTGATTATGGGCTACACCAAAATTTACTTAACCCATTCTCTTCTACTGGACATTGAAGCTATTTTCAATTTTTCATTGTTTTATGAACACTTACTGCAATGTTTATTCTATTAGCTAGATATACACAGTCTCACTTAAATAAATAAGACTTTTTATAGCCGGCCTTGTCATCAATGCAATTTGTTAAGAACAGTTTCCTAGATGCATATGAAAGGTTTGCATGTTCTTAAGGATTTTAATATGTGTTTATCAATCATTCTTCAAATTATCTTCCTACCAGCAGTTTATGAATACCCCACAGCACCCATATTAATAACTATCTACTCACCACAGAGTATTATCTTTGTGTTTAATCTTTGCTAGGCTGATAGCGAAATAATGTTATCTCATTGTTTTAATTTTTTATTCTTTGGTTATAAGTGCGGTTGAACATTTCCTTGACTACATCGATTGACTCCTCTAGTCATGTATTCTGCCCTTAGGACTGGGGGTAGAGTCAGCCTCATCTGAAACAGATGGACTGAGAGAAGGGAAGTGGGGGAGCCTCAGCTGAACATTGAGATATTATTATCTAAGTGGGGCAAAAATGCAAAACTTCTACCACAAAGAAAGCAAATAAACCTTCTCGGCCAGGCGTGGTGGCTCATGCCTGTAATCCCAGCACTTTGGGAGGCCGAGGTGGGTGGATCACCTGAGGTCAGGAGTTTGAGACCAGCCTGGCCAACATGGTGAAATCTCGTCTCTACTAAAATTACAAAAATTCACCGGGCATGGTGGCACAAGTTTATAGTCCCAGCTACTCAGGAGGCTGACACAGGAGAATTGCTTGAACCCGGGAGGCAGAGGCTTCAGTGAGCTGAGATCACGCCACCGCACTCCAGCCTGGGCAAGTCAGAGCAAGACTCCATCTAAACAACCACCACCACAACAATAAAAAACAAAAACAAAAACAAAAAAAACCTTCCCTCTTTCTCTCCACCTAATCAGGCTCACTAAATCCATCTAGGACTCTTTTTCTTATATGTATGGTCCTTGGCTGGCATTGGCAGAGAATGGCTAGCCGGCCTTGTCATCAATGCAATGCCATATGGTACATATTTATTGATTATACACAATGGGCAAGAAACAATAGTGGTGCTGGAGGGGAAGGAGGAGGATATCCAGAGGTTTTACACATGGTTTCACCCCTCAGTGAGTTCTCAATATTTGAAAGAGGTGGAAACAACCAAAATTCAAAGCAGAAATTAAGTGAGGACTAAATGCAGGTAAAGTAACCTGAAGAGACAAAATAAACTGGGGTGCAGGCGGGTCATTCAAGGAAAGCTTTGCAAGGCAGCACTCAGGCTGAGCCCTCCACACTGAGTTGGTTTTCCATAGGTGGAGAGAATGATGATTCTTTCACATGAGCCCACAGCATTCAATATACTGTTTCCAAATCCTTTCTCGCAGAGCTCCGTGCAAATGACGACTTGTAAATTATAGGGAATTAATTGCATCATTTATATTCCCTGCAGATCCAAGCCAGATCTGGTCTCAGCCTCTTTAAAGCAAACAGCGCGGCCACATTCTTCCCGTATGGCAGATGCCACTTCTTTCAATTATTTAAGCTCATTTGGATGGCTTGCTGGGGCCCCGGCTGCAAGGCCCCAGCACTCTGTGCAGGCCCATTCCTGGGGTCACTGGGGGCAACTGGAAGGCAGGTCAGGCAGCACCAGGCAAGCAGCCCCAGCTGTGTTTGATCTGATTCCAACTGGGAAACACTCTTTAGAAAACAACCTTCCTCATAGTTACCGTTTTTAATTTCTCCTGAAATATTGACAGGGGAAGGCCCTGGGGAAGAAAAATGAGCCTTGAGAGATTATTCACTGACACAAGGCGCAGTCACGCTCACGGCCAAGCCAGGTTGCCTTATCACGGGCTGCTCTATCCATTCCCCTGCCCAAATTCCTATCAATAACCTGCTAACAATAACAAATTGCTACCTGACACCCTCAACATTCTATTGGGACTAAGCACCTGAAGAGGTGTTTGCAATAAATTGGACTCCTTTCCTTTCCTTTCCTGTTCATATTTCACAGAGTCCACAAATATTTATGGAGTACCCGCTTTGTGCCAGACACTGAACAAGACCAAGAAGGCCCCCTCCTCATGTGAGGCTGACATTCTATGGAGGGGCCCATACCCAAGCAAAGAAAAATAAACTCAGCATCTCAGACAGTGGACCAAAATGGGGTCACAGAAGAGGACCTGACTGCGAGGGAGCTATTTCCTACTGAGTGGTCAAGGTTGACCTCTCAGGAGGGAACATCTGAGTCATAATTTGAATGAAGAACAGGAATGAACTATGTGAAGAGCCAGGGGAAGAACATTCCAGAAAGAAGAGACAAACCAGGAATGTTGGAGGCGCAGAGAAGCCCATGGAGCTGAATTGCTGTGAGCCAAGGAAGGGGTGGTGGCGTCTGAGTACATTCTGTCTCCCGGCCCTGCTCCTTCTGCCATCTTCCCTCCTCCTCCCTCTAACCCCTTTCCTCATCCCTGTCCCCTGTCCCTTGCTCAAGCCAACAAGATTTCTCTCCGTCAGCTGCTCATTCTGTACCTTCCAAACTCATAGACTTCTGGGAGTCCAGGATATTGTGTTTTTTTGAAAGTTTGACTCTTGGCAAAGAGCCAGTGCTATTTCCATCTTGTGTGGAAAATATAGAATTACCGTGAATTATATTGAAAAATTAGATTCATTCACTGCTGTGATAATTTATCTCCCAATCTGTCTCAGAGAGTTAGCAGCTGGTGAGAAAATAAAATGTGATTTAGGCAAAAAAAATCTCACTTTTAATCTATGTCTGGCAGGGAGAGAGGCTATTAAGTGAGTTTACTATTTGCCAATCAGGTGGTTTTCCTTGGCACACCCTCAAATGAAATGTTGTGATAGAGACTAATGGGTAGCTTGCTCTCCTCAGATGGGCCTTGCCAGCCGTGGGCTGTGAAGTCAGGCCCCGCTTAAAATGCAAAGCTTCCTAACCGGGGGCTCCTCCCAGGGTTCATCTCCTGAGATCCTGTTGGACTTGCTCCTGTAAGAGGGTGCACTTTATAGCACTGGGGTTTTCCATGACAGTTTCTGCCTTGAGAAAGGAGGAGAAACAGCCCCCAGTTTTAAGCCTTATTGACTTAAGGTGTTTGAAATATTCCTCTCCAACTGGTAATCGTGGCCATTTTTCTTCTCTGGAGTGCCTGATTATGTGCCCTGCAATGGTCCTGACATCATTGCATGAGTCAGAACACTGAACTAATCATGCTTTGCCCAGACCGAGTCCAAACCTCCCCGCATTGGTGAGTCGGCCCCTCACAGGAGAGGCCACTCCGGAACAGCAGGCTTTAAGTGATAACCAACGTCCCTTCCCCCACAGCATCCCGTAGTGTCAGGGCAGGCTTCTCCCCCTCCTTGCAAGGGATTCTGTCTTCTTGGAACAGAGCAACATAGGGTTAATATGACCCACTTGCTTCCTGGGGAATGAATTTTCTGGGTAGCAAGGCTGGAGGGGTGGAGATAACAATTACTGCTTTCCATTCTACCTAGCTTAGAATCCTACATCCTTGGGAAAACTGAGGCGCAATTGAGCGAGAATGTCCTAGACTGGAATCTGGACTCTAAAGATGTAGTGGAGGTTCTGCCATTTGCTCATCATATGACCTTAGGGGAAGTCTCTTTACCTCTCTTGGCTGGAGCTGCCTCATCTATAAAGTGAGGAGCCTGGGCAAGATGGGCAAGGTCCCTTCAGCTCAGAGTTTGTTAATCTGTGAATTTGTTATTTGGGCTACACAGATGTGTGCCCAGCTCCACTCTGTACGTGCCAGGTGGAGCAGAAACCCTGCATCTAAGCTTGAGCCTCCCTGGGATACTTGCTCAAAGGACCCTAACTCAGGTGACTTCAGGGAATGGAGGGCAGGTTCTAACTTGGGAAGGGTGCAGAGCAGAGGGGATCATCAACTTCTCGTGGGTGACCCACATACTGGGTACATCTGATGAGATGTCACGCTGTGGTGATGGTTTCCTCAAAGCCGCTGGGACCCTCCCGACTGGAGAGTAGTAACAGGGAGCCTGAGTGTGGAGGGCCTTCCTAGAAGTCACCTGGCCCATCAGATGTCACTCCAGGCAGAACTGTGCTTCATCCATCTCCCCAATGATCTCACTGACTTCTTGAACATGACCTATGAGGCCAGGCATAGAGAGGAAGGGTTTGATTTAAATTCAACTTGAACTTCCAGGAAAGCCAGAGCTCTCATCACAGATTCCACCTGCCTCACCTCCAGCCCTCCACCCTGGTCAGGTTAAAACTACTGGTGGAATATAAGAGCAGGGGAGGGTGTACACTGGTGCTGTAACATGGGCAAAGCTGATAAGAATGTTAGGGGATTTTTGAAAGATGGAGGCAGACGAGTTCAGAGGGAATGAGGGCAGACTGTTTGCAAGAGAATGGGGTACATCTATTTGCTCATCCAGCCACTCTTTACTGAACACTGCCTATGTGCCAAGCACTGCTCTCAGTACTAGGGATCCGCAGAAGAGAATAGGAAGGACAAGATCCCTGTTCTCATGAAGATTTTATTCTAGTTTGGAGAGACAGGCAGAAAACTAGTACACAAGTACATAAACAAGATAGTTCAGAATGAGCAGTGCTGTGAGTTGTGATGGGAAACGCACATGGGTAGGCAGGCTACTCCAGGGTGGTTTGGAAAGCTCTCCAAGTGCGGTGAGTTTTGAGCTAATACCTGCATGTCAGGAAGGAGTCAGTCCTGAGAAGGGCAAGGGGAAGAATATTCCAGAGAGGTTCTGAGATTGGGGTGGCCTGACATGCGCCCAGTCTATAGAAAATGGATTGGGGGGCTCCCATGAAGTTAAAGAAAGAGATCCTGGCAGAACTCCACTATTATCACCCCTGCCCCCCAACATCTCAGAGGGAAATCCCAGAAGCAAAGATGGTGTGGGCATGCCCAGGGGCATGGATGGATCCAGCCAGGGCTTAGGGAAGTGCCCCAGGGCACAGGGACTCACTGGGCTGGGAGCTGTAGTGACCCCAGTTCCTGACAGGGATAGGGGAAGAAAGAACCACTGCCTCCTGCCTCACCAGAAACAGCCAGGCCACCTCTCTTAGGCAAAGGACCTCACAGCATCTGACTCCCCTATCTCCCTCCTTCCTACCCCAAACTGCTGAGTCTGAGTATGGACCATCCAGTACTTTTTCAGTGAACCTAATCTTCTCTCTTCTCCCTTGTGTCTGAACCTGACATATTTTAACAAAGACCACCCTGTCAGTCTCAGCCAGAACTTTCCCATGGCAGGGTGAAGGGACAGAAAATAACCAGACATGAGGAACGAAACTGAAGTTCAAAAGAAGAGGACCATCTGAGACATTGGATAACATGTCTCCCTAAATAGTAAAGTTACTGAAAGAAGCAAGAGATAATTTTAGACAAATTTTAATTGTCCTCTCAAAGAGATTCCAAATGTCATTGCATCTATGAATCTAAAGCAGAAACTCATCCAGAAAGGTATGAAGAGAGGACAAATTAGGACAGACTAGACTAGGAGATGACACAGGGTGAGGGGGAGGAGGCTGAGCTGAATTCTGGCCCCACACTTGTTGGCTCTGTGGTCTTGGACAAGTTCTAGAGCCCATCAATCTCCCATAAATAGGGGATTTAAAATAGCACCTTCTTCATGGAGCATTGCAAAGCTTAAACAAGATAACAATGTGTGAACAGCACTTGGCACAACGTCAGGCACACAAGAAGCACCCAATGCACGTTATTCTTTTTGAGAAAGTTCATGAAAATGGAACACAACTGCTTAATTTAGTGATTACAATGAAGGCAAAGAACAGCAAGTTAGATTCTTGAGGAAACCAACAGCAAAGTGGGAGGCAAGAAGGGGGAAATTCTCCCTCATTTCAAAAGAAAAGAAATGAAAGGTGAAAATATTGAGGTTTGAAAAAAAGAGGCATCAATCACAGGGCCAGTAAATTCAAGACAGATATAGGAAGTTGAGTAGGTGAAGCTGGAGCAAATGAAGGGGAATTAATTAATCTTTTTTAGAAAAACAATCGGAACACATTGTCTGCTGTTTCTGCAGGTTGAAAGGACTTACTACACCACAGGAAAGGAAAACAGACTGACAACTAAAAACATCTCAGGGAAAAGATTGAATTTCAGAGAGAAGGAAAATGATTTGCCAAACGTAAAAGAAAATAAAGGAAGTTTATTACAAAGGAAGAAAATCAGACCAGCTTTGGATCTCTCCACAAAAGCAAACACTAGACAAGAAGCAGCAATACGAGAGGAAAAGTGTGATGGAGAATTCTGATTGTCGTTCCAGATTATCATTCCTGTGAGAGCAGCGGGGAGGTTTTCTCATACATGAAAGGCTCAGAGTACACTTGCCATGGGGCTGCAATAAAAAGAATCACTTGAAGATATGGCTTAATGCTTAAGAAATGAATTATAGATAGAATTTAACACTGCGGAAGCCATAATTTAAAGAACCGTAGAATAAACTATGCAATGGAGTCAAGGCAAAATGATGATCTTTAATGGAGTTTCATAATTTGCAATATTTTGTTTAAAAACCATAAAATAAGTTAATGCTAACCCAGCTCTAATAATCTATATTTCTTTTTTCTTTTAAATGAGAAAAGGGAGTAATAGGAGGGAAGCAGAAGTTTCCTAGATTTCTTCTCTTTCGTAAGTATTGATAAAGGTTTCTGACATGAAGTAGAGAGAATAGTCATTTTTAAATTAAAAACAACTTTTTAGGACAAAAACAGGATATAAACTCCAAATTCCTGAGGCAAAAGGAAAGGCAAATACACAGAAAATGTATTTCCATAGAGCAACCACAAAAAAATTGAAAAAAAAAACAGTAAGCAAGCATAAAAACAAAAGCTTAAAATAACAAAGACACCTTTTTTTATTGTGACAACAGATATAAATGAGCTAAGCTCTCTTGTTAAAATTAAAAGACTCCCAATTAAATGATGAATTGAAGTCCGTCCAAGTTTATATCACAGAAAATTTAAAACCCTGCTCTAGGACATGAAAGGAAGTGAATTAATGTCAAAATATACCATGTTCCTTGATAAGAAGTCTCAACTTTTTAAAGATTTGATTTATTTTTAATTAATTCAAAAATAAAACAAAATTCTAATAAACATTCAAATAGAATCTTTTAAACCATGGCAAAATGAATTTTAAGTTATTCTGAAAAAATAAATATGGGAAAAATCCAAATAAAAATTGCAGCAGTAGAATAAAGGAGGCACTTATTTTTTGATATTAAAAATATTTTAAAGGTGCATTAATTAAGAGAGTATGGTATAGGTGAAAGAATGAAAATATCACTGCAACATACTAGAAACCCTCAGAATAGACCTACGTAAGTAAGGTAGTATTTCATGACACTGGGTAAAGAATAGATGATTATCATGCTGAAGTAAGTTGCTAATTATTGGAAATTAACAAAATTGATCACTACATCATAACCACTACCTAGATGAAGTTCAAATGTTAAATGTAAAAGATAAAAGTACAAAGTAACTGAGATAAAACAGTGGTAAAACCAGGATAAATATTTGCTTGATCTTTGGGTGAAGAGGGGATTTCTAAACCAAAAAGCAAAGGAAGAAAAAAAATGCAATTTAAGAAAATGTAGGACTTGACTACATAAATATTAGACAACAAGTTCTCTTTACCAAGAAGTTCATAAATCAAGTTTAAAGGAGAACAAACAAGACCAGAAAATGATATCAAACACACATGCATGCACACACACACAGGTTAATGTCCTGACTATATAGAAATTAATATCAATTAGGACAAAAGTAAGCACTCAGCAGGAAAAAACTTGACAAAACACACAAACTGATGAATTACAAATAAAGAAACACAAGTGGCAAAGCAACATATGAAAAAAATTCCACTTCACTAGTAGACAAAGATATTCAAATTCAAATAACATGTCTATCAAATTGAAAAAGATTAAAGTACATATATTACTGAGTGCTGGGTAGAGGGTACAAGAAACAGGTACTCCTATATCAAAACCCTTAAAAATATTTATAATCTTGGGTGTAGATATTCTCTCCCTAGGAATGTATTCTAAGGGAACATTCAGAAATTTACATTAAAATTAACTACAAGAGTGATCTTTACAGCATTTTTAAGGTGGGTCAAAATGGATGATAAGAGGCAAATCTAATATTTATTTATTGAGCATGTAAAATGGTCAGGCACTCTGCCAAGCCTTTCACATGCATTATCTCATTTTATCCTCAAACAGCCATGTGAGGTACATCCCATTATTATCTCTGTTTTACAGATGAGAAGATAGGGGATTAAAACAACTCAAATGCCCAGCAAAAGAGGATGATTATACATATCATGGAACAAAAATAATATGAATGTAGTAAAGCCATTTAAAACCATATTTCTCAAAGAATACAGACAGAAATCACTAAATGTTCACAGTACATTTGTAAGTCTGTGTGTGAACACGGTACTAAGCATATGGCTATATGATTTTGGAGAAAAGCATATATAATATATGTGTATCTCCCTAGGAAAAAAAGGACAAAGGGATAAAGAAAGAAGCAGAGAAAGAGAGAGAGGAAGAAAGAAAGCTGCTAGCATGGTTTTCTCTATTTAGGTTATAGAATTATGATAATTTCCTTCTTTTTGTCATCCTTTGTCCTCAAATTTTCTTCAATGAACATGCACTTATAGAATAAAATAAAATTTTATTTTAAGGCGGGGATAATTGACATCATTTTCAAAGGTTTTCTTTTTAAAAGAGAAGAAGGATTGCTTTCAGATTTACAGTCAAGCTCTAATGGTTTATCCAAGGTTTCTGGGGTCACTAAAGTTCTCAAAGCTACCTGATCCTAGAAGAGGAACAGGACTGATTTATTTACCTTGTAATAATTCCACCCTTTGGTCCAGAGAGACTCAGGCTTAAAAGACATTCCTCAGATCACTAAGTCCTCCCTCTGGCTAAGAGTTTTATTTTGAGGCTGAAGCCCCTTGTACATTTTCCCAGCGAAAGATATATGTCCTGATATTCATGGTTGCATATTGATATGTCTGAATGCCTCCAGCTCCACTCCAGCCGGGATAAAAGTGACAAATGCATGGCATTGTCTCCAGAATTTCCACAAATGAATATTTTCACTAATAGGAAATAAGAACCCCCAAGTTCCTGATCAGGTTATTGCAGCAGGTGATTTGGGCTATAGAGAGACCTAAAAGTAGAAGTGGATGTTAGGGTGTCTGTCTAGGCTGGCTGGTTTGGGGCATGCAGCCACAGTGATGACCACAGGTGGATCTGTCACAGCTATTCCTAAGGCCATGGCTCACAGGCAGCGGGTAGGGCTTCATAAATCTCAAGGGGTGGGGGTTCAGATCAGCAAAATTAAAGGCTGCCTCTCTCACAAATAAAGCAAAGGGAGCACAGAAAAGTCTCCTGCTGGCAGTATAGTTGTGCATGTTTCTATTTGATCTTTCCACTCATGAGCTCATGCATTCATTTATTCACTCAAAAACTAAACACTTGAAATGTACCAGGCAGTGGGAATACAGGGATGAACAAAACAGTAAAGTCCCTGCCTGAATGGAGGTTTACACCCTGATGGAATTAGATTTACAATAAACATGTAAACATATAAACAAACAAGTCGACAAGCAAATAAAAACAGATAATTTCAAATAGGGTAAGTCCTCAGAAGAGAATAAAACAGAGTAATGGGATGGGAAGTGACAGGGGGGTTTGTTTTCTAGGGAGGCAGTGGAAAGCCATACCAGGTGACAGTTGAGCTGAAACATGAATGGGCAGGAGACGCAGCCACTCTAAATGGCACTCAGCTTCTTTATTCTCCTTAGCCTGGCTCCACCTACCCACCAAGCCCACTATTCCAGGAATCTTCCCTGGCATTCCCAGCACATACTATTGCCTCCTCCTCAGAGCTCCCAGGCTGTGCCACCAGACAGTTCTTCCAGTGATGTGTGCATGTGTATGGGAACATGTGTGTATGTGCAATGTGTGTGCATGTTCTACCCTTCTGCTAGACTCCAGGGTCCATGGATAAGCTAGCAGTGCATCCTGTGGATAGTGTACAGCTGAAGGGTCCCACTTCTTCCCTGGCCTTGGCCCAGACCCCTGTATGCAGCTGCTCACAGGGTTGATTTACCTGACTCTCCCACAGATGCCTCATGCTTTGAACATCTAGTATGAATGAGGAGTTGGCAGCTGGACACTGCCTTGCCTGCAGTCTGATTCTGGTTCTGAGGCTCTATGAAATACATGAGTGGCAATAGTAAGTGATTCTGCTTTTAGCATGCAAGTGAGAAGCCTGAGGTGTCCAGGGATGCCTGTAGAGGGCCTTGGAAAAGAACATACTGGAGCTCCCCTACTGCCAACTTATGCAATAGCTTTCAGCCTCAGCCCCATCCCTTTTTCCTAGTCAGCCTGGACTAGGGATTTTTCTCCAGTTGGATACTTGGCCAAGAGTTGGCCTTTCGGACAATGGCCTCATTCCCAAGGATTCTGAGTAATGGAGGCAGCAGTTTGGGCAGGGGTAAAGAGCCCAGTTGACATTTTCTATCTATCTATCTATTATCTATCTATCTATCTATCTATCTATCTATCTATCTATCTATCTATCTATCATCTATCTATCTATCTATCTATCTATCTATCCTGAGAAAGAATCTCACTCTGTCACCCAGGCTGGAGTGCAGTGGTGTAATCTTGGCTCACTGCAACCTCCGCCTCCCAGGTTCAAGTGATTCTCATGCCTCAGCTTCCCGAGTAGCTGGGACTACAGGCACACACCACTATGCCAGGCTAGTTTTTGTATTTTTAGTAGAGATGGGATTTCACCACGTTGGCCAAGCTGGTGTCGAACTCCTGACCTCAAGTGATCTGCCCACCTTGGCCTCCCAAAGTGCTGGGATTATAGGCATGAGCCACCGCACCTGGCTCCAGTTGACACTTTCAATATACACAGACATGTTAGTGCCTAACAGTCCCCTGAGCCTGCCGGGCTAGCCAGGCTTTCGCTGAGGTTGTGAGAACAAAGCAAACTGAAGCACACAGGTCCCCAGGGGAGGAGATGAAAGGAGTCCATCAGGCTCCATGTAGCCCTTCAGCATTAAACACTGCACTGGCCTCAGCTCTTGATCCAGACTCTGAGCTCTTCTCAAGGTGCCCCAGCCATGTCAAAGAGCCCAACAGCCCACATCTTCACAATCAACTTGCATGAATCAGGGGGATGGGATACAATCATAGGTGTGAGACCCAGGGAAAATTCACTTCAGTCCATCAGCACTTCTGCAATAAGTTCCGAGGCTACAAAGAAACTGTGTCTGCCTCTGGAGCTACCATCCACATGAGAAGACAGACCTGGGAACCAACAATGCAGGCAGTGCAATGCACTCCTCTAACTGAAGTGGGTAGCAAGTGCACTGACAGCCCAGACAGGCCGAGGAGTCTTCCTCAGGGGATGGGGGCGGGGACCAGGGAATTGAAGACAGAAGAACACCTCTGAGCTGGACCTTGAAGGATGAGTAGGACTTCAAGGAGAGAATAAGAAGGGAAAGAGCGCCTTAGGCACAGGGAACAGTATGAGCAAAGGCAAATAGCAGAGCATGGCAGTTAAGCAGAAGAACTTGAGCCAAAATGTGAAGGCTGGAACAAGACTCTGCCCCTTACTAGCTGTGCGACTCTGGGCATGTTAACATCTCTGTGCCACAGCTTCTTCACCTATAAACAAAACAATAATAGTACCAATTGGATAGGAGTGGAGATTTTAGAAGTTAATACACATAAAGAGCTCAGAAGAGTGTCTGGCACACAGTAAGCTCTATACATGTATTAGCTACTGTTGTTGTCATCGACATTGTCTTCGGACAGCTGCCCAGTGTGGACTCAGTGAGGCTGCAGGTGTATGTGTGGTCAGATGTAAGACTGCAAAGGCAAACCAGCGTTAGACAGTGAAACTGTGAATCCATTGAGAATTTCAACCCTTCTCTCCCCTGGATGTATTTTCACAAGCAGGCCAGAGGTGCAATTAACAGGAGGCTTACAAGTGCCCATGTCCTGGACACCTGGAAGGAAGCCCCTCAGAGCAGGAGCCCAGCTTCTCCCTACTCTAACCATTCAGCAGGCTCAGTCTGTACTCCAGAGACCACTGGAGCAACTACAAATGCTCCCGCCTTGGTCACGAGGGCCCGAGAGAGAAAGCACAGATTTATTTGTCCAAACCAGACAGACTCTGGTGCATCTGAAGGACAGCCTGGAGCATGGTGGGGTGAGAGGGGAGAAATTGGGTGGGGTTAGAACCTGGCTACTGAAGGAAATCTGGAAACCTGAGGGCAGGATGGATTTGGGCCATTAGGAGCCAGTCAGTGGGTGAGCACCAATCAAGAAGTAGAAAATCTAGGATGGGGATCGGCAACCCTAGAGGGAGGCTTTGGCAAGAAGGGAACTGGATGCCAAGGCCTCAGCCGAGTGGCCTGGAGTTCAGCGTGGACTTTGGCCTCAGAGGAGAAGCAAAGCATCTGCGATGCTTCCACCGAATGAGCGGGATGCTGGGGTGAAAGCAAAAAACACCCTTTGCTTAAACTTATCCTTTTAAATTCCACTTCCCTACCTCTTGGGTGAAATCTTCAGCTGATCTCCTAATGTGGGCTGGTCACACCTTTATAATAAAGTCTTGTGGTCACCTTCGGGCACCAAATTATCTGGTTTCAGTAGTTACCATATCCAGTGCAGTGTAGTAGTTAAATCTCAAAGCTGTATTTAAAGTGACAGTTCTTCCCTCTCCTGAGATTGAGCCTGCTTTGGGGGAGTGGGGGCAGAGGCAGAAGGGTGAGAGGTTGCTTCTCCATTCCTCTCTTTGCCCATCCCTCCCTCCACCTTCACCCCTCCCCAGGCTGTCAGTGACTCCTCAGGGATAAGCAGGAAGAGGGAGAGAGAGAAAGGTCAGGCCTTACTGGACTGGCAGTGATTGGCATGGATTCTCTCTGGGCTTGAGTAATGTACAATGCTAACTCAAGGACCCTTCTTGGGAAAATTCCTTTTGACGATGTCTCCAGACTAGTTGTCTCTGTGAGTCCACTTGACTCCTGGGCAACCTGGCCTCCACGTCACTCTGCTCTGTTGGTATCCCCAGCGCAGCCTCCTTCACCCCATCAGCTGAGCCTTGAGCTTTTGCTTTAAATGAGTGTCAGAAACCAGAACATTGTCTCCCTCTATTTCCAAGGCACACATATCAAGCTTTCCAAGAGGTCCCCTCGGAGCCTCCTTCTCCACTTGGCTTAAGGTGAGGGGGATTGTACCTCCCTTCCCTGTGGGGTGGTGGTGGGCACACAGTTCACAGACAGCTCTCTTTAATAAATCACCCCACCTCTCATCCTCCGACATTCAAATGTGACCCATTATACCTTTGAGATGGAGGGTGAGCTAAAAATCTCAAAACTGGTTTTGGCCACCCCTTCCTACCTGCAGGTCTACCTGGAGGATCCAGCATGCTGCCTGCCTCCTCTCTAGAGTAAGAGGTCCTGAGGGCAAGGATTGTATCTGGCTCACTACTGTATTCTTAGATTCTTGAGCTGCACTTAGCGTTTAATTGGTGTGGTTGCAGCATAATGGCCCACAAAATGTCCTAGTACCCGGAAGCTGTGAATATGTTGAGTGACATGGCGAAGGGGAATTAAATTTGCAGGTGGAATTAAAGTTGCTAATCCTCAGACCTTGAGAAGGGGAGAGCATCCGGATTTTTTTCAGGGGGGCCCAATGTAATCACTAGGGTCCTTATACACAGAAGAGGGAGGCGGAAGATCAGAGTCAGAGAGAAATTTGAAGATGCAGCGCTGCTGGCTTTGAAGATGGAAACAAGCCACCAGCCAAGGAATACAGCCTCTAGAAGCTGCAAGAGACAAGAAAATGGATTCTCCTTTATACCCTCCAGAAAGAAATGCAGCCCTGCTAGCCCCTTAATTTTAGCTCATTTAGAACTTCCGACCTAAATAAGTGAGACTCATTTAGAACTTCCGACCTCCAGAACTGTAAGAAAATACGCTAAATGTGTGTCTATTTGTTAAAGAAGCTGCAGAAAACTAATACAATTAATGCTCAATAAATGTTGGTTGCATCATGAAACTACATTGAATCAGAAGGTTGCTTAATGCATATGGAATTTGAGCAAAGCAAGGACAAAAATCTGCAGGGTTGTGTCCTCCAGGCTCTGCTGAGTCAGCTGAACCATCCATGGATGCCCCTTCTGCTCACTTCGGTAGCCACGTCAGCCATGCTCGGAGGTGTAGCCCATGGACGGTGCTAGATCAACAGTGCCAGTTCCTCGTTTGCAAACTTCTCCCTTTCAGGTCTTCCTGCATATCACTCCCTTCTGCAATTTTGTTGCTGTTGTTTGAAAATTATAGAAGTAATATATGCACCTATCATTTTTTTCTTGCAATTTAGATAAATATTATAGAGTATTATAAACATGAAAATAGATGTCCCCCATCTCCTAACCCCTCATTTCTGATCTTCAGAGGTAAATTACTGCTCTTTCTGTGGATCCTTTGACACTTTTTTCACCTATATAACAGCATACATTTACATAATTATTTGTGTACTCACACACAGAAAGTATTTTGACACAGAATAAAACACACTGTAGATGTCGTTCTGCAACTTTCTTTGTTCATGTAACAGTGTATCTTGAATATCTTCTTCTATTAGCACATATAAGTTCACTTCATTCTTTTTAATGGTTGCATGCTAATCCATTGTTTGCTATAATTTGTGTAACCACTGCCATAGTGGCATTTAGATGGCTTGGTGTACAATCTAACAGATTCTTTAATATTTCATTACATTCTTTCAAGACCACATACTCACAGGCATTTTATGACTTTCAAAGGCCCTAAGTGCACATTTCTGGAGGTTCTACCCCACACCACATCAAACATATTTAAATATACCCACATCCCACATCAAATATAAATTTTTGCTGTAAAAATTGAGGGGATTTTTATGATTTTGCTTTTAAAATAATTTGGCTCTGAGTAACTAACCTGCAAATAGCTTTTAAGTGTAAAGACATTTTTATGAATATTAAATTTAACAATTAATGAAGGTGACATAATGCTATACTTCATAGGCATTTACATAAACACATTCATTTTGATTTTGCTGCTTTCTTTTTTCATTTTGAAGTCAATAGTTTCCTTTTTCATGCCTCATATTTTTCTTAGGGCTTTGAGAAGCTTGTAATCCCTAGAGGAGATGACTACAGTACCCAAGGGGTGCAATAACCCTGTGTACACGACCCCTTGCTGGATGCCTGGGTTTACTCTTGAGGTGAGTGGGTGAGAGAGCTGGGGTGTGCTCAGGGCTGGCTCACCAGGGTCCCCTAGGTGGGTGTTTCCCAAGGTAGCTTGAGGCAGCAGAGCAGGGTGTGAAACTGGAATGGATCGTAAAGAGAAGCCAGCCATAGCTAAGGAGAGTAAGGGACATCACCCGGGATTGGTCTTTCATGAAGGAACAAGACAAGTCAGGACTTGGGTGTCCCCAAATTCCTCATGCACATATTCCAAGACTGTTGTCTCCCAGAGGCTTGATTTTATTTGTTGTTACGGGGAGAGCTTCCCTTGTTCACCTCTCAAAAGGTGGCCAGATCTTCAGGGTCTGGAGATCTCTAACTCTGCTCTGATGCTCTGACTGCCCTAAAATTGGAGCAGGCGATTGATTGCTTATGCAGAGCTGGCTAATGGGCAAATGAGGGGTCTCCATCAGGAGGCAAATTTCCCCATCTGCATTGCTGCATGTGAAAATGTCATACTGATCAGAGCAGTAAATGCTCAGGAGGGAAGGGCAACATAATGACAGAGACAATTTGGCATCTCATTTAATTTCCTCACACAAAAAATTAACATTTTTGGAAAGATCGACTTTCTCCATGGAAATTCCTCTCCAATGTAAGCACTTGCTCAATGATGGGCTATTATAAATGCTTATGATCATGAGGATGAGATTTCTATAGCATCTGATGCTGTTATTACTTTGAATGAAATCACTGTGAGGACAATTTCAGGTCCCACAAGAAGCTCTTAGCTTTAAGAAGTCCCTGTGGATCAGAACACAATTTCCATAGCTCAGTAACACAGACAGTGAAGAATCCGGGGCAGAATTATGGGGCAGGGGCACAGGGAGGTGGAGGGTGTGGGATGCTGTGTGACCAAGGAAACACAGCAATGGGTCTAGACTAAGGCTCATAACTTTTGGCTCCTGGATTATCCCATCTGGGATAGGAAGGAACTCACAATTTCAGGCACATACAGTAGTTCCCTAGTTTAATCCTAACAGACTCGGTGGGGCTCTCTGGGAGCCTCCTGCTAGGGTCCGATTGTGCCTACATATTATTTTTCTTGGCAACCATCAATGTGCATCCTGTTTCTCCTCTCCACTCTAGGTCACTATGGGATGACTTCTGATATTCACAGTAGCAAACTGATCAGTTCTTGCAGCAATACGGCAGATACCAGTGCTTCAACCAGAGGAACTGCCAACTCTAGAGCAAGTTAATGCCACCCAACATCAAGGATATCTACATTGGTGTTTTCTCCTTGTGGGAGAGAATGCTGTGGTCTTCCACTATCATTTTTTTCTTATTGAAAATCTTAAATTTTTAGCTAGACTTATTGCCATCCAGTGAAAAGATCCTACTTCCCAGTAGTCCTTGCAGCTACAAGCAGCTGTGAAAGTAAGTTCTGACCAATAGAATTGAAGCAGAAATGCAACGTGAGACTTCAAAGACATCTTAAAACAATGAAGGTATACCCTTTCACTTCCTTTTCCCTTCCTCCTTACTTTGTCTGGAATGCAGGTGTGATGGTTGGAGCTCCAGCAGCCCTCCTAGACCATGAGCTGGCCTTGAGAATGGAAGTCACCTACTGAGAATGACACAGTCTTGCTCCATAATGACACCAAGGAACCACCACACAAGTTTGTTTAAGCTGCTTTCATTTGGGGTCTTTATATGTAGTTGAAACTTACACTGATACACACTTGTTGCTGTAAAAAGTCCTGGTTCCAAAGCACCTAGAAACCATACAGCAAAAGCACTGTGAAGCTGTTCACTCTCCATGAACGTCCTTTCACCCTGTACCCAGACAGAGGTTCATGAAATTGAGTGGCACTGAGCAATAGATGAGTCACTCTGCTAGGAGCTCCCCCTTCTCATATCGCCCCATGGACCACTCACCACTTTATGCATCTCACCCATTCTTTCCTTGGGGTGATTCACTTCCCAATAGGCTCCTCTGCCTCCCATCAAAATAGATCTCTAGTGGACGAGCCTCAGTATTCATTTGGCTATGATTTAATTTTGGGGTGAATACTCTTCATGATAAAGCTGCAAGTTTTGCTATACTCTTTCCCCTGTAAAGTACATGCAGATCCTACCTAATTTCTGGCCTTCATTCAAGATGCCTTTCTTAGAAAGACCAGGAGAGGGTTAGACTTCTTGCGGGCATGCTGGTCTTCAGCTGGAATCCCAAGGCACAGAGCGCTCACGTCATAATGAAGGGTATGACCACATGTGTGGCACTTTCTTCTGTTGTGATCAGGCAGGTTTGACCTTGGGTTAGTAAGTCCCCCTCTGTAGTAACTGTGATAGTTAGATATTTGCTCAACATGTAATTTCTCCTCCACCTTTGTGAGAGGAATATAGCCTCCCACCCCCTTGATGTGAAGCTTGGCGATGGGACTTGTTTGACCAACAGAATCTGGGTAGCAAGGAGCGAGGTCCAAGTGTTAAGATGAGATACCTTAATACTTTTCTGCTTGGCCCTCTGGGAGCATTCAACTTACATGATAAGAACATTCTGAGCTCCAGAATAAGATGCATGGGGCAGAATTTCTTCAGTTGACCTACAGACCTAGGGTCTGAAGCAAGGGCACTCTAGCTAATCTACAGACCGGCAGCTTGAAAATAGGTGCAACTCCAAATAAACGTAATAAATATATACTCTTCCCTTACAACAGCTCTAGTTCCACTAGTTGTACCAATCAGTGACTCCTGTTTTCAGCTACTACATTTGTGGGGGTTTGGACGTAGCATGATTTCAGGAAAAGCTTAGCCAATACAGTGAGAAATCTCTTTTATGCCTTATAACAGCTCTCAAGTCCTTGGGTGGAAAGACACCTTCAAAATCCACGGATGTGAATTCAGACTTGTAAATACAGACAGAACAGGCCCCACCCTTTCTCTGGCATTCTCTGTCTCTTGGTTTCTCTCTTTCCTGAATGCGAAAAGGGGTGGCTCCAAAACACACCCAGAGAAGAGTCTCTTTCCTCTGATTTGCTGCTGTCTCCTTCCAAGACCCAGTGCTCTCACGTTCTCTCAGCAGCAGTAGATTCTTTTCAAACCACCCTCCAAAATGCAGCCAGAGTTGTCTTCTGAGAACAACCAAAACACAGCCAGAGTTGTCTTCAGAGTGGTTC
This sequence comes from Homo sapiens, assembly GCF_000001405.40. NCBI lineage: Eukaryota > Metazoa > Chordata > Mammalia > Primates > Hominidae > Homo > Homo sapiens. Next base: position 34,363,896 of record NC_000001.11, on the reverse strand, counting down.
CTGAGACCATCCTGTCTGATCATGTCAGTCGTATGCTTGCAATCCTTCAGTGTCTCTCCACAAGTATTTAGTGAAAGTTTCCATGTCTTAAGGCACAAAGCTCTTCATGACCTAGGGCTTGCCAGCTCTTACTACTGTTCTCCTTACCCACCAGCCCCTCCAATTCCAGATCTTGCCAGCTCTTACTACTGTTAGGTCTTGCCAGCTTGGTCTTGCCAGCTCTTACTACTGTTCCCCTCATTCACCAGCCCCTCCTATTCCAGAGAGCTCCTCACACTTTCCAGAAGGCATCATGCTGCTCTCTGTCTCCACACTGGTGCACATGCCATTTCCATGGCTTGGACACCCTTCCCTTATTCCCTGGGGTGTGACTGTCTCAAGGTGACAGTGATATGATTGATGGAAAGATGCCAATAGCCACAGGAAAAGGAAACATGTTCCTTTAATATGAAGTAGAAGATACAACTACACACAGACCAACTCATAAAGCCACGGGTACAGAAGCAGGCACAGTCTAAGAGAGTGTTAGTTAGGATATACTTTAGCAGCTGTAGCAGAGAGAGCTGAATTCCTAATGCATCCATCAGAACCCAGCTCAAGCCTCCCTAAAGCCTTCTTTGGTTTGCTCTGTGGCTCACTGCCCAAGGCCTGATTTAGAAGCCCATTACCTGGGCTCTTCAGGGGCCTATCACTTATCGTGGCACTGGTCTAACCAGGTTCAAAAGCCGTTCTGGGATCTCCATGTTGCAGGTGCTCAATGCTTACTTAGTGAGCACCTGGGCTACTTGAGATGGGCATGGGAAACGTAGCAACATGCTTGGCTGATGTGTGCTGTGACCTGGAGAACAGGTGCTTTCCATAGACTTAGAACTGTGCTCTTTAAACTGCCTCCCTGCCTCTGGGCTTCTCTCCATAATGCAGCCAAAGCGATTTTCTACTGCACAGAGTTGGCCGTGCCACTCTCCTTAAAACCTTCCAAGAGCCCTCACTGCTCTGAGGCCAGCAGCTGAACCCTTCAACATGGCTCACAAACAAAGGTTGCCATATTTAACAAATAGAAATCTAGGACACCCATTTATATTTGAATTGCAGATAAACATCAATTCTTTTAGCATAAGTATATCTCATGCAATATTTGAGATATACTTATATTAAAAACAAACTTGTTGCTTATATGAAATTCAAACTGAGTATCTCGAATTTTATTGGCAACCCTGTTTACTTTGTCTATGTCCCTGCTTTTTTCTGCAGCATCCTCTCTCCCTAAGCATCTGCCTCAGACCTACTAAACCTCTTTCTTCCTCTGGACTTTCTATCATGGCGCTTCTGTGAGAATTAAATGACTTAACACATGTCAAGTGCTTAGAACAGTCCCTGTCCTAAGGGACTTACCTGGCTCATGGTGGAAGACATTGAAGTTTCACTGTGATTGTTGTTGCCCACTCCGACGGGCACACCCGCCCCAATCCCACTGCTCCACTTGGCCAGATTAACTCTTACCCATTCTATAGCAAAGTGGTAATCTCAGATTATCAGCCTCTTCTTTGGGACTCCTTTTCCAATTGTTCCTTGAATGAGATTGGAAGTCCTTGGTGTATACTCCCAAATGCCTTGTACTTCCCCTACAACAGCTCTTACCTCACTTGGTCATGTTTTCTTAGTCAGCTTTCCTACTAGACCATAATGTCTGCAGAGAAAGGAATCTCTATATTGCTCATGTATCTGCCCTCCGTGCCCTGCAGAGTGCCTGGGAAAAGAGGTGGTATTTAGTATATACTGAATGAATGAACAGCACCCCACAGCCCTCTATTTTTTAGGAGCTGGTTTCCTAAATAACTCAACCTCTTTGTGGTCAAGGTCAAGGGAGATTCTAACACTGCCCAGCTGAAGTGCCCATTCCACTTGGGGTGCTCAGTCCTGGTTCTGAGAAAGGAGGCAGACAAGCACTGTTTCTGTTTCAGTTCTGCCTTACCACCTGCAAACCATGTGTATGGTATCAAGCAGTTTGCTTCTCTCCCCTGAATTCCGGTGTCCTTATCTGAGATCTGGAGTCAATAAAATCCATCTGGACAGGCTTTGGGGGAGAATTAACTATGAGGTGATGCTATGCTTGCAAAAAGACCCGGCACATAGCAGGGACCAGACAAACATGAGTCCCTGCTATGGGCTAACTAGGGCCTCCTTCAGAGAAAATAAAAAGTTCGGAATCATGTGACCAATATCTGGTCAGTTTGCATGAGGCAGTGTATTTCAGATCAGAATCAGGAAACCCTACACTTTAAAGATGAGAGGGGAAAAATGTGAAAGGAGAGAGGCCACGTCTGCAGACTTGAGAGAGAGAAAAAAGGGGCTGGAAGCAGCAGATCAATCATCAAGGTGAAAACTTAAAAGACAATTGATTTTCCTCCTTGATGTCCACGTTTCAAGGACCTTGTTGGGCTCCTCCTGGGAAATCGACTTTGAGGCTCATCTGCCATGGAAAGACATTTCCTCTGAGCTCTGTTTCCAGTGACTCCCAGGATCCGGGCAGGGAGCAAACAGCAGGGTCTCTGGAGATCAGCAGCTTGACCTCAGGGCCATCCTGGCTCTCTTTCCCCATAGCCCAGAGAGTGTCCAGAGTGCTGCACCTGGAGTCACTGCCCCTGAATTCAACCCACTTGCCCTGGCTGTGTGGCCTTACAAGAGCCAATTCACCTGCCTGACTGACAATTGCTAGAAAAGCTTCAGGGTCTTGATGGTCAGAGATAAATGGACAGGATAGGGAGGAGCCAGATGATAGGAATAAGATGTGCCTTTGGGGAGCTGGGGAGGCAATGTTTTCCAGGGTGGAGTTCAAGAAACAAGCAAGGTAAGAGGAGTGGAGCCAGGCAAGGCATAAGGAAAGAGTGGACAAGATAGAAAGGTCCGCAGTGCTTGCCGGGAGCTGGGTAAGGCACCTATGTGGGGCAGGGTGCGAATCTGGTTAAAAGCCCAGGGTCAAGGTTGACCTCTGTAGCTCTAACCTTGTAAAGATGGCATGAGGATTACATGTGGTAATGGATGGAAAGCCCCTGTCACATAGGGCTTGATGAATGGGCTGAGTCAGAAGGAGAATATGAATCAGGCGAAGGACAAAATAATCCAATCCAGTTCCTCTTCCCTGTCCACACAGCACCTGCAAGCAGCACCTAACCCTGTTTCCTAGCCCCAGGTGCCCTGTCTATGGGCACCTCTCAGCTCAGCCTCTGGGGATGCCCTCCTGGCCCTGGGGTCTTGTGTGTTCTCCCAAAGGGACTGAGCTACTCCAGAGTAGTCCGCCCAGGTTCTACTTCCTTACTGCCCCTGCCCAAGTCTGGTCGGGTCCATAATCTTGTCCCGTACACCAGAACTGGCCTCCTCTGTGACCCACCAGGTGACCCAGAAGCTCACAAGCCTGTACCCTTCTCAAAGGGCCTAATCGTGGAGGTTTACCTGCCCCTCCCCATCCCAACCCCACCTGGCCATGACCTTCATTCAGGCCTTACCACTGACCCCTAGACTTGGCTGCAGCCTCCTCACAGGCCTCCCCAACCCCAGACCCTCCCTCTCCGGAGTCCCTTCTTTTCATAAGCACCTGAGAAGTCTTTCTAAAACATAAGTAAAATTTTATCACTCTCCTGCTTACAGAAACAGAAACAAAGAACAAAAATATTTTTCTTTTGTTTCCCATCACCTACACAGGAATGCTTTTAGTTGTTAGTGTAGGATTTTTGTTTTGTTTGTTTGGAGCTCTTTTGTGGACCCGGCGTGCAAAAGGTCAAGTTAATCAAGGTCAAATAATCCTTGGTCTGTGGGGGACTAATGTCAGGATCTTTCTGATTGATGTGTATTCTCTTTTGTCACTATTCTCCCTATTATAGGCAGCCACACACACATGTTGTATGGGTATCCTTGAGCTTGCATGAACCTTTGGAAAATAAGAATTGTTTTCATCTGCATAAGCAATAGTGTATTAAGACCTTGACGTGTTTCTTATTTTTTCATTCACTGTGTTAAATTCTGTTCATGTTGGTGCACATACACTTAGTTCCATCACTTCCACTGCCTTGCACGGACACTAAGCTCACCTCCAGCTCTCTCCCTGACAAATCGCATGTGCCATGCATATTATTGTACATGTCCCCTTTGGATTGGTGTGAGAATTTCCATGTGGGATTGCAGGTTCATAGGGCATATACTTCTCTGCAGTGTCGCTGCACCAGTCCCCACCCCACCAGCCCAAACTCCAGCACCTTCTACTCCCTCACTGCCTCTCCAGCCCCATTTTCTGCCACCCCCACCTGAAGTTCCCATTAACTGACATGCTCACTAATTCAATGAAGGTGAGTGTTTTTGAAAGCCATCTAGCCCAATCCTCTTGTTTTACAGACTAGGACTCTAGGGCCCAGAGAGGGGACATGAGTGGCCCAACTTCCCAAAGCTTAGAAAGGCTTACGTAGGGGAGCCTCTGTCTCTTCATAAACGCTACTCAAAAGCAAAAGTTTTCTTCCACTTTTCAGAAGCAGAAAATAGAGTTCCAGAGACACAAAGTTAGAAACTTTGGGTCTCATGGAACATTAGAAGGAAAGGGGAAAATTGTGGCTCATTTATCCCTGAAATTGCCTTCTTCCCTGATGTGTAAGGTTAAGCAAGGGCTGCATGCACCTACAGGGTAAGCAAGGGCTGGATGCTAGTGTCAGAGGAATCTGGGGGGTTGTGCTGCATTTGGGCTCACTTCATGTCATGTACAGCAGCAACATCCAGGGTCAGATGGCCCACACCACTGCACTCACCTGGCCCCAGTACCAGCCTCTGAGGCCTGGGTGATCTGATGGGCCTTTCGTCAGCCTGATCTTTGTGAGGATTCAGCTAGGGATAGCATATTTAGAGCAAAGTTTGTCTCCATGTAGTCGTGAATTATCCCCACAAATCAAAGCTGGTTTGGGAAACCCAAGGCAAAACTTAAGTCAGGTTAAGCTTATAAAATTGTTTGGGGACAACAGTAATATAAATGAGCAGGCTCTTTAATACATTTAAAATGAAGTCATTGCATTTTTCATGGGGTTTTCATTTCCTGTTCCCCCTCTGCCTCCAGGGCATCAATCCCACACTGAGAAAATGTTTGGGAAGCAGAGGCTAGAGTGGAGAAGAAAGTGATATTGTGGCTGGCTTCCCCAGGGCGCCTCTTCAGTCAGATCTACCCACAGGGGCCCCTACAGTGGTCCCCACACTGAGTAAAAAAAGAGAATTACCCATTTGGACTCAGGACCACTGGGTGCCCACCGTCTTGCACACCTAGACTGTATCACTTTCCAGCTTCTGCAAGGAGAGCCAGGGCATTTGTCTCCTGTGCGGCCCATACTTTATGCAAGAGCAACCACATTCCACCTCCACACCTCCACCTCCCCTTAGCTCCCCAAATCCACTCACAAGTTACAATTTAATAGGCAGATCTAATCTCACCAAGATTCCAAAGTATTCCAGTCAATGCATCCCAACTCTGCTTGTCTCTGCCTGTCCACAGCCTCCTCTTCTTCCTCCTCCCAAGCTGTGCCACAGCAGAGACCTGTCAGAGAGGAATCAGAGGTTCTCCCCTGTTTAGCTTTGGCTTGTTTCATTGGAATTCTCAATGGAAGAATGCAAAGTCTTTTTATAGTCTCCAATAAAATGTAGAGGCTAACGGTTGACAGCATGGCCTTTGGAGCCAGGAAGCCCAGATTTTTTGTCAGCTGTGTGAATTTGGGCAAGTTATTTAACCTCTCTGTGCCTAGATTCCCCAACTAACAAAATGGGAGTACTAATACATACCTACCTATTAGCAGTACTTCCCTCACAGGCTTGATTGTGGGATTTAAATATGTTAATGCCAATGGTAATATGATAAGAACATGCTTGGCTTGTGGGAAGTGTGAGGTTAAGTGTTAGCTACAATGAGGATGATTGATGAGGAGGAGGATGAGCAGACACAGACGGCAAAGAAAGATGTAAATTGGTTGAATTGCCAAGCTCTGTACCATCTTCCCCACATTATTCTTGGAGCTCAGAGATTCTACACATGTGCAAAAGAGCCTCCAGAGAACCAGTACTAACCTGGCCAGAGTGAAGTAATTTCCCTGCTGAGGTTGATGATGGATAGATATTCTAGACATATTGGAGGGTGGCACTCATGAGCAGATATCTGATACCAGACTGTTGCCAAGATGGCTGGGGCTTTGCCTTCTTAGGACAGAGAATTAGCACCCTCCACCCCGCAAGGTGCTCTAGTCTCCTGCTACTCAAAGTGTGGTCCAAGGATGAAGGACATGAGTTTCCTCTGGAAGTTTCTCCAATATGCAGAACCTCAGATCTGTCCCAGGTCTGCTTAATCAAAATCTGCATTTTAATAAGAGCCCCAGGCGATTTCTGTGTACACTAAAATTTGAAAACTGCTCTTGTCATCCAAACGCAGGGGAGTGGATGTGGTGACCTTCCCTTTCTGCCCCCACTGGACTGCATGAGCCACATATGGAGGGACGGTGTCTGTTTCATTACTCACCTTGTCCTCAGAATTGAGCTTCCTTCCTATCACACAGGGAGCACTTGTAAATTCTTGGCAGTAGATGGATGCATGAGAAACTGAATAGGTGAATGAGTGAGTGCATGACCGTGGGCTCAGAAGCCCAGTGTCTTGGTTTCAGGTCCTTGGTGAATAGTGCCGGCATATCCCAGCAGAAGGCAAAATTGGTGGACCAGACTAACACCTCTGCAGCACCGAATTCACTGCCAAGATTGAGCAAGACTGGCTTGAGAGACTTGAGACTTTCAGTAGTGTGCAGCAGGGTAGAGCTAGGTCATGCAGGAACTGACCTTGTGTCTACCACATGTCCCTGCTCTCAATACTCAAGTGGCCCTGGCAAAGAAGGAAATCAGGTCAGTCTGACATGACTTATTCTAAATGCACCCAGGCAGACCAGCAGTGAGCCTCGCATCCTTGTCTGGGCACTCACAGTCCAGTCCCTACAGACACCGGATACCCTTTTCTGGGTTGAGATAATGGCTTATAGAACTTGCCCCCTATGATGACTGAAAATGTGAATGACATTTACCTGTTTCCAGACTTCCAGTCACTTCCAGACTTGCATGATTCCTTAAATATCAACAAACTGTGGCTTGGTAACCATCTTTGCGAGTGTTTTAATAACTCTAGTATGTGGCTTGTCTGGGCCAATGGGCAAGGGACAAACAGGGTAGCTCAGTGTTTGATTGTGACACCCTCTTCTCCTCTTTTGGATGTCTTTTATCCCTACTAATCTTTATTCCAACCAGCACAGTCTAAAGATTATGCTAAAGATCTGCCCAAAGATATTAGGGGCTGTTTGTAATCACCTCAAAGTCTTAGAAGATCTATGGGCAGCTCAGAGAGACCTGCGCTCTTCAGATATTTCTTTGTCTTACTCCCAGCCAGCCGTTCCTCCTGTGATCACTCAACTACAGATCTTTAAGAATGGAGCAAAATGGGATGTGCTCAAGATTTCATGACAAACAGAGCAGGGCTTGGATCCCAGCTGGTGAGGGGCAGACAGCAGGGGAGAGCAGCTGGACACAAGGGGATTCACTTGTGAAATGTGAGAGTCCTCCTTTCCTCTTACCTTCCATCCTGCCCTGCAGGTCTCCCCTGCACTGCCTTGAAGCAAACCATTCTTGCTCTGCCTTTGCCCATGTGAGCTGGTAAGGGTGGCAGACAGGGTGGTTGCCAACCCTCAATATCTGTTCCCACCCCTGCTTCCCTCCTTTTCAGTGGAACCCCTATTTTGTTGGATATCCACCTTCCCCAACTTGCCCATGTGCCTTGGAGGAAGTGGACACAACCCTGAGTGGTGCATCCTGATGAGTCTAAACTAATCCCATCCCCATTGTCAATGACTGGGAATCAACTCTGGACAGTAATCTGGGAGGAACATCTGCAGGATTGCTTCTAAGAGAGATCTACCCGCTCTTAAAAGCATACCCAGAGAAGAGAAGGTGCTGTCTTTTTCTCAGTGTCAACAAGTCTAGATACGATGGCTGGAAATGGCTGTAGAGCTATGGGGAAAATCAGACTTCAGATGAAGCCAAGATATCCTGGATGGCAGAGAGAAAATATAAAAAAAGCCTAGGTCCTCCTCGATGCCATCGGTGGGCTTTTAAATTAATCAACCCAGAGCTTGCCTGCCTCTGGCCTGATTGTAATATGAGGTAATAAATCTTATTGTCTGGGCTTGTAAAGTTGGGTTTGCTATAGCCAAAAGGGAAAAAGCAAAGTGTGTGATTACATGTAGAAAACTCAGGAGGAGCTGGGATGTTTCTGTCTCCTTTGTGGTGATTGAACTAAAGAGGAGTCTAGTCCTCAGTCTGAGGCTTTAGCCTCCTATAAACACACACACACATGCTTCACGGACACACACACACACATGCATGTCAACAGCCACCAAGAAATGGAAGCAATTATGTGAATATTCCTAAGAGAAGAGCCTAGTTATGTTTAAAGCTTAAAGTACAAGCGCCCAGTTTTGTTCAGGTCAGGGAAATGAAGCACCACCCAGTGGGACTGGGTGAGAACAAGCCAATTAAATTGTGACATTTTATTAGTATCTTGTCCTTGAGCTCATGGCCTAATTGTTGCAAGTTTGTCCAGGAGAGGACTTCTGAAACCATAATTCTGTTGCTAAAACTCAAACTCATAATTTTCATGCTAAATTGTCCTTCTTCTATTCAGAGCCCATTATATAATTCAAGAGATACAGCCTGATGTGTAAAGTTCTTGTGAAGATGAAGATGATGGAGCCAAGCCTGCTGGGTTGAGCCTTGCCCAGGCCAACCTGCTATGGCCCAGGGGTCACCCTCTCATCCACCCCTCTTCAGCCTTGCAAAAGCCACAACCTTGCACCTTGTCTCAGGTGGGGTTCTCAGGGAAACAGACTCTGAGATGGAAATTTGCATACAGGGACTTTATTGTGCAGAGTATGGGAGGAGCGAGTGGTTTCAAGAACATCTGGAAGGGGACAAATGAGGGAAACAGGACTGGGCAGAGAGAGAGGTTGAGTTGGGATGTAGTAGTTTTAATGGAGACCTCAGCAGTTCCCACAGGGAGCGCTGGAGCTGGGTGGCCCTTCAGAGTTGTCCTGAATTAAGGTAAGGGGGTTGGGCCTTTGATTCTACTCATAGACCAGTTGTAGGATTTGGGCTGTCCCCAGGGAGTGTACATAACTTGGGCCAGGCAGTACCCTTTGGGGGAAGGAGGGAAATTCTAGGGAGGGAACTGTAAGCTGTCAGCAGGTAACATTCTTGACCACTCGGTAAATAAGTGCCTTGGCTGTGTCCTGTAGAGGGCTCTGCATGATACACCACAGCATCTCCTACATATCTGGTACAGACACCAGAAAGACTGAGCAGAAATGTTCTCTTACTCCCCTCTTTTCCCAGCACCTCCCAGAGTGCACATTGTAGGCACTTCGTAAATATTGTTGGATAAATAGCCATAGACTCCAGGGACCCAACTGAGGCAAAGATGCCCCCACCACATCTTCAGTTTACAACTCCATTCAAATAAATCACTGTTATCTCTAGAGCTAGCAGGTATTGTTTACACCCATAGATTTGCTTCAAAACAGGGGAGAAAGGGTGATACAGCATTGGGAAAGTTTCTTAACTCTTTGGGAAAATAATTAAAGTTATAGCCATTACAGCTTTACTGCATAACAAGCAACATAATAATTTCAGGTGGTTAAAGGGTTAAATACAAAAGAATTTAAACCGTAAAAGAATGAGCAGAACATTCTAGGAGAACGTTTATATCAACTTGGGGTGGTTAGGCCTTTCTACACATTACTAAGCATTCAAGCATTTCTAAGCAAAAACTAAGGAAAAGATTAATGAATTTGATTAGTTAAAAACAAATTCCTCACTGGGTTAAAAAACATCAAAAGCAAAATTAAAAGGCAAATGAGACACTGGGGAAAATATAATAAACATATATTATAGACAAAAGGTTGATGTACAAGAAGAGTTCTCAGAAGTCAAAAAGGAAAAGATAAGCACCCCCATAAAAAATAGGCAATTGACATCAATAGGCAATTCACGAAAGAAAAATTACAGATAGACAATACACATATAAGAAAAAATTTAATCTCACTGGAAACAAAGATATGCAAATTAAATCAACAACAAGTATAGGGAATTGGGCATTCTTGTACACTGCTGGAGGGAGCTTAAATCGGTGTAATCTTTTTAGAGGGCAATTTGGCAATATCTGTCAAAAGCCTTAAAAATGTGCATCCATAGCCTTGACTCAGCAATTTTACTTTTAGGAATTTGTCTTAATGATCAAGGGGAATATATGTGCAATTATGTATGTATAAGTATATTCAATAAAGCATTATTTATGTTAATGAAAACTAAAAATAACCTGCATATCCAACCACAGGCAGTTGGCTAAATAAATTATGAAATATCCATAATAAGGGATACTATGGAATAATTAAAACAAAGTTGTAGAAGAATATTTACTGACATAAGAGAATATAATGTATGGCTGAGTGAAAAAAAGCAGGCCATAAAACAATATAGACAACACTATGAATGTGTGTGTGTGTATATACCTAGAAACATGTATTTTCCAAATGTTAACTTGATTTTTCACTTGGCAGTGGGTTACTGACTTTTATTTCCTTTGTATTTTCCTGTGTGCAGTCCAAATTTTCTAAATTAACCAAGAATTACTTTGTATTTAGAAAGTAAAGTGCCAAAATAATGGGATTTGGCAGAATTAGCAAAAATAATGAAATTATTAGTATTATTTGCATCAGGACTGGACCCTCAACTCTGAGAGAAGCCAGACTTGGATTCATCTCATGTTTGGCGCTGAGGACTGATAGCCAGAGAGGAACTCACCTGAGTACCACAGAAGACTCCCAGCATGAAGCAATTGTTAGTATGAGACCATCTGTTGTTTGAGGGCAGGGATGAGTCCCGGGCATCTCTGCGACTAGCACAGGACTGGCAATGAGCTGAATGAAGGTATGAATGAGCAGCATAATTAGTAAGTCTGCCTTTTAACCTCACATCTCTCATGCAAAACTTACTGCACGAGAAAAGAAGAGCCCCACTCCTTGCTCCCAGAAGAGTCAGCAGGATGTTCTTGTCATCAAGAACACCTGACTCAGAGCAGAGGCTGTGGTCCTACGAAGACGACCTTCCACCTTGGTTTTCTCCCTCCTGTCTGTCCCTCCCTCTGGATCTTGCTAAATTTCCCCTCCAAAAACTTTCTGTCAGCTTCAAGGTAGAGAGAGTTGGCTGCCCTACATGATGATGTCTTGAATTGACCTTGCACCCAAGGCATAACTGCATGGAACTCCTAGGACCTTAAACATAGACCATGCTGATTTAGCTTTCCTGCTGGAAGAGATGGCAACACTGTAGTTATGCTTGGGTGGATGGATGGATAGAGAGATAGATGGGTGGATATTAGGTAAGTTATCTAAAAGCAGGGGATAGAGGTACTAGAAGGCATTAGAGACTGGAAGTAGTAAATGGCTGGAAGTAACTGAGAATGTTGACTCGTGAGAACAAAGGTATTCTCTGCTATTACACCAACCACCCAACTCCGACATGTCAGCCCACCCTCTTCTTAAGGACTGAGGGACACTCCACTCATACATAGCCCTGGTGGCTCCCACAGCCCATGTTTGTCTCATGGAGAAGCTATGAAAGTCTAGCAAACTACCTCTTTTCTTGTTTCTCTCCCCACCTAGAGAGTAAAGCCCTCTGAAGGTAGTGATTTGGTTTCAGTCAATTTTCTTTCAATTGCAGGTTAAAGAAAGCCCAATCCAAACTGGATGAAGTGGAAGGAAATCTATGGCTCTTGTAACTCTTAAGTTCCAGGAAATAGGACTTGCCTCAGGTGCAGTTTGGTACAGAGGCTCAAGGAATTTCACCATGCATGTCCTGGTTTCTTTTTCTATCTCTGTACTTTTGTCTTCAAGGTTGGCTCCTTTCTCAGACAGGAATTTCCCCTGTGGTAGGAAGAGCGTTGTAGCAGTTCCAGCAGTCACACCCTCTTTGCTTCTAGCCTAGCCAAGGAAACATCTCAGATTCCCCAAGAAAGATTCATTGTACCTGCAGGTTCTGATCAGACTTTATGCTCCTCCCTGATTCAACCACCATAGCCAGTAGAAGGCCACAGTGATTGATTTAAGTTTAGGCTAGTTAAGGGGATGGTTGTCCAGAGAGAAGCAACCAGAAGAGGAGTGAGGATGCTGAGTGGCACAAGGAACAGATGCCCCTAGCAGACCATGTCCTCTTCAGTACGAGGTCCTACCACCTGGCACACAATCAGTATTGATACATGTTACTTCCACAACCCCATTCCAACAGAAAACACAGCATGAGCTTGTCACAGAAGCCCTCAAGGACTTCATGTGGCCTAGCCAGGGCTCTGTGTCCATGTGGCTTATCCCTCAGCTCCCTCTATTTCCTTTGCTGCCTTCCTGCCAGTCCCTGGCCTGTCATGCTACAGCTATGGGCAGCTGTCAGCAGGCCAGACCACCCTCCTCCTTCCAGAGCATTGGGCTGGAAATGTGTGAAATTGATGCAAACTTAGAAAACTAGGATTTGGGTTTCTCTCTCTTCCTCTCAGCATGCTTTTTGCTCAACCAGCCAGAACTGGTGGCCATCAACATACCTGCCTAAATCTGTGCCATGATAATTACCTCAGTAGCAACAGTAATAGTATTCTTATTATAACTCTTATTTTAAAGACCTACAATGGACCAAGCTCTTTAAACATATCACCACATGTCTGTGCAATAACCTTGCGAAGTAGTGTAACAGGGACCACCACAGGCTTTGCCTACCTGTAGGTACAAATGGGACCACATTACTCATAACTACTCAGATTTCACAGATTTGTTGTCCCCAAATGCTGGGGCATAATCTCTAGCCTCTTACAAATATTTCTGTGGGTTCCCAGGGGTCCTGTCATCTTGGCTCATAGTTGCTTTTCCTTGCTTTTTCCCTGCTTTTTCCCCCGGCTTTGCCAGGTTCCATGGTCTCTACTGTTGCTGTTCACCAGCAACCATGTTCCTACAGTGGAACCACCAGACACTGCATTCTCTGCCACTGCACTGGAGCCTCCACTCTGCCATTCTGCATGGCAGAAAATTTGAGGAAGAAGTCTGTCTCTTCCCCCTCTACTCTATGCCATATCTGTTAGTGAGGCCCTGATGCAGTTCTGTTTGTGCCATGATGTATTATGCAGTTGCTGAAATGGTTCCATCAATGCCCCCGCTCTCACCTACCCCCTACACTTACCACTGGACAGTGGCATGACACCAGTGGGGACTAGGCTGGGAGAAAAACACAAGTGTCAGAAACCATGCTGTACTCAAGAATCACACCTCCCTGTCCTCCCGTTTCTTTTTCTCTTTCCCTCTTTTCGCAACCCCCACCCCCAACTCAAATTCAGTCCTAGGCTGTTTTACCGGGTCAAGACCTTGACATCTGATTCCTTGGGAGAATTTCTTCTAATTAGCTAAGAGTAGGCATTCAATAAATATATGTCAAATGGTTGGTTAGTTGGATTGTTGAATGGGTAGGTGGGTGGATGTGTGGATAAAATGCTTTATCAGTTCTTATACCAACTAGTTTCTGATGAGCCCACTCCATTTATATCTGAATTTCATTTAGACTCAAGCTGAGGTCCTTGTTAAAGTTGGTATGATTTTTCTCCATGTTACAGATTTAAAAGCTGAGGCCCATAGAAGTTAAGTCACTTGTCCAAAGTCATACTGCTAACAAACAGCTAAGCCGGGATTCCAACCTAGGCTTAACTGATACTCAAATCCTTTCTTTTTTTCTACTCCACTGTCTCTATGGCAAGGGGTTAAGAGTTGTGGTTCATGAGGTGCATGACTTGTGCCATGTGCAGGAATTACATCACTGAGGTCCCCTCTGGAGGAGGACAACATTAGCATTGCCCACTTCTTCGTCACTTCCTTTAACATAGCAAATCCAGGCTAAAGAAATCCATGGACGACCCATCCCAGCAGCTGGTTGGCCTGCTCATCACAGTGGTGGAGGATGGCAGCTCCATTGGCTGAGTCTGACTTTCCCTACACATCAGCCACTTAGACAGATGTATCTGAAAGTCCAGCTCTGTTCTGCAGGTCCTTCTGACCCTACCAGCTACCACATCCTTTCCCAACTCTCTCTGGCTCAGAGGAGAAGCAGCATCTCCAGCACTTTTGGAGAGGAAGAGTCAGACCTTTGGGGTCAGTTCCTGGCAGCCAACTCCCTTCTCTGAGAGGCAAAGTTAAACTCTCCCACTGCAGCCTCAGTCCCAGGACTCACGGGACACCAGCCTGGCAATGGTGGGGGATCCTGTCCCTCTAGTGAAAGAGGGAGTCATGCTTGCCCCATGAGCTGGAGATAGCCCCACAGGTCCCAAGCCACAGCCTCCCCCTCCTGCGTGTGTGCTGTGCCCCCAATGACAGGCTTCTGACCCAGCCCCTGGTTTTCCAGGGCCTCCTAAGTCCTGAATACTGCAGCTTTCTTGGCTGAGGCCTTGCCTCCCATTCCCTGAGATCCCCCATGCTTCTCTCCAGGCTGGCTCTGATTCCCTGTTTTCAGCCATTTTCTGGGTCTCTCAGGCCCATTAAATACATTCTCAGCCTGATATAACCAGGAATGCCCCTCCCTGCGCCGGGCCAACTTTTTTGGTGTCAACCCATGCCCAGATCAAATGAAGTTTGCAAGATTCCTTGAGCCTAGTTTGGCTGGCTGGCCCATCTCTCAGGCCCAAGTAGAGTCTCTGCCCTAAATCACTGCCTGACAGAGTCCTCATCTGGGCTCAAAGTGGACCGAGGTAAATGTGTGGGATTGATGTTATGCGGGAGAGTTGGGAAATGCCTTTCGCAGGAGGGTAGGTAGGGGCTCCATAAACCTATAGATCTGATTCTGTAGACGAGAGCCAGACAATGCCCAGGAGTAAATGCTAAGCTAGAGCCTGGACTCTTCCCTGCAAGAATCACTAAGCAAGAGTTAGGGATCAATTTCACGAGGTTGTATGCATGTGTGTGCCTGTGTGCATTTTACTGGAGGCATTTCCATCACTTTTATTAATAACAGTATTTACTCAGAACTTACTATGTGCCAGGCACTGCTCTAAGCACTGATGCATTTACATATATTAACTCATTTAATTCACATCACACCCTATGAGATAGAGACTATTGTTATCCTCACTTTATTCTTGAAGAAAGTAAGGCACAGGGAGATTGAGTAATATGACCAAGATCACACAGCCAGTAACTTTGAGGCAGGCGGATCACGAGGTCAGAAGATCGAGACATCCTGGCTAACACGGTGAAACCCCGTCTCTACTAAAAATACAGAAAAAATTAGCCAGGTATGGTCGCAGGCACCTGTAGTCCCAGCTACTCTGGAGGCTGAGGCAGGAGAATGGAGTGAACCCCGGAGGCAGAGCTTGCAGTGAGCTGAGATCGTGCCACTGCACTCCAGCCTGGGCGACAGAGTGAGACTCCTTCTCAAAATAAAAAATAAATAAATAAAAATAAAAAGTAGAACCAGTATTTCAGCCCAGATCTTTGTGAATCCACATCTATTCTTTGAACCTCTAGTTTTGTTATTAAAATCTCAGAGACATGTGTGACCCAATAAAGGCTGAGAGCGTTCACACAAAGAGAGGAAGCTTAAAAAGTAGAAAAGAACCTTCACTGGGTCAAACCCGGAGCGAGGGAGCATTAAAGAAGTCAGCCTGGACTCCGGGACTGTGGTATTGTAGCCACATTCTGCTGTCCAGGCTTGTGTAAGCTATTTCATTTCTTCCTTCTGAGTGTAGCAGGCCTCACAATCCCTATTTTACAGATGAGAAAAGTGTGGTTCAGTGAGGCTCAGTAAACTTCCCATAACCACATACTAGTCCATAGTGGTCCAGAGATTCAAACCCAAGCAAATCCCATGTGACTCTCAAACTGGTTCTGGGAGAGGGATGTGACTTGCCCCCCCCCCATGGCCTTGCCCACCATGGGCAGGGGAGGTGATGTAGGAAGGGATCCTGTGCTCCCCTTTCCAACCCATCCTGCCTCTGCCTTGTCTCCTCCTCCCTACTCTCCTATCACCCCCTCCCCACCCACCACACCTATCCATCTTCACTTGCTGGGGATTAAGTTAGGAAAACAAAAATGAAATGAACACTGCTCTGCCGACCCATCCCTGGAGACACTGACTTACACGGGTCTGATGCTGTTGATGATGTTCTATCGATTTCCCCTCTAATTGCTGCAGCTGGATCTATATTCATTTTCTGTCTCAAACTTCTCTTTTGTTGGTTCAATCAGCTAAATGAAGGGCCCATTTCTCTCTGTCCCTGTCCTGAAAAGCCAAAGAAGTTTCCAATGAAGAGCTCTCTTCGGAAATCAGTGAGGCCAGCAGACTGAGGACAAAGAGCGTCAGAATTTGATTACCTCTTTTGAAAAGTTGGCTAAGAACAAAGCTGGAAAAGAAAGTCTCGGGAGACCGAGTCCATTGGCAAGAAGAGGAGATATTTCCCCTTGAATTCACAGATCAGTTCATTCATTCATTCCACAACTTTATTGAACATCTACCATGGACCAGACTCCATGGTAGGATCTAAAAATATTCATCATGAACCAAATGGACACAGACCCTGCCTTCACAAAGTTAAGTGTGAGTAGGGTGGACAGATATTAATCGAATAACCTTATTGTTATATAATTTGTGCTATGGAAATGTCTAGGTCAACGTGGAGAGCCACAGGAAAAGCTTGCTGCAACCAACCCTGACATTTCAGGTTGGAAAGAAGGCTTGGTTGCAGCAAGCCTCACCTTTCCCTTTGTCAGCTCAGCAAGCTTTCTTTTCAGTTCCACTCAACTGAAGGTATACAAAGAAGGGAGTAAAGTACTGGGGAAGCAAGCCTCCAATCTGGACAAGACTTGGTGTTTTTCTTCCAAGAGCTCACTACCTAGAGGACAGACAGAACCAGGCACATGGAACTCTGGATTGAGGCAGGCAGGGGTAGATGTTACCATATAAGTATAGTCTGAGTGCTAGGAGAGATTGGGAAGGCCAAGATGAATCTGGCATGTGCAATGTAGGAAGACTTCTCTGAAGAGGCAGCATTTGAGTAGGGTCTTGAAGATGTCATCTAACCTTGACAGCCCTACTGCATCTTCTCAGTGCCCAGCATTTCGAAAACCCCTATGGAGGATAAAGCTAGAGGAGGGGCTAGCCACCTGAAATGACATCTGACTCCATGGAGATTCAGTGTCAGGAACAATGAGGGGACCAGAAGCTGCAACAATTGTACCTGCTTGTACAGGTCTTTGGGGGGTGGTGAGGGTGCATGCAAAATCAACTCTTTTCCTTTGTGATCTGCCTCTAGCTTTGGCCCTTTGGGTAAACCTGACACCCACGTTTAGTATTCACTCCTGAATGTTCACTACTTGCTCAAGAGGCATTTGAGACTCTTCAGTCTCCATTCTTGGTATGTGACAACACTTCATCATTCCAGTTTAGCCCATTGCCAGTTATTAGCCTTCACTTGGCCATTCTCCCCCACCCCCCAACTCTTTATTCATCAGGCTGGGTGAAGTGTACAGGTTATACAAGGGCGTTAGTTAAGATACACAGGTTATGCTGCAATAACAAATAACCTCCCCCAAGTATCAGTGGCTTAACACAGCAAAGAATTTTATTACCCGTGCAAAGTTTACAGCAAGCTCAGTGGCTCTCCAGGGCAATTCCCTTCTAATAAGCACCTTAGAGGTCTGATGGGCTTCCATCCTTGCCTCTGATATTTTAACACATGGTTTCCCATGTTACCGGAGAGAGCAAGTCAGTCATCTGAGAGCTTATGACTGCATTTTCCCAAAAGTGACACACATAATTTCTGCTCATAATCTTGACCAGAATTAGTCACATGGCATGACCAGGAAGAAAAGAACTAGATATTTATGAGTTCTACCCATGTTTATCACGGTTTGTCCAGCCTCTGAACATTTATTTGTTTATTTATTTATTTATTTATTCTGCCTTTTTACAGACATTCTTATCGGAGGCCCCAAACTTTCAACTCATCATAGCCCAGCTTCTCATTTCTCATCCCTGTTTCTGTGATCAATTCATAGCCCACGTCTCTGTCCTCACTGACATACTTCTCATCCAGTAACTGGTAAGCTGTGATTCAAGCTCATGACTATTTTTTTAAAAAAATTTCACATCTTTTCCTCTACATTAAACCACTTCCGTTGGAAAAGCCCATGTCCTAAAAACATTTCTGCTCTTGTTGGGACAACACAGTTGAGACATACAATAAAGGTAGAATGGCTCAAGTACGGTAGTTAAAAGCTTAGTTTTTGAAGTGAGGCTCACATAAGTTCAACTCTCAACTCTGACGATTATTTGGGTGACTTTGGTTAAATGACTTAATCTCCAATTTGCACATCTGTAAAATGGGAATTGTAATAATACTGATTCAGGGTGTTTGTGATGTCAAACAAGCTAATGGGTTAGTAAGAGCTCAATAAACAGTAGCTGCTATTAGTATTACTATAGATTTCTAGAAGTCAATATCTAATCAAGGGTTAGATAGTGTATTTTACTATCCCAATGCTGAGATGCCAGGAGAAGACGGAGGGGGAAGCAGAAGTACTTCGGGATCTGAGTTTTCTGCAGGCTCCAAATGAGTTGCTGAGCAATTAAGCTGTTAAGAAAGCCAGGATGGTAAGGATATTTCAGGCATGCACCTCAAGAGTAATAGGGCCTGGAGGTAGGGGTCAATACATCTCTGAGTATAAGGAAGAGGTTAGGGATATGGAGATAAAACCTCCTTTTCAAATTCTGCAACTTGAAACTTGGACTGGCTCCAACATTGTTTAAATTAAATATCGCCATGCTTATATAATGCTCAGCCCAGTCCCAGGCCTATAGTTGATGCTTAATAAGTAATAATAATGATCATTATGATTATGATTATTCTACTCCAGTAAGTTAGCACATTGAAGGGACAGACCATAACAAGGAAGTATCTCCAAAGATACTTATTCTATGAATTGTTGATCCACATCATCAGCATGTTAGAGAACCCTCTTTCAGGGCAAAATCTCCTTTAAATAGTGTGAGTTTGAAACTATGAAATGCATTTCTGACCTTGAGGAGCATAGCATTTAGCAATGGAGTTGGATATAATAGCGATGACAACGTGTATTGAGTGCCTTGTCCTCAATACACAAATAACCCTGCAAAATATCAGTAGCCTGACACAGTAAAGATTTGTTTATTACCCATGCAAAGTTTGCAGCAAGCTCAGTGGCTCTCCAGGGCAGTTCCCTTCTAATCAGCACCTTAGAAGTCTGGTGGGCTTCCATCTTTGACTCTGATATCTTAACACATGGTTTCCCATATTAGTGGAGAGAGCTGGACAGGACAGTCATCTGAGAGCTGAAGACTGCATTTTCCCCAAAGTGACACACATTATTTCTGCTCTTAATCTTGATCAGAATTAGCCATCACAATGGCACGACCTAACTCCAAAGCTTCTGTGCCTATCATAAACGTTATCTTCAAATGTCAAAGATAAGCTTTGAACAAGGAGGAACAAGGTAGTTGAACAAGGTAGGTCTTATTCTCCCCGATGTTATAAATGAAGAGAATTGAACCTCAATTTCCTTCACTTTAAAATGGGCACAACAAGAAGTTTGACCAACTTGTTGTGAAGATTAGAGACAGATTATAAAGGGCATAGGATTATTCTAGGCACAGCGATGTTATAGGAGTTAATAGGGAAGTCACCAGAGCACAACCAGGATGTAACCATTTAGCTGCTGCCTGTACTGGGAATGTATGTCGGGTGGGTGGGTTGTGAGTCAGGAGTCAGACAGCTGGAGTTTGGGATAGAGGAACTGTGTTGAGTGAACTCACAAGCAATGGAGGAGGATGGGGAAATGAGGAAGGTGAGATGAAGCCTGTGAGGTTTTTCCCAGAGATGTCAATCTCAGACTCTACAGGGCTGCCACCTGAGTCTGTCACAGGGCTAGAACTGGGTATGAGTGTGGGACAGCTCTTTCCCTGTCCCATACCTCCACCACCACTAACCAAGTCCAAGATTATCCAAAGTTCAGATCCAGTTCTAAGGACTGCCCGCATCTTTGGCTTCTTGTGTTTCCCCTAAGTTTCCTTAGTTTCCCCTAAGCAGATCCAGAAGTCAATGTGCCAGAGATAAGCCTTGGGTGTGGCAACTCCAAGTCTTCCCACAACCTACCACTCCTGCCCTCTGTATCATTCCTGGGTGCAGGGTTAGAACCCTGACTATCACTCTCATACACAGCACTCCAGTCCTGCCCTAATGACAGAATACACTGGAGTATTCCCTGGTACCATCAGCTTCTTTGCACAGGTTCTGCTACAAGTGACACATATCCATTCTCTCTGCATATAAATATTTGACTTAAGGGAACATATTTATGGGACCATAATGAAGACCTTTGCAAGAAAACAGGGGTGCATTCTCCTTAGGGTTAGCTGGAGATAGGCACTTGTAGGGTGGACCCAGCCTGATAAATTCCACTATTGGAGATTTTAAAAATCTTAACTTGAATTCATAATCCTTTAATGTGTAAATCTTTCAAGGAAAGGTAAAACATTATCAGAGTGTAGGCAAAGTCTTAACAGGGAGCTTCTTGATGAGATTGCCTGTGGCAAAGCCAATGATCAGAACTATGTAGAATAGATGGTGCAAAGTCAGTTTGGACTTCGTAAGACCAGGACTATGGAGAGTTCCTTCCTGGCTTATAGCAATTTCAGAGAGACTTCTAGATCTGCTCCATCTCCTGAAGGCACCACTGCCTTCAAGCCATCTGCATCTCTGGAGAAGAGTTCTCTAGGAGACCCTCATTAGATAATGGAACCTTCATCTCTGAGTAAAGGTGAATATCTTTTCTCTGAATAGAATTGGAGCTCAGTTTGGAGTTTGTATTCAAGAGATCAGATGGATTGAGACCTAAGGACACAGATCTTCTTCCTGGACTTATCTTGATGCTGCTGCTGCTGCTGCTAATGATTATGGTGGTAGTGATGGTGATAGTAATAATGGTGATAGCTAATATTCATTGTATACTTATTATGTTCCAGGTACAGCTTTATGCATTTCATGTGTGTTAATTTACTGAATACCCAGAATAGGCCTAGGAGGTGGGTACTATTATTATAGTGATTCTACAAATAAGAAAATAAAGAGCAGAGAGGCAGGGCTTCCCTGTGCCACTGCACCACACAGCTCCAAGGGTAGTCTATGTCAGTGGTGCCCCCTAGAGTTGTGTAGAGCACAAACTGTGCAGTCAGTCTGCAAAGAGGTTAAGTGACTTACCAATGTCTCAAAGCTAATAACAGGTGGGCTTAGAACCCAGGTAACATATGGCCAGGATTCCTGTTCTTAACCGCTACATTCAATAGGACCCTTTATATCAGGGTTTTCTTCTCAGGTAAGTATACTGTGTCATAAAGGGTCAAGTGGTATTTTTTTAAATTCATTTTTAATCTTTCTTTGCAATTACAAAGATAATGTATGATTCTAGCATCAAACTCAAAGATTACAAAAGCAATCAATGCGAAGTCAAAGCCTCCCTCCCCCATCCCTATCCTCACATTTAGCCCTGTGGATGTCTCTGCCCCACACATTTCCACACTTGTCAGTTTCCTTGCTGACAAGACATAGGAAGGGAAGAGACAATGCTAGATTGACTTGATTGCTATTTGCAGGAGGAAGGGAGATTGATATGGGAAAAGAAGGCAATAAAGCTAGAATTTTATGACAACTTGTTGGCACTGCAGGCAGACTTCCTGCTTGGATCTCTCCTATCTGGAGGGATGAGATGGGGACTCTGTCACATGCACAATTTTGAGATGTATATTTAAAAGAGCTCTACGAATGGGGTTTTCAGAGCTTTTGAATCTTAGTACCACCTATTAGACTCCTGCCGGGAGGACAAATCAAGCCTCAGTACACTGTATCAAGAGCTACATAGATATCTCTGTTCTAATTTTATGCACTCTGAAGATTGTGTGGTGCTTCTGAGCAGTTCCTTGGCCAAAACTATAGCAGCATCTGCTGGGATATTGCTAACCAAGGGACATTCAGCCTAGGCCTGGGATAATCCTCCTAATCTTATAAACAGATACATGTTTTCTCTTTTCCTTTAACAAAATGAGATTATACCACATTTGTCTACAATCAAATTTGCTGTTCAATTCACTTTTATGTATCACACACATCTCCTATGTCAGTACAAAAAACTTACCACTTCACTTCCACTGTGCAGCTACACTACAATTTTTTGTCAACTTCTTGTTGATGGATATTTAATTCTTTCCAATTTCTTTTTATTACTGTCACAAGCAGTGTTATCATAAATGTTCTCACCTACATCCTTTCAGTTTGCACTAATATTTTTATATGAAGGGGAATTGCTGTGTGAAGGGAAATGCCATTGGTTGATTTTAATGATATGGCCAGATGGTGTGGGAAACAAACGAGATGTGTTTTAACATGAGGGCGGAGGCGTAATGGCTTGTAAGTGGTCATGAGGAGCAAGGAGAATGCTGACCTGAGATTTTGTACCTCGGCAGTATGAGAAGCATCAGCTTGAGAAGACCAGGGAGGCAGCGGTGTCCTCTGGGGAGATCTCATTCTCGGTTAATGTGGGAGGTGAAAGAAGTGTTCTGGGAAGAGTTTGAGCTTGTAGGGAAGTCCATTTGCCACAGGATGAGGAGGACTTGGAGGGATGGGAGTGTTAGACTGGATCAGAGCTGAGGGGGCAGAGAGCGGTGTGGGGATGAGAAGGCAGGAGAATATAGAAGCTGGGCGTGAAGGAGGGTCTTCCATATGTGAGGTAAAAAATGGTAGATGACAAGGGAGTGAGGCTGGAGGATTCCTGCTACTAGGGTCAACTGGATCTCGGGTGAAAGTCCTGGAATGTTACCCAAGGCTTGATGACACTTGCAAAGCACAGTCTTGGCACAGGGTTTGCCTTAGGTTTCATTCTTTAGAAAGAGAGCCTGAAATATTTAATATTTGTTGAGGAAGAGCTCCTCAAGAAAACCTGTAACGGGCAGAAGGAAGCAGGAAATAGAAGGAAAAAGAGCCAAGCAAGACTGTGGACTCAGACAGTCTAGCTTTGCCCAACCCAAGGGGATGCTTTGGAGTGTAAATTACACCACAGCGTGATGATTCGGTGAGACAAAAAGGCCAAGTGTTTATCTGCTCATACCAACTGGCCATTAAGTGTAACCTCTCAGACTTCTCCAGGCCAGGAGTTTCCTACATTCCCAGGGCAAATTTTCAGAGGAGGTACTAGTCATAGGCCAACAGCCACAGCAGTTGCAGCAGCAGCAGCAGCAACAGCAGCAGCAACAGCAGCACAGGGGGAAATGTGTGAACAGGTAAAGGGACTTAGAAAAGGCCCAAACAGTAACTACAACATGGATCAAACAGATACTCGGAGCAATCTAATTAGGAGGCCTCCGGAGATGTGCAAGTCAGACATGGGGTGGAGGCAGGATTCACTGGTTCCCAGGAATCTTGCCTCACAGTGGATCAGCAAGAATGCCAGTGGGGTGGAAGAATCCTGCCTTCCTCAGGTGAACAGCTTGCCTAGTCCTGGCTCAGGCACACTTTGGAAGGAACAATTGTTTTATAGTGAGGTGGCTGTCCTGAGAACCAAAGTGAATGACTGATGCTGGTGTGGAGCATCAGAAATTAGCCACCACTTCAGGGCCTGTGGAAGGGGGTCCAAGGTCTCCGTGGAGAGTGTGCAGGTGAACTCTAGATAAGGCCAGGACTGTGCACACCCTTTCTTGTGTCTCTCTACATTTTACCTCCCTAGAGCATCTCCACACCTACCAATGCCCTGGAGGAGTTCCAATGGCATGTGCTTCACACACCCACTTTGGATGCAGCCCCTCATTGGCCATAGCTCTCCTGCTGTGTCTCACACTCCCAAAGATTAAATTTCTGGGGGTGAAACTATGCAGGTTCTGTTTCTTGCCCACTCAATATCTATTCCCTCTTTCTTCCTTGCTCATTGAACCTGATTTTGTTCATAGCAATGATGTGTCCAGTCCTTGTAGACAAGCCAGATTTGTCCCTAATCTGAACATAACAAGACCAGGCTTTGCTCTCCCAGCAAGTAGGGTTGGCTTTTGTACCTTGGTTTTTTTGTTTGTTTGTTTGTTTGTTTGTTTTGCCAGTGGCATCTGGAAGTCTTCTAAGTGGTTCTGGGAAGTTTTCTACCTCCATGATGAAGGGCGAAAGGCAGAGCTGGAGCTGTCTCTCTCTCTTTTCTCCTTCTCCTCTTCCTACCTTGAACACAGGTGCCCTGTCCAGAGCTGTAGCAACCAACCGTGGTCATGAAGCAAAATGCAGATGTAAAGGCCAGGAGAGTCTCAGAGATGCCACCCCTGACATTATCCAGGTGCTGAGCTATTTCCAGAAGCCTCCAGCCTCCAGGCACCTCGGATGTGAGAAAAATAAACCCCTATTTGTTTAAACCACTTTCAACCAAGTTTTCTGTTACTTGCAGCCAAATGCTTTCCTAAGCAATACAGGAGATGACAGGGGTCCAGTCTGAGTTCTCCATGCCCCTATGAGCATGGCATAAAGGATGGATAGCAATCTTTCTGGGAGTCCAGTGCCAGAGTAGAGCCTCCTGCTCAATCCTGGTTCCATCTGGTCCCATCTCCTTCCTCGTCTTGATGGATCATAGAAATGCAAATCTATGATGATCAGTCATAAATGAGGAACAGGCAAGGTGGACCAGCAGAATTAGGAAACAAAACTTGGAAAGATTCCCAGAAGAACAGAGAGAGAGAAATCCTTTTATGGGTGTTTGTTTTTAGGCCCATAGGCTGAGAACCAGCATGTACATTTCTGAGTGGTGACAATAATACCAATTCAAAAACACAACCATAAAAGCAACTGCCATTTATTGAGCATCCACTATAGGCTTGGTGATTCATATTCATTATCTCATTTGCACAACCACCCACCCAATGACATGATTACAATTATATCCATGTTTTTTAAGACAACACTGAGGTTCAGAGAGGTGAGATAATTCACCTAAGCTCACTTCATTAGAAAGGGGCAGTGGCTGAAGGCACACCCAGCCTGTCTGACTCCAGTGTCTGTAGATTTAATCTCCATGGTGCAAGGCATCAGTAGGTGTGGAAATGCTCTAGGGAGGTAAAATGTAGGGGGAGGAAAGGAAGAGGGATGCACAGTTCTGGCGTTGTCTGCAGTTCACCTGCACACTCTTCAGACTCCACAGAGATCTTGGACCCTCTTCCACAGTCCCTGAAGCAATGGCTGATTCCTGACTCTCCACATCCACACCAGCCATTAGACTTGGTTTCCAGAACGGCCACCCCTCTACAAAACAATTGTTCCTCTAAAGTGTGCCCAAGCCAAGACGAGGCAAGCTGTTCACCTGAAGAAGTCGGAATCCTCCCACCTATTGGCACTCTTGCTGTTTAATTGTGGGACAAGTTTCCTGAGAACGAGTGAATCCTGCCCTCACCTCATGTCTGGCTTGCACGTCTCTGGAGGCATCCTGCTGCACACAGCTCAACTCTATTCATTCCAGCAGTGGTGACCAGAGGAAGGCAGAGAGGTGTCTGTCACCACAATTTGCAGGACATGTCCAGATCCTGCCAATTAGAAACATGATTTTTCTCACTCCTTTGCAATTTTGTGCCCACCCCCTATAAGTTTCCAATAAGTGCCCTTTTGGCTTAAATTAGTCAAGAAAGCTTAACTAAAATGACTGTAAATATCAGGTTCCCTTCCTACATACAAAATATGACATGATTAATGGATATTCCATTTACATGCAATGTTATAGAGATTGCACAACGGAAGTAACCCCAAATTTTCTGTATTGCCACAATCACACCATGGACCTTTTTCAGCCTTCATGTCTCAATGTGTTTGCCCACACTACTTTCTCCAACCAGAATGCCCTGTCTCCTTGCAAAAGCCATCTCTTGGGGTAAGCACTAAGCCCATGGTGACCTCTCTTCTCTGAAGCCTTCTTCTCCAGAGGCCATGGATTCAGTGGTTGAGTCTAAGCTACCTGAATTGTGCCTTCAGGTCCAGATAAATAAGCCAAGAATGGACCTCTGAACCAACCTGGGCCAATCAAGTTCTTGTAAAAATCTGGAATTTTGGACCCAAAAAAGACCCAGAGACTAGGAGTTAGTGAAGATGCAAACTCAATGCAAGCTCTATAGAGCGTTTGGCTTCTTGCAGCTCTTGAGATGTACTTGCTCATCTCTTCCTTGGATTCCTTGAAACAACAAGGACTCTCCCAATAGCTGTCTTCTGTTTTAACCAATTAGTCACTTTCTGTTACCTGAAACGAAAACAACTTTATTCAACACACTCCAGATTCTCTGCCCATTTCTTCAAGATTGTTATGTTCCTTTTTTAGGGAAGCCTTCTCGGACCTACTATCCCCTATCAGGCAAATTGCCCCCTTCCTACTCTGTGTTCTCATAATACTTAATGCTCACTTTTTTTTTTTTTTTTTTGACAAGGTCTCATTCTGTTGCCATGGCTGGAGTGCAGTGGCGTGATCTCGCTCATTGCAACCTCTGCCTCCTGGGCTGGAGCGATCCTCCCACCTCAGCCTCCCAGGTAGCTGGGACTGACTACAGGTGCACACCACCATGCCCAGCTAATTTTTGTATTTTTTGTATAGATGGGGTTGCCCGGGCTGGTCTCAAACTCCTGGGCTCAAGTGATCCACCCACCTTGGCCTCCCAAAGTGCTGGGATTACAGGTATGAACCACTGAGCCTGGCCAACGCTCACTTTTACTGCAGCATTTTGTACCCTGTTTTTAATCTGTTGTGTATTTAGAACACGAGTTTCTCAAGGAGAGAAGCAGTCTTATTTATACTGGTGTTCCCAGTATAATCTTAGTGCCTGCCACATAAGAAGTATTTTTAAATTCTTCTTAAATTCTTCTTGAGCACTTGATTAAACAAACGAATGAATAAATGAACAATCAGAGCTAGATTGGAGACAGGCTCCATGAAGGGTTAAACCTGCTTCCTTTGTGGTGTGTAGGTAAACACACAGGGCACATCAGCAGCAAGCCAGCTCCATTCAGCTCACACCTCCGCCACAATGAGCTCCACCAAGCTGTCAGCGTTGCTTTGTCCTGTCACTGCCTGTTGCTTGGAATGAAAGGCCATGAGATGAGGGACTAGAGATTCCCTTGGTTGTACAGGGATTTCTTGTTTTCAGAAGGCCTCACCTGGCAGGTTTCTGGACCTCCCATTGACCCCTGGATGTCTGGAGCAAAACCCTGAGGAGCAGGGAGGGCTCCCTGTCTGCCTGAGGGAAGGGGTCCGAAAGGGAGCCGGGAGCGTCAGAAAGCCAGGCCAACCTGTCTCCTCATTCACAAGAGTTTCATTCTGTCAGTTGTCAGAGAATCTTCTGGCTGTGGATCTGAGCTAAAATTCAAAGACAGTTGCAGCATGGATAAATATGAAACTCCTGGCAGAGTAGGGATTTCCAGAATGACCAATCCAACGAATGTAACTCTGACCTATGTGGCACAAAACAAATGCAATTATAGAAAAGCAGGGCAAGAGTGGACAGATGGATCTGATGTTGATCGAGGTTCATGTGCTCAGGGCACAAGTCATCTGAGAAGCAGGGCCACAGGGCCGGAACCTGGGTTTCAATGGGGCCATAGCAGCTACAACAAACACATGATCTGCCCTGGGAGGCCGTGGTTGTTCCATGTAGATGCTGGATTAGAAAGGCAGAGGCTGCCTAGAGGGAAAAGTTTTCTGAAACAAGGACCCAGGTAAAGGTTGGCTGATCATTTTAACATAATTATGGTGATATAGTAACAATAATAACAGCTAACAAGTCAGGCATAGTTAGTATTCCAGATATGTTATCTCATTGAATCATCACAATATACTTATAAGATCAATGCCTCTATTATCCCTAGTAAACCGAAATGAATACAGCCCTGGATATTACATAACTTGTCTAAGCTCACACAATTGGCAGTGTAGATTGGAGATGCCCGATGCCAGGCACCTCATGCCAAGCCTCCAGGCCATAGATGCTTCCCAGCCCCCTTGAACTCCTTCCTGCCTTGAGACCTTTGCATGAGCTGTTGGCTATTCCTGGGACATTCTCAATAACTAGTAATAACAGTGTAAAAAGATGGAAGCTTTCGCTAAGCTTCTAGTGTGGTAGATCTTGGATCTCAGCATGAATTGCGAGACAGACCAGTCAGTAGAACCTAGAAAAAGTAGCTAAGTCACTGGTAAACAAATCGTAAATGTTTCACCCTCATAGAAAGTTAATAGGATCAGGAGAAAAGGGGATTGAGGAAGAGGGTTTTTGGAGAGAGAAAACTGAGACATGGTGATTTTAACTTACCCAAGGTTACCTGAGAAACAGAATTTGTCATTATGTGGTCTGGGGTAGGCTAATGTTGACCTTCAGTTTCTCCGTCATGGTAGGGACTCAACTGCTATCCATCAAAACCATTTCTTTTTCCCCCCAGGCACATGGCTGGCTAGATGATGTCTCTCAACCTCCCTTGAAGCTAGGTGTGATCATGTGACTGAATTCTGACCAAGGGAATGGGAGTGGGCATGTTTGCCACACAGTCCTCCCACTCAGGATATCTCCTCTCTTTCCACATCTGTTAGCAGGGGTTCTAACAGAGGACTCCCAGACCCTTAGGGGTGCTGGAACCACAAAATGGTTAAACCTGGGCCCAATAATTCCTTCCTGGTAGAGCACCCTCCAAACAACTGATTGGGCTTTTCGTGGGTGAGAAATGAACTTGTATTTTTTTAAGCCACTGGAATTTGGGGGTTATTGCCTGTACTGTCTAATAGCTCTACTGGGAAGAGAATACAGGTAAGCAAGCTCACCGTAACTGCAAAGGGCAATCAATTAGTTAAATCTCTAGTTACAGAGTTAGATGGTAAACCTCATTGCAGAACATCTCCCAGCCTTCATGGCTCCTCTTACATTTTGTGCAATCAATCTATCAATCAGCCTTTAGTAAGTACGTAACTCATGTTACAATCATGAGATTTCCAAAGGATACAGAAAACATCAAACACCCCTCCTTGCCCACCAGAGGTTTTTAAGGAAGACATAACATACCCATGGAAATCTGTGGCAAATGCATGGTACATACACCATTCATGGATCTCCTTGTACCTTACCAGTGGTAGCCCTTGGAATTATGTAAATTAAGACAGAGATGTCAGAATTGCAGAATCTTAGAAGACCCAATTGCCTTCATGCCCCAGGCCAAACCTTACTCAGTGAGAGAGGGCTTTTAAATAATTTACAAGTTACAAAATTGTATCTACCTCCCAGGTCCTTCCCACTGACCCCATCATGCTGTCATCCCAACACTATACCTTCCACATTCCCATGACAACTCACATGACAAGGAGTTGGGGAGAGTAGGTTTACTTATCCATTCATTAAGCAAAAGTTCATGGAGAACTACTAAGTGTGCTAAGTTCTGGACCTATAGCAGTGAACAAAACAGATGAGGAGCTCTGCTATTGGAGAAGAAATATGGAGGGAAATAAAGCAGAGGAAGGAGTTTGGGAGCAACAGAGGTGAAGGGATTGGAGCTGTCTCTGAGGAGGTGACACTTGAGCAAGGTTTGAATTAGGTGAATCATGCAGATCACTGGAGGAGAGATTTCTAGAGAGAGAATACCCACACAAAGGGCCTGAGGTCAGTGTTTGCTTGATACACTGAAAGAAAAACAAGGAGGCCAGTGTGGTTTGAGCAGGTTCAGTGTCAGCAAGAGCCTCAGGAGCTGAGGTCCAGAAGGCAGTGGGGGCCTCTGGCCCTTGTATACCACTGCAAGGCCTTTGGCTTTTTCTCGAGGTGAAAAGGAAAGCTAAGGGAGGGTTTGCTGCTGAGGGGTGATATGACAGGATGTGTATTTTTAAAGGATCAAAATCTCACCCAGGTGCTACACTGAGAATAGATGCAGGAGTGCAGGAGAACCAATTGGAAGAAGACTGAAATAATCCAGGTGAGAGATGATCATGTCTTTGGCCAGGGTGGTAATATCAGCAGTGGTGAAAAGAAGCCTTATTCTGGCTTAATTTTGAAAGAAGAGCCAGCTGGATTTGCTGACAGATTGGATATGGGGGAAGAAGGAGAGGAGTTGAGATAATTCCAAGATTTGAGGCCTGAACAAGTGGAAGAATAACATTGCCATTTTCTGAGATAGGAGGGAGTCCAAGTGGAGCTAGTGTGGTGATAGCTATGAGAAGTTCAGTTTTGGATACTTTAGGTAGAGATGTCCATTAGTTATTCAAGTGGAGATGTTCAATAAATAATCAGATATGTGGCTATTCGGGGGAGATATCTGGGTTGAAGTTACACATTTGGGTGTCCTCTGCCTAAACATGGAGTTTAAAGTCATGAGACCAGATAGGACGACCTAGTTCAGATAGAGAAGAGAAAAAGTTTGAGACTGAGTGAAACTGCACGTCAACATTGAAAGGCAAGAGAGACAAGAGGGAACCAACCTCTAAGTAGGTTGAAATTGCCCAATAAGGCAAGAGGTGGATAAGAAACTAAGAGAAGAAAGTGTTTCAGGCAGGAGGGGGAAAGTGGCTGTGTCAGCTGCTGCTGAGAGGCTGAGGAGGTTAATCACTGAGGGCTGACCTTGGATTAGGCAACAAAAAGTTGCTAGTGACCTTGCAGAGCTGTAGGAATAAAAGCGAGTTGAACAGGTTCGATGAAATGGGAGGAAAGGATGTTGATAGCATACATATGGGCAATGCTTCCAAAACAGTGTTGTAAGGAGGTGTGGAGAGATTTGGGAGGATCTGGGGTAGGAGAGGTGTCATAAAGACTGTTGTTGTTTTAACAATGTTTGCATGATTATGGGAATGATGCCACAGCAAAGGAGAATTGATATGAGGAAAACAGAGGAGATATTGTCAGGATCAATGGATGTCCTTCTGAGACAAGAAGGGATGAAATCTGGTGCATAGGTTGAGAGTGGCCTAGAACAGGAGCATGCACAGCTCAACAGGAGGGAAGGCAGCACGGGCAAAGATGCAGATACCGAGGCTCTGAAAAGCTGTGAAAGTTATCCTCTGAGCCTGTCCATGTTCTCAGGGAACTAGGGAGGAAGGCTAGTACTAAGAGTGAGGAGGAGGAGAAGGAAGAGGAGGTGTGAAATAATTATTCAGGAGATGGAGAGAGAGCAGGAGTCAGGGTCTGGTGCCTAATTATCAGATTGTGTTAAGGGTCTCTTTGACTTGGGTGGACATACACTGAAGAGGAGAGCCCTTAGAGGTTTCCCTCCAGCCACATCTGGCTGTAAGGATGCAGGGGTGAAGGCAGGCAGAGAGTTGGGTGTAACTCCAGCTGGGTTAAGGCAGACAACTCTGACAGTGAAGGCCACCTTCTCAGAAAAGAGAGTGCACCAATGCCACATTCACCTTGTGTTGCTCCAGAAGATCTCTTGTAATAGGATGCCTTTGTGCACTTGGAATTTTATGCAGTTTAAGCCTAGGAATAGTGGTTGTTAAGGTTTACTTGGTTCCTCTCATATGGAACTCAGGGGCAGCTCCATCCCCTTTCTAAACAGCTTGAGAGATGGAGGGACAAGGACTAGACCCAGGTATCCAGGCTTGCAGCTCAGGCCAGGGCAGTGGACAGGGGCTAAAGGACTGAGAACGTTCAGGGTGTAGGACCAGGGACTGTGCTACCTTCATTGGTGTGGCAAGAAAGGAAGGTACGAGTCAATGGCAGCACCAGAGGTATAGAGACTGACCCTACTTAGAGGGGCTGAGCTACTTAAAAATCAAGAATGTCCACGAGCCATGATGCAGACACTCATCTCACCCAGGAGACCCCTCAGGCCCTCGGAGAAATAGATATCCCACCCCGGGCCACACTGTGTTTCCCCAACTCACCTAGATCCCCAGATGAGTTCGCTCCAGGGACTGTGCCTTGTAAAGGCATTCTAAGCACTTTACAAAGACTCCATGGTAACCTTATGAGGCTGGTGCTCTCATTTCCCCATTTTGCTGATGGAAACACTGAGACACAGACAGAGTAAGATACTTGTCCAAGGCCACAACATAATAAGTAGTAGAGTCAGAAGTGGCATCTCAGCAGTTCCTATAAAGCCCAGGGATTCCACCACTACTATGCATACATGCTGCGTCTCAAGCCACACAAATACCACAGAACCCTGGGCTTTGCTGTTTATCTCAGTGCCTCATGCAAAATGGCAGATTTTCTAAATTTAGATACCAGATGGGAAAACATATTCCCACTTATAGCCTAATTTATAAAAGGCTCTAACTTAGCTCAAGTTCTGGAGGCAACATAGTCTAACAGAGGTATTCTAACCCAATTATGGAGTTGGAAAAGGGAGGAATGATGGCTGGTAATTCACAGCCAGCCTGCCTTAATTTGTTGGCAAATGGGGGTGGGAGAAAGTTTGCCTCAATTTCTAAACTTCCTCATAATTAACAATATTGTGACTCAACATCACATCCACACACGCCCACAAATGTTTGCATTTTGGCATGACAAGGGCGGAAGCCATATCCACCATGCTTCTCTGTGGTTAACCAGGGAGATGGCCTCATTGATCTATCCAAAGTGTTATTAGGGAAATGCCTCAGCCAAATATTTTAAAAATCACTGCGTTGTTCCCCAAACTGTTTTCCTCAGTTATCTTAATCTTCCGATTCCCATGCCCTAAAAGCCCCCAGTCACTGTGCGGTATCAACGATCACACTCAAACTTGCCCAGCTGCTAGAATCCGGCCACAGCTGCATCATCAACATAACCCACTCTTACTGGGATATGCTAGTTCCTGATGTGGCAAATGCGCTTTTGGTAAGAAGCATCAAATCTCCTCTTGTTTAAGTGGCTGGGGTTGGTCATTTTGCTTTTCGCAAACCCTTAAGAGGATACACTGACCCAGGGGCTCCTACAGGAGAAACTAGGTCAGTCAGTAAGGGAAGTACCTAACAGAGATGCTTCAGGGCCCATGAAAGTGCACAGTCTCCGGAGCGAACTCAGCTGGGGATCTAGGTGAG
This sequence comes from Homo sapiens, assembly GCF_000001405.40. Lineage (NCBI taxonomy): Eukaryota > Metazoa > Chordata > Mammalia > Primates > Hominidae > Homo > Homo sapiens. The sequence goes on along the minus strand of NC_000001.11, from coordinate 34,330,702 downwards.
TTGGGGAAACACAGTGTGGCCTGGGGTGGGATATCTATTTCTCTGAGGGCCTGAGGGGTCTCCTGGGTGAGATGAGTGTCTGCATCATGGCTAGTGGACATTCTTAATTTTTAAGTAGCTCAGCCCCTCTAAGTCAGGTCTCTGTACCTCTGGTGCTGCCATTGACTTGTACCTTCCTTTCTGGTTGCACCAGTGAGGGTAGTAGAGTCCCTGGTCCTACACCCTGAAAGTTCTTGGTCTTCTAGCCCCCATCCACTGCCCTGGTCTGAGCTGCAAGCCTGGACACTTGGGTCTGGTCCTTGTCCCTCCATCTCCCAAGCTGATTGGAAAGGGGATGGAACAGCCCCTGAGAAGTTACCCTACCTCTCCCTTCGACACTGGCTTCCTGGGAACTATTGGAATGTTTCCAAGAGCAAAGAAAGGAAAAAGCAGCTGTTGGTGCCCTCAGGGAAAAGCGATCCCACAGTGAGGGTCAGGAGTGAACTGTTGTAGCTTCTGTGAAAACACACCCCAGAGCTTCGGGGAGGAGGCATCCAGCACACAGCCTGGAATTAAGAGGCTCAAAAACTCCTAGTGCCACCTTCAAGGCCTGGCACATAGCAGTGGTTCTGAAGTCTTGCCTTTATGTTGCCCCAAAGTGGCTCTCCCATTGCAACTTTTGAAAGAAATTTACTTAACTGATACATTTCATTGAAGAGAAGTTAGGAAAGCTAAGATAAAAGGGGGGGAAATCCTATAATCTTACAACATGAAGCTAGACAGCTTCCCATCTTTACATTTTTTACATATTTCCACCAAGACCTCTAGGTGTACATCTACACATAAATATATTTTACACAGATGGCTTTGTACTATATGTACTATTTTGCAACCTTCCTTTCCACTTGACAATACATCATGTTTGGCTTTCAATGTCAGCACACACAGCTCTACATCATTCTTGATGACTACATTGCAATCCTTTGGGTCGATAGAGTAAAATTCATTTAACCAACCCCCTACTGTTGGATATTTATGCTTCTTTCAATTTTTTTCTATAATAAACAAAGCTATAGTGAATATGTTTGTACATATAGACTGTGCCCTTGAGGAACTCACAGTATAAGAATATGAGAGAGGGGATTCCATTGTTTTAGTTTATGGTAGATGAGAAAACATCCGTTGTTTTTAAGAACAATCATAATAATAAAAGCCACTTTAATTAAGCATTTACCTTGTGCCAAGCACCGTGCTAAGGGCTTTATGCTCAAACGCCATTTGGTCCTTACAGATATCCTGCAAAGCTGATATTATTAATATTACTATTTTTCAGAAGAGAAAATGGAAGCTCAAAAGAAGGAAGTGATTTACCCAAGGTCACACAATGAATAAGCAGCAGAGAGAGAATTTACACCTAGGACTGTAGACTTCAAAGCCCAAGCTATAGGCTAAATGCTAGACTTTATTGTGACAGTTACTTGGAATTCATATTCCTGGATTTTAGCCTCAGACCTAATCCTTATCAGGACCAGGTTTAAATAATAAACCAGTATAACAGACCACCTGCAGATGGTCAAATGGCTGCAAGTTCTTTCTCTTCCTGCATGCATACCTCTATGCAACATGGATTCAAACTCCTTCCTTGGAGAGTGAAGCCTGTTTTCCAGATGCTGAAATCAATGCTGGCCTTTGTGACTTGCTTTAAACAATAGAATGGGGCAGATGGGATGTTGTGCCTATTCAGAGTTTAGGCCTCAAGAGAGCCCCTCAGCTTCTGTACTCACCTTGAAATCCTGCACAGCCATGCATACAAGCTCGGGTTAACCTCCTGGAAGACAAGAGATGTGTAGCTCACTAGGCTGGCAGAACTTAGCTGACTGACAGGTGACTGAAGCTGCCAGAGGGAACCCAGCCTAGACCAGCAGAACCACCCACTGAATTGTGAGCTGGTAAATGCTTATTGTTTTAAGCCTACAAGTTGTAGCATGGTGGTTACGTAGCAAAAGCAAATGAGTAGACTGCTGCCAGGTTGGGTTATATATGGTTGATGCAGTCTGGGAGAGAGGGGGCTCTGGTGGGGATTGTGAGCCACGTGGCTAGGAAGGCTTCACAGAAGAGGTGACAGCTCATGCACGGCAGGGCATGCAATAAACAGCAAAGCCTCCTGAAGCAGAACAGGGAGGTGGGCCTGCATGTGCAATTAGATAAACCTCTCCGCTGGAGGTGCGGGTTGCCACGACATCTCTCCAGAGCCTGAATTAAACAGAAACCTCCCTCCAGCCGGAAAGGCAGCTAGTTGTCATTTACACACCAATGCGGAAAAATAAAACACCTGGCAGATTCCCTGGCAGCCTCTTGCAGGTCTACCCTGGAGAAGAGATAAGTTAGATGATGTTCTCCCTTTCAAGTGGAGAATTGGAATTCCAGTCCTGGGCCACAGGGAAATGTTGCTTCTTCTCCAGCTTCTCCTCCCCCTGACTGGAGTTCAGCCCTGAGGCATCCTGTGCCCTGGGAAGTCCCAAAAGAACAACGCTTTTTCACACCATCCACGAGGAATGTTGTGCAAAGTATGTTTCCTAGTAGTCCTTACACAGGTGACCCTACTGGGTGTTCTTAGCAGTGTCCTGTTCAAAGAATTGAGCCAAATAATCTCCCAACATGTCATGTCACCATTCATTCATTCACTCACTCATTCATTCATTCATTCATTTCACAGACACTCCCAGCCTAGGCACTGTGCTGCACCTAAGATGCCCTTGTGAGGCTCACAGCCTAGTGTGGAAGGCAGACACAAGTAGGAGCTTGGGATACATAAAATCCCACATTTATTAACATTTATTAGCCACCTCTTTCTTTGTTGCTTCCCCTGGTTACTCAATAAACGTGCCTATTTATTTATTTATTTATTTATTTATTTATTTATTTATTTATTTATTGAGACGGAGTCTCTCCCTCTCGCCCAGGCCGGAGTGCAGTGGCCTGATCTCGGCTCACTGCAAGCTCTGCCTCCCGGGTACAAGTGATTCTCCTGCCTCAACCTCCTAAGTAGCTGGGTTTACAGGTGCATGCCACCACACCTAGCTAATTTTTGGGGTTTTTTGTTTTTGTTTTTGTTTGCTTTTTTTGAGACGGAGTCTTGCTCTGTCGCCCAGGCTGGAGTGCAGTAGCACCATCTCGGCTCACTGCAAGCTCCGCCTCCCGGGTTCACGCCATTCTCCTGCCTCAGCCTCCTGAGTAGCTGGGACTACAGGCGCCTGCCACCACGCCCGGCTAATTTTTTTTGTATTTTTAGTAGAGACGGGGTTTCACCATGTTAGCCAGGATGGTTTCGATCTCCTGACCTCGTGATCCGCCCGCCTTGGCCTCCCAAAGTGCTGGGATTACAGGCATGAGCCACCGCGCCCGGCCCACACAAGGCTAATTTTTGTATTTTTTAGTACAGACGGAGTTTCACCATGTTGTCTTGAAAAATGTGTGCCTTGTCTAAGCTAAACCTAGGTGAGAAAGTAGGTGGTTTGAAAAGTGGACCGGGAGTAGACCCTGTATGGTCTGGGCTAGTGATGCAAGCAGTGAGCAGTCTACTCTAGCATGGATGGAAAGGACCCTCAGGAGCTGAGATAGTGAGAAGAGAGAGATGATGGAGGGAGATGCGAGGAGAGGGTGTGCGGATGCTGAAACCCGTGCATTTCTGGGTTTTGGTAAAGCAGGGACTAGGCAGAGTTGCTGAGGCTTCCTTCTTGTGAGGAAACCAGGATGATAGGTTGGGATCCAAGAGCACTGTTACCTGGTATTGTGCCATCATGCAAATAGGAATAATTTTCCACACCTAAAAGTATTTTTGGCAGTGTTTATGAATGCCCTATAGTACTGGATTTATGGAAGGTGTCAAGAGCTAAAGAGGATTCTGCCTTCTGGAACTTGTGGTCTATTGGCAGATAGACCTGCAGACAAATTGTTGCATTCCAACGCGATAGACACTGTAATGGGAGTAAGCCCAGGATGCTCAAGGAACCTAGGAGAAGGGTCTGGGTGGGGCAGGGAAGGGTTTGTAGTTGACTTGGATGAGTAGGAGTTTTCAGCTGATGAAGAGGCTATCAGGAGGGATAAGGAATTAAATATTAAGACACCAAAATATAGCAGAATGAAGGAGCATAGAACAATCCAGCGTCCCTGAATATAAAATGTACAGAGTGCAGTGGGAAGCAGGCTGGAGAGAGGTTCACACGGGCCAGACCACCCAGGGATTTATGAGCCGATTGGAGGAGCTTGGACTTTATCCTGTGGAAAATGGGGAACCCTTGAAAATCTTCAAGCAGAGAGTGACTTGATCAGAGTTGTCTTTTAGGAAGAATTCTCTGGTAGCTGTGCAGGGAATGGTTTACAGAAGAGTAAGACCAGGGCACTTATGCCAGCTAGGAGATACCATAGGAATGTCAGCAAGAGTTGCTTGAGACAGCATGGTGGGAGAGGATCAGGGTAGTGGTTATGTGCAAAAGCTCTGAAGTCAGCTTCCAGAGTTCAAAGCCTGCTGGGATCCCTTACCAGCTGTGTGACCTTGAATAAGTTACTTAACCTCTCTGCACTTGACTTTCTTCATCTGTGAATGAGAGATAATAAAAGCAACTACCTGATAGTAGTTATTCTATGAATGAAATGAGATGATCCATGTAAAGCACTTAGAACTATCCCTGGTACATTGCATATACTCTATAATTACTAATTATCCTTATTTACTCCATTAGACTTGATGATTTGGTATGGACAGTGAGCTAGAGGGTATCTAGACTTGCTTCTACAGGGCTGGCTAGGATAATGCCATTCTCAAGAGTAAGAAATAGGAGAATATTACAAAAATAAAGTAAGTTTACTCCCTTTCAGGAGAATGAAAGTGGTTTCCAGTGCACAGAACTAAGATTCTGCTCCTTGCTTCTCTCTGAGGACTCCTGCTTATGCTGTCTTAGTTTTGTGTAGGTAGACTAGATTCCTGCCCAAGACTAAGAGCAATAAAGGACATCTGCAGAGACTCTATCATACCCTCTTGTTCTTTTTAAACTTCACAATAAGCTTGCAATCCAAGTAAGACAGGTATAACTATTGTCCCCATTTTTAAAGACAGAGAAACTGAGGCTCAATGCCATTGCCAAGGAAAGAGAGCTCAAAAGGGAAAGAGCCACAAGTCTGATACTCAGGTTTCCTGCGCCTCAAATCCAGTGCTCTTTCCAATCCACATTCTTCATGGGCTTCCCAAAGCCTATGTGATTGTGATACCAGGGCGCCCCATAAATCTGATCTCCTTGTCCCTCAAGAGTGGAAGGGGCTTTCTCATTCCCACAAGAAGGATGGATCAGGGTGGTGCCTCAGCTTTGCTTGAATTTCCATAGAAGGAATTCAGCACCTTGAAATCCCTTGCTACAAGCCCAGAGGTTTCTGACAACAGTGAGAGCAGGGAGGAGGGAGAAGTGTAATACTTAGCACCCTTTGGAGAATGGCCCAGAAAAGAGCAGCCAGGAAGAACTGTTAGTCTTCCCCAAGCACTGTTTTCCACTGCCAGACATTCATCATCTCGTCGAATGTTCACAGCCACCATGAGGTAATCAATACCATTTCTATTTTTCATATGAGGACACCGAAAGCCAGAGAAGTCGGGTATTCAGATTCCAAATCATTGTGCTGAGGCAATCCTGCCTTCGGCTGAAGAAATAGGGAGCGGGGACAATGCGTCAGGACGGCCTCTTTTTACTCAGCGTGAGCTTTGTTACTCACCCGAGGTGTTCTACCTTGAATCATGGCTTTTGTGAGGAAAACCAGGTGAGTTAAGTCCCATTAAAGGGGTTCTATGGAGTAGTAGGAGTGGGGGAAAGAACATGTTTTTTTCACAGGGCTCAGTGTGTATCTGACTCTCACCTGTATTAACAATAGTAACTAATTAAGAAGGAGCATGCTAACTGCCACGAAATGTGATCAGTACTTTTTATACATTATTTCACTTAATACCCCGAACAACCCTATGAATTGTGTTCTACTATCATTATCAATTTTCCATCTGAGAAACCTGTGGCTCCAAGAAGTGGAGTAACTGATTGCTCTAAGGTCATAGGGCTGTTAAATGGCAGAGCCCTGTCCCTGTGTTCTTAACTCACAGTTTATGCTGCCTTCTGAAGTTGAAGAAAACACCCCTGCTAGTTGCAGGAGAGAGTGGTCATGGCACATAGACCATCCATGCATGATATGTGAATTCTCCTTGGAGGTAGCTCCTGAGGCTAATCCCCCAAATGAGCCTAGAACAGGCACTTCCAACCTTGAGTTCCGTCCATGAATGGGGGTCCATGACTTACAGACCTATACCAAACCCATAACTAAGTTGCATAGACTGTTGTTTAATAGGTGGACAGTGATAGCACAGGCCACGCAGTATGAAAGACAAAAGATTGGCTGGATGCGGTGGCTTGCGCCTGTAATACCAGCACTTTGGGAGGCCAAGGTGGGTGGATCACGAGGTCAAGAGATCAAGACCATCCTGGCCAACATGGTGAAACCCCATCTCTACTAAAAATACAAAAATTAGCTGGGCGTGGTGGCACTTGCCTATAATCCCAGCTACTCAGGAGGCTGAGGCAGCAGAATTGCTTGAACCCCAGGGGCGGAGGTTACAGTGAGCTGAGATCACACCACTGTACTCCAGCCTGGTGAGAGAGTGAGACTCCGTCTAAGAAAGAAGGAAAGAAAGAAAGAAAGAAAGAAAGAAAGAAAGAAAGAAAGAAAGAAAGGAAGGAAGGAAGGAAGGAAGGAAGGAAGGAAGGAAGGAAGGAAGGAAGGAGGAAGGAAGGAAGGAAGGAAGGAAGGAAGGAAGGAAGGAAAAGAAATAAAGAGAAAGAGAGAAAGACCGAAGATTCTAATTCCATCACTTAAGAGCTCTGTGACTTTGGGGAAGGAATTTACTTTGTTTGAGTCTTAGAACACTTGTTTATAAAACAAGACCCATAAGAATGCCTATCTTTCTGGTAACTATTGCTTTGTAACAAATTACTCCATAAGTTAGCAGTTTAAAACAACTGCTCATGACTGTGGGGGTCATGAATTTTGGAAAAGCTAGGGGATGGGCAGATATGTGATTGCAATATGATTGCATATGATTGCACATGTGAATCCCATATGATTGCAGTATAATGTCACCCGGGGCTGCTGCATCTGAAGATTCAATTGAGCTGGACATCCAAGGTGGCTCACTCCTGTGCCTGGACACCCAGGGTTTCTAAGTCCCATACCTGAACATCTAAGGTGGCTCACTCCTGTGCTTGGACATCCAAGGTGGCTCACTCTTGTGCCTGGACACCCAAGGCAGCTCAGTCCCATGCCTAGACATTTAAGGCAGCTCACTCCCATGCCTGGACACCCAAGGCGGCTCAGTCCCATGCCTAGACATTTAAGGCAGCTCACTCCCATGCCTGGACACCCAAGGTGGCTCAGTCCCATGCCCAGACTCCCAAGGAGGTTCACTCCTATGCCTAGACACCCAAGGCAGCTCACTACCGTGCTTGGACACCCAAGGTGGCTCACTCCCATGCCTGGACACCCCAGGTGGCTCACTCCCATGCCTAGACATCCAAGGCAGCTCACTCCCATGCTTGGACACCCAAGGCGGCTCACTCCTGTGCCTGGACACCCAAGACAGCTCACTTCCATGCCTAGACACTCAAGGAAGCTCACTCCTGTGCCTGGATATCCAAAGTGGCCCACTCCTATGCCTGGACACCCAAGGCGGCTCACACCTATGCTTGGGCACTCAAAGCAGCTTGCACAAGAGAGTGTCTCTTCTAGCAAGGGGAAGCTGTACCACTTTTTATGACCAAGCCTCAGAAATCAACAAATTACTCACTCTGTGCTCTATTGATTATGACCAAGTTAGACGGAAGCCAGGTTCACAGGGAAGATAATTAAATTATGCCTCTTAATGAGAGTTGGGGCAAGTGGAGAGGTTCTAGAAGGACAAGTGAAACTGGTGGTATTGTTGAGGACATCTTTGAAAAATACAGTCTGCCACCCTTGCATTATGGTATAGTACATGAATTAAACAAGACATTGCATGGAAAGTACTTAAGACAATGCTTTGCATATAGAAAGTGCTTGATAAAGTTAGCTGTTGTTATTAGATGTGACATGTCTGAGAGATGTCTTTCAACATAGCAAGATGGTAGAAAGAGGTGAGGAGAGAATAAATGGAGAGATTGGTGGTGAAATGTTGGCAGCATTGGCTCACGTCAATGGCAAAGAAGATAAGCTTTCCACAAAGAGCAGAATCACTCGACCATTTAATGAATAAATGGGCCCTAGTGGAGAGCAAATGTCAGGACCTCTGGGAGAGTAAAGGAGTGGATTATCAGTTTTGTGCTGGCTGAAGGGCCTGAAGCTTTTAGTACGAGAAGGTGCAATCCAGGAGCCAGGAAGAAAGAAGTGAGAATGAGGACAAGACTGATAGAGGCTGAGACTCCAGGTGGGAGCTGCACATACTGGGCTCCTACTGTACAAGAAGAAGAGAAGACAAGTCTTGGGAGGGAGAAAGAGCCCACCTGGCCTGGCAAGGGGGACCCTCGTGCAGTTCAAGGTTGTACAGCTCAATCCACCGAGACTGGATAGCTTTGGACTTGTGTCTGGGCTGGTTCTTGAGGACAAGGACATTAGCTCACAAACCTGTTCATTTCAGGAGATAGGGGGATGGAGCTGCAGGTGTTTCCACCTTAGTTTCCTAGAACACTTCCTAACCCAAGAATTCACAACAGCGTGTGAAGAATATCTGGATTTCCTGAGAAAGTCTGAGAAAACACTTCTCTGTTTTACTATTACTCTGAAAATAGAATGCAAACTCCATAACATAGCCTGCAAGACCATGCATAATTTGGTCTCTCCTATTTCTACACTCTCATCTTGAACTCTCCTACTCACTAGAGTTTAGTTTCATTGAGCTTCTTCCAAATCCCAAAGCATTAAACTTGTTCTTGCCCCAGGACTTAGGCGCATGCTCTTTCCTCCACTTAGAATGGTCCTCTCCTCTTCCCTTTGCCTGCCTATACCACTTTTCCTCCAGATCTCAGCTAAGACATCACCTCTTCAGTGAGGACTTACCCAATCATCTAAACTCAACTGGATTCCCTTCTTATTCTCTTTTTAAAAACACCCTGTCATTTCCTTGATATCATTCATCACATTTTTTGTATTTATGTATTAGACTATCTCTTTGTTTATTGTCCGCTTCTCCCACTAGAATGTGGGCTATATAACAGCAGGGCCATGACTGTTATTTTTTCTCTATAAACCTAGCACCTAGACAAGTGACTGGTACTCAGCAGCTATTCAGTAAATGTTAGTTGTGAGGAAGTCTATAACCTTAGTATGGGTGAGGTAAGGGGTATGGACATTGTCCTCTCTGAGGCCACAAAGTTAGGGTAAGTGAAAATGTACTGGCATCTTGGCAGTGGTGGTGGCCTTGACCCCTCAGGTGAGACCCTGTGGATTGGGAGCTGAAGGGTTTTTGTTCCTTATGGTGAAGACTCTGGAAAAATGGCTGTATTTGAAGCTAATGTCTCTTCTCTAGTGTGCTCTTTTTGAGACAGTTTTCCAGGAAATACTTTTCCTGTGCAGACAAATGTATGTGTTTTCTGATGTTAGAAAACAAAACTCTATTGCCCAATGTGCTATTGCTACCAAGAAATAGACTCTAATTTATGATCTGCCACTTGAGATGGGGTCTGCCGGGGCCTGGCATCATCTGCTCTTTTAGGTCAGATTGCTCTCCTTGGTCCTAAAATGCCCTGGCTTTACAAAGTGTCCTTGCAGAAAGAAGCCTGCATCTCAAAAGACTTAAGAGTACACAAATTCACATGTACATGCACACACACACACTCCGGTACAGCACACACTCACATTATTAACTCATTCACATGTACTCTCATGAATGGCGAGATGGCAAAACTCATTTGAAACATATGCATTAAACTTCTATTATATTTGTGCCAAGACTATGATAGTTTAGGCTGTTTTTGGAAATAAGAGGGATTACATCACCTGAAGTAGATTGTTTGCAAAAATATCTACAATTATTTCCCTCTCTGTGTCCATGCTTCTTACAATGTGACTTTGCACCTCCTCCCAGGTAGAAGTGGAATCTATTTCCTCACCCCTCAAATCTGGGCTGGCCTTGTGACTTGCTTTGATCACCAAAATGTGACATAAATGAAGATGTGCTAGTCCCAGGCCTACCTTTCAAGAAGCCCCAAACCCTTTCTTGGAAACTTGCCAAGTTGCTATGTGAACAATCCCAAGCTATGCTGCCAGAGGATGAAAGACCACATAAGGCAGAGATAAGCCATCCTAGCTGGGCCCTTTCTAGACAAATCAGTTCCCATCAGACAGCAGACACATGGTGGGGGCACTGCTGGAAGCACTGTCATCCCTCCCAGGCCAGAACTGCCTAGCCAGTTGACGGGCTTGTGAGTCATCATGAATGGTTATTGTTTAAAGTCACTATGTTTGGGGTGCTTTAAAAGAGCTAACAAGTCATTTCCTTACATGAAGGACTAAATCCAAACTTTTCCTGAAAGTAATATGTCCTTAAAAGTCAGACATCCCTGTTTTACTAAAAGTCAGGGATGTCTGACTTTTAAGGACATATTACTTTCAGGAAAAGCAATTCTACTCATGACTGTTAAGCCCCAGGGGAATATAGTCAAGGAGTGCTGCTTTGCAAACAAATATACCTAGGTCTTTATTATGACTTTGCCACCAGCTGACTGTGTGACCTCGGGCAAGTCACTTGACATCTCTGGACCTTGATCCCTTTATCTGTATATTGAAAGAGCAAGTTTAGCTAATTTTAGGCCCTTCAGGCTCTGCAACACATTCTGTGGTTCTGTGATTCTCAGTCTCTGCCATTTTCACTTATAAAACAAGAAAGGATAATCCATGATTCTTTCTATCTTGCAGGATCATGCAGAAGGATGAAGTGCTATTTCCTCAGTGGCACCTTCAGTGCTACTGACACTTTCAAGAATATGCGTGTCTATGCAGCAGAAACAGACACCCTGAGATGCTGGATTTGAGATAATTCACTGAGTTTTATCAACATATGTGAACACACAGATTTTCAGCTAATATTAGAAGTTGAGATGAGACTGATTAACGTGACTCCTAGGCAGGCCTCATCATATCTCCTAAAAGAAGTGCAAGCATCCTATTTGAATACATACCCTGGCCCTCCTCCTTTTTCCCTTGAGTTCCCTCTTGAGGTTAATAAAACTTGATGTATGAGATGACGTTGAGTGTCCCAGGCCCAAAGAAGTTCAGGATGAGTACAAACATGTGCATACCGTGGTTAGAAGATAAGATTGCTTGGAGTTCTTTGCTTCATTCTGACCACGTGCAGATCAGCATAGATGGTGAGTGAGGAAAAGCTCTTCCTGTGGACACTTCTGAATAAGTTCTAATAACTTGACTAAAATTTATTCCAGAAATAAAATATTCAGAGTGCTCAATTAGAAATAAAAAACTGGGCTCTGGCTTGAGATGGTGTTGGTGGGTGAGGATTCAGCATTGCAGGTAGACTATGGGACTGAGGGATCAAGATCAGGCATTCCCATGAGGAGATACCAAAGTCAAGCCCAGTCAAGAGCTGTCAATTCAAAGTCCAGGGGGAAACCAAGGTCAAGGACTATGCACTACAGTCAGCATCAATGCCAGCACACAACAGAGAGTAAAGCAAGCGGAGAGCCTTCGGCTGGAAGTATCTAAAGGCCAGATGACTGGTGTAATTTTCAGAATTTTTTTGGCTGAAAATTACAGAAAATCCAACCCAAAATGACTTAATCAGGAAGAAATTTGGTAGATTACAAAACTGAAAAGTTCAGGGGGTTGGATTATTTCCAGGTATGGTTTGATACAGAGATTGAACAATGTCAGCAGAACCCAGTTTTCTCTGTCTCTTTCAGCCATGTTCAGCCCCATTCTCCCAGATACGTTGGCTTTGACAGATGCCTCCTTTGTGGCCATAAAAAGACTTCATCAGATCTTTCATCCTCTACAATATAGAAACAGCAGAAAGAGACTCATATTCTCTCTCTCTCTCTCTCTCTCTGTTTCTGTCTCTGTCTCTCCCTCTCTCTCTCTCTAATCGTTCACAAGAAGTTTTGGGTCTGACTCTTTGTGGCCCAATGGGGCCAAATAATCACACTTGAATCATCCCAGTGCTCAAAGTTATGCCATGCACTGATAAGCTTAGAATAATAAGGGCCTGCCCTGAGAGCTGGCAGAGATCAACCCCACCCATACTGCAGGAACTTAAAGTGGAGGAAGAATAGCTCCCCAAAGGAAACTCAAGATTCTTTCTTTAAATAAAGAAATGGGTCAATGAATGCTTGAAAAAAAACCACAGATGTTCACTGTAGGCAGCTAGGGATAGAAATATGGAACAAGAATTAGAAGACTTCCAGCATGAAAGGCTAAGATTTTCTGAAAGAGAAAAAGTTGTTGCAAGCTGGCAGAAGTCTAGACAATGAATGTTAGTAAAAATAAGATAAATCATAGCTAGAGATGAAGGAAACAGGCTTCTTGGAGAGCTCCTTCTAGACTGGAAGGCTCTGGCATTATAGCATTTCAGATCTTCTGGACATAGGGTCCAGAAGGATTTGCCAGCCTAGTTTTGGGTACCATTAGAGAATACACCTGAAACTATGAAAATAATCAAATGGAATTGATATTTCCAAGGACTAGGACTCAGGGTAAAGACAAGCTGCCCTGAAATAAACAAGTTGGATTTTTTTAAAAACCTAGACATTTTAAGACATATCAAGCAGGGCTCTGTTTCAGTTGTACTTTGTATATACCTCAAATGCAGACTGCAGATGCAAAGGAGGTCACATTTAATGCTCAAATTACCATAGCTCTGAGCTCCCACCTGCTGGATTATAATATTTATAAAATAGGATTACAGTCTTCTCTACAACTCTGTCACACTCTGTCACCTAGGCCCAAAGCAACTCTGCTTGTTCCTCAAGTCCATGATATCTCACAGCAAAACAATTCAATCACTCACTCGCTTTAGCCCTCTCACCAGTGAAGCTTAAACCTGCTGTCTGTAACCAAGCAGAAACAGATATCATGCCATCTCTCTTTCAAGTGTCTTCCATGTCTATCTAGTAGCTAGACTACAATAAACTGCTATCCTCCTTGCATAGCTTCTCAGTAGACAAAAAGAAATATAAGTGGGGTGTATTAGTCCCTTCTAACACTGTTATAAAGAAATACTGGAGACTGGATAATTTATGGAGAAAAGAGATTTAATTGGCCCACAGTTCTGCAAGCAGTACAGGAAGCATGACTTGGGAAGCCTCAGGAAACTTACAGTCATGGCAGAAGGTGAAGGGGAAGCAGGCATGTCTTACATGGCTGGAGTAGGTAAAAGAGAGAGAGGGAGAGGTGCCACACACTTTTAAACAACCAAATCTTGGGAGCACTTACTCACTATCATTAGATCAGCACCAAGGGGCAAATCTGTCCCCCCATGATCCAATCTCCTTCCACTATGCCCCACCTCCAACACTGGGGATTACAATTTGACATGAGATTTAGGTGGTGACACAGAGTCAAACCATATCATTCTACTCCTGGCTCCTCTCAAATCTCATGTCCTTCCCACATTTCAAAATACAATCATGCCCTTCCCAAGAGTATCCCAAAGTCTTGCATCATTCCAGCATTAACTCCAAAGTCCAAAGTCTCATCTGAGACAAGGCCAGTCCTTTCCATCTATGAGCCTGTAAAATAAAAAACAAGCTAGTTACTTGAAAGATACAATCAGGATATGGACATTGGGTAAATACTTTCCTTCCAAAGGAAGAAATTGGCCAAAAGAAAGGGGCTACAGGCCCTGTGCAAGTCCAAAACCCAGCAAGGCAGTCATTAAACTTTAAAGCTCCAAAATAATCTCCTTTGACTCTGTCTCACATCCACGGCACACTGATGCAAAGGGTGGGCTCCAAAGGCTTTGGGCAGCTCCATCCCTGTGGCTCTACATGGCGCAGCCCCCATGACCACTCTCAAGGGCTGGCATTGAGTGCCTATGGCTTTTTCAGGCATGTGGTGTAAATTGTCAGTGTATCTACCATTCTAGGGTCTAAAGGACAGTGGCCTTTTTCTCACAGCTCCACTAGGCAGTGCCCCAGGGGGGACTCTATGTGGGGGCTCCAACCTCTCATTTCCCCTCTGCACTGCCCTAGTAGAGGTTCTCCATGAGGGCTCTGCCTCTGCAGGAAACTTTTGCCTGGTCATTCCAGCTTTTCTACACATCTTCTGAAATCTAGGCAGAGGCTCTCTTGCATTCTGTACACCCACAGGCTTCCACAGCATGTGGAAGCTACCAAGGCTTATGGCTTGCACCCTCTGAAGCAGGAGTCTGAGTACCTAGGCTCCTTTGAGCCATAGCTGGAGCTATAGCAGCCCACATGAAAAGAGCAGTGTTCCAAGCCTGCACAAGGTAGTGGGACCTTGAGGCTGTCCCACAATACCATTCTTCCCTCCTAGGCCTCCAGGCCTGTGATGGGAGGAGCTGCCTCAAAGGTCTCCGAAATGCCTTTTTCCCATTGTCTTTGATATTAATACTAGCCTCCCTTTTTTATGCAAATTTCTGCAGTCAGCTTGAATTCCTTCCCTGAAAATGGGTTTTCCTTTTCTACTACATGGTCATGCTGCAAATTTTCCAAATTTTTACACTCTACTTCCCTTTGAAATACAAATTCTAGCTTTATATTATTTCTTTGCTCACAAACATGAGCATAGGCTTCTAGAAGCAACCAGGCCACATGTTGAATGTTTTGCTGCTTAGAAATTTCTTCTGTCAGATAACCTAAATTGTCACTCTCAAATTCAGTGGTCCACAGATCCCTAGGGCAGGGGCACAATGCCTCCAACCACTTTGCTAACACGTAACAAAAGTGACTTTTGCTCCAGTTCCCAATAAGTTCCTCATCTCCATCTGAGACCACCTCAGCCTGGACTTCATTGTCCATAACACTATAAGCATTTTGGGCACAATAATTTAACAAGTCTCTAGAAAGTTCCAAATTTTCCCTCATCTTCCTATCTTCTTCTGAGCATTCCAAACTGTTACAACCTCTTCCCATTACCCAGTTCAAAAGCTGCTTTCACATTTTCAGGTAGGTTTATAGCAATGTCCCACTTCCCAGTATCAATTTTCCATTTGGGTGGGGACACAAACCCGAACCATATCAAGGGAGATAGTTCATTCATTTGACAAATATTTATGAGTAAATAATATACTGGATGCTTGAGTTTACAGTCTAGTGGAGATGACAGAGAATGAAAAAAAGTAAACAGAAGTGCATGTGTGTGTGTATGAATACACAACAGTGATAAATGCTATTAAAAACTAGCCATATGAAAATCAATTAATGTAATTCATCACATCAGCAGATTAAAAAACAAATCATTATCATAACAATAGATGCGAAAAAAGCATTTGACAAAATCCAACACCCATTTGTAATAAAACTCTCCAGCAAACTATGAATAGAAGTGAACTACCCTAATAGGTAGAATATCTACAACAAACTTACAGCTAACATTATACTTAATGGTTAGAAACTAGACACAGCTGGTAATATTAGGAACAAGGAAAGGATGTACCTCTCACCACTTCTACTTAACATAGTATTGGAAGTCTTATCTAATGCAATAAGATAAGTGTCTTACTCTGTGCTGCTATAACGAAGTATTTGATAATGGGTAATTTACAAAGAGCATATATTTATTTATCACAATTCTTGAAGCTGGGAATCCAAGATCAAGGCACCAGCAAGTTCAGTGTCTGAGGAGAGCCCCATCTCTACTCCCTTTTGGAAAGGAGTGCTTACTCAGTGCCTATATTTCCATTGTATCTTGGAAGTAACTAACTTGGTTTTAATTGTACAGACTCATAAGTAGAAGGGACTAGCCTTGTCTCAGTTGCTGCACTCTTTTGAGGGGAGGAATGCTGTGTCCTCACATGATGAAAAGGATGAAAAGGGCAAAAAGAGGTGGGCTCTCTCTCTGAAGTCTTTTTTGTAGGGACACTAATCCATTCATTAGGGCATGGCTCTCATAGCTTAAACACCTCCTAAAGGCTCAGTCTCTTAACACGATCACATTGTTCATTAAGTTTCAGCACATTAATCTCGAAGGGAACACATTCAGGCTATTACAACAAAAGAAGGAAAAAAATATGTACAGATTTGTAAAAAAAAAAAAGATATAAAACTTTGTTTGCAGATGACATGATTGTCTATGTAAAAAATTTCAAAGAAACAACAAAAACCTCCTGTAACCTAATAAGTAATAACTAATAGCAAGGTTGCAAGATACAAGGTTAATATGTAAAAGTCAATTGATTTCTTATATACTAGTAATGAACAATTGAAATTTGGAATTAAAACACAATTCCATTTACATTAGCACCAAAAAATGAAATACTTAGGTGTAAATATTGCAAAATGTTTATAAAATCTATGTGAAGAAAACTACAAAACTCTGGAAAGGAAAAGAAATGCCATGAAAGATCTAACTAAATGGAAACGTATTCCGTGTACATGGGTAGGAAGACTCAATATTGTGAAGGTGTCTGTTCTTCCCAATTTGATCTATAGATTCAACACAATCCCAATCAAAATCTCAGCGTGGTATCTTGTGTATATTGACAAAGTGATTTTAAAGTTTACATGGAAATGCAAAATACCCAGAATAGTCAACACAATATTGAGGGAGAATAAAGTTGGGGTACTGACACAACCCAACTTCAAGATTTACTTTAAATCTACAAAAATCAAGACAGCATGGTAGTGGTGAAAGAAGAGATGAACGTATCAATGGAACAGAATAGTCTAGATATGGCTGACACAGATAGAGTCAGCTGATCTTTGATAAAGGAGCAAAGGCAATGCAATGGGGGAAAAGATAGTTTCTTCAACAAATGGTGCTGGAACAATTGAACATCCACATGCAAAAAAAATAATAAACTAGACATAGACCTTGCAGCTTTCACAAAAATTAATGGAAAATGGATCACAGATCTAAATGTAAAATTTAAAACTATAAATCTCTTAGAAGATAACATAGATTGAGACAAGAAAAAAATGTCTGTTGTAATCTCTAGGACAACAGCTAAAAATTGCTGAAAAGAGACATAGATAAAAAGCCAAGAGAGTAATCAAAATGGAATATTAAGGTTATTCACCTAACCCAAAAGAAGGAAAAATAGTAAGTCACAAAAAAAAAATAAAAACAGATAAGGCAAATAAGAAACAATATTAGGACTTTTAGTCTACACAAGGTGGTGTAGACCCATTTTTCCCTACTTCTACCTGGTAAGTAAAACTCTAAACCCTGAAAATAGTGCAAGAGACAACCAAAGGAGAACTCTAGTAAGAAAATAGTAAGATAGTAAGAAGAAGGTGAGCTGGTGTGCTAACCCAGGACTGGAGGAATAGCACAGTGTCTTCTGTCTTCTCACCCAACAGAGGAAGCCCACTCAGTCTGGCATTTTCTGACCCTCAGTCTAACAACAGAAGAAAGCCTAAGTATGCTCATTCCTCCATAGTTTAATAGAAGTCTCTCAAATGAGATCAAGTGAGCCCAGCATCTACAAAGAAGATAGATTGGCTGGGGAAGGTACTCTCCTTCCCTACTGAGCCTGAGATTCGCCCTTTCCACTGAAATAATAAGGCCACTGTGTAGAGACCAAAATACAAGCTATCTAAGTACAGGGTACAACCTTGCCTGTACCCATGGGTTGGAGACTCCTCTAGGTGTGCAAGTGGCACTAGAGAAACAGACCCAGTCATGGCAAGTGACATGGTCCAGGAAGTCACATTGTCCTCACAGGCCTAAAACTCTATTCATCTTCTCATAGAAACCAAGTAGTAGGGAGACAACTGTATGGTGGGTCTCACCATGACACACAGCCATGTTATTCAGGGAAATCTCTTTCTCCTCCTCGAGCAGCAATAGCTGATAGCAGCAGAAGCCCCAATGGCACCAAATAAACCAACTCCAGAACTGTAAGGTAATATATTTGTGTTGTGTTGTTTTAAGCCTCTAAATTTGTGGTAATGTGTTACCATAGCAACAGGAAAAGAATAGAAATAGGAGACTAATACAAGAAAAGAACACTGCCCACTTAATTTTATGAGGTCAATATTACTCTAATGCCACAAGCAGACAAGGACAGTAAAAATAAATAAAACAACAGATCAATATCTGTCACTAATTTTAACAAAAAAATCATCAAAAGATATGAACAAGCTGAATCTCACAAAGCATGAAAGTAATTATATGCCAATTATATTACCAATTATATCATGACCAAATGAGACATTTGGGGTATACCAAGCTGGTTCAGTGTTCAAAACTCAATCAATGTAATCCATCATAAAGCTAAAAATGAGAAATCATATGATCATATGAATTTATTTGGCAAAATTCAATACCTACTCATCACAAAAACTTTCAGAAAAATATAAATAGATGGAAATTATCTCAACTTGATAAAAAAGCATCTTCAAAAAAAAAATGAAGTTGACATCACATCTAATGGTAAAAGACTAAGATCAGGAACAACATGCAGATGTACACTCTCGTTACTCTTTTTTCTTTCTTTTCCCAACTTTTATTTTAGGTTCAGGGAGTACATGTGCAGGTTTGTTACGTGGGTAAATTGCATGTTGCTGGGGTTTGGTGTGCAAATGATTTCATCACCCAGGTAGTAAGCATAGTACCCAATAGGTATTTTTTCGACCCTCCCCTCCTCCCCCTTCCACCCTCAAGTATTCCCCAGTGTCTGTTTTTTCCATCTTTATGACCATATGTACTTAATGTTTAGCTCCCACTTATAAATGAGAATATGTGGTATTTGGTTTTCTGTTTCTGTGTTAATTTGGTTAGGATAATGACCTCCAGCCGCATCTATGTTGCTGCAAAGGACATGATCTAATTCTTTTTTATGTCTGTGTAATATTCCATGGTGTATAAGTACCACATATTCTTTATCCAGTCCATCATTGATGGGCATATAAGTTGATTCCATGCCTTTGCTATTATGAATAGTGCTGTGATGAACATACAAAGGCAAGTGTCTTTTTGGTAGAATGATTTATATTCCTTTGGGTATATACCCAGCAATGGGATTACTGGGTCGAATGGTAGTTCTATTTTAAGTTCTTTGAGAAATAGCCAAACTGCTTTCCACAGTGGCTGAACTAATTTACATTCTCACCAGCAGTGTATAAGCATTCCCTTTTGTCTGCAACCTCAGCAACATCTATTATTTTTTGACTTTTTAATAACAGCCATTCTGACTGGTTTGAGATGGTGTCTTATTGTGGTTTGTGGAAATGTTGATTTGCATTTCTTTAATGATTAGTGATCTTGAGCATTTTTTCATATACTTGTTGGCCATATATATATCTTCTTTTGAGAAGTGTCTGTTCATGTCCTTTTCACATTTTTAATGGGGTTGTTTTTTGCTTACTGATTCAAGTTCCTTATAGATTCTGGATATTAGAACCTTCATCGGATACATAGTTTGTGAATATGTTCTCCCATTCTGTAGGTTGTCTGTTTACTCTGTTGATAGTATCATTTGCTCTGCAGAGCTCTTTAATTTAGTTAGGTCTCACCTGTCTATTTTTGTTTGTGTTGTACTTGCTTTTGGAGACTTCATCTTTGCCAAAGCCCATGTCCAAAATGATATTTCTTAGATTTTCTTCTAGGATTTAAAACAATTATTTTAGGACTTATATTTATGCCTTCTATCTATTTTGAGTTGATTTTTGTATATGGTGAAAGGAAGGGGTCCAGTTTCAATCTCCCACATGTACATAGCCCATTATCCCAGCGCCATTTAATAAATTCGGACTCCTTTCCCCATTGCTTGTTATTGTTGACTTTATCAAAGATCAGATGGTTGTTAAGAGTGCAGCTTCATTTCTGGGTTCTTTAAACTGTTCCGTTAGTATAAGGGTCGTCTTTTGTACCAGTACCATCCTGTTTTGGTTACTGTAGCCTTGTAGTACGGATTGAAGTTGGGTAGTGTGATGCCTTTGGCTTTGTTCTTTTTGCTTAAGATACTTTTGGCTATTTGGGCTCTTTTTGGATTCCATATGAATTTTAGAATAGGTTTTTCTAATTCTGTGAAAAATGGCATTGGTAGTTTGATAGAAATGTCACTGAATCTGTAAGTTGTTTTGGGTTCTAAGGCCATTTTAATAATATTGATTCTCCTATACGTAAACTTGGAATGTTTTTCCATTTGTTTGTGATGTCTCTGATTTCTTTGAGCAGTGTTTTATAATCTTTCACCTCCCTGGTTAGTTGTATTCCTAGGTATTTTTTTGTGTGTGTGGCTATTGTGAATGTGGTTGTTTTCTTGATTTGGTTCTGAGCTTGAGCATTATTGGTGTATAGAAATACTGACTTTTGTACATTGATTTTATATCCTAAAACTTTACTGAAGTTGTTTATCTGTTCTGGGAGCCTTGGGCAGAGACTATGGGGTTTTCTAGGTATAGAATCATATCATCGTGAAGAGAGATAGTTTGACTTCGTGTCTTCCTATTTTGATGACTTTTATTTCTTTCTCTTGCCTGATGGCTGTGGCTAGGATTTCCAGTACTATGTTGAAGAGGAGTGAGGAGAGTGGGCATCCTTGTTTTGTTCCAGTTCTCAAGGAGAATGCTTCCAGCTTTTGCCTGTTCAGTATGGATGTTGGCTGTGGCTTTGTCAAAGATGGCTCTTATTATTTTGAGGTATGTTCCTTCAATACCTACTTTGTTGAGGGTTTTTAACACAAAGAGATGTTAAATTTTATCAAAAGCTTTTTCTGCATCTATTGAGATGGTCATGTAGTTTTTGTTTTTAGTTCTGTTTATGCAAGAATTACATTTATTGATTTGCTTATGTTGAATCAACATATGGTTGCATCCCAGGAATAAAGCCTACTTGATCATGGTGGATTAGAGTTTGATGTGCTGCCAGATTTGGTTTGCTAGTATTGTGTTGAGGATTTTTGCATCTATGTTCGTCAGGGATATTGGTCTGATATTTTCCTTTTTCACTGTCTCTGCCAGGTTTTGGTATCGGAATAATGCTGGCGTCAGAGGATGAGTTAGGGAAGAGTGCCTCCTCCTCAATTTTTGGAATAATCTCAGTAGGATTGGTACCAGCTCTTCTTTGTATGTCTGGTAGAATTTGGCTGTGAATCCATCTGGTCCAGGGCTTTTTGTGTTTGACAGGTTTTTTATTACTGACTCAATTTTGCAACTCATTATTGGTCTGTGCACGTTTCTTTCTGGTTCTATCTTGGGAAGTTGTGTGTTTCCAGGAATTTATCCATTTCTTCCAGGTTTTCAAGTTAATGTGCATAGAGGTGTTCATAACAGTCTCTGAGGGTTTTATGTATTCATATGGGAGTCAGTGGTAATGCCACTTTTGTCATTTCTGATTGTATTTATTTGCATCTTCTCTCTTTTTTCTTTATTAATATAGCTAAAGGTCTATCAATCTTGTTTATTTTTTCAAAAACAAACTTTTTGTTTCATTGATCTTTTGTATGGATTTTCACATCTCAATTTCATTCAGCACGCCTCTAATTTTGGTTATTTTTATTTTTTCTGCTAGTTTTTGGGTTGGTTTGATCTTGTCTTTCTGTTCCTCTAGGTATAATGTTAGGTTGTTAATTTGAGATCTTTCTAAATTTTGATGTAGGCATTTAGTCCAATAAAATTTCCTCTTAACATTGCTTTAGCTGTGCACCAGAGATTCTGGTATGTTGTCTTTTTGCTTTCATTAGTTTCAAATAATTTGTTGATTTCTGCCTTAATTTCATTATTTACCCAAAAGTCATTCAGGAGCAGGTTGTTTAATTTCCATGTAATTGTATGGTTTTGAGAGCTCTCCTTGGTATTGATTTCTATTTTTATTGTGCTGTGTGCTCAGAGTGTGGTTGGTATGATTTCAGGTTTTTTTGAATTTGTTGAGAATTGCTTTAGGGTAAGCGTGTGGTCGATCTTCACATATGTGCTGTGTGCAGATGAGAAGAATGTATACTCTGTAGTTGAGTGGAGTATTCTGTATATATCTGTTGGTTCCATTTGGTTAAGTGTCTAGTTTAGGTCCTGAATATTTTTGTTAGTTGGCTGACTCAGTGATCTGCCCAAAACTGTCCATGGGATGTGGAAGTCTCCTACTATTATTGTCTGGCTGTCTAAGTCTCTTTGTGGGTCTCTAAGCACTTCATTTATGAATCTGGGTGGTCCAGTGCTAGGTGCATATATATTTAGGACAGTTAAGTCTTCTCATTGAATTGAACTCTGTATTATTATGTAATAATGCTCTTCCTTGCCCTTTTTGATCATTGTTGGCTTAAAGTCTGTTTTGTCTGAAGTAAGAATAGCAACCTTCTCTTATTTGCTTTCATTTTACTTGATAGATTTTTCTCCATTCCTTTACTTTGAACCTATGGGTGTCATTGCATGTGAGATGGGTCTCTTGAAGATAGCACACAGTTGGGTCTCACTTATTTATCCAACTTGCCACACTGTGCCTTCTCAGTGAGACATCTAGCCCACTCTACATACAAGATCAATATTGACATGTGAGGGTTTGATCTTGTCATCATGTTGTTAGCTGGTTCTTATGTATATTTGATTGTATATTTGCTTTACAGTGTTAATGAACTACATACTTAACTGTCTTTTTGTGGTGGCAGGTGTTGGGCTTTTGTTTCCATGTTTAGCATTCTATTAAATATCTCTCATAAGGCAGTTCTAGTGGTAATGAATTCCCTTACCATTTACTTGTCTAAAAAAAGATTGTATTTCTCCTTCACCTATGGAACTTAGTTTGGCTGGATATGAAATTCTTGGTTGGAATTTCTCTTCTTTAAGAATGCTATATATAGGCCCCCTATATTTTCTGGTTCCTAAGGTTTCTGCTGAAAGATCCTCTGTTAGCTTGATGGGGCTCCCTTTGTATGTGATCCACCCTTTCTTTCTAGCTGCCTTTAAGATTTTTTTCTTTTATGATGAACTTGGAGAGTATGATGACTATATGTCTTGGGGATGATCATCTTGTATGGTATCTCACAGAGGTTCTCTGAACATCTTGAATTTGCATGTTGTCCTCTCTAGTGAGGTTGGACAATATCCTCAAATATGTTTTCCAAGTTTCTTGCTTTTTCTGCCTTTATTTCACAGATTCCAATGAGTTATAAGTTTGTTCTCTTTACATAATTTCATATTACTCAGATGTTTTTTCTTTTTTTATTTTTCTCTACCTGCATTGATTTGAAGGAGTGATCTTCAAGCTCTGAGATTCTTTCCTTAGTTTGGTCTATCTTGTTATTAATGCATCCAATTGCATGATAAAATTTCTGTCATCAATTTTTTATTTTTCAGAAGTTCAGTTTGATTCTTTCTGAAAATGTTTATGTCGTTTTTAACTCTTGGATCATATTACTGCTTTCCTTGAAAGGGATTTCAACCTTCTCCTATATGTCAAGGAAAATTGAGCTTCTTTGCCATTTACATTCTGAATTCTATGTCATTTCAATCCGGTTAAGAACCATTGCTGGGGATCTAGTGCAGTCATTTGGAGGTAAGAAGACACTCTGGTTTTTAGAGTTGCCAGAATTCTTGCACTAGTTCTTTCTCATCTGTGTGGCTGATCTTTTAATCTTTGAAGTTGCTGTCCTTTGAATCAGGCTTCTTGCTTTTATAGTCTTTGATGTCCTGGAGGGTTTGATTGTGGTATAAGTTGGGTTTCATTTATTGGCTTTGTTTCTGGATGCTTTCAGATGGCCGAGGCTCAGTTCAGCACTCCAGGACTGTGTGCTCTAGCTCTGGAGGGCTGGAACTAGGCCTGCAGCTTTGTTCTCTGGCCCCTCAAGGTCAAGCACTTGCTGCACTGGAGAAGCTGAGTTGTTCCTAGTTTGTTGCCAACAACACTTCAATGTGGGCTGCTGGCAAAAGTGCAATGGAGTGGTGGGGGTGCCGTAGGAGACTGCACTGTGGTGGGAGGACTGTAGGTGAGTGCACACCAATGGGGTAGTGAGGGCATTGTGGGTGCATGTGTGCCAGCAGGGCAGTGGTTGGTCCTTATGTGCGTGGGTGCTGGTGGGGTGGTAGTGGATCCCCATGTGTGTGTTCATTGTCAGAGCGGCAGAGGGATGCTGTGGGTGAATGCACATAGGTTGAGGAAGGCTGCAGGTAGATACATCCTGGTGGGGGTCTGCCTGCCTGGTGGAGGTCTGCCACCTATGGGAAGGTGGGGGGCTGCTGGTGAAAAAGCTATGGCAGTAGCCACTGAGAAGCATTTCAGCTGGGCAGCTCAAGCTGCCAGAGAGGGACCCTGGGAGAGGCTGGCAGACGGGGTATTCTGATGAGACTGGCCACATCCCATGGACAAGACAGCCCTGCTCTCTCCAGGTCCAGCAGATAACAAATACTAAAGTCACCTAGAAGAGTATGTCAAGCCTTGGGGGATGGCTGCCCATGGCTGTGCTCCAGTGTACCCATTCCCATGCCAAATCCTCTGGACTCCTCACAGACTAGAGTTATGTCTTTACCAACTCTCAAAGGAATTTTCCCTGCCAACTCAAATATCTGTGAGGGTCATGGGGTCTCCCACAGCTAGGATCCTGGAGGTCTGTAATGAGAGTGCGCCACTCTACGCTTATTTCACTCACCCCTTCTCTAGGAGCCACTCAGGGCCAGGAACACATCCTAGTGCTTAGCAACCCCATGCAGGGTTCTCAGCTTCCTTCTCTTTAACTCGAGTCTGCATCCTCTCTGTATCCATTCTCAATGCCTTCTTCCCGAAGATCTGTTCAGAGTTTGTTAGTCTACATGATGGTTTGGTCTCTCAGTGGGAGAAGCTTTTCCTGGCTGTGTCTAGCCAGCCATCTTCGCTCTTCTACTCACCATTCTTACTGAACAGAACTGGAATTCCTACCTACTGTAATGAAGCAAGAAAAAGGCATATCAGGCATACAGATTGGAAACATAGAAATAAAACAATTCTATTTGCAGATGACATCAGTAAACACATAGAAAGTAAAAAAAGAAACTGCAAAAGAAAACTTCTAGAATTAGCTAGTGAGTTCAACAAGGTTGCAAGATTTAAGATCAATACACAAAGAGCAATTGTATTTTATTACTAACATACACACCTATGAATATGTAGAAACCAAAACTAAAAACACAATTTCTTTTTACAGTAACTCCAAATAAAGTACTCAGGTATACAATTAATAAAACATGTATGGAATCTGTATGTTGAAAATTACAAAATGCTGATCAAAAAAATAAAAAACCAAAATAAATGGAGAGACAAACCATGTCCATGGATTGGAAGTCTCAATGTATTAATTATCCCCAAATTGATCTACAGGTTTAGTGGAATGCCTATAAAAATTTCTGAGAGAGATTTTGGAAGCATATACAGACTTATTATAAAATGTATATGGAAAAATACAGGCTCTAGTATAGATAAAATAATCTTGGCAAAGAATAAAGTAGGAAAAATACCCAATATTAATTAATATTGATGGATTGTATCAATGTCACTATCCTAATTTTGATATTATACTATACTTTTGCAAAATGTTCCACTGAGGAAAACTGGAGGAAAAGTCCAAGGAATTTCTCTTAGCATTTAAAAAAATGCTTTATTGAGGTATGATTGATATATCAAAAGCTATACATATTTAATATATACAACTTGCTATGTTCGGGGATAAGTATACACTCATGAAACCATTACAACCATCAATGCTATAAACACATCCATCACCTCTCAAAGTTTCATCCTACCTCCTTTATTATTATTGGTGGAAAGGATACTTGAAATAAGATATATCCCCTTAGGAAATTTTAAGTATGCAATAAAGTACTGTTAGCCATAGGGACTATATTTTATAGTAGATCTCTAGAACTTATTTTTCTTACATAACTAAACTTTTACCCCTTAATGATCTTACAACTGCAGGTGAGTCTATATTATCTCAATAAAAATTCTATTAGAAATCAATTAACAAATGACACACATAAGCCCAACTTTATCAACAATTGTGCTAAATATATATAGATTTCAGTTATTAGGAAGATATTTTCAGAATGGAAAAAAATCTTGGCCTAGCTATGTGATATCTACAAGATATACACTTTAAATACAAAGACCCAAATAGTTTTGAAGTATTTTTTTAAATAACACTTTCCTCTAAAAAGGCAAACAACTTCCCATTCATACACCTTTATTTTTTATTTTGTTTTTTATTTTTTTGAGATAGGGTCTCACTCTGTTCCCTAGACTGGAGTGCAACAGAGTGATCTCAGCTCACTGCAACCTCTGCCTCCCAGATTCAAGCGATCCTCCCATTTCAGCTTCCTATAGTAGCTGGTATTCAGTAACTGGGACTATAGGTACACTCCACCATGCCCAGCTAATTTTTTGTACTTTTAGTAGAGACAGGGTTTTACCATATTGGCCAGCCTGGTCTCAAACTCCTGACCTCAAGAGATCTGCCTGCCTTGGCCTCCCAAAGTGCTGGGATTACAGGCTTGAGCCATCATGTCCAGCCAATCTTTAAAAGCTGAAATAATGCTTTAAATATCAGATAAAATAGACTTTAAAACAAGGAGTATTACCAATTTTTTTTAATTCATAGGATTAAAATATGATTACTTGAAAAACAGGTAAGGAACATAAATATATATGCCCTTAATAATAAAGCTTAAAACACAGGAAATAAAAACTGATAGAATTAAGGGAAGAAACAGAAAACACATAATCATATTTATTTCACAGTAGTCAGTAGAATTACCGGAAATAAATATATATATATATATATATATATATATATATATATATATATATATATTTGATCTAATGTGACAGAGAACACATGCTTTGCAAGGGCACATATAATATTCACAAAGATAGATATTATCTTGGGCCAAAAAAATGGTCTCTTTAAAACTTAAAATATTAAAATGTTATCAAGAATATTTTCTAACCAAAATTAGAAATAAATAATAAAAAATATTTACAAAAGCCATAAATATTTCTAAATTAAATAATACACCTCAATATTATTCACATGCCCAAGATGAAATCACAAAGGAAAATTAGAATCTAGTTCACAATGAATTATGACAAAAAAGCAAAATATTGAAATTTGTGTTAATTGATTTTTTTTCAATAATGATGACAAAGCAATTAAAGGTAGGAAAGAAAGTTTTTCCAGAGAGGTGATATAAGCAAAATGGCACAGCTGACAGCTCTAAGCTCTCATTTTTCCACAGAAACATTGAAAATTAAGGAAATATCAGAATAAATTTTGTCAGTACTCTGGAAAACTGAAATGAATAGTTCACTAGGGGTTCAATAGCAGATTTGAGGAGGCAGAAGAAAGAATTGGTAAAACTGAAGGTAGTATAGTGGAAATTATAGAATTTGAGAAGCTGAAAGAAAAAAGAATGAAGAAAAGTGAACAGAGCCTGAAGGACTTGTGAGACGCTGTCAAGCAAACCAACATATGCATCATGAGAGTTTCAGAAGGATAATAGAGAGAAAAATAATATTTGAAAAAATAATAGCTAAAAACTTCCCAAATTTGATGAAAGACATAAATCTTCAAATCCAAGAAGTCAACAAATTCCAAGTATAATAAAATTTACAAGACCCACAGCAAGATACATTATAATCAAATTGTCAAAAGCCAAATCCAAAAAAGAATCTTGAAAACAGCAAGAGAGAGGCTACTCAACAAGGGATCCTCAATACAATTAGAAGCCAATTTCTCATCTGAAATTATGGAGACCAGAAGGCAGTGAGATGGCATATTTAATGTACTGAAAGAAAAAAATGCCAATGAAGAATTCTATATCCTAAGAAACTATACTTTAAGAATAAAAGAGAAATTAAGACATTTCCAGATAAATAAAAACTGAGAAAGTCTTTTACCCTTTGACCTACCTCACAAGAAATGCTAAAGTGAGTACATCAGGTTGAAATGAAAGGACACTAGACAGTAACTCAAAACCATATGAGGAAGACCTCTGGCAAAGTAAATACCTGAAAAATGTGAAAGCCAGTATAATTGTGTTTATAGCTTCTATCTCCCCTTTTTCTCATGTACGACTTTTAAGACAAATGGAGTTTTTAAATGATAAGTTTGTTATCAAGCACACAAAGTATAAAATATAATTTGTGACAACAACATAAGTGGGAGCTTAGTTTTTGTACAGAATTGGATAGCAATTCAAATTAGACTGTTATAAACTTAAGATGTTATGTATAATCCCCATAGTAGCCACAAATAAAATATTTAAGGAACATACACAAAAAGAAATTAGAAGGGCATCAAACAGTTCACTAGCAAAAAATCATCTATACACAAAAGAAGGCAGAAATAGAAGAAATTAGAGATAAAAGAATTCATAAGACATACAGAAAATGCATAGCGAAATGGCAGAAGCATGTCCTTCTTTATCAGTAATCATGTCAAGTGTAAATGGGTTAAATTCTCCAATCAAAAGGCAGAGATTGCCAGAATTGATTTTTTTCAAGCATGACCCAGCTATAGACTGGCTACAAAAGATCACTTTAGATCCAAAGACACAAAATAAGTTGAAAGTGAAAGGATGGATAAAGAAATTTCAAGCAAATAGTAACAACAAGAAAGCCAAAGGGGCTTTAATAAAATCATGCAAATAGAGTTTAAGTGAAAAACTGTTATAAGTGACAAAGAAAAACATTATATATTGATAAATGGGTCAACTGATCAAGAAAATATAACAATTATGAACAAATATGGACCAAAATATATGAAACCCCAAAATATATAAAACAAACACTGAAAAAATGGAAGAGAGAAATAGATAGTTCTACAATAGCTGTAGACTTTGGTATTCTACTTTCAACAATAGATGGAACATCTAGACAGAAGATAAATAAGGAAATAGCAGACTTGAAAAATACTATAAATCAACAAGACCTAACAGATATATATGGAACATTTCCACTCAACAACAGCAGAATATACTCTTCTCAAGTATACATGAAGTATTCTCCAGGATAGATCATATGTTAGGCCACAAAAGAAGTATTAACAAACTTAAAAATATTAAAATCAAAAAAATTAAAATCATAAAAAGTGTATTTTCTGATCACAATGGAATGAAACTTCAATCAATAACAGAAATAAAACTGAAAAATCTGCAAATTTGTGGAAATAAGACAACACTCTAAACCAATGGGTATAAAGAAGCCACAAGAGAAATTAGAAAAAAAAGACATGAATGTAAATAAAAATACAACTTACTAAAAGCTATGGAATGCAGGAAAGGCAGCGCTCAAAGAGAAATGTATAAATGTAAATGCCTAAATTAATAAAGAAGAAAGAATCTCAAATAACCTAACTTTACACCTTGAGGAACTAGAAAGAGATCAAACTACATCCAAAAGTAGCAGAGGAAAGAAAATAATAAAAACTAGAGTGGAGTTAAGTAAAACACAGAATAGAAAAAAAATAGAATTACTGAAGCCATAGTTGATTTCTGGAAAAGATCAGTAAAATTGCTCTTAGGTAGCCTGACGAAGAAAAAAGAGAAAAGATGCAACTAAAAGTAAAAACAAAAGTGGGGTATTACTGCCAACCTTACAGAGATAAAAGAGATTATAAAAAAATACAGATGCATGTATATCAATATTTATTGCAGAATTATTCACAATAGCCAAAATGTAGAAGCAACTCAAGTGTCTGTCAACAGATAAATGGATAAACAAAATGTGGGATATATGTACAATGAAATATTATTCAGCCATAAAAAGGAATGAAGTTCTGACACATGCTGCAAGATGAACAAATCTTGACAATATTATGCTAAATGAAATAAGCCAGACACAAAAGACAAATGTATGATTCATTATTAGAAATATCCATAATAAGCAAATTTATAAAACCATAAAGTAGATTAAAAGTTACCAGGGCCTAAGTGAGGAGGTGGAGAGATGAGCAATTATTGCCTAATGATAACAAAGTTTCTATTTGTGGTAACCAAAAAGTTTTGGAAATAGATAGTACAGATGGTTGTACAACACCATATATGTAACTAATGTCACTGAATTGCACAGTTGAAAATGGCTAAAATGGCTAATTTTATGTTATATTTATTTTATCACAATAAAAAAGAAAGTCTTTCAAAAATTGTTGCTGGAACAAGTGGATGACCCACATGAAAATAATAAACTTCAAACTCTGTCTCACATTGTGTACCCAAATTAATTCAAGATGCATAGACACAGACCTAAATGTAAAACATGAAACTGTAAAGCTTTTAGGAAAAAAAAACACAAAATACTACTGTAACCTGGGGTCATCAGAGATCTATCAGGCAAGGCACAGAAAGCAATGACTGTAAAATAAGAAATTGATAAATTAGACTTCATCAAAATTTAAATGTTCTGCTCATGAAAAGACACCATTAAGAAAATGAATGGGCAAAACACAGCCTGGGCTAAAGCATTCACAAAACATATATCTTACAAAGGACTTGTATCTAGAATATATAAAGAACTACAATTCCAAAATAAAAAGGACAAACAACCCAATAAATATAGTCAAAGGACTTGAGGAGAGTCTCAAAGAGTCTCAAGAGTCTCAAGGAGAGACAATGAAAAATATACGAATAATTGGAAAGCAAATGGAAAAGTTTTCAACCTCATTCATTGTCAGAGAGATGAAAATTAAAATCACGATGGGTTGTACTACATACTCATTAGAATAGCAAACAGTTAAAAGATTGAAAACAAAATATTACTAAGGGTATGAGCAACCAGAATTTTCATATATTGCTAGGGAGGACATAAAATGGTACATCTACTTTGGAAACAGTTTTGGCAGTTTCTTATAAAGTGAAGCCTAGAATTACCCTGTGACTGCATAATTTCAGTTCCAGGTATATATCAAAGAGAGATAAAATAAAATACTCATTCAATAACTTGTTCATGGCAAATTTATTCCTAATAACCAAAACCAGAAATAACCCAAATGTACATCAGTATGAGAATGGGTTTAAAAATTGTGATGTATTCATAAAATGAAAACACCAATCAACAATAAAAAAGTATGTTATGGATACATGCAACAACATGGATAAATATCACAGATATTGTACTGAGCAAAAGAAGCCAGACACAAAATTTGCTATACTATATTAACCCATGTATATAAAGTTCTAAAACATAAAAAAAAATTGTGAAAAAATCAAAACAGGGTGGTTTGCCTGTGGATTGGGGGTGAGAATTGACTGGGAGAGGACATGAAAGGGCTTTCTTGACAGGAGTGTAAGTTACACAGATGTATCTATTCATCAAAACTGTACAGCTTATGTTGTGCATTTCAATATATATTTGAATTTTATTTCAAAAAATAGGATTATTTAAAAATATATAAATAAGAAAGGGACAGCCATGTACACAAAAGGGAAATGGTTAAAGACAGATGGAATAAGATATGTAAAGCTTGATTACACAAAATGCTTGTCGTTTAAGAAGGTAAAAGGTCAATGGGGCTGGCACAGAGTTGATGAAAAAAGAGAATAGAATGGAAAACCATTGAGTTAGACATGGTCCGGATCACATAGGCCCAGTTAAGCCAGGAAAAGGAGTGTTCAGTTTTTTTAAAAAAGTATAATGGAAAGCCATTGGAGAGTTTTAAGAAGGGAAACACCATGATCCAATTTGAGTTTTTAAAAAGATTACTCTAGCAGCTGTGTGGGAAAGAAATTGGAGAAGCCAAGAGCCAAATCAGGGAAACTAGAAAAGAAGCCAGTGCAGTTGTCTTTGTAAGAAATAAAAATGATCAGAACTACTAGGTAGCAGCAGCAGAGAAAAGAAAATTGACCATTTCAAGACATATTTAGGAGATGAGAAGAACTGAACTTAATAATAGATGGATGTGGGGGAAGGAAGGAATTGGAAGAGAGAGAGAAACAAGGATAGCATCCAGGTTTCTGACTGGAGAAATTGAGCAAAGGGTGATGCCATTTCATTTGCAAAGGTGGGAAAGACTGGGAGAGTTGTGTGTGGCCAGAGGGAGGAGCCTGGGAACATCTGGATGTGGTAAGTCTGAGGATCAAGTGGAGAAGTCTGTGACATCTCTGGATATACAAGTGTGGACGTCAAAGGAGAGTTTGGTCTGGGAATATAGAGAGTCTTCAGCCTCTGACAGCAAAGCTGTCAGAAGCTCTGGAAAAGGATGAGAGTGAGAGGAGAGTTCAGAGAGAGCCAAAGCCCTAGGTAAGTCCAGGGGAACACACAGAAGAAAGTTGATGAAACCACGAAGAAGACAGAGAAGTGGCCAGAGGATAGGTGAAAAAGAGAAGACATCGATGTCATGGAGCGCATTTTGAGGAGGGAAGTATCAGCTGTGTTAAAGAAGCTGAAAGGGTCAGTAAAAGTACAGTGTCTACAGAATTTAATAACAAGGATATTGCTGGTAACCTTGGCAAAATCAGTCACACTTGGAGCAGGGGTAGCTGAATCCATACTACACCAAGTAAAGGAGCATTTACTATGAATGGAGCCATGAAAATTGTGGCATAGGAGGTTGGCAAGAGAGAAAGCATGAAATAGACCTCTGAGTGAGTGGGAAATCTGGACGCTGGGATTGCCAGCTACTGATGAGAGTCCTCCTAAAGACAGGCTTGTGTGGCACCAGTAAGATATTTCTTAATGTAAGTCTCAGTGAAGAAAGGGGTAAAATTAAAAAATAACACTAGCAAAGCTGGTCACCTTGGATGTGTGATGTATTTAACCTGCTTGGATATAACCATGGGGAAGAAAAATGAATGGGTTCCTTCATATCTGGAATTTTTCAACAGAGTATAAAAAATGAAGAGATGAACAAGGGAGTTGAGATTCTTTGCAAGGGCATAATTATGGTAACAGACTACAAAATCTCATTGGTGAAAGAAGAGAAGCAAACACAAAGGGGAGCTGAGGGCAGGGGGAAACGTGTGTGTGTGTGTGTGTGTGTGTGTGTTTGTGTGTGTGCTGGGGATGGGAGATGAGAATCAATAATTGGATTTCAGGGGGAATTGAGAAACTAAATGTAAGGATAGGTTGTAATCAGAGGGCACGGTGCTGGAATTTTAATTTTGGAGGTAGTAGTACCATTTGTGGTAATAATTTAGAGTTGAAGGGGAAACCTTGGGCATCAGTGGTGAAGTGGAAGAGGGTGTCCTTTGAGAATGAGGAGCTGTAAAAACCCAAAGGGTGATGTATTAGTTCGTTCTCACACTGCTAATAAAGACATACCCGATACTGGGTAATTTATAAAGTAAAGAGTTTAAGTGACTCACAGTTCAGCATGGCAAGGGAGGCCTCAGGAAACTTACAATCTTGGCAGAAGGGGATGCAAACACGTCTTCTTCACATGCCAGCAGCAAAGAGCAGTGCCGAGTAAAAGTTGAGAAAGCCCCTTATAAAACCATCAGATCTTCTGAGAACTCACTCACTATCACGAAAACAGCATAAGGGTAACCACCTCCATGATTACATTGCCTCCGACTGGGTCCCTCCCACGATACATGGGGATTATGGGAACTACAATTCAAAATGAGATTTGGGTGGGGACACAGCCAAACCTATCAGTTGATGCGTTCCTTTGCTAGGGCTGCTGTAACAAAGTACCGCAGACTGGGTGGCTTAAATAGCAGAAATGTATTTTCTCAGCATTCTGGAGGCTAGAAGTCCAAGGTCTAGGTGTTGGCAGGTTCGATTTCTTCTGAGACCTCTCTCCCAGGCTTGCAATTGGCCATATTCTTACTGTGTCCTCATAAGCCTGTCCCTCAGTCTATGTGTTTGTGTATCCTAATCTCCTCTTCTTATCAGGACATTAGTCATGTTGGATATAACTTCATTTTACCTTAATTGCCTCTTTAAAGGCCCTGTCTCTAAATGCAGTCACATTCTGGGGCACAGGGGTTAGGACATCAACCTATGAATTTGGTCAGGGGAGGGCACAATTCAGCCCATAACAACAGTGTATTAGAAGAGTCATTTGTGTGGACTTTGGGATGAGCAGTAACTAGACAAATGAGAAGATAAAGAACAAGGAACTAAGTCTTCAGTGAATGTAGGAGAGGGCCCAGGTCAGCGGTAGCACCAACAGTCATGTATGCCTGCTTGGGGGAGGGTGTGTTGAGACCCCTAGTTCCTGGGTCTCAACAGAGTGGTTGCTTTCAGAAACAGGACAGAGGTGGTCTGGACGCAGCCACAAGGAGTAAGGGGAACAACCAGCCTCCCTCCTTGGTCATGGGGTATTTGGAAACACGATCTTGAAAACACAGGCTCCACATGAGACCGCTGCCAGAGCAGGGCTGTCCTCAGGCAATAGCCATGTTTCCAAAAAAGGCAGTGGGGGAATGGGGTGTGGGGAAGAGGCTGAAGACACAGGGGAGTTCGCCAGTCAGCAGGAGTCCACATGAGAGGTGTCTGGTCCTCTGCCCTGCAGCGTGAGTGCTCGCCTGTGTGTGTATTCCATGTCCCATCTATTTCAAGACCACCATTCAGCCTTTCCCACCTCCAGAGCAACAACTGTCATTGTCTACTGCCCATGTGGGACATTTTTACCATTTTATTGTTTTTTTTTAACTTTTATTTTCAGTTCAGGAGTACATGTGCAGGTTTGTTATATAGGTAAACTGCTTGTCACAGAAGTTTGGTGTATGGATGATTTTGACACCCAGGTAATAAGCATAATACCTGGCAGGTGGTTTTTTGTCCCTCTCCCTCCACTTTAAATTGGTGGCTGGAAGAACCACTCTCAGGGGCAAAAGGGGATGCCTGTGAAATAGCAGCCGACTCGCCAACTGAACTTCCAAATCCATGTGTCAATTAGTTCCTGGTGAGCAGTGCCCCCAAGAGCTCAGGGCCAGCTTTCTCTCCATGAGTCCAAGGACAACCTAGAATTAAAGAATCACATCCTGGGTTTTGGTGTCTCTGCTGGCCTCTACCATCAAAAGGATTCAATTAAAGTGACAAGGATTGAAATGCCTCTTTATAAAGCCAGGTGATTCTTCCCTTCAGATTTATACATTAATGTTCAAAATAAAAGATCAGCTGTGTGCAGTGGCTTAAGCTACAAGACACATTTAGCCAAACAAGCATGTGCAAGTGCAGAAATTTGAGTTTCAAGCTGGAACATCTGAAGGACAGGATGTGCCTACTCGTTTAGTACATTTTACTCCGTGGACTGAGCCAGGCACTTTAGGAAGATGATGCATTGCTAAAGAGTATCTAGAAGCAGGAAAATAAACCCGAGCCAGGGAAGGCTTTCTCAGCTTACATAGAGGAGCACCTGAAGGAAATGGGCTGAACTTTGATTATCTTCATCACTAGGGAGAAAGAAAATCAGGATTTTATTAATTTTTTTCATTTTTATTTATTTTTTCTTTTATTTTAGGATCCAGGGTACATATGCAGGTTTGTTACATGAGTATATTATGTGATGCTGAGGTTTGTGGTACAACTGAACCCATCACTCAAGTAGTGAGCGTAGTACCCCATAAGTAGTTTTGCAACTCTTCCCCTCTTCCTACCTCCCCTGTCTAGTAGTCTCCAGTGTTTATTGTTCCCATCTTTATGGCCCTATGTACTCAATGTTTAGCTCCCACTTATAAGTGAGAACATGGGGTATTTGGCTTGCTTTTCCTGTATTAGTTTGCTTAGGATAATGACCTCCAGTGTCATCCATGTTGCTGCAAAGAACATGCACTTGTTATTTTTTGTAGTATTCCATGGTAGACATGTACCATATTTTCTTTATCCAACCCATCATGCATGGCCATCTAGGTTGATTCCATGTCTTTGCTATTGTGAATAGTGCTGTAATGAATGTACAATTGTATGTGTCTTTTTGGTAGAATGATTTATTTTCTTTTGGAAAACTGAACCAGAAATTATTTTCCTTTGGAAAACCCAGCAGAAACTGAATATGTGAGAATATCTGGATACCATCTCAAGTTAAATAATAATAAAATGATTATGTGTTTTCATTCATTCAACCAGAATTCTTTTTTTTTATACTTTAAGTTCTAAGGTACATGTGCACAACGTGCAGGTTTGTTACATATGCATACATGTGACATGTTGGTGTGCTGCACCCATTAACTCGTCATTTACATTAGGTATATCTCCTAATGCTATCCCTCCCCCCTCCCCCCACCCCACAACAGGCCCTGGTGTGTGATATTCCCCTTCCTGTGTCCAAGTGTTCTCATTGTTCAATTCCCACCTATGAGTGAGAACATGCGGTGTTTGGTTTTTTTGTCCTGGGGATAGTTTGCTGAGAATGATGGTTTCCAGCTTCATCCATGTCCCTACAAAGGACATGAACTCATCATTTTTTATGGCTGCATAGTATTCCATGGTGTATATGTGCCACACTTTCTTAATCCAGTCTATCATTGTTGGACATTTGGGTTGGTTCCAAGTCTTTGCTATTGTGAATAGTGCCGTAATAAATATACATGTGCATGTGTCTTTATAGCAGCATGATTTATAATCTTTTGGGTATATACCCAGTAATGGGATGGCTGGGTCAAATGGTATTTCTAGTTCTAGATCCCTGAGGAATTGTCACACTGACTTCCACAATGTCAACCAGAATTCTTAAAAACTCATTTTGTTTTGTGTCCTATGCTGGGTGCTAGGGATATGAAAAAGGCAGAGATCCTTTCCCTAAAGATCTCTCAGTCTAGGGGAAGGCAGATAGTAACAGATATGATCAACTCCCATTAGAAGATGGTCTGGACTAGAAAATGAGTCCCAATCACTAGACTCAGGAGCCTGGGACAAAGGGCATCTAGATTTGCAAAGTTTTACTGCACTGGGTATTTTCTAGAGGAAAAAAAGTTTCATACATATATGTGCCATTTTAAAGGAAAGTAGATAAAGTTGTGATTAACAAGAAGTAAATTTATTTGAAAGTTTTCCTGAATTCATAGAGCTTCTTGCCATCATATATTTTATCAATTGATGGATATTAAAACCAAATACTGCATGTTCTCTGGAGCTAAATGATGAGAACACATGGGCACATAGAGGGAAACAACACACACAGGGGCCTTTTGGAGGGTGGAGGGTGGGGGGAGGGAGAGGATCAGGAAAAAGAACTGATGGATACTAGGCTTGATACCTGGGTGATGAAATGGTCTGTACAACAAACCCCCAAGACACAAGTTTACCTATGTAACAAACCTGCACTTGTACCCCTGAACTTAAAATAAAAGTTAAAAAAAAAATAAAAATATAGGTGTATCTGGAAGTTTGGGAAATATTTTGACATCAAAAAGGGAACTTCGGACTAAGAGAATCTGGTAATTGCTGGTCTAGCCACCAGCATGAGGTTACTGTTCTCCAGTGTAATCCAGCAGAACTACATGTTTCCTCTGATCCAAGGCTGACCCCTCCACCTCTGTTACCATGCCCTTTTCCTCTTTGAGAACCTCACTCTGTCGATTACCTTCTCTCTTTAGCATCTTCAATCTTCACCTCTCTGCTAGAACTTTTTCCTTAGTCCATATCCACACTCAAATCTCTTCCATCTTTACAAGAACTTTCTCTATCATGTCAGTTCCACAAACATTTATTGGGCTTCTGTATAACACAGTCTGGAATGTCAGGAAAAGAGTCCCTGAAAAGACAGAAATTGACCTCAGAATATAAGGCAGCACTAACCAATAAATACAGGAGCAGGGGATAGAAAAGATGTTCCAAGCCTTTCATTTTACCTCCTAAAATATCTCCCACATCCATTTGTTCATCCATTTGCTTCCCTCCATCTCCAACACCAAGAGGTCCAAGGTGCAATCCACTCCTGCCTGAACTGTTACAATGGCTTCAATCACTGGCCTAACTATAGTCACTCTTGCCTCCTAGCTGTCTGGTCTCCACATTGCAGCCAGAGAGGTCCTTTCAAAAAGTGACTGTCCTGGACTCCTCACCATAATCCCCTCCAAGGCCTGTATAATCCGGGCCCTGCCTGACTCCTCCTCCTCACTGAACACCCCACATCCCCTCATGCTTCACTGACTAACCCACACCAGCCTTTTAGGACTTTGTATTTGTTCTCTGCCTCCTATCCAAGGACGCTTTTACATGATTTTTTGACCTGAAATCAGGAACTTTTGATTTTGACTTTATTTTGAAAGCAGTGGGAACTCTGAAGGACTTTAAGCAGAGAAGTGACTATATCTGAGTTAATCCATATTCCTAAAAAAACATCCTGGCTACTGTGTGAAGAGTGGATTTGTGGGAGTGGAGAATAAAGCAAGGAGACCACTGAGGTCTCCTTATATTTGGTGATGGATTTGGTGAAGGACAGGGAGACAAATGGAGAAACTGAAGATGACCCCCAGGGTTCTGGGCTAAACGACGGAGTGGGTGCTGGTTTCACTGAAAATCTGTAATAAAAGGTGGTGGTGAGGTTGCAGAGAAAAAAGCAAGCTTATACGTTGTTGGTGGGAGTGTAAATTTGTTCAACCTTTGTGGGAAAGCAGTGTGGTAAATCCTCAAATACCTAAAAGCAGAACTACCATTTGACGCAGCAATCCCATTACTGGGTATATACCCAAAGGAATATAAATTGTTCTATCATAAAGATACATGCACATGTATATTCGTTGCAGCACTATTCACAATAGCAAAGACATGGAAGCAACCTAGGTGCCCATAAATGGTAGACTGGATAAAGAAAATGTGGTACAGATACACCATGGAATACTATGCAGCCATAAGAAAATAATAAAATCATGTCCTTTTCAGGAACACGGATGTGGCTGAAGGCCATTATCCTTGGCAAACTAAGCAGGAACAGATAGCCAAATACCACATGTTCTTACTTATAAGTGGGAGCTAAATGATGAGAATACGTGAACACAAAGAAGGGAACAACATACCCTGGGGCCTATCAGAGGGTGGAGGGTGGGAGGAGGGAGAGGATCAGGAGAAATAACTAATGGGCACTAGGCTTAATACCTGGGTGATGAAATAATCTGTACAACAAACCCCCATGACACAAGTTTATCTATATAGCAAACCTGCACATGTACCCCTGAACTTAAACGTTTTTATAAAAAAGGAAATTTGCAGGAGAGACAGCTATGCGGATAGGACAGGCTCACTGTCCTGTCTCCACTGATTACCTGGTGTTCCCAGCTCTTTGTGGTCTGTGAGTTGTTAGGGTCATGGGGCTGTGGAGTTCTTGCTAGGAAGTAAACTGTGGAAGATACCAAAGTGTGGAGAAGATTGAAGAGCATGGGCTATAAAAAGCATGGTGCAAATTCACTCCTAAGAGATGAGCTTGAGATGTTACCTTGCTTGTCCATGATACCAGCACTCATTTTCCTCTGTATCTCAGCCCCCTCCTGTCTTCACTTCCTTCGCTATCCAGCTCAGATGTCATTTCTTATCATTTCAATCTCTCTCTCACCAATACCCTTGTCCCATTGTTCCCCCAATCCCACTTGTGGAAAAACACCAACTTTGGATGAATCCAATTATCGCTCATCTCTGGTTGCTAAGCACTGCTGGAAATCCACACACATTG
The DNA here is from genome assembly GCF_000001405.40 of Homo sapiens. Lineage (NCBI taxonomy): Eukaryota > Metazoa > Chordata > Mammalia > Primates > Hominidae > Homo > Homo sapiens. The sequence continues at coordinate 34,291,014 of NC_000001.11, read as the reverse complement.
GTGTCACTATAAATCATTGGTGCCACTCTAAATTTATGGTCTCTGACTTCAAATGGCCCCTCAATGCTGCTTAGCAATCCTTCTCTATTTCCCTTGTCAGCTCTCTATCTCATTCTCCACAGTGGTTATTGCCAGTTTTAACTCTCTTCAAGCTCACTTCCCCTTCTCTCCCTGAGCATATGAATTCACTCCAATTTACAGAGAAAACAGAAGCCACTGGAAAGGTGAACTACCTGAGCTTTCCTCCATCAACATATAAACTTACCTAAGTCTAAAACTATCCTTTCTGACCTCTCACCAGTTACATGTCTCTTCTTCCGTTTAAAAGTGGTACTTCAGCCTGGATTTTATTCCTCCATCAACATATAAACTTACCTAAGTCTAAAACTATCCTTTCTGACCTCTCACCAGTTACATGTCTCTTCTTCCGTTTAAAAGTGGTACTTCAGCCTGGATTTTATTCCTTCCCACCTTTTTGGAATATTCCTCTAATTATTTCCTTTCTTCCCTATATTGTTCCTCCATTTCTCTACCAGCTCCTTCCCAGCTGCATGAAAACTTGCTCAGATAACCTCATCTCAAAAAAAAAAAAGAAAAGAACCTATTCTTTCCTTTACCCCTAACTAGCTACTACCAAATATCTCTCCTTTCTTCCCATCAAAACTTTCTGAAAATATGGTCAGCACTTTTTTGTCTCCAATTTTTATGGCCCACTCTCTCCATGAACCACTGTAGTCTTACTTCCACCATGAGTCTGCCCTCACCATTGTTACCAGCAACCTTCATTTGGAATTTGGTGGTTACTCTACAGTCACTATGTCCCTTGGGTTCTCAGCAGCTTGACACTGTTAACTACGTATCTTTTCTAGAAACTCTCTCTTCTCTCTGGCTTCTGAAAACCACACTCTCCTGGTTTTCCCATATTCTCCTAGGCTACTACTGTCTTCCCCTTCTTGACCTGGAATGACAGAGTTACGTGCTGGGCTTTCTTCACTTTTTTGTTCTATACCCTGATCTTGAGTAGATTCTATGGTAGCTTATTTGCAAAAATAGTCCCAATTCGCTACCCCTCTCTGTACCTGCTCTTTGTAATGTAACTTTGCAATTCTTCCCATCAGCCGGTGGAGTCTATTTATCTGCCTGTTGAATCTAGACTGGCCTTGACCAACTTTAGCTAAAAGAAGATGGCAAAGCAACATTGTGCCAGTCCCCAGCCTGGGACTCACTGCCGTGTGAGCAAACCTGTGCTAGCCACTCGGATGATGACAGCCCTATGGTCTAGTCACTCCACCCAATAATCAGCCAAGCAGCTGCTGAGTGAGGCTGTCTGAGACCAGCTTCCTCAGTCAAACTTCAAAGCCTATTTTGTCACCATTATACTGCTTTCCTGAACCACTTGCAGTTTCAAGTACATAATAAGTTCTCATGTCTCTAACTTCACTCATGCTGACTTTTATTCCTTACGCATTCTATGCTTCTGCTTTTTCTGGCTAACTCCTACTTATCCTTTTAAACTTTACTTGAATATGTCTCTTTAAGAAGTTTTTCAGCCTTTCCTTCTTTCCACGGGAATGGATTAGAGAACCCTCCTCTCTGTCACTATAACATCTCCTGCACATTCTACCCTCCTCTCACAGCATCATACTGATGTTATGTCTCTGCTCCTAGACTATGAGACACTTGGGGACAGGAACTCTGGCCTCAGGAATAGTACCAGTGGGTGCTACATGCACTTCACCCAGCCAGGCACCATGAGCCAATATACACCAAAGGAATGGTTGCTCAGATACCATCATGGTACAGCCCAAGTTCAGACAAGTAGAGCCCAAGTACCTAAAAGTGCTCAAAATACCAGCTACTCCTATAGAATGGAAATTTCAATTCATCTGGCAATTTCTAAGGCAGTGGATCTTCAAATGAACTTTTCACAGATAGAGAATTTGCAAAACCACTCACCCTAAACTCAAATACGTGAGCTAGAAGAGAAACTGCAAGAGATCACGGGGTTCCTGCCTTTTCTTCCTTATTTCATCGATAGACAGTTTCTCATGAAAATGAACTCTAAAACGTGCTAGAAATGAGAGATTTAAGAAATGGAATAGGTCACCCTGGCTATAAGATTCAAATGGCCCCCAAAAGTCACTTTGTCTTTGACAGTGAAAGCCACCCCTCTCTAGGATGGGTGGGGCTTCCCTAGAGTCCCCAGTCTTAAAAACTGCTGTTATCCACTGGGGAAAGGAAGGTGTCATGCAGCACGGGACCATCAGTTCCACTTCAGCCATCTTTGATATGATGAGACAGTGATGAAGGAAGCTGCCATCAGGAGAGGAGAGTATCTAGAGAACAAAATCCTGGGTTCTAGCAAATGTCCCAGGCAATTAAAAAAAAACATTACAAAGTGTGTAGGGAGCACACACTGATATGGTGATATTACATGTCCAGAATACATTTTGCAAAGTTTCTCAGTGCAGCATCGGGGAATCTATAGCCATCTACCTTTTAAGAGATTTCTTTTAAAAGCCCTTAATTCTAAAATTAAGAGCACACCAATGAGGGGCTGTGGAGCCTGCAAGATCATAGGGTACTGTAGGTTAGTTTGTCATTGGGTTGGTGGTGTTTGCATTGTAATTACGGCTTAGCATAATTTTGGAATGTAGACACTGTTGTACAGAAGTGTGGCAAAGACTAATGCTTCTCACCAAAAATGTATCTTTACCTCTTCTTCTTGAGCACACAGTCAGACTACATTTCCCAGTCTCCCTTGAAGTTAGGTGTGGCCATAAGACTAAGTTCTCGTCATTGAAATGTGACAGGAAGTGATTTGTACCACTTCTAGGCTTGGCCCTTAAAAATTCCCATATCTCAGGTTTGCAAGATGGAAAAGGTCCTAGAGATGGATGGTGGTGATGGATGTGCACCAGTGTGAGTGTACTTAATGCCACTGGACTATACCCTTTAAAGTGGTTAAAATGGGAAATTGTATCTTATGTATATTTTACTACAATTTAAAAATAAATTTTAAATGTTTCTATACATGCTCCGTCATTGTTTTACTCCCTTTCAACTGGCTGATATGGAGAGAATTTCAGGGCAATCTTGGAAACCACTGAAAATGTTGAAAATGACAGGGACTCTGTAAGCATGGTTACAGGTAATTTGGTTACCCGAAATAAATTTCTATTGTATTTGAGCCATTATATTTATTGGGGTTTACATTAATTACCTATTGCTGTATAACAAATTGCCCCAAACCTTAGTGGCTTAAAACAACAACATTTATCATCTCAGAGTTTCTGTGGGTCAGGAATCCAGGTGTGGCTTAGCTGGGTCCTCTACTTCAAGGTCCCTCGAGACAGTAATCAGGGTGTCAGCCAGGGCCACAGTCATCCCAGGCTTGACTAGGGAAGGAAGTATCTGTCTCCAAGCTCACTCACGTGATCATTGGCAAGATTTGGTTCCTCACGGGCCATTAGGCAGAGGCAACTCTCAGTTCCAGGCCATGTGGGCCTCTCCACAGGGCTGCTCTCAACGTGACAGTGGCCACCAAGTGAGAAGAGCTGGCGTGAGGGAGTGAGTGAGGCCGAACTCTCCATCTTGAGTAACCTCATCTCAGAAGTGACATCCCTTTTTTGTGCCACATCAATTCACTAGAAATAAATAATGAGGTCCAGTCCATACCTTAAGGGCTTTTACACAAGAGTGAAAAAGGAGAATTATACAAGAGTATGAGAGCCAGGAGACGGGGATCCTTGGTATCCATAGGCTCTATTTGCTGCAACAGCTATCCTACCCTCACTATCATAATGAGCCTAATGGATCAGGTTGCAGCTTTGGTATTGGTGAGCATTTTTGAAGGTTGTTTGAATGTTAGCCCCATGCATCCTGCCTCTCCATGGGAGCAGAGGCAGAAATGCCCAATTTCAGGTTATTTGTAACTGAAGAGATGAGTGGCGGCATTTCAAAGAGGACTGAGTTTTTCTGGCATGATCCATAGCAGCATCATGACCACACCTGACCATAAATCCAAGACCCAAAGGAGAATTCATTTTCTTTTGCTACCAAATGCTCCCACTTCCTTTCACCCAGTGACTAAAAACCATGACAGCAGGATGTTCCCCACAGTGGTGGCTTTGCTATGCTCTTCTTTGAAGGGTCTGATCAGTTCCCACTACTTTGGAAGGTGGAGAAGGGAGCTTATAGGTCAGGCTTTCACAAGCCTGAATGGAGGCGGGGCTGGCCAGACAGCTGTCAGATGCAAAGATCCTGGCTTTATGTGTCGTTCAACATAATTGCTCATCTGGCTGAGCCCTGCTTCTCCGCAGATGTTGCATCACTGCACTGCTGGAATTGCTGCTCTCAGCCCCGTCTCATCACTCTAATTAAGCCCAAATAATAAGGCAACATGTTAGACACGATGATCGAGTTTTAATTAGACTTTGATAAACCCAATGTGAATTTGGTCTCATCAGGTGCAACATTTCTGATGAGAAGGAAGGCTGTGAATCATGAGACAATTTTGATATAAAAAGCTATTATGGTTTCAGTGTCATTTGTGTGTAGGGAGGTTAGAGGTTGGGCATGCATGTAATCATACTAACCCTTTACATTTGGGGAGTACATTACTGTTTTCAATTTCTTTCAGATCATTGCTATGTGACTGTGGGAGCTAAGGCTCATCTGGAACAAAGCATGCAAGCCCAGATGGGGAGAAGAGGGAGACGATAATGTTTAGTCAGTTCCTAAGGCATACCAGGCACTGTGCTAGGAACATCATACATGGAATAGAAGACAAATATCTCACCAAAGTCCCAGCACTTAAGAAGTCTCAGAACAAAGACCCCTGCTTATGTCTGTTCATTTCCTTCATAGGTCTCTCTTTACCACTTCATGCAAACAGTCTTCCAAAGCCATCCTGGAAGATGACAGTCACAGACGCAAAACCACAGAATTAGAGCTGAAAGTGCCCTTAGAGATAGATCCAACCTCCTCACTGTATGCATGGGGAAACTGAGGCACAGAAAGGCAAAGGCCATCATCCTAGTCACATGATGATTTGGTGGCAAAATCAGACAAGAATTTGTCTGACCCTACAAATCCCTCTAATTCATTTAATTCAATTTGATTCAACAAACACTTATGGAGCATCCACTATGGGCCAAGCACTGTTTTAGGATTGTATCCACAGATTAAAACAAATAGAGATCCGTCTAGTAGACTTCCATTCGGGGGGGTGGGGAACAGACAGTGCACAATAAATAATTTATATAGTATGTTATGAGAGGGTAAGTGTTATGGACAGGAAAGCGAGAGAGAGAGAGCAGGATACAGGAGGTTGGGAGCCCCAGAGATGAGAGAGCTTAAATTTAAAACAGTGTGATTAGGGTAGGTTGTACTAAGAAAACTTTCTAAAGGCAAAATTCTCCATCCATTCCTTTACCTATCTATTTCTTGGGAATTTATTGAACACTTCCTGTGTCCAGTCTTTTAATGGCAGTGTGCTGTGATGTCAGTGGGATCCAACCACCCATCTTTCTTAGGAATCTCTGCTAAATCCAAGGTCACCATGGTGTTCTGAGCTACTTTTTCCTAATAAATGGCATTTCCCAAGATCATGACCAGCCAAGTGGCTCCAATGGTATTGATCATTTCCACAGGGCACAAAACCTCTGGATGCAAAATAAGAAATACAATAGCGGGTGAGGAGGTGAGAAGGTGTCCCCTGCCACACTTGGGAGCAGGCAGTTTATCTGCAGAAGCCTTCCTCTCCTCCCACTCACTCATCCCATGTGGCACTCCCCATAAGCCTCCCTTCCTGGAAAATGCCCCACCTGACCTCTACCCACCTTTCCCCTTCATGATTCCTCCAGACTGGAGCTAACACCGCCATCAAAACCCCATTTGAAACCCTCAGTCATCCCTGTATGCTTAAGGGGTCTGTGGATTCCTGCGCCTACTCCAGTCTGCTAATTGGAGTCCACCGACCCAAGGCCATTCATCTTGTACCTTCTCCTAACTTGTTGAAGTAGCATTCTAGGCAGAAGTGCTCTCTATCGGTGGTCTTCATATTACACTATGTGGGAGCAATAATCTTTTGTGCTTGGGTAGAATTTTACAATTGACAAACAAGGCACTTTCCCATCCATCATGTCATTTGAGCCCCACAAAAGTGCTGAGCCATTATTCCTTTTTTTCTCCCCTAGATTAGGAAGCCTACACTCTTACGATTGAAAGATTTGTTCAATGTCACACAGCCATTGAAGCACAATTCAGTGTCCAGTGATCTTTCTGGAACCCTGTGCTGGCTGGCCCTGTGGACATTTGGTGACAGGCCATGTGGACAAAGTAGAAGTAACCGCACTCCAAGTTGAGTAGAAAAGTAATAGAACAGCATGAAACCCAGGGGTAGGACAGTGTCATATTTCTCAAACTTCAATGTGTGCAGAAGTCACCAGGGGATCTTGTCAACAGGCAGATTCAGAGTCAGCAGGTGTGAGGCAAGGCCTAAAATTCAGCATTTCATGAAAACTCCCAGGTGATGGCAATATAGCTGGCCACAGGCCACACTTTAAATAGCAAGGGGATGATACAAGTCTGCTCACCACGTTGTCCCATTGGATGGAGTTCTGCCCTTTAGGAGTCATGTGAGTTTGAGCTGGTCTCATGGACAAGCTGAAAGTCAGGGTGGTTATTTTTTCCTAAACTATGCAACAGAGAAATGCCATAGCGAACTTTCAGACAAAACCCTGATTGAGCTACACCCTGAAACTGCCACATAATGTTATGCAAGGTGTACCCTGCACAAAGGCACCTGCCTGTTGGGGATGGGTGTCAGCTGAACTCCAGCTCTCACTCCACTCACCATGCAGCACCCCTGCACCTAGAGAAAGGGGCACCATTTCTTTCATTGGTACAAGGGCACCACATGGACAAGCAGAGGTCTGGTATACTTTCCTGCCCTCCTTGACAACTACTCATGGTCTAATTGATCCACCTCTATAGGGCTTGATACAGTTAAATAGATATCTGTCTTTTATCTCCTCCCTTATGCCACTTGTTTCTGAGAGCTGTTCTGGTAATGGCCTCCTCTATAGACCTCTCTTTACCACTTCATGCAAACAAAGTCATCCTGGAAGATGACAGTCACAGAGGCAGAGCCACAGAATCAGAGCTGAGAGTGCCCTGAGAGACAGATCCAACCTCCTCATCTCCAGACCTCTTCTGTGTCCTCCAGACCTCTTCCGTGTCCTACCTCCATCAAGAGCTTGCAGTAGGGCCCATGTTCATTCATTTCCATTCATCCATTCAACAGAAAATATTTATGGGGTGGCCGCTATGTGCTGGGCACAGTTCTAAGCATTGAGAATACAGTCAGTAGTAAACAAACAAGACAAAGCCCCCACCCTTATGGAGCTACCATTCTCAAAGGGAAGAGAAAAATACATAAATAATGTTTATGATAATGGCAGGCAATATTCCTTATGTAAAATAAGGAAAATAAGGAAGGGTGGTTTGGAGATGACATTTGGGCAGGGACCTGAGGAAGATGAGGGAGTGAGCTGTGGGAGGGTGGGGTGGGTAGTGGGCAAGCACAGTTTTGGCAGAGGAAGGGCCAAAAAGCAGGAGCAGCAGAGGAAGGGCCAAAGGTCCTGGAGCAGCAGTGTGCCTGGCATGACTTTTCAAAGAGGACTGAATTTTTCTTGGCATAGCAAAGAGCCCCAAGAAGGCCAGTGTGGCTGGAGATGCATGTGTCAAAGGATGCATCTCGACCATGGGGAGAACTTTGGGTTTCATTCTAAATGTGAGGGATAACGCTGGAGCTATCCACCTTGGCCATTGCTGCCACTATGTGATGCCCCCAACCGTTGTCTCTGGTTTAAGTGTTTTATGGGGGTAGGGGTGTGGCACAATTCATTTAACAAATTCAACAAATATTTTTTGAGTCCCCTACCATGTGTGCCAGGCACTGTTCTAAGCCCTGTTCTAGGTCTTGGAAATATACCAGTGAACAAGACATGCAAATTCCCCACCCTAGTGGGGCTTATATTCCCATCAACAGGAAGACGAATCTTCACAATACACTCTTATCCTTGCTGAGACCCACATGGAGATGAGAGCAGCATGGGCACTGCATAACTGAGCCTCTCTCTGTTTAGATAGTCATGTTGGGGAGGGGTGAAGCAAGCCAGCAAGGGCAGAGGGGTCTGCTGCTACCCACACACAAATGTTCTGTGTTGGTGGCTCTTGTGGAAGTCTAGAACAAGAGACGGATGTAAAGCAGAGAGAAAGAATAGCTCCAGGAAGGAAAAGCTTGTGAGGCTGAGCATTTACCCTCAGAATGTATGTAAATTCTGGAAAAAAAAGAAAATGGGATGGGAAGCTTAACTTTGTTTGTATCTTACATGCACGTGAGAGGCACAAAAACAAAAATAGACAAATGGGATTACATCAAGCTGAAAAGCTTCTTCACAGCAAAGGAAACAATCAACAAGTGAAGAGACAGCCTACAGAATGAAAATATTTTCAAACTATTCATCCAACAAGGAATTAATGACCACAATATATAAAGAACTCAACTCAACAGCAAAAAAAAATCTGATTTTAAAAATGGGCAAAAGACTTGACTAGACATTTCTCAAGAGAAGACCACAAATGGCCAATAGGTGGATGAAAAATTGCTCAACATTACTGATCATCAGGGAAATACAAATCAAAACCACAATGAGATATCATCTTACCCCAGGTAGAATGGATATTATAAAAAGAAACAGAAAATAAAAAGTGCTGGTAAGGATGTAGAGAAAAAGGATCGCTCATACTCTGTTGGTGGGAATATGAAGTAGTATAGCAATTATGGAAAACAGTATGAAGATTCCTCAAAAAACTAAAAATAATCCAGCAATCCCATTGCTCAGTACACATCCAAAAGGGAAAATCATTATATTGAAAAGATAGCTGTACTCCTATGTTTATTGTGGTACTATTCAAAATAACCAAGATACGGAATCAACCTATGCCCATCAACAGATGAATGGATAGAAACTGTGGTAAATATTAAAAAATGGAATATTATTCAGCCATAAAAAAGAATGAAATCCTGTCATTTACAGCAACATGGATGGAACCAGAGCTCATTGTGTTAAATGAGATAAGCCAGTCACAGAAAGACAAATGTCACATGTTCTTACATGTGGGAGCTAAAAAGTTGGATCAAATAGAGGAAGACAGCAGATTGGTGGTTATTAGAGGCTAGGAAGCCAGGTCAGGGAGGGTGATGATAAGTTGGTTAAAGAATACAAAAATACAGTTAGATGTACAGTTAAATAGAAGAAATAAGCTCTAGTATTTGACAGTATTGTAGGCAAATTATAGTTAACAATAATTTAATGTGTATTTCAAAATAGCTGGAAGAGGATAATTATAATATTTCCATCACAAAGAAAACATAAATGTTTGAAGTGATAGATAGCCCAATTATCCTGATTTGATCATTACGCATTGTATACAGGTATCAAAATAGCAAATGTACTCCCAAAATATGAACAACTATTATATATCAATTTTAAAAGTGATTTTTAAAAAGACTTGATCACTTCTTCCTTTCAACAGATGTCTCATCCTGCACCTAGCTCAGTGCTTCTGGTATCTGTCACAGAACCTGGCTCACGCCAGGCACTCAATAAATACTTACTGGGGGAATAGTGGGATGGATGGATGATATGATGTCCATCTGGGTATAATTTTATCTCAGAGTAGCTTGTTGTTCTAGGGTGTATGCATGTGGGGATAGAGGAGCCCACAAGAAAGGTCTGAGACTCATTAATTCATCTATTTTTCCCCCTCTAGCACCTACACCATGGTCTTGTACATAATAAGAGTTTAATAAGTGTGTGCTAAATGAAAGAAGATAAGCTTTGATCAGAAATATGAGTCCAAGGGTTCAGGTTTTCCCATGAAACTTTAATGCCATAAAGGATTTCTGCATATGAAATTTACCCTTCTCTGCTCACCTTTACATAATTCAAGCAGCATGTGGCTCCTTGGGGACTTCTTTGGACATTAAGTTCTCTCTCAACAGTCCTAGGATTGAACAGCTGCATGTAAGCAATTACCATCTATTTGTCATTACCAGGGGGTTATGGGGAGCTATGGAGGAAGAGCATGGAGATGAGAGACAGTGTTGCAAAAGGGCCCAGGGACCAAGAGGCACAGGGATGGGGTCCGAGGCATGGGGCCTGCCTTTGTGGAGGTCCGAGCTTGGGGAAGTCAGGATACAGGACAAGACCATGAAAGCACCCCAGAGGCATGGGGGACTTTAAGCCACTTCTTGGTATGCTTGTTTCTTTCTCCCTGAACAATATCTAGCTCATGGCCCCTCAACATCTGCTTGACAAGCACATCTCAACAAGGAATGGCAGAAAAGGGAAGAGGTCGGAGAGGTTGTCTTTGTTTTGCAGCGAAAACCCAGGAGATGATGAGGAAAAGCACTGAGGCACTCTTTGAAGATGGGGGTCCCCTGAGAGCTGTCAGAGAAGTGGAAAATGCCTCAGGCAGGGTTTGCTGGCTCCCCCTACACCCCTCAATTCCCAGAAACATCTGCACTGATGACTTGGTAAGGACAAGCCCAGGCTGGAGATGATGCAGCTAGCTAGGACCCTCTAAGAAAAGATAAGAAACAACTCCTGTAGAGACCCAGAACTCAGAAGGGGGAAGCCTTCAGAAAAAGGAGAGGAGTAATGTCCCTCACCTGACTCCTCATTAAAATGAAATTCTCTCCAGTGGAGGTAGGCTGGGAGAAGAAACCCTTCGGCCCCAGCCACTTCATTGTGAATTAGTAGTGCTAAACCTTTTTGAGGACAGAGGGAGAAGTAGAGGAGAAAACTAACATTTAACACCCACCCACTCTGGGGCAGGCTGCCTCACACACCTTGTTTCAGGGACCTCTCATGACAACTCTCTGAAACAAGTTATGTGATTTTCATCTGTAGTAAATTGAATTTTCCCCCAACCCCATCCCCCAAAAAAGCTATGTCTGGGAAACTGCCAATGTGATGTTATTTGGAAAAAAAGGTATTTGCAGATGTACTTAAGGATCTCAAGATGAGATCATCCTGGGTTATCTTTGTGGGCCCTAAATCCAAAGGCAAGTAAGTGTCCTCACTAAAAGACAGAAGAGGAGAAAATACAGGGAGAGAAGAGGAGAGGCCATATGAAGATGGAGGCAGAGACTGGAGTCACAACCCAATCTCTGCCTCCATCACAACCTTGATTGTGATGCAACTACAACCCAAGGAGTGGCTGGAGCCAACACAAGTGGGAGGAGGCAAGGAGGGACTCTCCCCTACTGCCTTCAGCCAGAGTGTGGCCCTCCCACCACCTTGATTTCAGACTTCGAGCCTCCAGAATTGTGACAGAGTACATTTCTGTTGTTTAAGGCTACCTGGTTTGTGGCAATTTGTTATGGTAGCCCTAGAAAATTAATACATCTTTTCATAGATGAGAAAAATGAGGTTCAGAGAAACTGAGCAACCTCTGTGAAGATACCTGACTCGTCTGAGACAGATCTGGGTTACAGACCTTGCAGTGGGAGCAAACTGTTGGCATTTTTCAAAGAGCATCCTTCAGAAATGAGCCCATAAAGACCCCTGAAAAGAGTCCCATTGCCAGAAAGTTTGGGAAATGCTATGCCTTGAAGGTTTCCACAGCTAATGTGCATAGTAAAAGCTCAACAAGACCTTCCCTTGCCCTGGAGGAGGGTAGGTCCTTACCTCGGCTGTTTTTCCTCTAGCGCCTTCCCTAAGCTTCCCTCCTTGGCACTTAAAAATCATGAGGCTGAGTAAATGCATGTCTGGAATTTGTTTTGGTCTAACGTTTTTCTCTCCAGCTGGACCCCAAGCTCCACGAGAGCCAGGGCAGCATCTGATCTCTTCTCCACGGGATTCCCAGCCTTTTGCACAGCCCTTGGTGCATGGCGAGGGCCCATTGATACCTGCTGAATGAATGATCAAGAAAAAAATGTTGAACTTTGTTTAAGCCCAAGGTGTCCCAAACTTTACTAAACTCTTTCCCCTACAGCACCATAGAAGATCAGATTCAGGGAAAGGTGAGGGACCTCGCCAAGAAGTTGAGCTGTCTATGCTGTTTTCCAAGCTTGAATACAGACCTCTATCTGAAGAGCCCTTTGGCCCAAAGAGACTCTGCTGTCTCTCTCTGGGAAAGAAAGATGCTCATGAGCCCATGCAACCCCAATGAACACACCTGTGGGATCTGGGGGGTGAGGAGAAACAGTTGAGATGATTTAGAGTCTACTTGGAAAAATAACCATGTGATGCTAGCCAGGAAAATTCTAAAATTTAAAAAAAAGTGGGTAAAGGAAAATAACAACCCTTGCCAGATATATAAAAATAATAAAAATTAGCAATACTTAAAACTGTTTGGTACTAGAACAAGCTGGTAAAGGAAAAGAGAATTCAGATAGAAATCCAAGAACACACAGGAATTTAGTATATGAATTATATGGTATTTCGCATCAGTTAGGCAAAAAGGATTATTCAAGAAGGGGTGTTGAGACAACCGCCTTGCCATCTGGAAAAAAGTAAATCTGAATCTGGTCTTCGCTTCTCACACCAAAGCAAATTCCAGATGGAGCAAGGATTTAAACATAAAAAATAAGCCCATAAAAGTACTAGAAAGAAACATGGAAGAATTTTTTTTATGGCTATGGAGCAGAGACAGCCTTTCTAAACAAGACGTAAACCTTAAACTGAAAAAGTAAAGAATTGATTCATTTCAGTAGAAAAATTGAATGTTCTAAACTTCAAAAATTACAGTAAATGAACTCAAAAGTCAACTAACAAACTGGGAAAAAAAATCTGCACCACATATGACAAAGGTCTGGTTTACTTAATATATTAAAAGCTCTTATAGATTGATAAGAAAATGAAAAATAATCTATCAGGAAAAATAAATGAGCAAAAAACAAACAAAAATTACAACCTGACAACTCAGAGAAAAAGACTTGCAAATGGCTACTAATATATTTTTCATCATTTTTTAAAATTGACAGCATTGCATGCCTTTATCATGTATAACATGATGTTTTGAAGTATATACACATTGTGAAATGGTTAAATCTATCTAATTAGCAAATGCATCACCTCATAGTTATCATTTTGTGGTGAGAGCACTTAACATCCACTTTTTAAAACTTTTTCAAGAATATATTTTATTAACTATAGTCACCTTGCTGTACAATAGAACTCTTGAAATTTATTCCTCCTATCTAACTGTAATTATGTATCCTTTGACCTAAACTTACTTTTGTAATTAAAGAAATGCACATTTTAAATGAGACATGATTTTCAGCTATTAGACTGGCAAAATCCAAAAATTTCATAAGACATAGTACAGTGGTAGCACAGGGGTAGAGAAAGACACACTTGCCTATTGTTCATGGAACCATAAATTGGTGCAGGCCCTTTGCTGGGGAATTTGGTGATATTTGTCAAAATGGAAAGAGTGGACCAGATGCTCAGTGGATACAGTTCCTGCTTCAGTAGTGCTTAGGCTGAACCAGTGCTTGCCCTTGTCAACCCCCTAGAGCCTCAAGTCCACCTCTCCTCAGCCACCTATCAGGGTCCTGTATACCCCATGAACTACCTCCAGCGCCAGAGACCTCCCTCAACCCCAGATCACCCTGGAGCCATGTGTCTCCTGCATCAACTCTCCATGGCCTACCACTTTGTTTGAGATGACATGGCTGTGAATAACTCTGCCAAATGTCTTCTCAAATCCCATTAAGAGAAAGAACATACTGAGACCCCAGTGAAGCTGCAGAACCTACGGGGTAGCCAATCTTCCTTCAGAACACCAAGAAAGTAGCCCATCGCAAATGGGAGGTGGCTGAATGTAGTGAAGTCTGCGTTCCACTTGAGTGAGAGTGTGAGTTGGTCATTATTAAAATTGTGCACACTGGCTGCCAACACAAATGACCTCTGCTTTGAGAATTCTCTGAGACCCATTACCTGAATGAGTACAAGTAATCCATCAAAGAATAGAGTGGCCATGAAGCCAACTTAAGGAAGATAGGGTCCCAGGAGTATGGCATGGTGGCATAGCTTTTAGACAAGTGTGTCCTAGGAGACAGTGCATGTGAGAGCTAAGCCCAGGCTGGCTTCCTCAAAATCATGAGGTAGCTTCCTGAGGCAGCACATGCATCCTGTAGATATCTGTAACTTTTCCAAAAGCTGTGTCAAAACATCCCCCACATCTTCTTTGTATATGCCCACCATTCTTGCCATAAGGAAATCTTGTGACCTCTGTCAAAGAAATATTAAAACAGCACATACATTTTAACCTGGCAATCTGTCTTCTAGGAACTTATCTTTCAGATATGCTCATGCTTGTGCCAAAGACACATATAATTACAGGATTTGTAGCAATAGTAGAAAATGAAAAGTAATTTAAATGTCAATCAATGGAAAACTAGTTAGATAAATTATAGGACATCATACAATGGAAAATTAGGCAGCCGTGAAAAAAGATGAGACAGATGATATAGACATATCCAAGATATATTATTTTTTAAAAAAGCGAGGCACTGAATGTTCCATCACTGATGCATTGAAAGGATCACATGTACCTAGAATATTTCTAGAAGAAAAATCATCAGTGCAAAAGGTGTACAGTAACAGGATCTGTCCATCTCACTGCAGACGAATCCCACCGTAACTCAAAGGAGGGAAGATCCATTATCTGAAATGTGAGGGTCTTCAGGTATAGCCCTTCTCCCAGCCCAGTGGCCCAAGCATAGATCTGGGTTCTTGTTTAGGGTTGTCCTCCAAAATCTGCTTGACTGACTAGGCCCCCACCAAGGTTGGGATAGGGGTTCTCTGTTCTGGCCAGGCTCCTGACAGCTGCCTATGGACTCACACACTCAGGCCAGAAACCCATTCCCATTATGTGTGTCTTCCTTACCAATCAGCAATGCCCCTGAGGTGTGGAGCAGTCTGTGTGGAATATCCAGTGCCATCTCCTGCAGTCCTGAGTTGTACCTCCTTCATGAGCACCGTTTAATGGAGTATTGAGAACCATGCCTGGAGTATCAGACATGGCTTCCAGGAGTCCTGTGCTCTGCCTGGAGTGTGGATGGCCATCTATCTGGAGTACAGAGCACTGATTGCCTGGAGTTCAGAGCACTTCAATCCTGAGCACTTGCTGACTGGGGAACTAAGCAGGGCCTGTGAGTGCCAAATGCTATATGCCTGGACTATAGGGTGGAGTGTGCTGAGGGTTTTGAGCACTCTCTTGGAGTTGTGATTCTATACCTGGCTGACAGAGAAGGACACCCCTCCACTACCACCAGCACCACTTCCTCATGAACCACTTGTTGTTGAATACTGTCTGAAGCCAGGATTATATTTTTCTTCCTGCCTATCTGACCTCCTGTTCGGCACCTTCCCCGGAATAAATCTACCCTACAACAGTAGTAACATATTTATTGAATATCTATTTTATGCTGGACATGGTGGTAACCTTGACACCTACTGTGTGCTGGGCATGCTGGTACCTCGATATCTACTGTGTGTTGTGTATAGTGGTAGCCTTGACATCTACTGTATGCTGGGCATGTTGGTACCTTGATACCTACTGTGTGCTGGGTATAGTGGTAGCCTTGACACCTACTGTGTGCTGGGCATGTTGGTACCTTGATACCTACTATGTGTTGTGTATAGTGGTAGCCTTGACATCTACTGTATGCTGGGCATGTTTGTACCTTGATACCTACTGGGTGCTGGGTATGCTCGTACCTTGATACCTACTGTGTGCCGGGTATAGTGGTAGTCTCATAGGATTGGCAGTAATAGAGAAGGACAGGACCTGCTTCCTTGCTCCATGTCTTGCTTAGACATACACAGGGTGGTCTGGCAGTTTTCTGAGCTGCTCAGAGTGAGTTTAGCAGTCAGCATATAGATCATGGTTGGCCAAGCTCCCAGAAAGCCAAGGGTTAGAAAGATGGATTGACTTCATTTTAGGAAAGGCCAGAAGATCTGAGATTGGTTGTGAATGCTGATAACCCCACATGTGGGTCCCATGGGTCAGAGCCTAGACTAGGGGAGCCAAGGCTATGCCACAGTACCCAAGACTCCATCTACATTCTTCTATCTTGGGCCCTGCACTCCTTCCACCAACATCAATTTAGGCCACAGTTATAATTAAACCTCTCCAGGTCTCGATATCAGATTCCTTCTGCCCAGGTGCTCACTAGGAGAGGTATCAGCAGCTGTTTTGCCTCTGGGCTGCAAGCATGGGCGCGTGGTCAATGGTTAGTGCCTGGTAAATTTAGCAGTCTCTCTCTGCCAGAGGTTACTTTCTCTCTCACTCTTTCTCCATGCTGATCTGTATCTCCAGTGCTGGCTCAGTCTTTCTGAAGAAAGATGGCTCCAGGCAGTCTCATACCTGCTTGAAATACATCACAAATTCTAATACCAATCCAAAAGATTCTGCAGCCACTGCTATTATGTGTGACAATCCCACTGCTATTGTGTGTGACAATCCCACAGTGCTGGATGTAAATAAGTGTATGAGCATCAGGCTGCAAACCTTAATCACAGACAAGTTGCTCAACTTCTCCAAGCCTTAGTTTTTTTCACTGACAACAGAGGATAAAACTTGAATCTATTTCATAGGGTTATTGTGAAGATTAAGTGAATTAATATATTTAAAAGCACTTGAAACTGTGCCTGGCACACACTGAGTGCTAAATAAATATAAACTAACATCACTACTAACAATGATATACTGAACATCAAACATCGTCCTTTATAAGTGTTATTTAATTTTCACGCAGTGCCCAGGGCAGGTACTATCATCCCTCCTTTGCTCATAAAGAAACTGAGTCAAAGAAAGACAAGGCAACTTTACATCTAGAAAGTGGTGGAGCTGAGATGGGAACCTAGGGAATCAGGCTCAGAGCCCATTTTGACTCTAACCACTATGCTACACTGCCCAGCACCAGAAGCCTCCTCAGATGGGTTTGTTAGAAGCATCATAGGAAACCAGGTGTCTTCAGAAACAGGGAATCCTGCTGAGCTCTGCTTCACGTACGGCAGGTACAATGTCTCGTAGCACAGAAGGTTACCTGGGCTAGGGCTGCCCCAGGGGTGGTTGTTGGTCCAGGTGAGCTGGCTCCAGCCAGTGTAGGGAAATCAGGATGGAAGCCAGCAGTCACAAGAGCTAAGACTTACCTAGCTTTGAGTTAAACACTTTGCCTTCATTTGCACCTCAAGCAGCCCTATGATTTAAATATTATTTTATCTCATTTTATAGATTATGAAGCTGAGGCAAAGACAAGAAATCTGCCCAAGGTCACACAGCTAGGAAGTGGCAGAACCAGGATTTGAACCATAGACAGCCTGGCTCCAGGGGCCATACTCTTAAACACTACCCCAAACTACATGAGGAATTGGCACACCTGACAAACTGCCAACCCAAATCCCACACACTGAGGGTTCAGGGTTGACCTCCAGGCCCTTCTACACTTCAGCAAAGCAGGGAGGACCCCGAGCCACTGTCAGAAAATCTGATGCTCCAAAGGGACACATACGTGGAGCCTATCAGGAGGTGCAGGACTTTAGTCACCCCCGAGTGTCATGCTGAGAACTGCAGGAAGGAGGCCATAGAGCACAGCGAGAGGGGCACCCAGCTGGGAGCCAGAGGAGTTGGGCTCCACTTCCAGACACATGACCTGCAGAGCACCTTTTCCCTCTCTGGGCCTCAGTCTTCTCGTCCGTAAATTAAGGGGATCTGTTTATATCAGCTGTAAGGCTCTTTTGTTCTGATACTCTTTGTTCTGTCAAGAGAATTATGGTCCACTCTGGAAACAGAAACTTGCAATGAGTTGATCTGTCTAAGGATGACGCTTCCCAGAGAGTGAGGGCTACTCCGCAACTTGTCTTGGGTGTATCTGACTGGGGACAGCAATGGCATTTGTGTTGGCAGATGCTGAGAAGGTGATGCCTGAACCTCTGATGTAGGTGGCCCTTTGAAGGGCCCAAGAGGTGCAGTGAATCCCAGGCAGCCTCCCAGGCCAAAGCTTGAGCCAGAGGGTAGAAGTTGAAGAAGGACAGAACTCAGCTGTATATAGAAAAAACAGTGTAACAAGTTGTCTTACAAAGGACCTTCCTGTTACTGGCAATGTCTGTGCAAAGGTGCATGTTTGTCTTCCAGGGGCCTTGGAAAGGAAGTTCTTTCCTTCCCCACTAGATTCAGGATGTACCATCTCTTAGTCCATTCATTCATTGATCATTTATTCACCCAATGAATATTTAATGAGTGTCAGACACTGGGCTAAGCCTATGATGTGTCAGACACTGGGCTAAGAACAACTGATACAAAGGTGAACAAGACACAGGCCTGCCTTTGACCATAAAGGTGAATGTATGATCACGAGTATTGAGGACTGTCATCCGCAGGATTGTAACATTCTTGTAGGTCGAGGACCACTTGAAGAAAGCGTTGGACATGCACACCTATACAATATTTTATATCCAAATTTAAAGTGTGCAGGGGAATGAGAGATGATATCCTAAAGTTCATGCTTCCAAATTATGAGCTCCCATGCCTGCACAGCTGAGCAGAGACTGGCTAGCTGCCAGCCATTCTGGGAGATGGCAGACACATACAGGGACATGAGGATGGAGCTAGCAGGGATGCAGGGCAACTGCAAACAGAACAAGTGTCAAGGGAAGCCAGCCATGGTGACAGATTCCAAGCTCTAAGAGGGCAGAGGCAGACCTACTCCATCAGTTCATGGTCCGAGAGGAATCAGTGCTGCTGGCAGGTTGAGCAGAGAAGGATATTTCTGAAGTGCAGAGTAATGACTGGGGGAAGAGTTAGACCGAGAGCCAGGTCTTTTCTGGCATTCCAGGAGGGAGACAAAACTGAGCCCATTTAGGGGTGAGAAGAGTGGCCAAGCTGAGGACCCAGGCAGAAAACAGGGTACCCTGAGCACCTTGGAGGATTAGATGTGGGAAGCTGTGGGTAGAAAACATGACATGGACAAGGGATCTGGTGAGGAAAACGCCAGGCAGCCACCCCAGTCTCCAACAAGGATTTCTCTGCTTTTGTTCTGCAAAGAGCAGTCAAGACTATTCTAACCCGTTGCTGTTTCCAGGACAAAAACCTCTTGCTATTAAGCTCTGAGGGAGGTTAGGGCTGGCCACAGACCACGAGTGCCCAGGGGATGGAACTTTGAATGGGTGAGCACTGCCAAGAACCCTCAAAAAGACAACTAGAATCCAAGCCCCATGGCCAATCCAGGTCATCTAGGGAGTGGGAATAGGGCCTCAAAGCAAGCCTCTCTCTGGGTTAATCCTGGAAAACAAAGGGGCTTGGACCTCCATGAGGAGGCCTTGGAGATGCTGAAAATGAGATGAAAAGTTGGGATTAGAGGACTTGCCTCATTTCAGAAATGAAGCTGACCATTGATTCATCTTCCATCAAGGAGAGGTTCAAAGAGCTTCTCCCAGGGTGACATTTTTCCCAACTCTGGTCTTTCATACCCAAAGCCTTGGGTACCTGCTCTGGTTGGCAGGAAGGCCCATAGGACAGAGGCAGCCTGTCTCTATCCACTTTTCCATGAACTTAAAAAAGATAGCGCTCACAATCTCCCTGCTACTGTGCATCAGACACTTCTGGTCACTTTGCATACACATTTTCTGTTATCCTCAAGGACCATCATTGTCTTCAGGAGTAAAGTACAGAGAGAGAGAGAGAGAGAGAGAGAGAGAGTGAGAGAGAGAGAGAGTGAGAAATCTGAAGAATTTCAGTAATTGTCCGAGATCACCAGTTAGTAATGGTAGAGATGGAATTTAGACCCAGGTCAGTTTGGAAGCTGCGTCATTGAACATCCCTGCCCCCTTGTCACCTGTCCTGACTTGGCTCCTCCAGTGACATCACAGGAGCATCTCATTTTATGGCCTTTCATATGACATTTCGATAACCACACCAACCACACTCCTTGAGGAGGACCTGGACTCAGCTCTGGTTGGCTGTCTCTCTGGCTTTCTTCCTCAGATGGCTGCATTAACTCCATGCAACAGGTACACATTTCCACCTTCACTCTGGCATAATACATGTGGCAGCTGGTACCTTGATTTCTAATGCCCTTGATTCTAAGCCCTTGATTTCTAATGCCAATGCTTCTCCTTGGTTGATATTTTCCCCAAACTCTGCAATGGTGTTATCTCTCTGCCCACTTCTCACTGAAATGTCAGCCCACTCATAGCTCTGCCCAGTGAGACACTGTAGGCAGGCTGGCTGAACCTGATACCATGTGCTTTGCTTCTTTCTTACTATGATGTCTCCCTTAGTATCTTCCGATGATGTCACAGGCTTTAAGCCTGAGTCTCATCCACGTTTAGTCCAGCTCTCCCCAGCCACAGAAAATAATCTTTCTCCAAAACGGGTCCTGCCAACTGAGATTTTTTTATCCTCAAATGGTCTAACCCAAGAGGTCCAAAAGCCTGTCTCTAAGGTAACTGGGATCTGTTGTATTTCAGTCCAGAGTAGATCTGTAAGTTCAGCAAATTGGCCATCATGATTGACAGGAGAAGTCCCATCTGGTAATCTCTGAATAAGCCCAGGCATTTGGCCCTTAAACAAATGCCATGGTGAGTCACGAGTTAACTGTTTCTTGTCTTCTCTCTCCAACTAGGTTGTAGAGTCTTAAGGTTCATCTTGTTCTACATGTCCAAATAACGAATTGAATCAATAATTGTAGGAAGAGAGGGGAACTTTCATTTACTGAACATCTACTTTGAAAAAGGCACTTAGAGTTTGCTATGACCTAATTGTGACCCTCTCCCAAATTCATATGTGGAAGCCCTAACCCCCAATGTGACAGTATTTGGAGATGGGGCCCTTGGGAGGTACTTAGGTTTAGATAAGGTCATCAGGGTGAAGGCCCTATGATAGCATTGGTATCCTTATAAGAAGAGACACCAGAGAGTGTCTCTCTCCTTCTCTCCTCCCCACACAAAGAAGTGGTCATGTAATCCCATTGCTAGATGCTGCCCATCTACCGGCCAAAAGAAGAGGTCTTTGAATGAAACCTACCCTGATAACATCTTGATCTTGGACTTCCCAGCCCTTAATAAATTAATTTCTGTTGTGTAAGCCACTCAATCTTTGGTATTTTTTCATGCAACCTAAACAGATGAAGATGGACTTTCTGTCTTTTCACCCTCTAGCAACGTGGGAAGTAGCGGGGTAGACAACTCTGGTTTCCACCCCAAACCATTCCCCCTTCTGCCTTAGTTTATAGACCCCCAATTGATTTTCTTATTAGCTAAGTCTAATGTGCTCGGGAAAGTAGGTCACTTCGCCAGCCCTGGGGTCTCATCTTTTACCAGTCATGCTCTAAGGCTGAACAAGTGAACATACAACTGTCATTTAAATTCCAGTTACAGAACCTGAGCTCTATAGCCAAGCTTTCTGGGTCCAAATCTCAGCTCTGACAGTTACCTGTTGAGTAGCTTTGAGCAAGTTGTTTTAACCTCTCTCCATCTTAGAAATGGCACCTCTTTCTTGGGATTGCTGTATTAAGTTAACGCATGGAAAGTATATAAAAAGGTGCCTGTCATGTAGTAAGTACTCAATAAATGCTACTGTTGTTATTTCTATGAGCTATAAAGGGGAAGTCTCCTTGTTGTTTCTATGCAAAATTATGCTCTTTGATAAAAAGGGAGGTGACATAGAAAGCTGCCTCCTTTTTCCTTCCTTGAATTTGATTGCAATATGATTTGATGCCTGAAGCTGCCATTTTGGGATTTTGAAGCCATAACCCAAGGACAAAATATATATATATATATATATATGTATGACAAGATAGAAACTTGGAGGAGCCTATGTCAGAACTTTATGTGAGATAACAGTGAGCTATTATTAGCCCCGTTGTAGCAATGGGGAAACGGAGGCAGGGGAACGGATAGGGAGTGGTTAAGTAATTTGCTTAGGATCACACAGCTAGATGGAAGATCTGGGATTCAAACCCATGCCTAAGCTCTTTTCTTGGAACCAACAAGGCTGGAGGCTTGGAGAGAAGAGAGCATCTCTTGGAGAGGGGTGAGGGAGGGGTGCACTCTCCCTGACTCCATGCTTCCTCTGGAAGAGGTGTACTGGAGCAGGTGCCTGCCTGCCTCCAGTGCCTCAGCTGTCAATAAAACCCCCAGCCTGGCTGTGGCAAGCTGCAGATTCATGCAAATTCAGGGCCTATATTTAGCAGTAATTTAGCTGTCATCAGTCAGAGGGAGAAGAAAAAGCCCTCCCCAACGTAATGGTTATTCATATCGACTACCTACTCCTGTGGTGCCTCATAAATCCAATGGAATCTGACTCCAAGTGGCAGTGGCATGCAGGGGTCTGGCTGGCTTGGATTATTCGACCCCCCAGGGCAGAGATGATGGGGCAATGGCCTGAATACAAAGGGAAGGAGGGTGCATTTTTCATGGAGGGTGATGATAAGGAGAGAGATGGAGAAAGATGAGTCAGTCGTGGAAATCTAATAAAAAACCTGAAACAAGAAGGATGCCAATGAGTCAGAGGATGCTGGAGCTGGGAGGGCCCTCGGAAGTCAAGCAGTCCAACCCCCAAGGAAACTGAGTCAGAGAGGAGAGCAATCATAATAACAGCTATCCTAATTACCATTAATTGAATTCTTGTACTCTGTGCCAGATATTGTGCTGAGCATTTTCCTGGCTTGTAGTCATTTGGTTCTCTCAGTAACCTACTGGATCAGAATGATTTTCCCCATTTACACATAAGGGAACAGATACAGTCACTTGCCTTAGGTCCAAAAATGGCAGTGCTAGGATTTGAGCCCAAGTCTGCCTGATGCCATAGATCATTGCTCATAACCACTAACAATACTGTGGGATTTGTGGACAATTTCATAGTTAGTAAATGTCAGAGTTGGACCAAACTTTGGCTTGACCAACTCTTGGTCCACTTGTTTTTTTTCGTGTATCCCCCAGGTGATGATTAGTGAGAAGAGAGAAGGAAAGAGTGATGAGCAGAAGGGAGAATGAGTTTGTGCTTGAGACGGTTGGATGTTTGGGGAAACTGCAACTACAATGTACCATTTTCTCCCTTTAGTGATATGTCCATTAGATTTATTTGAGGGTGGCTATGGGATACCTCCTGTAGGACTGGAAAGGAGGGAGAGAGGCATGTATAGATAGATTTAGTGATGGGGGAGCTTAGGGCATCATGAGGGCATCCAGAGGGTGGAGAGACTGGACTCAAAAAGGGAGGATCGTGAAGTTAACTCTGCCTTCTTGTGCAGAAGGTCTGCTCTCCTGCCTAAAGTAGACCAGGAATCACTTTGGATGAGGAGACTTCAGCGAGAGAAACAACCCTAGAGAGACTGATATTCAGGCAACACACTTGTCCTCATAATGACTGGACTGGGAAGCAGCCATGCCCCTGCTCCCAACCCACAGAACCTAACCACAGATGTGGAATGAACTCAGGTTCCATGCCGGTGCCAGAATCTCTCACAATCAGCCCCTCCAGGACTAAAAACATGGCCTCTGGTACCAAAGTGACTGAGTTCAAATCCTTATTAGCTGTGTGACCTTGAGTAAGTCACTGAACTACTCTAAGCCTCGCTTTACTCGACTATACAATGGGAATAATAATATCCCTACCTCACAGGGTTGATGTGAGGATGAAATGAGTTAATGTAAATGATGCGCTTCGCACAGTGCCTGGCACCGAGTCAGTGCTACATCGTGTTAGCTATTACCATTGCTTTTGTTGTTGTTAATTCTGAGAAGCTTTTATCTGCCGAAGCAGAAGGTCTGTAGGACTGAGCGTTTCCCTCTGTAAACTCAGGATGATTAAATTATCCCCTTTCCATGCCACAGAATGTACACGCCAGTCATTCAGATGATATGCAAAAATATTATATTTCTATCCCTATCCTTTCCCCACAGTTCCCCACCCCCTACACACACCACCTCCTCATAACCACATTTATCCGGATAATAATAGAGAAAAAAAAATTCCTGCTTTGTCCTCAAATTGCTCAGGTATCTTAAGGCCAGTTGGCTTCATTTGGATATTTTGGTCCAGAGTGACTCTGGCCAGCCTCCTCTTCTACCCACACCCTCCCCCTCCCCAGCTGCTACTACATCATGGTCCCCCACCCCTGCCTGGTGCTGCTCTGGTCACCTGGGTCAGAGACCATCAGATCCCTCCTTCTGTCCTGGAAGTTTCAGACATCATGTGTAGCTTCGCAGTCAGCACTTTGTATCCCAAGCAGCCAGGAAGAGGAATTGCCACAAATAACCGTGCTAATGGAGGTAATGGAAGGAGGGAGACTGATGTCTGCAGTTCACAGGAGGGCTGGTGGCACAGGCTCGCTGAGCCGATCCGAGCCGAGCCCCATCTGAGTGCTTCAGCTGGCTGCCAGCTTCTTAAAAAAAGGAGCTATGGAGCAAGCTGTACTTCTGAGACTCTGCCGACAGTGACAGCATCTCAGGAAAGAGCTCCGCAGTTCTCAGGTCTGAGGAGGATCCTGAGAGGACATTCTATGCATCCTCCTGCCTCCACAAGGCTTGCTCCCATTTCCGCCTTGCAAAACCCTTCCCGGGAGGCAGGATGCACAGAGAGTGAATGGTGCCAGAGTGAGTGGTGCCATCCGTCAGTGGCTCTCAGCGTGTGGATCCTGCACTAGCGACAGTAGCACCACCAGGGAACTTGTCAGGAATGCAATTTGCTAGCAGGCTCCACCCCACAACTACTGAACGCTGATTCAGAAACTCGAGGTGGGTTCCAGCATGCTGGGTTTTAACAAGCCCTCCAGGGAATTCTGCAACACGCTCAGGTTTCAGTACCACCGGTTTAGTCAACAGCTCTCAAACTTTGCTGAATATTAGAATCACCTGGGGAGCTTTTAAAAATCCCAATGGCCAGGCTACACTCCAGCCCAATTAAAGCAGAATCCTCAGGGTGGGATTCAGACTTCAGTGTTTTTAAGTTCCCCTGGGTGACTCTGATACACATTGAGAGATGCGAACCACTGATCTAAATATTTCATAGACAAATCCACAAACATTCTCTTTCCAATATGACTGTGCTTAGCAAAAGCCATAAGGATATTTTGCCTCTGTGCAAGAGAAGAGATAACAAGTTTGTGTTATACCTATTGGATGCCAAGATATTACTGTATCTATTTTATCAAGGAATAAATGAAGACATGAAACTGAAGTACCCTGTCCAAAGCCAGAAGCAAAGCTATTGGAGGGAAAACTACACAAGTTCTAACCTGGGGCCTCAGGCTAGACTCTGGGTCTGAATCTAGACCATGACACCACATGCTGTATCAAATGTGCACACCATTACTGTCATAACAAATGTAGTTACTCCAACTCCGCTTCAGCTTTTGTGAATGACAGCACCAGGTGACACACCTGAAGTGCATTCAACCAATGAGAATTCAGCAGGGCCAAGATTGCACACCAGTCGGACACAGAGTAATGCCTACACTAGCGTCACAAAGCTGAAATTGAACTGTAGTTGTAGGGGGTGTAGCCTGATATAAAAAAGTAAAAATTCATTACCTCTGCTTAGCACCTAAAAATATAAACTAGAAATTTTTAACCACGGCAAGTACAACTTCTGGCCTTGGTTCCTCATTCAGTAAATTTGTTTTTTCTGTTAAGTAAGAATTGGAGTCTTCCTCTTCCTGACCCCAAAGCTTAGGCACTTAATAGTACTCGTGAGGATTCATCCTTAGGAAACAATTCAAAAGAAGCAAAAAACAAAAACATCTGCATGAGGATGTTCGGCAAGGTGCTACCTATAATAGCAAAAAAGTTGAAAAAGCACAGTAATGAAAATAATAGTAATGATGCTAGTGTCTGCCCTTTACTGAGTGCTCCCTATATTCCTGAGAAGCCGAGCTAAGAAATTTACATGTATTATTTCATTTTGCTTATATGTTGTAGAAATAATTATAATAGCATATAGTTCCACACTTCTTTGCTGTGGAAATTATCAAATAGTTCTAGTTTTCTCTTTCCAGAACACAAGGTAAAATTGTACTTCTGGTCCCCCTTGCTGGTGGGTGGGGCCATGTAATTCTGTCAAGTGAGTTATAAACAGAAGTGACCCATGTTTGCTTTGTCAGCCAGAGTCCCTAAGCAACTACAATGAGTAGAATCACACCACTCTCTCCCCATTCCCACCCTCTCCCCACTGCCACCCTCTCCCTACTCCCACCCTCTCCCCACCACCAGTCAACCCAAGATGTGCGTGTAACCAAAGGAAGGAAAAACCTTGTTTTTTTTAAGCCAATAAGACTTGCGGGTTGTTTGTTACCACAGCATAACAGCCTATCTTTGCTGATAAACAGTTGATACATACACTGATACACAGACTTACATAGTGTTGACCCTTAAACAGTGCAGAGGTTAGTGCACTGAATCCCCACGAAGTAAAAAAATCTGAGTATTACTTTTGATTCCCCCAAAACTTAACTACTAACAGCTTACTGTTGACCAGAAGCCTTGCCAATAACATAAACAGTTGTTACATATTTTATATGTTATACATATTATTACTGTGTTCTTACAATAAAGTAAGCTAGAGAAAAGAAAACGTTATTAGGACAATCACAAGGAAGAGAAAGTGTATTTACTATTCATTAAGTGGAAGTGGATTATCACAAAGGTCTTCGTGCTCATTGTCTTCACATTGAGTAGGCTGACGAAGAAGAGGAAGAGGAGGAAGAGGAAGAAAAAGAAGGGGTTGTCTTGCTGTCTCAGGGGTGGCTAGGTGGAAGAAAATCTGAGTCTAAGTAGATCTCCATAGTTCAAACCTGTGCCGTTCAAGGGTCAACCGTGTAATATCTCATTTTAACCCTGACATCTCTGTGAATTATTACTATTAATTCCATTTTATAGATGTAGACACTAAGACTCAGGGAGATTAAATTATTAACTTGCCCAAGTTCCCAGGGCTATTAGGTTTTGAATGAGGCTGGCTAACCCTAAGACCATGTTCTTAATCACTACATTAAGGAAATGGTATATCCCTTCCCAAGGCCTACTAGGAAGTCATTAAGATCAATAATTTTAAAGATAACGAGGGAGGGTACCTATGATGAAAGAAGCCAGTTACCAAGTGATGGCAATATTTTGTTTGCAATTATATTTCTATGTATCTAAGATGAACAAAACAAGAAAAAAATATGCAAAAGTGGAAATGATTGTTGTATTAGAAGAGTGGGATTACGTGTGACTCATCAAGTTTCTCCAGTGTTATTTCATCACTTGTTCATTAATAAAACAAATCAGTCTTCCTTTCCACATGCCTACATCTGCACAATGTCAAACACATTGGTGGAAGGTAAAAATGTGCCATCCGTCAGCAGCATGCATCTCTTGCCCAACATCAGACATCTGGAAAGTCTGAATAAGCCAAATGACTGAATTTTTCATGCCTCGCTCAGGATTTTGGGGAGTGGGGAGGACAGATCTCTCTGAATAACTTGTGAACTTCGTGGAGAAGCCAAGTTAGGTAAAGATGCTGCAGAGAGCAATGCCCTATGGAGGAAAAGTATGGGAGGGAGAGAACACAGTCTCCCCAGCAAATCGGGTGCAAGATACTTCCCTGATCAGCCACCTCTACCTCAGTTCCTGGTAAGAAACGTGGTCACTGGGGACCACGTGAAGTCATTTAGCTGAGGACAGATGCTGGGGCTTACAGGGCAGGTACTGTCTAGCCAGGACTCACCGACCTCCACCTCTGAATATGAGAAGAACTGAGGACTGTTTCAACCTGCCTGAAGGAGACAATACCCAGGTCAGTGCAGCTACCCCCATAGCGACCCCAGCTGAGGGACCACAGCAGAACACCTAAGCCAACCGGCAGGAAGCTACAGGCTTGCCAGTGGCCTCTGACGTGGTCTAGCCAGGAAGCTCTACTCAAAGTGACAATATTATCTCACAAGACGACCACCAAACTCTCTCTAGTGGGGGTACTAACATGAGGCAGAGATTGTGCACTAGGTAGCAAGAACAGAAGCAGAAAGACAGAGGAAGAAACTGAGATGAGAATGTGCCCTGGTCACCATCATGGCAGAGAACTGGACACTGTCTTTATTCCTGGGGTCAAGGATTGGTACTGAAATGACTTAGCAGTTAAGCAGTGTTAAACTCTGGATGGTCTTTCAGTTCCTAAGCTATCTTCCGGGCTCAAGGTCACCTGGCTGTGGGGCTGTTCTGAGGATGCCTTGTTTGGGGTTGTTTCCTTAGGGTCGTTCCTATAACCCGGAGTGTGCTAGAAGGACAAGAAGCTTTGCCCAGGGAGTAGGTCTATGACATGGATGCAAAACAGCAATGAAGGGAAGTGACAAGCGCTCCAGGCACACTTCTAGGTCTAACTGGGTGGATCAGAAGTTGGCAAACTTTTTTCCTGCCACGTAACCCCTTTTCAGCTTTGAGGGCCAAACAGTTCCTACCATAATGACTCCACCCTCATGTTGTGGCTTGAAAGCAGTCATAGGCGAAGTGTAAATGAATGCGCATGGTTGCGGACCAGACACTTCACTTACAAAAACACGCGGCTTCGGTCCTTAGGCTGTGGTGTGCTGCTCCCTGAGGTGGGCCTGATGGTGAGTGTCCACATGCATCTCAGGGGCGATGTTCCCAGAGCTCACTGGATGCTCCTCCTACACATGAGCAGCTGATAATGGTAGCGGAGGGATGGAGCATAGGGAAGACATGGCGTAATTGCTAGCTAATGTCCCTTTCTCCCACTATGTGGCCTAGAGGTCTTACAGCTCCTGGATTTTGGGGACAGCCTGAAAATGAGGAGAGAGGATCCAGAGCCTTGCCTCCCATAATTCCTCCGCCTTCTGGGGGAAAACAACTTCCAAAGGTGTGGGAAGATGTCGATTATTTCAAGAAAAGACACCATCTGCCAAAAAATAAGAAACTTCTTTCTTGACTCCGCCCATCCCTAAACAAGTGCCCTTGCTTGGATTCTTAACAAAACCCAGCCACTTTGGTGTCTATCGTTTCTCCCAGACATGCCACACTGCCTGATTGTGAAGCCTGTACTCTGAGCTCCAGGTACAGATAGACAACTGTCTCCACTTTGGTGTCCAGTCGACGTTTCTTGATTGATATTTCTTAATTTCCACTCCTCATGGAGCTTAGATCTGTTCTTGCCCTAGCTATTCCATGTCACCAAAATATCACCTTCAAATAGTCAACTGCTCAGAAGTTCAAGAAATCCTTGTCTCTTCTACCTCACGCGTCTAATCCATTGCCTAGTCTGATCAGTTTCACCTCCCAAATGTATCTCAAATCTTTTCTCCTGCCTTCACCCCCACTGCCACTTCTGTAGCACAAGCCTGATCATCATCTCTCACAATAGCTTCCAAAGTCCTTTTTTTGTTTTTTTGTTCTTCTCCTGCGCTCTGCATTCTATTCTCCATTGATCATCGATCAGGCGGAGTGATCATTTTTAAAGCAGAAAGACTGGGTAAGCTCATGTTTCATGTTTCATCCTTCAACCTCCTGCTTCAAATCCTTCATTAGCTTCCCATAGCTCTTAGAATAAAGCCCAAGATGCTTATGTGGCATTCAAGGCCTGGAATAACCTGACTCCTGCCCACTTCTCCAACCCTTTGCTAGAACACTCTCCTTATTCATAACACTTCCATGCAGGTTTCCTTTCTCCTCTTCAAATACAACAAAGTCTCCAGGCCTTTGTGCTTGCTGTTCTCTCTGCCTGGGGTGGTCCCCCAAGTCCTCTGCAGGGTTGGCTTATTCTGATCCTTCAAGTCTCAGTTCAAATGCAATCATCTCATAGAGGCCACAATATCTACAGCCTGGCCCCAAGGTACTATCACAATACCCATCTGTTTGCTTCAGAGCCCTTGGCTTAGTCTAAACTAATTTTTTGAAGAGAGAGAGGGGAATGCTTGTTTACTTGTGTATAGTTGTCCCTTCTACTGGAATCTAATAACTATGAGGGCTTAAATCTTGTCTGCCTAATCTGCTTTTGCTTCCCAATGCCTAGAAGAGTGCCTCGCACAGAGTCTGTGTTCAGTAAATACTTGTTGATTGAGTGAGTGTGTAACCTCATCCTGCAACATATCAGGAAAAAATCCGGTGGCCCTCCCTCCTTCCTTTCTCCTTCTCCTTTTTCTTCTTCTCCCCAGTCACTCAGGATACTTGGTCCACATTTCCAGCCCACAGGAGAAAAGAAGGAACCCTTTTATTATTATTCTTATTGTAAGAACAGATCACATGACATCTAGCCTCTTCACAAATTTTTAAGAGTAAAGTGCAGTAGTGTTAACTATGAGTGCAATGTTTTATGGGAGAACTCTAGAACTTACTCATTTTGTATACCTGAAACTAGACCAGTTGAACAGCAACTCCCCATTCCCCTCTTCCTCCAGCTCCTACCAACCAACCACCATTCTACTTTCCTTCTATGAATTTGACTATTTTAAATACCTCAAATAAATGGAATCATGTGGCATTTGTCCTTCTGTGATCGGTTTATGTCACTAGCATAATGTTCTCAGAGTTCATGTTGTCTCATATGGCAGGATTTAAGAAGGGATCTTGAAGCATGCTGGAAGCCCTATAGGCTTCCCTCCCAGCCCAGAGCAGAAGGAGTTAGACAAGCAAGGACGTGTACAGCCCAGGGGTCCAGGGCGGTACTGGTCCCTCACTGGCCTCTTACCCCCTTACTCCAAGGAAATCCCTTGCCCCTGAGTTTCAGTGTCCTTTCTGAGATGAGATCAACAATAGCTACCTCATAGGGTTATTGTCAGGATCAAATGAGAGGATATGTATGAAGCTAATTTGGCAAAAGGAATTTGGCCCTAGAAGCCTGGGGCAGGAGTAAGGTTTTGAGACACTGCCTTGGTGGGCAGGTTGGCCAGTGCCTCTTCAGAGGAGGACATGCAAAGACTCTTTAGAAGAAGGTAGGCTTCATGAGGTAGAAACTGCTTCATCACTGTTGTCTCCCCATTGCCTAGAACAGTGCCTGGTAGATTGCAGATACTCAGAAGTCAAGAGAGTTAATTAGTGGAAGCCAAGTGTTCTTACTCATTGTTAGTCAAGTATGAGAGAGGCAGGATTCAGATAAATGAGTCTGGGTTAACCCAGCAGCTCTTAGTTATAACTTTAAAAATAAAAATAAAGGCCAGGCATGGTGAGGAGGCCAAGGAGGGTGGATGACTTGAGGTCAGGAGTTCGAGACCAGCCTGGCCAACATGGCAAAACCCCATTTCTACTAAAAACACAAAAAATTGTCCAGGCGTGGTGGTGCGCACCTGTAATCACAGCTATTTGGAAGGCTGAAGTTCAAAAATTGCTTGAACCCGGGAGGTGGAGGTTGCAGTGAGCTGAGATCGCACCACTGCATTCCAGCCTGGGCAACAGAGCAAGACACTGTCTCAAAATTAAATAAATAAATAAATAAATAAAATAAAAAGAAAGAGTAACTGGGTATGGTCAAGACTGTAATTAAATATCTCAAACCTGTTTGGGAGTTAAATACCGGATTTAGCACCGGAGAACCTTGTTATTCGGGGCTGTTATTTTATCCATTTCTCATCTCTTTTCTGTTTGGACTCAATATATTTCCCAGCAGCCAGCCTTCCGTATTACTTTTCTACCATGCTTCACTTACCCCAGACAGACTCTGGGATTAACTCGGGCAATCCATTCTGTTCAGTTGAGGGAACTCTTCGTTTGGTCTGATGGATGTGGAAACACAAGTAAATTATTCACTCAGAATCGGTCATTCTTTGTCAGATGTGGGGAGGATGTAGCGGCCTAGGCTTGAGCCTCTCTATGTCCTGGCCCTGGTGCCTGGGAATGATGCTAGCAGGGCCCGTCCAAAATTCTTTTGTCTCGAAAGCGCGAAAGCTGCCAATTCCCTGCTAGGCCAGTTCCCAAGGCAAAACAATTCACAGTCATTTGTGTGTGACTACTAGCCACTTAGGATGTGAGTCTGAGCTTCTTGGCTAGGTTCAGAGTATGGATGGAATTGAGGAGAGAGGAAGCAGCATCTCACGGGCTATCTTGTCCCAGCCCTGTCCTAAGCAGCCCTCAGTTTGAATGTCATCTGAGCTTCCGCTCTTGCTATTTCCTATGAAAGAAAAATGTTCCCCCTTGTTTTTTTCCCCTGGCTTGTCCCTCAAGATTTAGCATGGATATTTCCTGGAAGTACCCATGCTAACGACTTCTAGGAAATCTTCTCTGATCTCGCTGACTGAATCAAGAGTCCTTCTTTCTGACCCTGCACTGGCTCCTAACACAGCCCTTAACTCACTGTCTCTCCAACTGCGCTATGCCGAGAGCTCCCCCAGGGCAGGAATCTGTCTTATTCCTCTTTGATCACCACTGTCTAAACAGAACTTATCACATAGTAAGCATCAGTGAATGCTGGAATTAAATAAATGAAGCAACTTTCTGACTATCACACAGCCCAGGAGCGACAAATCCAGGTATATTAGTCAGCTTTGAAGTATAATAAACAACTCCCAAATCTCAAAGCTTAAAGCAACATGCCTTTACTTTGTCCTCATGTGGCATGTGGCTCTACACCATGTAACTTCTCATTCTAGGACCCAGGTAGAAGAAGCATCTGCTATGTAGAATATGTCCATTCTCAGAGAAGAGGGGAAGAACTAGAGGCAGACACAGAACATGCATTTAAAGCTTCTGCTCAGACACGGTGTATATCAAGTCCACTCACGTTCCATTGGCCAAAGGTAGTAACGTAGCAAAGCAAAAAGTCAGTGGAGTGGGGACATACACTCCTCCTTCATGGATCATTTAAGAAGAATTAAGCCATCTACCACAGCAGTTGGTGTGACTCCAAAGTTGCCCATCTTTCCTTTGCACCTGGCTTCTAGCTTAGAAGCTCCCTCCCTGCAGTGCACGGTGGCTCATGCCTGTAATCCCAGCACTTTGGGAGGACGAGCTGGGCAGATCACCTAAGATCCGGAGTTCGAGACCAGCCTGGCCAACATGGTGAAACCCCGTCTCTACTAAAAATACAAAAATTAACCGGGCCTGGTGGCAGGCACCTGTAATCTCAGCTACTCAGGAGGCTGAGGCAGGAGAAATGCTTGAACCCAGGAGGTGGAGGTTGCAGTGAGCTGAGATCGAGATCGCACCACTGTACTCTAGCCTGGGCGACAGAGCCAGACTCTGTCTCAAAAAAATAAATAAATAAAAGATAAAAAAGAGAAGCTCCTTCCCTAGGGCTTGAATAGGGCTTGAACCACAGGAGATAAGAGAGGGAGAAGGATCCAGATGTAGAGAGTGAGGCTGATGGTTAAGAATCACTGGGCCGCCTTCCTAAAAATTTTGCATTTATTTTCCATCTTGATGAAAAATTTGCAATGTTTATACCATCACAGCACAAGTAGATCCATGACTTAAGTTTTGAAACTTCCATAACTGATTCCATGCATTTTTGGCAGTCTTATCGCGTTTCAAGGAATCATAAATTTTCTTTTTCGTCTGGAATCATGTCCTCAAAATACAATGCTTATAGAAATAATCATAGGAAACACATACAACATAAGGTAAATCCTGTTCCCAAGTTTACATGTGTGAGCCGCAAAATATTAGGTAATGTAAGAAAGCACTGTACCAAGCCAGCACCTGCAACTCAAGCCCAGATTACGACAATGACCCCAATTGAGAAAAGACATGTCCCCTCAGGAACATGGGCCTGGCTCTCCCTCCTTCCTTAATGCTCTGCCTGTTGGTGGCCCATGTTTGACTCCCCTAGGAGCTGGGAAGGAGAAGATAGAGTGGGACTAATGCCTATTTGCAAACTAGATAGGAAACATGAAAACAATCTTGAGATATTACTCAAAAATTCAGGTTTCCAGGCCCTAGAAAATTTGGAAGATGAAGCAAGATTAGTCTGCCTTTCCACGTGGCAAAAGTTGGCTAGAGCTGAGTGTGTGGAGCTGCGTGAGGACTGCCCCTGCTAACTGGGACACAGGCTCTGGTCTCTGGATGAACCCAACCACCCACTAGGGTCTGAATGTGCACCTACATCTAGCCTGCTTCACTCATTTATGGTATCATCTGGCTCCTTAGGGTATCTGCTGTTTTCAACTCTTTATTTATTTATTTATTTATTTTTTGAGAGCATTTTGTGCACAGAGAGCGTGATCTCATTTATTATTATTTTTTAATTATTATACTTTAAGTTTTAGGGTACATGTGCACATTGTGCAGGTTAGTTACATATGTATACATGTGCCATGCTGGTGCTCTGCACCCACTAACTCGTCATCTAGCATTAGGTATATCTCCCAATGCTATCCCTCCCCCCTCCCCCACCCCACAACAGTCCCCAGAGTGTGATGTTCACCTTCCTGTGTCCATGTGATCTCATTGTTCAATTCCCACCTATGAGTGAGAATATGTGGTGTTTGGTTTTTTGTTCTTGCAATAGTTTACTGAGAATGATGATTTCCAATTTCATCCATGTCCCTACAAAGGACATGAACTCATCATTTTTTATGGCTGCATAGTATTCCATGGTGTATATGTGCCACATTTTCTTAATCTAGTCTATCATTGTTGGACATTTGGGTTGGTTCCAAGTCTTTGCTATTGTGAATAATGCCACAATAAACATACGTGTGCATGTGTCTTTATAGCAGCATGATTTATAGTCCTTTGGGTATATACCCAGTAATGGGATGGCTGGGTCAAATGGTATTTCTAGTTCTAGATCCCTGAGGAATCGCCACACTGACTTCCACAATGGTTGAACTAGTTTACAGTCCCACCAACAGTGTAAAAGTGTTCCTATTTCTCCACATCCTCTCCAGGACCTGTTGTTTCCTGACTTTTTAATGATTGCCATTCTAACTGGTGTGAGATGGTATCTCATTGTGGTTTTGATTTGCATTTCTCTGATGTCCAGTGATGATGAGCATTTTTTCATGTGTTTTTTGGCTGCATAAATGTCTTCTTTTG
Organism: Homo sapiens; assembly: GCF_000001405.40. Lineage (NCBI taxonomy): Eukaryota > Metazoa > Chordata > Mammalia > Primates > Hominidae > Homo > Homo sapiens. The sequence continues at coordinate 34,255,966 of NC_000001.11, read as the reverse complement.
AGAATGGTCTGTTCATGTCCTTCGCCCACTTTTTGATGGGGTTGTTTGTTTTTTTCTTGTCAATTTGTTTGAGTTCATTGTAGATTCTGGATATTAGCCCTTTGTCAGATGAGTAGGTTCTGAAAATTTTCTCCCATTTTGTAGGTTGCCTGTTCACTCTGATGGTAGTTTCTTTTGCTGCGCAGAAGCTCTTTAGTTTAATTAGATCGCATTTGTCAATTTTGGCTTTTGTTGCCATTGCTTTTGGTGTTTTAGACATGAAGTCCTTGCCCATGCCTATGTCCTGAATGGTATTCTCTAGGTTTTCTTCTAGGGTTTTTATGGTTTTAGGTCTAACGTTTAAGTCTTTAATCCATCTTGAATTGATTTTTGTATAAGGTGTAAAGAAGGGATCCAGTTTCAGCTTTCTACATATGGCTAGCCAGTTTTCCAGCACCATTTATTAAATAGGGAATCCTTTCCCCATTGCTTGTTTTTCTCAGGTTTGTCAAAGATCAGATAGTTGTAGATATGCGGCGCTATTTCTGAGGGCTCTGTTCTGTTCCATTGATCTATATCTCTGTTTTGGTACCAGTACCATGCTGTTTTGGTTACTGTAGCCTTGTAGTATAGTTTGAAGTCAGGTAGTGTGATGCCTCCAGCTTTGTTCTTTTGGCTTAGGATTGACTTGGCAATGCGGGCTCTTTTTTGGTTCCATATGAACTTTAAAGTAGTTTTTTCCAATTCTGTGAAGAAAGTCATTGGTAGCTTGATGGGGATGGCATTGAATCTGTAAATTACCTTGGGCAGTATGGCCATTTTCACGATATTGATTCCTCCTACCCATGAGCATGGAATGTTCTTCCATTTCTTTGTATCCTCTTTTATTTCCTTGAGCAGTGGTTTGTAGTTCTCCTTGAAGAGGTCCTTCACATCCCTTGTAAGTTGGATTCCTAGGTATTTTATTCTCTTTGAAGCAATTGTGAATGGGAGTTCACTCATGATTTGGTTCTCTGTTTGTCTGTTGTTGGTGTATAAGAATGCTTGTGATTTTTGTACATTGATTTTGTATCCTGAGACTTTGCTGAAGTTGCTTATCAGCTTAAGGAGATTTTGGGCTGAGACAATGGGGTTTTCTAGATATACAATCATGTCGTCTGCAAACAGGGACAATTTGACTTCCTCTTTTCCTAATTGAATACCCTTTATTTCCTTCTCCTGCCTAATTGCCCTGGCCAGAACTTCCAACACTATATTGAATAGGAGTGGTGAGAGAGGGCATCCCTGTCTTGTGCCAGTTTTCAAAGGGAATGCTTCCAGTTTTTGCCCATTCAGTATGATATTGGCTGTGGGTTTGTCATAGATAGCTCTTATTATTTTGAAATATGTCCCATCAGTACCTAATTTATTGAGAGTTTTTAGCATGAAGGGTTGTTGAATTTTGTCAAAGGCCTTTTCTGCATCTATTGAGATAATCATGTGGTTTTTGTCTTTGGTTCTGTTTACATGCTGGATTACATTTATTGATTTGCATATATTGAACCAGCCTTGCATCCCAGGGATGAAGCCCACTTGATCATGGTGGATAAGCTTTTTGATGAGCTGCTGGATTCGGTTTGCCAGTATTTTATTGAGGATTTTTGCTTCAATGTTGATCAAGGATATTGGTCTAAAATTCTCTTTTTTGGTTGTGTCTCTGCCCGGCTTTGGTATCAGAATGATGCTGGCCTCATAAAGTGAGTTAGGGAGGATTCCCTCTTTTTCTATTGACTGGAATAGTTTCAGAAGGAATGGTACCAGTTCCTCCTTGTACCTCTGGTAGAATTCGGCTGTGAATCCATCTGGTCCTGGACTCTTTTTGGTTGGTAAACTATTGATTATTGCCACAGTTTCAGAGCCTGTTATTGGTCTATTCAGAGATTCAACTTCTTCCTGGTTTAGTCTTGGGAGAGTGTATGTCTCCAGAAATTTATCCATTTCTTCTAGATTTTCTAGTTTATTTGCATAAAGGTGTTTGTAGTATTCTCTGATGGTAGTTTGTATTTCTGTGGGATCGGTGGTGATATCCCCTTTATCATTTTTTATTGCGTCTATTTGATTCTTCTCTCTTTTTTTCTTTATTAGTCTTGCTAGCGGTCTATCTATTTTGTTGATCCTTTCAAAAAACCAGCTCCTGGATTCATTAATTTTTGGAAGGGTTTTTTGTGTCTCTATTTCCTTCAGTTCTGCTCTGATTTTAGTTATTTCTTGCCTTCTGCTAGCTTTTGAATGTGTTTGCTCTTGCTTTTCTAGTTCTTTTAATTGTGATGTTAGGGTGTCAATTTTGGATCTTTCCTGCTTTCTCTTGTGGGCATTTAGTGCTATAAATTTCCCTCTACACACTGCTTTGAATGCGTCCCAGAGATTCTGGTATGTTGTGTCTTTGTTCTCATTGGTTTCAAAGAACATCTTTATTTCTGCCTTCATTTCGTTATGTACCCAGTAGTCATTCAGGAGCAGGTTGTTCAGTTTCCATGTAGTTGAGCGGTTTTGAGTGAGATTCTTAATCCTGAGTTCTAGTTTGATTGCACTGTGGTCTGAGAGATAGTTTGTTATAATTTCTGTTCTTTTACATTTGCTGAGGAGAGCTTTACTTCCAAGTATGTGGTCAATTTTGGAATAGGTGTGGTGTGGTGCTGAAAAAAATGTATATTCTGTTGATATGGGGTGGAGAGTTCTGTAGATGTCTGTTAGGTCCACTTGGTGCAGAGCTGAGTTCAATTCCTGGGTATCCTTTTTGACTTTCTGTCTCGTTGAACTGTCTAATGTTGACAGTGGGGTGTTAAAGTCTGCCATTATTAATGTGTGGGAGTCTAAGTCTCTTTGTAGGTCACTCAGGACTTGCTTTATGAATCTGGGTGCTCCTGTATTGGGTGCATATATATTTAGGATAGTTAGCTCTTCTTGTTGAATTGATCCCTTTACCATTATGTAATGGCCTTCTTTGTCTCTTTTGATCTTTGTTGGTTTAAAGTCTGTATTATCAGAGACTAGGATTGCAACCCCTGCCTTTTTTTGTTTTCCATTTTCTTGGTAGATCTTCCTCCATCCTTTTACTTTGAGCCTATGTGTGTCTCTGCACGTGAGATGGGTTTCCTGAATACAGCACACTGATGGGTCTTGACTCTTTATCCAATTTGCCAGTCTGTGTCTTTTAATTGGAGCATTTAGTCCATTTACATTTAAAGTTAATATTGTTATGTGTGAATTTGATCCTGTCATGATAATGTTAGCTGGTTATTTTGCTCGTTAGTTGATGCAGTTTCTTCCTAGTCTCGATGGTCTTTACATTTTGGCATGATTTTGCAGCGGCTGGTACCATTTGTTCCTTTCCATGTTTAGCGCTTCCTTCAGGAGCTCTTTTAGGGCAGGCCTGGTGGCGACAAAATCTCTCAGCATTTGCTTGTCTGTAAAGTATTTTATTTCTCCTTCACTTATGAAGCTTAGTTTGGCTGGATATGAAATTCTGGGTTGAAAATTCTTTTCTTTAAGAATGTTGAATATTGGCCCCCACTCTCTTCTGGCTTGTAGGGTTTCTGCCAAGAGATCTGCTGTTAGTCTGATGGGCTTCCCTTTGAGGGTAACCCGACCTTTCTCTCTGGCTGCCCTTAACATTTTTTCCTTCATTTCAACTTTGGTGAATCTGACAATTATGTGTCTTGGAGTTGCTCTTCTCGAGGAGTATCTTTGTGGCGTTCTCTGTATTTCCTGAATCTGAACGTTGGCCTGCCTTGCTAGATTGGGGAAGTTCTCCTGGATAATATCCTGCAGAGTGTTTTCCAACTTGGTTCCATTCTCCCCATCACTTTCAGATACACCAATCGGACGTAGATTTGGTCTTTTCACATAGTCCCATATTTCTTGGAGGCTTTGCTCATTTCTTTTTATTCTTTTTTCTCTAAACTTCCCTTCTCACTTCATTTCATTCATTTCATCTTCCATTGCTGATACCCTTTCTTCCAGTTGATCGCATCGGCTCCTGAGGCTTCTGCATTCTTCACTTAGTTCTCGAGCCTTGGTTTTCAGCTCCATCAGCTCCTTTAAGCACTTCTCTGTATTGGTTATTCTAGTTAAACATTCTTCTAAATTTTTTTCAAAGTTTTCAACTTCTTTGTCTTTGGTTTGAATGTCCTCCTGTAGCTCAGAGTAATTTGATCGTCTGAAGCCTTCTTCTCTCAGCTCGTCAAAGTCATTCTCCGTCCAGCTTTGTTCCGTTGCTGGTGAGGAACTGCGTTCCTTTGGAGGAGGAGAGGCGCTCTGCTTTTTAGAGTTTCCAGTTTTTCTGTTCTGTTTTTTCCCGATCTTTGTGGTTTTATCTACTTTTGGTCTTTGATGATGGTGATGTACAGATGGGTTTTTGGTGTGGGTGTCCTTTCTGTTTGTTAGTTTTCCTTCTAACAGACAGGACCCTCAGCTGCAGGTCTGTTGGAGTACCCTGCCGTGTGAGGTGTCAGTGTGCCCCTGCTGGGGGGTGCCTCCCAGTTAGGCTGCCGGGGGTCAGGGGTCAGGGACCCACTTGAGGAGGCAGTCTGCCCGTTCTCAGATCTCCAGCTGCGTACTGGGAGAACCACTGCTCTCTTCAAAGCTGTCAGACAGGGACATTTAAGTCTGCAGAGGTTACTGCTGTCTTTTTGTTTGTCTGTGCCCTGCCCCCAGAGGTGGAGCCTACAGAGGCAGGCAGGCCTCCTTGAGCTGTGGTGGGCTCCACCCAGTTCGAGCTTCCCGGCTGCTTTGTTTACCTAAGCAAGCCTGGGCAATGGTGGGCGCCCCTCCCGCAGCCTCGCTGCCGCCTTGCAGTTTGATCTCAGACCGCTGTGCTAGCAATCAGCTAGACTCTATGGGCGTAGGACCCTCCGAGCCAGGTGCGAGATATAATCTCGTGGTGCGCCGTTTTTTAAGCCCGTCGGAAAAGCGCAGTATTCGGGTGGGAGTGACCCGATTTTCCAGGTGCCCTCCGTCACTCCTTTCTTTGACTAGGAAAGGGAACTCCCTGACCCCTTGCGCTTCCCGAGTGAGGCAATGCCTCGCCCTGCTTAGGCTGGCGTACGGTGCGCGCACCCACTGACCTGCGCCCACTGTCTGGCACTCCCTAGTGAGATGAACCCGGTACCTCAGATGGAAATGCAGAAATCACCCGGATTCTGCGTCGCTCACGCTGGGAGCTGTAGACGGGAGCTGTTCCTATTCGGCCATCTTGGCTTCTCCCCATCAACTCTTTATTTATTAAGTGCTTACTGTATTCCGAAGCTGCTGTTCTCCTTATTCAGATACCTTATCCAAGATCAGTGTAAAAGACTGTCCTTTCCTTTCTAAACCTCCAACTTGATTCAGTATTCTGCTGAGGGAGTCCCATAATGACTTTGGGCCCAGGGTTACAGGTAGCCCCTAAGGCCTAGTGAGTGGTATTCTTTAGGCCATTAACATCATCCCCTCTGGAGCATTCCCTAATGATGTGTTCATGTTAGCTCTCATTGTTCACATCTACGATGGTGATAAGATTGAAAGAAGATGAGTTTTTGGTCAAATTGGCGTGGGCTCAAATTCCAGCTTCAGTTCAACTCATTCATATCAGTTCTCTGAGCCTGAGTTAATTCCATATTGTATTGTAATGTGGATAGAGTAAGTGAGGACATGTATATAAAAAGCAGACCACACATTGTAAGATATTCAATATGTGTTAGCTCTCTTTCAAAATCCCATTTGCTTACAGTCTCACAAAATATGAATACTTGATACAGGCAATAATTACACAGAGAGAAAGTTAGCTAACATATAGGAGTGGGAGAGGAGGTGAAAATTCTCTCAAAGGGACAATGGAAGGCTAGAAAGCTCCCTTTGTTTTAGAAAAGAAATATGCTATTGGCCATTAATGCCATGTCCCATGACAAGACTTCCTGTGGACAGGCTATCTCTTTTTGGGGCTAGGAAGGTGTTTTCTTACTTACTATTTGTACTTTTGTTTCTTACCATTGCATTTTGCTTTATGAATTTGGTTAGGCAGATGGCCCATCTTACAGATACAGAGAGTAAGTCCCAGGTATTCTAGTCAGGATTCTTGGTTGCAAAAGTTGAAAGCCACTCAGGCTACCTTTGGTTGGGCAATCTAGTGAACATGCAAGGCCTGGAGCACGAGGGCAGCTGAGCCTTGCAGGGACAGAAATTTGTAAGTCGGAGCCCAGGCTGCTTTTTCTTTCAACACCCTCACAGTTTCTCATCTCTTCTTCTCTCTGATTACTAGGCTTTTGATTGGCCTAATACGGCCACCAGCCTGACTCTATCCCCTGTCCTTTGAACTTAGAGCTAACCATTAACTATCATTTTTCCATACCCTAAGGTTGAGATTCTCTCCTGGAGTCAGAAGTTCTTGTCCTGCTGCTGGGAATACGATGCCAGGTGGAGGACCCTATATTAGATACTGCACCTATTTCCAGGGGAATTTTCCTGCCCTCTGGCCAGTCTTCATAATAGATAGAGTGGAGGAGTGGTAATATTCAAAGAGAGAGTAACTTGGAATTTTCCAGAATTGATAAAGGATCATATTAATATGTGCGCAAGTCCAAATAAATATTGGCTGTACAAATGATAATAATAATAATGTCTAATTTGCGATATTAAAAAATACTGAACAACAACAGCCTTTAGTCAAAAAGAGGATAATTGTAGTTAAAGTTCTAAATTCCTTCAATTGTCTGGGTGGAAAGCATAACCATTTTATTTATTCTTTTAAATATATATAATGCAATTTCTAAGGTAATGCTAAAAGGACAAAAACATGATGTGTAATTTCCATATTATTTGATGGATAATGAATAAGTTTAGGAGCAAAATTAATCCAAAAGAAAACAAAAAAAGTAGAGCAGGGTGGGAAAAAATAAAAGGGCAAGACCAATAGAAAGCACAAAATAAAATGGTAGAATACAGTGCCAATCCACCAGTGATCTCAATAAATATAAAGTGACTAAATTCTCCAGTTAATATTAAAAGGTTACAAGAATTTTAAAAAGCCAATTCGCTTCTATACTATATATAAGACAGAAAGCAATCAAAAGTAAACAAAAATATTATAGTGTAAAGATGGGAAAAGATGTGTCAGTTAGATACCAAACAAAAGAAAGCTGATACCTCTGTATCATTATTGTCTGATTAAATAGATTTTGAAGCAAAAATCATTACCAGAGATAAGAAGAGTTAGTACATATTGATAAAAGTTCAATTCACTAGGAAAATTTAACGATTCTAAGCTTGCATGCACATAATGATATTGCTTCGAAATAAATAAAACAAGAACGCAGAGAACCACTAAAGAAACTGATAAATCTGCCTCCATAAAGGGAGATTGTAAAACATTTTCACAGTGCAATAATAAATACATAAGCAAGAAAAAAGTCAGTAGAGATATAGAAGATCTGAATACAAAATTAAAATCTTCATTTAATTGAATTCTGTAGCAGCAGTTGGAGAATAACAATTTTTCCCATGTAAATAAGAAACATTAAACAAAGGCTAAACAAATTCCACGTAGTTTGTATTACACAGACTATGTTTAATGACCATAATGCAAAAAAGTCAGATGATAGTAACAAATGAATAACTTAAAACTTTATTTGAAAATTAAAAATCTCACATCTAAGTAACTCTTATGTTAAAAAGGAGAATATAATGGAAATTAGAAAATACTTAGAACTAAACAATATTGAAATACATAAAATTGTGGGATGAAGCTAAGATGATTCTTATAGGGAAATTTATAGAGAGAAATCCTTATTTTATAAAGCAAATTGCAAATTAATGAACTAAGCTTATTCCAACTTTAATTAGAAATGGATAACAATGGAATAAGTAATAAAAGGAAAAAATAATAGGAGCAAAGTTATTAAAATTAGGAATATGTATGATAAAGAGAATCTGCAAAGTCAAAAGTAAATACTTTTAAAAAGATCAAAATAATTGCCATATCATAGATAGGCACAGTTCATGACACCCAAAATAATTACAATAGTAACATCGAAGATCAATGACTACAGATTACTATAGAGATATGATAATAACAATAATAATAAAAGTTTAAAATATCGGCCAGGCACAGTGACTTACACCTATAATCCCAGCACTTTGGGATTGCTTGAGCTCAGGAGTTTGAGATCAGCCTGAAAAACATGGCAAAACCCCATCTCTACAAAAAATACAAAAATTAGCCGGGCATGGTGATGTGCACTTGTAGTCCCAGCTACTTGGGAGGCTGAGGTGGGAGGACTGCTTGACCCTAGGAGGTCAAGGCTGCAGTGAGCCATGATCACACCACTGCAGCCTGGGTGACACAGTGAGATTCTCTCTCTCTCTCTGTTTCTCTCTCTCTCTCTCTGTTTCTCTCTCTCTCTCTCTGTTTCTCTCTCTCTCTCTGTTTCTCTCTCTCTCTCTCTGTTTCTCTCTCTCTTTCTCTCTCTCTGTTTCTCTCTCCCTGTTTCTTCCTCTCTGTTTCTCTCTCTCTCTCTGTTTCTCTCTCTCTCTGTTTCTCTCTCTCTCTCTCTCTCTCACACACACACACACACACACACACACACACACACACACGCAGTTTAAAACATTGCAAGAGGCTGGGTGTGGTGGCTCATGTCCATAATCCCAGCACTTTGGGAGGCTGAGGCGGGCAGATTACCTGAGGTGTCAGGAGTTCTAGATCAGCCTGGCCAACAGGGTGAAACCCCATCACTACTAAAAATACAAAAATTACCTGGGCGTGGTGGTGAGAGCCTGTAATCCCAGCTACTCGGGAGGCTGAGGCAGGAGAATCACTTGAACCCGGGAGGTGGAGGTTGCAGTGAGCCAAGATCATGCTACTGCACTCCAGCCTGGGTGACGAGAGTATAATTCTGCCCCCCCGCCAAAAAAATGCAAGAATTACCAAAATGTGGCTTAGAGACATGAAATAAGCACATGCTATTGGAAAAATGGCACCAATGGACTTGTTTTGACGCAGGGTTGCCACAAACCTTCAATTTGTAAAAAATGTAATATCTGCAAAGCACAATAAAGCAAAGAGCAATGAAACAAGGTATGAGCCCGCAGTGTCCTGGATAACCACATCTCTCTATCTGACTTCTGCTGAGGTCGTTGATTGGATGCTTGAGTCATATACCTAATCTCTTTTGCAAATGGTTGTCCAGTCACACCCTTGTCCAGACCACACTATTTAGATAGGATGAGAATTCTCTAAATCATTAATTGCTGATTTCTTCTGGCTTAGCAATTCCTGCCTCAATTTATTTTTCTCTCCTCCCAGCAAGGAGACACTGGGCTCAACACTTTGCTTAGAAATCTTTTCAGTTAAACATGTAGGTTCAGCGCTTACAAGTTCTACTTCCCATCCAACAGAACACAATTCAGCCAAATCCTTTGCCACATTATAACAAGTCTGCTCCAGTTTCCAATAACATGTCTCTCATTTCTGTCTGAAACCTCACTAGAAGCACCTTTAATATTTATATTTCTAGCAGCATTCTGTTCATGATGATTCATGTATTCTCTAAGACGACAGAAGCTTTCTCTACAGCTCTCCTCTTTTCTTTCAGAGACATCACCAGAATGTCCTTTCATATCCATATTCCGACTGTTAACTTCAAAATCACACAATTTATACATTTAGAAGGGAGACTTCCTTTCTTATACAGAGTTGTAGCCTGCAAGGTGGCCATCCTCACAGGCTGGGAAGCATAGTCTTCAGCAGAAGCTAGAAACAGGCATTTCCAAGGAGGCGAAGGTGGAGCAGGGGTTTATGATGAACCGGCTGGCTAAACATACATATTCAACAGGCTATAGGAAGAGCTATGAATATTCATGAAGGTGGTCCTAACACATGGGTACTGAATAAACATGCATGTTACATATGACCCCGTGTTCACCTTGGGGTGGAGACTTAACAGTTCAGTGTATTACAGTTAGGCCCTGGACATCAAAAGGTGAAGCAGGGACACAAAGGCACTCAAGTGCAGCCTCTGTAAACCCACCAGAACTAGTCCCTGCTTGGTGGTCTTTTATCAGGAGAAAGCTACTGAAATCAGTCTCTTGTCCAATCAAAGATGTAGTCGTGGCTCATGGAACAGGGGACTGGTGGTGAAAGTCTGGTGGTAGATGAGCAGCAAACTGTTTTAATATTCCTAATTCAAATCCAGTGTTTTTTTAACTACTGCAGAAGAAGAAAAATCTTATGGCAATTAGAACATAGTTTATACTTTAAGTAGAGGGGGTGTGTGATTTAACCCTTGCCTTGCATGCCTTAGGTCCCATTTATAATTCAGTATCTTATTGCCACCGAATCTGTTCTGTCAGTCTTATGATCTCTATTTTAACATTAATACTGGTCCGTTGTTGTGTCTACATCACAAAAGGGAGGGAATATAACAAGGTGTGTCTGACCTTCTTTCCCGCCATAGCCAGGAACTCAGTTTTTAAGGTTTCTCTGGGGTCCCCTTGAACAAGAGAAGGTCCTTTCCGTGGTTGGGAGGCTTATGATTTTATTTCTAGTTTACACCACCAACAGCCCCTTCAAGGCATAGGCTCCAATTCAGTCTACAACACTACTGGGAGAGTCATACATTAAACATTATTTGAAACACCCTTAATAAATTTAAAAAACAGTGGGGGCTGGGAGGAGGGAGACCATCAGGAAGAATAGCTAATGGATGCTGGGCTTAATACCTGGGTGATGGGATGATCTGTGCAGCAAACCACCATGGCACACATTTACCTCTGTAACAAACATGCACATCCTGCACATGTACCCCAGAACTTAAAATAAAAGTTGGAAATTGTAAAAAATATATGAAAAGCATATTGTAAATCCCAAGGCATACACTAAAAAAAATTAAAATATAGATGTATAGTTAATAAGATAACATGGAAATAAAAATTGAATTCTTAAAAAAAGAAGGCAAGGAAAGAAGAAAAAGAAATAAAGAACAGATGGGACAAACGGAAAACAAATTTCAAGGTTGTAAATTTAAACCCTACCATATTGATAATTACATTAAGTGTAAATTAAAAAATCTAAGCACTCCAGTTAAAAGGGATTATCATATTGGATTTATAAAGCAAGGCCCAACTATGTGTTGCCTGTAAGAAACACATTTTAAATATAAAGACACAGGTAAGTTAAAGTAAAATGGCAGAAAAAGGTATACCATGCAAACACTAATTATAGAAATCCTGGTGTAATTATACAGATATCAAAGTAGGCCTCAATGCAAAAAAATTACCAGGAAAAAAACCAGATTCCTTTTACAACAATAAAGGGTTCATTCTTCAAAGAGATATCTCAATCTTAAATGTGTACACACAACGGAATTTCAAAATATGTGAAATAACTGATAGAGCAGAGAAGAGAAATAGACAAATGTATGATTAGAGTTGGAGATTGCAATGATTCTTTCTAAGTAATTGATGCAACAAATGGAAAGTCAGTAAGGTTATAGAGTACTTGATCTATCAAAAAACTGGAAATAATTGACATTTATAGAACCCTCCTCTAACAAAAACAGACTACACATTCTTTTCAAGTGAACATGTAAGATAAACCATATACTGGATCATGAAACAAATGTTCACAAATTTAAAAGAATTGAGATCATATAGAGTATGTTCTCTGAATATAAGGGAATTAAATTAGAAATAACAAAAATCTACCTGGAAAGTCTCTAGAGATTTAGAAATTGAACCAAACACTTCTAACTCATATCAAACAAATAAATCACAAGGTAAATGAGAAAATATTTTGAATTGAATAAAAACAAAAGCAAGACATATTCAGATCTCTGGGATGAAGCTAAAGGAATGCTTTGAGGAAAATGTAGAGCTTTATATGCTTATGTTAAGAAAGAAGAAAGGTCTAAAGTCAGTTATCTAAGATTCTACCTTAAGAAGATAGAAAAAGAAGAACATTTAAGACCAAAATAAGTGGAAAGAAAAATGTAATAAAGAGCAGGAATTAATTTAAAAAAAGAAATGGATAAAAGTGGGAAAGTTAATAAAATAAAAAAATCATTTTTGAAAAAAAAACACAACTTAATTGATAAACCTACAGTGAGTGAGCTTGATCAAGAAATAGAGAGAAGACACCAATTACCAATATCAGGAACGAAAGAGGGAACATCATGATATATTTTGTAGGGTATATTATGAACAACTTTATGCAATAAATGGACAAATTTCTTGAAAGACAAAATCTACTACAGCTTACTTAAAAAGAAACAAGGAATCTGAATAGTCCATATCAAATAATAAATGTGAATTTTTAATTAAACACCTTCCCATGAAGAAAACATATGGTGTGGACGGCTTTGCTGATGAGTTCTAGAAGACATTTAAGGAAAAATAATACTACTACAGTTTTATACAAAATCTTTCAGAAATAGACATGGAGAAAACACTTCCCAAATGATAATATGAGACCAGAATTAGCATGATAACAAAACTACACAAAGATTGGGAAGACAATATTGGTTTAAAATATAAAATTAATCAACAAAATTTAGCATATTAGTAGAATAAAAAGATTTTTTAAAAACTGTGATTACCTTAGTAGACAGAGAAAAAGCATTTGAAAATTTTCAGACCTATTCATGACACAATCTCTCAGCAAACTAGGAAGAAAAAGAAACTTTCTTAATATGATAACAGATGTTTACAAAAAATATCTGCCAACAGCATCATACTTAGTGGTGAAAGACTAAATGCTTTGCCCCATAAATTCGGAACAGGATAAAGATGTCTGTTCTCACCACTTTTAATCAGCTTTGTACTGAAGGTCCTAGGCAGCATAAAATGACAGGAAAAAGTGATAAAAAACTGAAATTGATATGATCTCTAAATAGAAAATCCTATGCAGTGTACAAAAGAGCCACTTGTACTAAGAAGTGAGTTTAGTAAGGTCAGTATACAAAATAGATTGTAGTTGTAAAAACTACCAACATTCAATGGGGATAAGAAAATCATGCCATTTATAGTAGCATCACAAAACATGAAATACTTAGGGATAAATTTAATGACATGTTACAGGTCTGCACACTAAAAACTACAAAAAGAAAAAGTGAAGAACTAAAAAATGGAGTGATATATCATGTTCATGGATCAGAACACAATATTGTTATGACGTCTGTCAATTTTTCCCAAAACAATCCATACATTCAATGTAATCCCAATGAAAAATAGAAGTTGGAAAAGTGATTCAAAAATTAATATGGAACTGCAAGGGGACTGGAACAACAAATACTGTTTTTAAAAAGAACAAAATAGGGGACTTACACTGTCTGATTTAAGGATTTATAATGAGGCTCCTTTTAAAGGTACAGTAACAAGACAATGTGGCATTGGCACACAGGCAAATAGGTAGATCAATGGAACAGTATGAAAATAGATCCACGTAGGTATGGTCAATTGATTTTTTAACAAAGGTGCTGTATTATTTTTCTATTGCTGCTGTAACAAATTACTACCAACTTAGTGGTTTAAAACAATACAAATGTTTTATTTTATAGTTCTGTAAGGTAGAAGTCCAATACAGGTCTCACAGGACTCAAAGTCAATGTGTCAGCAAGGCTGTGTTCCTCCTAGGGGAGTATCTGTTTCTTTGCCTTTCCCAGCTTCTAGAGGTTGCCCACAGTCCTTGGCTCATGGCCCCTTCCTCTATTTCAGTTCAGTGACGGTGGGTCAAGTCCTTTTCACACTGCATTACACCAACTTCTGCTTCCCTCTTCCATTTTTTAAGGACCTTTATGATTACCTTGGGTTGATGCAGACCTTCCAGGATAAACTCCCTATTTTAAGGTCAGGATATCAGCAACACGTTTCATCTGTAACCTTAGTTCCCCTTTGTTATGTCATTTAACTTATTCATATGTTAGGTTTGGACACGGACAACATTGGGCAAACAGGGACACTATGCTGCCTGGAACAAGCATGAAAGTCATTCCATAGGAAAAGGGTAGTCTTTTCAACAAATGATGCCAGCAACATTGGATATCCATATGGAAAAAATAAAGGGATCTTGACTGTTACTTTATCCCACCCACAAAATTATCTTGAAAAGGATCCTATACCTAAACATAAAACCATAAAACTTCTCGAAGAAAATCTTCATGACCTGAAGGAGGTATTAGAAGACAAGATATCTTAGGACACAAAAGGCATGATCTATAAAGAAAAAATCTGGTAAATTGGTCTACATCAACATTAAAAACTTTGATATTTGAAAGATTCTATTTAAAGAATAAAAAGGTGAGTCTCAGAGAAAATAGTCACATGCGTGTATCTGACAAAGAATCTGTATCCACAATATATAAAGAATTTTTGTCCCTCAATAATGGGAAGACAAAAATTCAATTAAAAATAAGCAAAAGAGGCCAGGTGTGGTGACTCACACCTGTAATCCCAGGACTTTGGGAGGCCAAGGCAGGCAGATCACTTGAGGTAAAGAGTTCAAGATCAGCCTGGGCAACATAGCAAAACCCCATCTCTAGTAAAAATACAAAAATTAGCAGGATGTGGTGGTGCACACCTGTAGTCCCAGCTACTCAATAGACTAAGGCATGAGGATCACTTGAAACTGGGAGGCAGAGGTTGCAGTGAGTCGAGATCGTAGCACTGCACTCCAGCCTGGGCAATAGAGTGAGACTCTGTCTCCAACAAAAACAAAAACTTGTACTTAAATGTTCATAGCAGTATTATTCATATTAGCCATTAATTAGAAACAACCCAAATATCCAACTTCAGGAAAATTGCAGCATATACATATAATGGGATATTATACAGTAGTGAAAATGGTTGAATAACTATTGAACACATCAAAATGAATGAATCTCATACATGTAATGTTGATTGAAAAAGCAAGTCACAGAAGAACATACACAGGTTGGAGCCCATATATAAAGTTCATAAACATATTTTGTTTATGTGTTTATATATAAGAGAACTATAAAGAAAAGCAAAAGGATGACAAACATAAAATGTAGGATAGCGGTTACCTCTTGGAGGATGGAGTATGGTTTGCCACGGGGCACACAGGAGGAGTACATGTTGTTGCCAATATTCCATCTCTTACGTTGAATCATGGTAACTTAGGTTTCCATTCTTCTTGATGAGCACACATTCTAACCACTCTTTTGTACAAATGTTATATTTATATGTAAACATTTTAAATCACATAGCATTTCAATGGTTGAGCTGGAACTTGAACTCAACTTTCTTGACCTCCAAGACTCCTGAGTCTACAAACTCTGAGCACAGGGGGAGAAGCAGACTTCACGACGGTGCCTCCAGGTAGAAGTTGAATGTTTGGGGACACAGGCAGTGCGGCAGCTGGCTGGGGAGATAGCAGTCATTCTGGGGGCTCTCTCATCCATGGATCTAGTGGACATCAGCTGCCTCTTCTCTCCATCAAATATCTCCTCTTAGTACTAGGACATTGGACAGCAGATTAGACCCTACACAGGTTAGATCTCCACCACAAAAGGGAGATTTTCTCCTTCCTAATGAGAATCATAGACAGTGAGGGTGCTGGCTACCCACACATGCTCATTCTATCCTGAAGCAGTTGGGAGCACAAGATTAAGCACTCCATTAGCGGAGGAGCCATCTGCTGGGCTTCCTTCCCTAATCACAAGCAGAGTGGAAATCCACCTCTGATAGTCTCCCTGGAAAAGACTGTCTCCATGCCACCCACCCTCCTGGTGGGCATGAAGGACCCACCATTTGTTACTCCCCCAAGATGATATTAAAGTAAATACACATTCTTTACTTTGGACAGTCAGTTGGCCCTCTCCCATTAGCACATCTATACTGGGGAGATCAAATCTCTCTAGGGGTTGTTCCTTCATCTGCTCATTAGACTCAATGTTTATTAAGCAACTACTAATGGCAGAAGCTGTCATAGTGGATGGGGCACAAAGATGATGAAGCGGTCAATGTATCATTCCAGAAGGAGCTTTTAAAGGGAGAAAAAATATAGACATATAATTGCAACACATTAATTTTGGTGCTAGTTGAGTTTTGTTACAGATGAAAAAGTGGCAAACTGTTGGTTTATCAGAAAAAGTATTAAACTGCTGGGTTCATCAGAGGAGGTGACATTTGAGTTGAGGCTCAAAAAAGGGGTAGGAATTCACCAGAGAGAAAGATGGGGGCAGAGACCCTCTGAAGGTGTGGAAGCTTCTGGTGCTCTCTGGAGAAACAAAAAAGATATCTCCACAGCTGGAGCTTGAATATATGTGGGAGGGTAGTGTTCACAGAGGCTCTTTACAAGTGCTGGGAGGAATAAGAAGCTTAGAGTTTAAGTTCTAGGCCAATTATTTCCAACTTGTAAGCCCCCAAAGACCTTCATAGGGCCATGAAGTTACTTACAAGGATTCCTCAAATTCTTATGTGCACTGAGCCTTTTCCACTGAGTGAATAAATGCTGCAAATATATATATATATATACATATATATATACCATTTTAAAATGTAAATAAATATTGCAATAATTTTTAAAATTCAAATATATTTAAAAGTCAGAGCATTTGTTGGCATTATGCATTTTCCCCACTGACAGTTACTAAAAGTACAGCTACTGTCATGGGTTGAGGTTTGAGGAAGTGTCTAGGAACATTTTCGATGTTAAAGGTGGGGGTGTTAGTCATCTTAAGTGAAGTCTGGGCATTCTCTAGGGCTGTGAGAAAACATGGAACAGTATTAAGAAGGGGCAGAACATTGTCAGGTTTCTCTTTTGGGAAGGTCCTATTGGCCGCCAGTGGGGCAGGATGGGTCACAGAAGTGATACCCCAGTGGAGAAACAGCCAGCAGTCCAGGGACTTGGGCAGTGAGGGAAATGAGAGATAAGGGTGTCCTGAATCAGAAGTGGAGAGAGAGTCATGTTCAGGAAGTAGCAGAAAGGAAGAACTGGTGGAACTTGGTGATCATGCGGATGTAGGAGGTGAAGGAGATGAAGGATTCAGGACATCAAGTTTCTTGTTTTGATGGTAGCCGAGACCATTTGTATTAGTCAGTTCTCACATTGCTAATAAAGACATATCCGAGACTGGGTAATTTATAAAGGAAAGCAGTTTACTGCACTCACAGTTCCACATGGCTGGGGAGGCCTCACAATCACAGCTGAAGACAAAGGAAGAGCAAAGGCATGTCTTACATGGCAGCAGGCAAAAGAGCTTGTGCAGGGGAACTCCCATTCATAAAACCATCAGATCTCACGAAACTTATTCACTACCATGAGAACAGTACAGGAAAGACCTGTCCCCATGATTCAATTGCCTCCTACAGGGTCCCTCCCACAACACCTAGGAATTATGGGAACTACAATTCAAGATAAGATTTGAGTGGGGACACAACCAAACCATATCACTGTTCATCAAGGCTGTCTACATTACCCTCTGTCTTCCCCACAGCCATCCTGTGTGTTGTGTCCTGCAATTAGTTCCTTTCTGGAGATGGCCTGAGCCTTTATATTCAGAAGTCAGTAAGCTCTGCATTTAAAGAGAAAAGTCTTGAAACCTCCGTGTTTGAGGGATAAGGAGGCAGAAGGAACAAAGTAAAAAGGTGCAGCCATGGATGAATCCCCAAGGAAGAGAGGTGACTGAATGGCACAGGTTACTAAATGCAGGTGCATAGTCATTATCTGGGTTATGCCCAAAAAAAGAGAAAACACTCTGAGCCTATAGATCACAAAGCTTGTCTGCTAAGCATTCCTATTTGCTCATGGGAATGGATATGCTACTGTAGGGGGACTAGGAGGGTAGTTTTGAAGCTCCAGCTTAGATTAAGTCACTCACACAGTTTCACAGCTGGTAAATGGTAGGGAAAGGGTTCTAATAATAATAATATCTAACACTTATGGAGCGCTTACTAGGTGTCACAAGCTGCTCTCAGTTCATAATATGTATGAATTTATTTAATAAACCTCCTAGCTCTGTGAGGCAAGTAGTATTATCATCCCCATTTTGCAGGTGAGAAAACTGAGGCTGACAGAGATTAAACAACCAATGTAAGATAGTACACATAGTAAGTAGGGAAGCCAGAAATTAGCCAGCAACCTTGCACCAAAGTCTGCTCCCTTAGCCACTACTCAATACCCGAGGTCTGGCTGTTCAGCCTGAGAATGATTGTGCTTAATTACTGAGCCATGCTACCCTGACATGGGAGGGAGTCCAGGTACAAAGGGAGGTGGTAAAGCCAGTCCAAGCTCAGGGCAGTGACAGGCCAGGAACAGTGGGTGTCACCCAGGAGGTGCATTTGCACAGTACAGTGGGTCTGGGTGAGCCTCTGGATCCAGAAAGCCTAGGAAAGAGTGGGGGCAGCAGGAGGATTGACAGCTATCCCTGCTCTGGACAGAGATAGGTGAGAGATTGAGGGACTGCAAAAATCCACTGAGGCTGGAGCAAAGGCACGGTGGTGGGAGGGGCTAGAAGACGGGGGTGCTGAAGCTTGTTGAGATTCTACAGGGACACTTTACAAGAAGAATCAGCCTTTCTGGGTCTTGTGAAATTGATTTTATTTTTATGTCTTAAGCTTGTGCCAGGATGTTATTTCTCAGTTGAATTCCTTCGACTACTTCTATCTCCAAATTACACTTTCATCTTCCTCCTGTAGCTGTGCATTCATTCCCACGTGCAAACAGGGACGGTAAGCAGACGAACCTTGTTTCCTGCAGGCTAAACGTGTTGTCTGCCCATTGGCCATGACCCAGAAAAAGAGTGCTCTTCTGACTCTAGCAATCCGTATTAATTCAGACCTTCTCCCTTAACACTGGTTTTGCTTATTTATTTATTTATTTTTAAATTCCATTTGCCTCATTAACTGTTCACTCCAGAGTCTGCTTTTTTTTAACTGTATAAATTCAGTGATACCAAAGTTTAAAAGTTCCAAGAGCACTAACATTTGCTTCCTGCCTTTGCCCTTAGCTGGCAGGCTCCAGCTAAAC
Source organism: Homo sapiens (assembly GCF_000001405.40). Lineage (NCBI taxonomy): Eukaryota > Metazoa > Chordata > Mammalia > Primates > Hominidae > Homo > Homo sapiens. The sequence goes on along the minus strand of NC_000001.11, from coordinate 34,236,987 downwards.
TTCAGTGCCCTTGGGCAAGGTAACATCCTACTTAAGACTACTTTCCCAGAGGCTCTGAGAGGCTCCTTCTGATAGAAGCAACCTCAGGAACAAGCAGAAGAGAAGGGGGATGTGGATGCACATTTACTGAGCCCCAATTATGTATCCTGCCGACACTGGACATTCTCCAATTTAACACATTTACTAGGTGCTGGACTCCATGCTAAGTGCTTTATATACCATGGTGGTCTTTAAAAATAAGAATCTAGGCCTACCATCTTCCTGCTGACAAACCATTTAAAGGCTTCCCATTGCTGTTGGGATAGAGTTCCAAGTGGGGTTCTTACCACGGTCTATAAGGTCCTATTGTTACCAGTAGAGGGTCTTTCTTGACTGCAAGTTGTCCAGGTTCTTAGTGTTTTAATCAAAGAATTGGACAAAATGTATAGTAAAGCAAGGAAAGAATGAAGCAACAAAAAATGAAAGCAGGGATTTATTGAAAATGGTAGTACACTCCACAGTGTGGGAGCCAGCCAGAGCAGCGGCTCAAGGGCCGGGATACAGAATCTTCTCCCGTCCAAATGCCCCCTAGAGGTTTCCCATTAGCCACTTGGTGCTCACCTCATGTAAATGAACCGGTGGCCCCCAATCAGAGGCTGAAGTGAAGTTACAAAGGTCACACTCCTGTGCAAACATCTGAATGTCAAGTTACAAAGTTGCACTTCTATGCAAACGAAGACTTGGCCCACAATCTATCTGAGTGTAGTGAAGTTACAAAGTTACACTCCTATGCAACCAATCAGAGATACCTTCAATTTCCCATCTGCCGGGCAGAAAAGGTGGGGGTTTGCTAAGGGAGTAGCCTCTGGTCCATTTGTTACTTAGATGTGGAAAGTTAGGGTTTTCCTTTCAATTTAGTTCTAGGAAGTCAGCGTGAAATGGCCTTAGGTTCCCTGCCTCCAGACCCTATTCTCCTGCCTCACTATGTGGTCGGGGCCCTGACTACACCAGCAGCCTCATGGCATCATCATCTACTAATTTAATTCTGATATTCACCCTTCAGATCTCACCTCAAAGGACATAGCATACAGGAGGCAGGGGAACACAGTGGTTTGATGCATGGCCTCTAAAGCCAACCGCCTGGGCTGAAATCCAAGCTGCACTTGATTGGCCTAATTTGGGTCAGGTGCCCATGGATAAGCCAATCACTGGCTGGTATGATGGCATATGCTGATTAGCTTAGCCAAGCTTCCAGTGCTATGTCCTAGGGCCCCAGAGGAAAATCAACTTTATTGGGAACCTGTGGGCTGAGAGTTGGGGAGAGATGATTCACCGAAGCAGATTAGGAAATTTTGCCCCAAGAAGGAAGAGTGGATGCATGAATAACAAATGACCACTTCAGTGTCATGCTATATTTTCCAGACTTTGACCGTATGACCTCCTCCATCATACTTGCCATATTCCTGTGCCAAGTGTACTATTATTTAAATAGTGTTTTTCACAACTCTCTTTTTGTACTTGGAGCTTCATTTTAAAATAGATTTATTTATTTATTTCACTGCTGTAAATGAAAAACCAATATCACTTGCCACGAATAGGAGGTAATGTTAAATTTTTTTTTACATTGAAAACAAAACCATATTATTAAATTCCAGCTAGAGACTGTGGCCTGCTAAAAATGCTCTGAGACTGTGGCCTTGTTCTTTCTTTGTTAAGAAGAGAGATTATCAAGTGTTACAGAGGTGTTAAGACATACTAACACCAAACTGAGCCTTTCTCCCTGATGTAATCAGAAGGCCCAAGAAAGAATTGAAAAGGAAATTACTTTCTCACTGTGTGATTCAATGTGATGTGATGCCATATCCATATAGCATCGAGAAGTCTTTTTCTATGCCACTTGCAATCATCTGGTAGACCACTAGTGCTACCTGCCCAACACTTTAAAGAACACTGTCTTGGAGTGTTTGAACTTGGTCAGAATTGTTAAATGCATGGCCAAAGACAGTGAGACTGAGGACTAGCTGGTTATTAGAGAGGATGAGAGCAAAATAGCCAGTACATTTTATAAATAGAAAATTACCACTTTGTCTAACTGTTCCTCACCTCTGGTGAGAGGTGAAAGGCAGTAGCTCAAGTCATCTTGTTTCTCACCCTGCCTTCCTGTGCAACTGCCAGTCCCCTACGTCATACCCTGTCCTTCTAAGCTGGTGCCTGCACAGTCTTCCCAATGAATGACCCCTCCTTCCACCCAGCTGTAAATCTGAGCTCCATCCTTGACACCTCCTTTTCACTCATCCCCTTCACTGTGATAATTTTCCTGGTGTATTCAATCATTCCCATCTCCTATTTTCTCTAGTCTGTCTGTTTCTGTTCCTCTCCACTGCGATCATCGTAGTTCACACCACCATTTGGTCTATTCCAGACTACTACAACTGCCTCCTAACTATCACTCGGCTTCCCCTTTTGCTCCAATTCCCCAATCCACTTTCCAACTTCCATCCAGAGTGATCTGCCTAGAAAATGAATTGGAACACTCACTCCCCTCTATGAAGACTTCAATGTTTTATTGAGGTTAGAATAAAAGCTATAGCTAGGTCTACCTGACTGTCATCTGGACTTATCTCAATCTCACTCCTAACCTCATACCACCCACCTCCTCCATTCCTGTATTGGAGAGAGACCTCTCATTACTCTTATTGGGGTCCTGGAATGGGTGACTCCCTGTCCCTGGAGCCCTCTTCCCTGAGGGCTCTGCACCTACTCCTCCTCTGGCTCAGTCCTTCTCATTCTTCATTTCAAATGTCACTCTTTCAGTAATGCCTTCCCTGGCTCCCAGTACATCCCCTCATCATAGGACCCCCATTCCTTGCCTTTATCGTGCTTTTCATCATTCTAACTTTATATTTGTGTGTGTGTTTGCTTAATGTCATTCTCCCCAATCAGATAAAAAGCTCTTTGAAAGGAGGGGCTCTGTCTGTCTTTCTTATTCCTGATCTAGCCCCCACCATTAGCCCAGAACGGACACTCATTCATCTTTGTTAAAAAGCATAAAGCAAATAAAGTCCTTAAGGTCTAAAACTGGCTTAGAGGGAAATGCATTGCATTAGAAGGAGAGAATTTGTAGGTTAAGCATTAAGTGTATTTGGTAAGAGGTTTGATAGTGGATAAGGTATAATTATGTGGCTTAAATATGTTTAAGAGTGATTTGTGTTTATGCATAGTTGGTGGAAATAAAAATCAGTTAAGTTGGGGAATTCAAGAAAACATAAAGAGTTCATTGCGTCGTCGGAAGAAACAGACAAAATAACTGAGATGGTGTGAGTGTTCACCTCCATGAGATCACAGGACGTGAGGTGAGCAATGGATATGGCTGGATTCCATGTCCATAAAAGAGAACCCTGCAAAGGCTAACCTATGTGGCCACCACTCCACTTGTCTCTCCTCCCGTTAAATATACCAGAAATGGAAAAACCCCCTGCAAATGGGGCTAGTACAAAATGGAGTCAAGCTAGCTCCAACTCAGAGAGAAGTTGGGTGTAAATAGGAGGGGTTTGAGAAAAGGCTAAAATGTGACATAACATGGGGATGACACTGAGGGGTGATTGATTTTAGAAGAATACACTGAGACTGTGTGCTTGAGAACGTCTTGAGCAAGTTACCTTACTGCCTGTTTCTCCTGCAAGCATTGTCACGGCCAGTGTAAATCAATTAAAGGTTTCTGAATCCATATTTCCTCCCCTGTCCTGCTCACCACTACTGCTGCTTGAAAGAGAAATGGAGCAGGGTAACGAAAAGTCAACAGTCTCCACCAGATGGTAAAAATCAGGTGCCTTCATCCAATAATACTAATAAGGCCAGTTGGGTGGGAGACATGCTGCATAGACAGGACAAACTCTCAGGGGATCAATGCATACACACTTTGTGTGTGTAGTTCATATACAATTCCCAGAACTCCAAAATAAGACAACTCCTTGAGAGCGAATTTGTCCAAATTGTCAACTAGAGAGTACGTTTGACCATCAGCACAAAGCCTCACTGCATAAACCAGTGATGTGCTAGAACCAGCTCATACTGGCTTGCAGGAGTTCATGGTTAAATTTGCAGAATTTTGTGAACCAGTTGTAAAGCACAAACATTATTGAAAGTTAAATTTTCTAAATCTGTAATTAAATGAATTGTATTAAAAACAAAGGTAATAAATACTCAGAATTCATCATTTCCAAATTATTGTACTTCATTTTACTACTATCTACGCTCTGGGGATTATTTGCATCTATTATCTCCGTATGGTGGAAATATTACATCATGGTGTGTTACTGCACAGCTCTGCCCAACTCGGTGTTCAGTAACATCACATTGGTAGCTTGAAGTCAGCCAAGGTGGGTGTATTTATACCATGGAAATGAAAAAAATGCTACAAATCAGGGCTTGCTTTATTGTTTTGTTGATTGTCTAGACTTAAGAAAGTGATAGAGAAATGGTAATAATGCAGATTAAACTTAAAAGCCTGTCATGTCTGGAAATGTTACATGGCAAATGGCATAAAAATTGAGAAAATACTCTTCCAGTATTTGAAAACTGTTATCTGGTTCAGCAAAGCAGTCGCTCATCTCATTCATGAACGAATGGAGTTCTGGCATGCCATTGTTGCTTCACTTTCATCTTACTTGTTAATATAAAAGAAAATATCAGCCAACATTCATGTCAGAACTACACTCATTTCCCAGTTGCTTCCCTAGATTGGCTATAGATACAAGAGCTCAGCAAAAGTCAATTAAAGTGTTCTGTGAGAACCGATTGGCTATATGGAATTTAAAATAAAGTGTTGTTGTTTATTTTATGATTTTATGAAATGGTGTGCTACACATCCTTTGTATCAGTTAAATTTTAACAAACTTACATACATAAGTTCAATAGATGCATAATTTTTCAAAAGCTGGTTATTAAATACTGACTTGCACACTGCTTGGTATCGCCCACACCAAAGCAGGGGACTGATCATAAGAGGATACTGGGCTCTAATCAATGACAGTAATAGTTTTGCAGGAAGAATGCCAGTGAAAGAAAGCTGGACTTCATGAAGCCCTAAGAGGATCTGACAAAGGGGAATTTCATTGCTTATGCAGCCCTAACCAGATGGGAGACACAGGGAGACTGGGAGTAATAGGCATTAAAGAGCTGTTTTTATGGTTGTTTTGGGGAGAACAAGGGTTTCACTGGGTCTCACTATTGTCTAGATCATGGTTTCTCAATCTTGGCACTATTTGGAACCAAATAATTCTTTGTAGTGAGGCTCTCCCCTGCGCATTGCAGGATGTTTGGCAGCATGCCTTACCTCCACCTACCACATGCTGGTATCTCCTTCCCAGTTGTCTGAAGACATTCCCAAAATGTCTGAAGACATTGCCCCAGGGTGACAATATTGCCCCTGGTTGAAAATCACTGACCCAGATGAAATATCACTTATATTTATTCAACTCAAGAAATATTGTCATCTGCTATAGGCAAGACACTGTTCTAGGCACTTGGGATATAGATGAAGAAAGCAAAGAGGACTTCCCTCATGGAGCTGCAATTGTGATTTTCTAATTCCATTGAGTTTTTTTTCCATCAGAATGTGAACCCTTTGAGAGCAGAAATTGGGTCTTATTTATCTCTGGGACTCCAGCCTGTCGGGGCACAAGGCCTGGCACCAAGGTCCTCACTAAATGTCTGTTGAACTGCATCAGTCTGAACCCCCTTGCTGGTTGAACACCCTGCCTACCCCTACACTCTAGTTTCTCATACTCTCACTCCTTGACCCACCCCTGTGCTTCAGCCATGCTGAATGTTCTCATGCTTTCTTTCGCTTGAAGATCTTTCTTAATGTTTTTCCCAGGGAGCGGCGGGGTTTTGTCTTCTATTGATGTGTTACAAACTGCTACAAACACAGCAGCTTAAAACAACATCTGTTTATTATCTCATGATTTCTGTAGGTCAGAAGTCTAGGCACAGTGTGGCTGGGTTCTCTGCTCAAGGTCTTGCAAGTGTGAAATCAAGGTGTCAGCTGACTCCATTCTCATCTGCAGCTCAGGGTCCTCTTCCAAGCTCATCCAGGTTGTTGGCAGAATTCGGTTTCTTGCTGGCTGTATTCTGGGGTTGCACACAGCTCTGAGAGGCTGTTCTCTTGTCTTTGTCACATGGGCAACTCCATGTTCAAAGGCTAAAGTGGAGAATTTCTCATACATCAAATCCTCCTCATGCTTCAAATCTCTTTCTCCAGGGAGGAACTTGTCCCTTTCAAGGACTCATGTGATTAGGTCATGTAATATGCCAGATAACATAACCTAACCATGGAAGTGATATCCTGTTATATTCACAGACTCCTTCACCTCATGATGCAGGGAATTAACAAAGGTATGGATCCTTAGGGATCATCTTAGCATTTTGCCTCTGGCACTTGGACTCCCCCACTCCTCTTAAACTTCATTACCCCATTCTTCTTGCCTTTTATAATAGATCTTGGCTTTTATGTCACTATTTAATAGCAATAGTGGTTTACTTTCATTGAGTTATTTTTAAAAGCTGTGCCCCATGCTTTGCATGTAGTATTGTATTTACTTTTCATGGCAGCCATATGAAGTAAATATTATTTTTATTTTTGCACTTAGAGTTCCCTCTGCCTACCACTCTTCCCCTACATAATCTTCCCTGATGATTCCATCTAAAAATAGCTTTTAGTAGAATGCCAACTAATACATGCAGAAGGAATGATGATGGAATTAGAAAATCACCTCTTGGCAACCATTGTGCTAGTAATTGATTCAGGCAAGAATCATTAATGGATGTTAAAACCAGTGGGTAAAAGTTTGATGGGGAACAGGAAAATTATATAAGCTCAAAGTATCTCCCTAAAATATTTTTAGATAATTTTAAAGGAAAAAGTAGTGTCTTTATGTTGGAGAAAGCTGGCAAACATCACTTTAACTAAATTACCAGAGTTAATATCACCAGTAATGGGATAAAACTATCCCAAATGCTCCCTAAGGTGAAGTGCTGAGAAGGACATCTCACTTCCAGGGTTTTCCCACCATATCAGATATGCCCAAATTGAGGGGTTACTCTGCAAAATAACTAGTCAGTACTTTCCAAAAATTTCAAGGTTATAAAAGGCAAAGAAAAGCTGAGCAACCATCCCAGATTAATGGAAATTAAAGAGACATGACAATTAAATGGGACGTGTGATCCTGGATTGAATCCTAGACCAGAAAAAAAAAACTACCAGTGTTAAAATTTTAACAAGGTCTGTAGATGAGATAATAGTATCAGTGTTAATTTCTCAATTTTTGTAATTATATTATGGCTATGTAAAGAAAACGTCTTTGCTCTTAGAAAATATACATTAAAGTATTTGGTGGTAAAGGGATATTATATCAGTAACTTACTGTCAAATAGTTCAGAAAATAACAACATAAAAGAAAGAATGACAAAGCAAACATGGCAAAACGATAATAGGGAACCTGAGTGAACGGTATATAGGAGATCTTTGTATTATTTTTGCAACTTTTCTGTATGTGTATTTGAAATTATTTAAAAATAAAATTTACCAAAAGAAAATATAATAAGAGTAGCATCCAATTCTGCATCCCTTAACCTGCTTTACTTTTCTGCAGGGCCCTTCTCACCACTGGCTATAGCATATGTTTTATTTAACTTTCACAGCAACCATACAAAGTAGGTACTATTATTGTTCTTTGCCTTTACAACTCTTTTTGCCTGAAAGGCTCTCCTCCCCAGGTATGTGATATAATTCCCTATGGTCTTTCTGGACTCCACTGAAATACCATTGATAATAGCAGCAACGTTAATTTCTTCCTTGACTAGGCTGCAAACTTCATGGGAGGAGACTTTGTTTCGTTCACTTCTAATTCCTCAGTGGCTTCAACAGTACCTGGCACAAAGTAGGCACTCAATAAATATGTGTTGAATGAAATATCTAGATGTTAGAGAAGGGTAAGCTTAAGAAGAACAGCAGGTGGTAGAATCAGACTTTGCATACAAGAAGAATGATTCTAGAACTACTAACTACTGTGCTCTTCTCGGGCTGCTTTTCCAGGCAACCCCCAGGTTTTCCCCATTTCAAGACAAGACCACTGTGGTAGTCAGCTTCCGATGTGGCTCCCAGTAACTCTCACCTCCTGGATTCATGCCTTTGTGTGTTCCCCTCTCCTGGGGCTGGACCTTGTAACTCACTTACAGCAAATAAAATATGACAAAAATGGTGGGGTGCCACTTCCATGATTAGGTTATCTACAAAAAAGATTGTGCCTTCCATCTTGCTAGCAGACTCTTGCTGGCACGTTTTCTTGCCTTCTTGCTGCTATGTTGTGAGATGCTCCCTGGAGAGCAACAAGGAACAAGGCGAGGCCTCTAGCCAATAGCGTGAAAAGAACTGAATCTTGCCAACAAACACAAGAGTACTCACTTTAGAAGCAGATCCTCCCCAGTCAAGCCTTCTAATAAGACTGCAGCCCTAGAAGACCCTTGGACTGCATCCTGTGAGAGACCCTAAAGCAAAGAAGCCAGATAAGCAATGCCCAAGAAACTGTGAGATCATAAGTGTTATTGTTTTACACTGATATGTCTTGGAGTAATTTGGGACACCAAGCAGTAGATAATTAACACTACAACCCTCTGCATCTCCATGGCACCTGGAAAACTATGATAGTAGAAACATTTCATAGTATATTTGTATCTCTCACCCTCCCCATCACCCATACTGTAAACTTTTTGGGCACAGTCTATGATGTATTTACCATTTAATCTATGGTTAATGCCTATCTCATAGTTAGAGTTCAACAAATGCTTGTTAAAAATTTTTGAGGACCAGGCACAGTGGCTCATGCCTGTAATCCCACCACTTTGGGAGACCAAGGTGGGTGGATAACGAGGTCAAGAGTTAGAGACCAGCCTGGCCAATATGGTCAAACCCTGTCTCTAATAAAAATACAAAAATTAGCCTGGTGTGGTGGTGTGTGCCCGTAGTCTCAGCTACTCAGGAGGCTGAGGCAGGAGAATTGCTTGAACCTGGGAGGCGGAGACTGCAGTGAGCCAAGATCATGCCACTCCACTCCAGCCTGGGCAACAGAGCGAGACTCTATCTCAAAAAAAAAAAAATTATTGAGGAGTCTCTCATTAGAAATAAATTACAGTTGGGTTTATGCATTAACCTGTGAATTAGGTCAGTTCTGAGGATCTGATAAAGTTTTCAAATTTGCAAAACTCAGAAGCAGAACCTGAGCTGAGGGCACTTTACTGTGGCTCTGATCCTCTCAAGGCCCCATTTGGGTGGCCAGCTAGTCTCTACACAGTATCTGTATCTCAGCTACTTCAACATCATAATTCTTGAAAATAGTATTTGTAACACTAAACCACGTGAGAGGACAAAGTGACCTGCCCATCCACCTGTTCTAATTAATATACTTTTAAACCTTTCAAGGAAAACCATTTCTCCTCCTTTCTTTACACCACACAAAGATTTAGCCATAAAATTTCGGCTTAGAGTAATCACATCCTGAATCAATGGCTTCTTTTTTGAGTTAAAAAAATTCCTCTAACATGTTCATTTTAATTTTAAAAATGCTATTTTAAATGGTAGGGAGCCTTTTAATTCTCCACTCTGGGTTATAAAAAAATAATAGATAGGGAGAAATGTGTTATTAAAGCTATTTTTCTTGGCGTTCTGGTAATTTAATAAACTGCTGAAGCTAAGCCTTAAGACTTTATAATGCAGCAAGAAGAGGACTTGTCTGTTGATTAATAGTTTTTGATCGTCCCCCACCCAACCTCCCTGCTTCCTGGGGTGATTCCTGAAGGACAACAGGCAATTTCTGAAGAATGAAGAGGATTTGGAGAAACATTGTACAAAAATGTTTTGTCCAGGGAATGTTAATATCCAGGAACATACACACACTCTTCTCTAAGGCTTGGTATGCTTGTGAACTGGTGGAGATGAGTCTCAGAAGATAACTCTTGGAGAGAATTCACTTCCACATTTGATAACTTCAGAGCATTCCACAAGCCTTCAAAAGTTCCCATGTCAAGGTTATTGGAGAATATCTTAGTCTGCTTGGGCTGCCCTAACAAAATAGTATAGACTGGGTGGCTTAAACGACAAGAATTTATTTCTCACAGTTCTGAAGGCTGGGAAGACCAAGATCAAGGTGCCACCAAGTAGGTTTTATTCTGAGGCCTCCTTTCTTGGCATGTAGGTGGCTTGATCTCGCTCTGTGCTCACATGACCTCTTCTTTGGGAGAGAGAGTAAGCTTTCTGTTGGCTCTTCCTATAAGGATGCTAAACCCATCTAATCTAATAGGACCTAACAGGACTTCATCCAATCCTAATTACCTCCATGGGTCCCATCTCTAGATACCATCACACTATGGGTGAAGACTTCAACATACGAGTTTTGGGAGGACACAAACCTTCAGTCTATAACTGAAGGTTTTCTAGTTTTTAGGCCAGTTACTTGGCTTCAAACACATTCCCAATGCTCCTGAAACTCTGTAAGCCATATTTTTGCTTTGCCTTCTGGTTCCCTGTCAGGCTCTACCAATAAGGGGCACTAGAGGCTGGAGGAGGAAGAAGGGATTATTTGGTCCCATTTGGCTCCTATGCTGGTCAACATCAACCTAGCAATAGCAATTTTTTCCAATAGCAATAGTTACACCCAGTTTACCATTTTCCCAACACTTGCAAACTTGCAAAACCAGCCTCAATGTGCCTTCTCCTCAGAGAATGGGTCCCTACTCCATAAAGCCCTCCTGTGTGCCCAGAGACACTAACATCAGCCAAAGAGCCCCTGCTTCCCAGATCCAGACATCAGCTCCTCGAGGCTCCTCCTCCAGCCTTTTAAGTTTTAATCATTACACCCTCTTCTCTTTGGGCAGCAGCTGCTTCCTGCAGTTGCTACTTCTGCAATACCCTTGGAATTCTTTTTATGCCTTTTCAGTTTTTCAATACAGACCTAACCATTATATATATTAAATTCTTTCTATTGAAATAATTGAAGTCACTTCTGTCTCATGCCTGGGCCCTGACTGATAGTGGGGACTTGGCCCCATTTATTGGACAAAAAGATGCAATGCTGGAAAATATAGATAGGCCACCTTTGCATTCTCTAGGACTGTTTATCTCCTTGTAAAGTGAAGCAAATGACAAATATGTTTCATTTATGAGCTTGACCCCACCAAGTCAACATTATCTCTTTCTCCTTTTGGTAATGTCTGGACAATGGGTTTGTGGCAAGGAAAGCTTTCTTTGTTGAAGTCTTTCTTCTTTCTTGCAAGATAGTTAGCTCTGTGAGGGCAGAGCATATGACTGTTTACCTATGTAACTCAGCACCTAGACCAATGCCGGGTACAAGGGAGGCATTCAATAATTATCTACTAAATAATTGGATGAATAAATACAAAGATGGGTGAATGGAAGAATGGATGGATAAATGGATGGATGAACATTGTCTAATCTGAAGAACATCTGGTAGCAAAAAGAGGAAGGTCTTCTTGAAGGAATAGTGTTACTTCATTTTAAAATGTCAATTAGGGGTCGGACGCTGTGGCTCATGCCTATAATCCCAGCACTTTGGGAGGCCAAGGTGTGTGGGTCACGAGGTCAGGCAATCGAGACGATCCTGGCCAACATGGTGAAACCCCATCTCGACTAAAAATACAAAAATTAGCTGGGTGTGTGCCTGTAATCCCAGCTACTTGGGATGCTGAGGCAGGAGAATCGCTTGAACCAGGGAGTCGGAGGTTGCAGTGAGCCGTGAGCCAAGATTGCGCCACTGCACTCCAGCCTGGTGACAGAGCGAGACTCCATCTCAAAAAAAAAAAAAAAAGAAAGAAACCCAAAATTACAGTAGCTTTTAAAAAGCATTCACTTTCCTCTCATGTAAACAAAACCTAGGGATAGGCACTCCCTTGTGGGAGGGTTGGTTTGGCCATTCTACATTCTCAAAGGTACTAAGAGGCCCAGTTCCTTCTTGAGGCTGGTTGCTCTACCAACCTGATCATGAGGACTCCACCTCCAGAAACCACACAGAACACTTCTGCTTACATCCCATTTGGCTGTAAGTAAGTCACATATTCTGGAAGGCCATGTGTCACTCTGAAAGTGGGGTTCCTTTACTAAGGAGAAAGAGGGAATGCATATTTGGTACCAATCGACAATCTCTGTAGTATGGAGGAACGTATAACACAGGACTGAGGAAGTCCTCCCAAAGGAGGGAGGCTGGGAGAAGGATTTGAAGCCCTGGAGGAGGAGTTTGAAGGCTGAGAGCTGATTTCTCTGCTTCAGGTGACCTCTCCCTTTCTTATGGAGAATCCACCGCTGCTTCCCTGACCTCCTCGGCCCCTGCCTCCTACTTTCTTATGACACTGGCTCATACTGGAAAATGACTCAGAAGTCTTAGTTGTCTGAAAATTTAATAGCCATGAACCATATGGTATAAGTTCCAACAAAGTTCATTCACTGCGGGCTGTGTTATGAGGAACAGGGAAGGACCAGGAAAAGTGGGTAAGAATGTTGGCTCACTGCGTGACCTGAAACAAGATATTCACTGTGAACCTTAGTTTCTGCACCTGTAATAAATATATATCTCACAGGGTTATTATGAGCATTAGATAATAAAGGTGATGTATATAGCACTGTGCCTGTTCCATTGTAAGTGCTTGATGATTAGTAGCTGGTATTATTTTATGAAGTATTTCTAGAACTCCCACAAAATGCTACTCCTCAACTTGCTTAAACTATATAAAGACCACTGTTAGTGTTAAGGTTCACAAATAGGCTGGGCTCGGTGGCTCACACCTGTAATCCCAGCACTTTAGGAGGCCGAGATGGGTGGATCACCTGAGGTCAGGAGTTTGAGACCAGTCTGACCAATATGGGGAAACCCCATCTCTACTGAAAATACAAAAATTAACCAGGTGTGGTGGTGTGTGCTTATAGTCCTAGCTACTTGGCTGAGACAGGAGAATTGCTTGAACACGGGAGGTGGAGGTTGCAGTGAGCTGAGATCGTGCCACTGCACTCCAGCCTGGGGGACACAGCGAGACTCCTTCTAAAATAAAAAAGAGAGAGAGAAATTCACAAATAGAGTGTGTCCAGGAAGAAAACTGGAGGCTTACAACTCGAAAACATGTCACATGGGAATTCACTGCAAGGACCAGGAATGTTAAAAGAGCAGACATCACTTGGCCTGGCACAGTGGCTCACGCCTGTAATCCCAGCACTTGGGAGGCTGAGGCGGGCAGATCACGAGGTCAAGAGATCGAGACCATCCTGGCCACCATGGTGAAAACCTGTCTGTACTAAAATTACAAAAATTAGCTGGGTGTGGTGGCACACGCCTGTAGTCCCAGTTACTCGAAAGGCTGAGGCAGGAGAATCACTTGAACCCGAACCCGGGAGGCAGAGGTTGCAGTGAGCTGAGATTGCGCCACTGCACTCCAGCCTGGCAACAGAGTGAGACTCCATCTCAAAAAAAAAAAGGAGCAGACATCACTTATCTGACCCTCTGAACTGGATTGGGTGATCCTGATATGTGCTCTCATAGCACCCAGTGTGTGCCTTTGGTAACCTCATCACCTTTCACGGTGACTATGATTGAGTATCTGTGCTTAAAAATTCACAGGGCCAGGCACTGTGTCTGTCTTGCCCACTGCTGTATCCCTAAGGATACGTTTTCAGTGACTGTGCGCTGAATGCATCGGGTGGGGGAAGGTGGGTTTGAAGGAACCCAGAGAAAAGCTGAGAAGAGCTGGGAGTTTTCAGTCCCATCCAGACTTCATGACGCTGGATCAGGAAAAGCACTGAGGGTCCCTGTTCCCATTATTCTTCAACTATAACTATTTCTGGAATTCCCTGAGAGGTGAGCAGAGTCAGGGGTGCAATGTGTTGGAAAAGCATTGGCCATTGGCTCCAGGCCCCCGCTTCAACTAAATTTTCTCCATAAGAATTTCTGGAGAAAAAAGTTTCTAAGGACTTCTGAGAATCTGATTCTCAAACATCCTGGGATGAGAGCTGGGGCAGTGGGCTCTATCTGTGTCAGAAGGCAGTTTGAGGCCAGGCGCGGTGGCTCACACCTGTAATCCCAGCACTTTGGGAGTCCAAGGCGGGCAGATCACAAGGTCAGGAGATGGAGACCCTCCCGGCTAACATGGTGAAACCCCGTCTCTACTAAAAATACAAAAAAATTAGCCGGGCGTGGTGGCGTGCGCCTGTAGTCCCAGCTGCTGGGGAGGCTGAGGCAGGAGAATGGCGTGAACTCGGGAGGCGGAGCTTGCAGTGAGCCGAGATTGCGCCACTGCACTCCAGCCAGGGCGACAGAGCGAGGCTCCGTCTCAAAAAAAAAAAAAAAAGAAAAAAAAGAAGGTAGCTTGATACAATTCAACAAGCATTTTTGATACCTACCATGTGCCAAGCATCATATTAGTGTTCTACATGCAACTTCTCTCTCTTTTAAATAAATCTTTATTTTTATTAAAATAATGCATACACATAGTTTAAAAGCCAAACAGTGCTATAAAGACTTACAAACAAGGCAGTGATTCCTGCACCGTCTTCCCCCACAAATCAATCCCCCTAAATCTCTTGGCTGTTTATCTTGGTGTTTATCTCCAGATTTCTAGATAATTATATGAATTCCACTATCTCTGGTATCATCCATTTTAGATATTACCTCCTGCCTTTCTATTATGATAAATGAGGATTTTAGCTCTATTCACACCCTCTCTCCACCTTCATCCTCCCACCGTGGTTATAAGTTATCACCATTTTTTGTTAAATCTATATTTGAACTTTTTATTGTTGTGACCAGGTAAATACTGTTCACTGCTGAGTTAATAACAATTGTTCCTTTTTTAATTTGAATTTATAGTTAAAGCTTCCCACCCCCACCAACTGCTATAAAACACCTCTTAATACAATTTTCCACAGAATCAACTCTGTCAGAATAATCTATCATTTTTTTTCTCCAGCCCTTCCCCAGCCCCCACTGATATGCCTCTCTTCTGGAGCTCACCAACTTCCTACTTACATCTGGACTGGTGGTGGTGGCTCTCAGAGGCTCTGTTTCATGGCTCCTGAGTGAAGGCATTCCTTTTCCGTCACCCCAGGAATCTCCTTAGCCTCCCTCCACATTGAATACCTGATTCCTGGATTCCATGTCTTCTTTCTTTGTTTACCCACTTGTCTTAGTGGAGTACATCTTCCCTTAGCTTCCTGACAGATGTGCAGGGTGGTCAATTTTTTGAGACTTTTCATATCTGAAAACATCTTATTCTACCTTCACAGGGCAGAGTTTGGATTTAGAATTCTTGGTCGAAAATTATTTCCACTCGAAGTTCTGTTGCCTTTGTTTCAGGATGTTCTAGGTGCCAGTGTTACTGTTGAGAACTCTGATGCCATTTTGGTTCTTGAGCATTTGTATGTCAGTTGGTTTTTTGGGAAATTTTAGAATCTTGTCTTTATCCTTGCTCTTCTGAAATTTCATAGGGATAGTCTTCAATGTACATCTTCTTCTTTCACTTTGCTGAGCACTTGTTTGGGCCTTTCAATCTGGGGGATTTTCTTTTATTTTTTTCATTAGTATTTCCATCCCCTTGATTTTCACTCTGTTGCCTAGAATGTCCCTTAGCCAGATATTGGTTCTCCTGGACTGGTCCTCTCATTTGCTTATCTTTTATCTCCTATAACCCACCCTTATGTCTTTATTCTCCTTTCATGAGATCTCTCTGATGTTAACTTCCAGCCCTTTCACTTAAAAAATTACATCAGCTATCATTGTTTTAATTTCCAAAAACACTTTCTTGTTCTGATTTTTAAAAATAAGCATATGGCATATTGTCCTTATTTTTAAAATGTACTACCTTATCTCCCTTAGACTATTATGGTCTGTCTCTCCTTAGTTCCTTCTTATCTTTGATTTATTTCCTTCTTGGTGGAGACTGCTCTAAAAAGTTTATTGGAAGCTCTTTGTAAAAGGACATTAATCATAGGGTAATTTTCACTGGTACCTCCAAACGCCTTGGGGAAATTCAGCTTCCCTAGAGGACCTTCCAAACCTCTGCTTCTTGGTTAAAGCCTAGCTGCTGGCATTGAGGAGTGTATGTGTATTTCACTTGATTCCAATTTTCCATCTGGGGCCTCATCTCCACAGTCCTTATGCATGGTCTGTACCTTTCTCCTGAGAAAATGCCTCCTGTCTCCTACAGAACTGGCCATGGCCTTTGGCTTTGTGGGGCCAGGTTGCTTTCACCTCTTCCTAGCCCCACCTTCCATGGAGTCTAGCACCTGGCACCTCCAATTCCAGGACCATCAGGGCTCTGCAGGAGAAATGGCTAGCTTCTTGTTGATATTTCCTTTGGCAGGCATTTCCATGTGATCTTCCTCTGTTCTGCTAAGGAATTTACCTTTCCTCCATCCCATTTCTGCTTTTGTATATGGGATGGGATTGCCAACTTCTCCGAGTTTTATTGAGGATAGAGTTCATACAGGTTTACTTGTTCTCCTTGTTATTTGGGGGTAAGTTTCAAGAGAAGAGGAAAAGAAACATCTTTACTCCACCATCTTAAAGCCACAAGTCTATGTTAAATAGACAAAGTTTATATTAAGTCTACATTATCTTTTAATCCTCAAAATTCAAAGTTTATATTAAGTCTGCATTATCTTTTAATCCTCACAACTCTTAATATGGCCAATCATGGAAAAGAGGTTCAGAGAAGTTAAGTTCTGTGCCCTAAGTCATAGTTGGAAAGCAGCTAAGAAGCCAAGTCTGGCCAAAGGCAAACCCATAATTTTTCTTTTACTGTCTCCTGTTTCCCAAAATGCTGAGATCAAGGGAGGGTGGCAAATTATAGTCTAGCCTGGATCAATACCTAGAAGTACAATATAAGAAAGACCTTTGGGACAGACTGTTAACCAAGGCTATCAAGAAGAAACAAGAAATGCCCAAAGTAGGGTCCAGCATTGGGGAAGGGAGTTGAAGGACTTCCAGGGAATCCTAGACTTAGGCCATGAAGAATGTAAGAAGGCATAAGTCTTGAGGGAACTTGGGAGAGAAATTGGTTTCCAGGGACCCAGAAAGAAAGACCAGTGAGGCCGATGGGGTTACACTGTGAGAGCATGCCACATGGGTTTCATTTCATAGACCAACTCTGATCAGTGACAGCTGCCTGGGGCACCACAGGAAGAATGACTCTGTGGCTTTCTCCAAACTCATGGGGATAGAATGACAGAGCTGATTAGCGATGTCTGCCAAGGGGGTGCAACAGAAGAGTTAAAGAATGTGTGCTGTCACAAATCCAGGCTGTCTCCTCTTCCCAGACTCATGTCCTCCATCAATGTGATCAAGTTGCTCTCAATGTCCTTATTCGAGTCATTGGTAAGAGTTGAACAAGACAGGTCTAAGGATGCCACCATTAGGTGCAGTTTTGACATTGACCTCTATCTTGGTACTGATGTACAATCATTGGATATAGTCTGCCACATTTAGCATCAATTTTGAAATTGTTTTCCAGGCTACATTTCCCAATCGTTTGTCCAAAAGAGACTTTTTATGGAAAACTTCCACTCGGGATAGGACAGAGTGCATTCCGTTTATGATGTCCCTTCCTGAGATGCATACACTGGGATGTTGAGAGGTGAGTGGATCACAGGGGAAAAGAGATAAGCCCTCTCACTTATGATCCCTGAGGTCCAATATTTAGATAGCAGCACTCTGAGGACTCCAGCCTGTGGTCTCCTTTCATGCCCTGAGTAAACGCTGAGTCTCGTGGGGAAAATGAGAGGTAAAGATTACACAGAACACCACAAAAATAAACAGGCACACTCCATTTCAAGTAGCTCATACTTTTATCATAAAATACAAACTTTCTAAAATTAAGTGTCTTACTTCTATTTTACCAACAAAAACAAAAACAAAAATCACTCATGTTAGCTAAATATAGATGCATAAGTGGTTGAGCAAGCAAGTATGAATATGAGGGTCATGTGTGTGTGTGTGTGTGTAGCTTGTGCCATGTGTGAGGAGGGCTATTTTTGTGTCAGTGTTGGCCAATAGATGAATCTGGTCTTGCTGTTTTGTCTGTGACCTGGTCAGAACCTTGCTTTTCCAAACTTCATACCAAGCTTTTGCAGAATCCAAAAATCAGAGCCCCTAGTCCTGATCCAAGGGCTAAGGGAGGAGAAGGGAGAAGAGGAGATCTAAAAGTTTATGCCATTCCCACTGGAAGAAAAATAGGGGCTGTGCATCAAGGGCCCTCCGGATGTCGAGCCGAACCTGGAAGAGAGGGAGGGTGGATGCCATGATGAGATTCCTAATGTTATCGGAGAGAATTAGAAAAATATATATATTAATTTTATGGTTGTCAGAAACAGTGAAGACCATGACAGGCTTGGAGGGTAAAGGCTTTGGCATAAGAAAGGCTTTGGCCCTGGGAAAGTAAAATATTAAAATAATACAATTAGAGGACAATCAAGCGCTTCTCCTTATGCTTACTTGGATCAGGAAGTCCCTGGGAGCCTGTAAAGATTGTTTCAATGGAGCCTACACTCTCTCCCTGCCCAAGACCCATAGAACAGGGACCCTCTCTGGACCTAAGCATCTTACCTGTATTCCTGTGACCACTCTACCTGCCTTAGAGGACCAGACATGTCCCTCAGGAAAATCTACAACATCAGAGAACTTAGAGGCAAGTCCAGCATAAGGTCTTTGGGGCTGGACAATCCCAGAGTCCCTCCTCCCCTTCCAGCACTAAGCTAAATCAGGCCCTTCACTCCATCCCTGACTCAGAAATAAGCATTGAGACATCACTGAGTGCCTAGGGCTTTGCTAGACCCTCAGGGAAGGAAGGGTTAAGACGTGAGCCTCACCGTCTAAGAGCAGAAATGCACACGCCTCTCCTTTTCTCCCTGGCACACTCCTATCCATACTTCAAAATAGAGTTCAAAAGCCATCTCCTCTGTGAAGACTTCCCTGACCTCTCCAGATGGAATCATTTACTCACACTGCTGGAATCCTACTGTAATTTCTTCACCCATCTGCTCAGATACTTTGAATGAATGGGAACAGAACTCAATACAAATTACAATAGAGCAAATGGCTAGATTTAATCTAATCCTGGGATTCTCAATCACTTTTCAGCTGGGCAGATGCATATTATAGAAGAGATTCACATTCATGGTACCCTTCTATGAATTGATGAAACAAAAAGCGGGAGCAGAGGAGGGAAGAAGCAATGGAAATAGACCACGGCATTCATTTGTAGTGCCTCAGCAGCTAACTCTGTCTCTTGCTCACTGAGTCTCCATGGGCAAGTTGGGCTGGGTTGTCTCACTAGCTTCTCACTAAAATAAGTGCCAAGAGAGCAGAGACTTTACCTATTTCATATCATGTGCCCAGGGCCTGACACAATGTGGGTCCCTCATAAGCAATCCATGCCAGCGGTAACCCCACCTCTGTTTCTCTCTTTCAGAAATCATATTGGGATCATTCAGAAATCATAATGATGTTATTATAGGGATACCCTGCCTTCCACTCTGACTTACAAAATAAAGGCTGTAACCCATACTTCAGTATTTAACAATTATCAGTAATCAACAATGATCATGACACAGCTCATATCTGATTGGCACACATGCAGCTAGGTCCTCCAGGTTGAGAACTTCTGATCAGATCAACGGCCACCGGCATGATCTAGACAGTATGTACGCTAGAGGGCCAGGAAGAGGAGCAATCTGTGTGGACGAGAGTTAACAAGTAATGCTTCCTGGAGGAGGAGGAGCTTGAGTTGCCTGTTGAGTAGGACGAACATATGTCCTGGTTTGCCTGGGCCGGCCTCTATGTTGGTATTTCTGGTATAATTATTTTATAGTTTCATTTATTTGAAACAGAGTCTTACTCTGTCACCCAGGCTGGAGTGCAGTGGCATGATCTTGACTCACCGCAATCTCTGCTTCCCAGGTCCAAGCGATTCCTGTGCCTCATTCTCCCCAGTAGTTGGGACTACATGTGTGCACCATCACACCTGGCTAATTTTTTGTATTTTTGGTAGAGATGGGGTTTCACTGTGTTGGCCAGGCTGGTCTCAAACTCCTGACCTCAGGTGATCCACCTGCCTTGGCCTCCCAAAGTGCTGGGAATACAGTTGTGAGCCACCGTGTCTGGCCTGATATAATTATTATCTGTACTCCTTTTAACTCTCAAATTTATTATTGCTTGGAAGATAAATTGTATGGTTATTCCACCATGATGAATGTGTGCAAATTGACTTGGCAGAGGGGAGGGCTCTACTTCTCCTTCCCTGAGGACATGGAAGCCTCTCACTCCTTCCTCTCCCCTTCACACAGTTTTGTCTCTTGATTCCACCTTTTCTGCTGACCTTCCTTGTCTTCCATGCTGAACTCTCTGCTTAGGCCCATGCATACTCCCCAGCCAGGTGCAGCCTCACCTTGATCTTGTTCCATCAGCACCTCGCGTCACCACCCCAACACCAGCACTTTGTTCAGGAAACACTTTCTTCACTTGGCTTCCTGCACTCCACTTTCCCATTTTTTTCCCCACCTCACTAGATAGTCCTACTTATTCACAGAATCTTTGCTGGTTCCTCCACATCTCCGCAGCCTCTACATGCTGGAAGTCTCAAGGCTCAGCCCTTGGATCTCTTCTCTTCTCTATACTTGTGTATTTTGGGCCATCTCATCCCATCCCATCCCTTGCCTTGAAATATCATGTATATGAGAATGGCTCCCAAACGTATTACCAGCCCCAACCTCTCCCCTGAGTTCCAGACTCCTATATGCACCTACCTATCCATAGCTCCACCCATCTGTCTAATGACTTTCTCAATTTTCACATGTCTAAGACTGACTCTTGGTAAACAGATCCTTGCTGTGGTCATCATGACCTTGGTCATTTTTTGTTTTTTGTTTGTTTGTTTGTTTTATTTTGTTTTGTTTTTGAGATGGAGTTGTGCTCTGTCACCCAGGCTGGAATACAATGGCATGATCTCGGCTCACTGCAACCTCCGCCTCCCTGGTTCAAGCAATTCTCCTGCCTCAGCCTCCCGAGTAGCTGGGATTATAGGCACCCACGATTATGCCCAGCTAATTTGTGTATTTTTAGTAGAGATGGGGTTTTACCATCTTGGCCAGGCTGGTCTCGAACTCCTGACCTCAAGTGATCCACCCACCTCGGTCTCCGAAAGTGCTGGGATTACAGGCGTGAGCCACTGTGCCTGGCCCAATGACCTTAGTGTTTTGGCATTGCTGCTGCTCCAGTTGCACAAGTCAAAAACCAAGGAATTTGTTTGACTTTTCCCTTTCCCTCATCACACATTCAACCATCATCACGTCCCACCAATTCTACCAAGAAAATAACACATCACAGATCTTTTCACCTGCCCCCTTTCCCAGGGTCACTGCCTTTATCCATCCCACCAATGCCTCTTGCTCAACTATAAAGCTCTAGCCTACTCCCCTGCCTCAGCTCTTACCCTCATAGTCCATTCTTCAGACATTGACCAATGTGATCTGTTTTATATAGAAGATTAGAACATGTCCTCATCAATTTAAAAGCCTACATGGTTTTCCACTGCTCCTGAAACAAGACTTCTAGCCATGCCTACCAGGCCCTGTCTAGTCTGGCCCTGGCTACCTCTTATTTTAATTCCATGCACTCCCTCCCTCACTGTTTGTGCTGCAGCCACAGGTTCCCACCTCAGAGCCCTTGCACTTTCTATTATTTCTGCCCAGAGGCTCATCCCCGAAATGTATGTGTGGTTCATTCTCTCATCTCATTTAGATCTTGGCTCAAGAGGCTGCCCTTGATTCTTCTCCCCACCCCAACCCATATCCTGAGGACCTGGCCTTGCATGCTTGCCTGTTTATCTCCTTATTGTCCATTTCTCCTTCTAGAATGAAAGCTCCTTAGGAGAAGGAAAACCTTTTTTTCGTTCACTTCATTATCCCTGGTGTCTACAACAGTGCCAGGCACATACAAGGTGCTGGATCAATATTTTTTGAATGAACAGATCATCCCCTCTGGGTACTCAGGCTTGCATCCCTTACATTATTTTTCCGACCTCATGGTCCTGGTCTCCCCAGCCTCTCAGAACGCCAATCCACCCTGCTCCTTCTCCTCACCCTCCTCTTTGCCTCCACTGTCTCTGGCTTTCCCCAGGCTGTCTCTCACTTCTCAGGCTGCTCCTTCCTCGGGCTGCCTACCCACTCCTCCGACCTCTGCAGACATGTGGAGACCAAGTCTCAACCTTCTGGTCTCACAGCTCCCAGTCGGTGGTTCCCGAAAGCTGACTGAGGAGACATTGAGACCACCCTCCCTCCCAGACACAGCCAGGGCTATCTCCTACAGCAAGTCTATCTTCCCAGAGCCCAGAGTCACAGCACAGAATGTGGGAAGTTGGCCAACCTGCAGGGGGCTTGTCTGGGTCTCTATTCTCACCTCCAGGGGATGATAATCTGTCCCATAGGCCCCTAGAGCCACCTCTAGACCCCACCCTATCCTGCTTCCTCTTTCTCTTACTTCCAGCCCATCAATTCACTCTGATGTGCATAAATCTTCCCTGGATCCCCAGGCCTAGCAGTCCAAAGCCTTTCATAATCTAGTCTCAACCTCCCTTTTCCAATCCTATTTTCCACCTTTTTCAGAGACAAATCTAATTCTTCAGCCAGACTCCTTTATTCCCCAGGCCTCCAGCTTGCCACTTGCTTTCCCATCTGAGGGCCTTGCTCCTCCTGCCTGGAATGCCCTCCTCCCAGTGCTGCTCACTGGAACCTCCCCCGCTGCAGGGATTCTGCCTTTGTCCTCGGGCCACTTTGATGGTTTTCACTTTGCCAGGGCACTAACATTGTTGTGCCCACATTTCATCTGCTCTCAGTTCTCTGAAGGGAAGAAGCATGTCCTATTCATCTATAGGTCCCCTGCAGGCTAAATTCAAATTAACTACATGTGTCAACACAGCGTTTCCCTGGGTGTGTTAGGTAGAACACACCATGATATACTCTACAAGAGAAAGGAAGAGAAAGGGAGGGAGAGAGGAAAAGAGGGAGGGAGGGAGGAAAGAAGGAAGGAAGGAAGGAAGGAATATTTTTTTTAAAAGGATGTGGATGCTGGGCACGGTGGCTCATGGCTGTAATCCCAGCACTTTGGGAGGCTGAGGCAGGCAGATGACCTGAGGTCAGGAGTTTGAGACCAGCCTGGCCAACATGGTGAAACCCCGTCTCTACTAAAAATACAAAAATTAGCTGGGTGTGGTGGTGGACGTCTGTAATCCCAGCTACTCGGAAGGCTGAGGTGAGATAATCGCTTGAACCTGGGAGGCGGAGATTGCAGTGAGCCGAGATCACGCCATTGCACTCCAGCCTGGACAACAAGGGTGAAACTCCATCTCAAAAAAATAATAATAATAAAATAAAAAAAGAAAAGGGTGTGGATTTCATGTTTAAATAATACTATCGACCACCTTCTTGAACATTCTCCGTGCACCCTAGGAAATTAAATGATCTGAGAATTCCAACAGTTAAGAAATCTGTTTATCTCTGTTTCCCACAGCTTTTCCCAAACAGATCTGACTACTGAAACCACTTGCTGCATTTATCCCTTTCAACAAGCTATTTGGAGAAAATACTGATTGAAAGGATGAGAGTTTGGGGACATGGGTCGGCACTGCAGGGAAGGTTCTGTGATGGGGAGGTGGAAGGATGGGAATCACTGTCAGGCTGGGAAGGTTGGCCTTAATCCTATAAAGTGAGTTTCTCAAACCCAGGCACCCATTCCCCAGGGTGTGCCCGGGAGACTGGGATTCCCAGGAATGACAGGGCACCACGTGCCCCTTGGAGCATCCATATTAGTGGAAGATTTGGTGGGTGGGAATGAATGGCTATGTATTATTATATTAAAACAAACACAAATTTATGACTCAACAGCATGCACAATTTGAGTAGAATTTTCAGCCAGAATGTTGAGTTTGTGCTGGCTGTTTGCTGTTAAGCCTTCAGACTGTCCCAGGAAGTAGGAGCTCCTTGCCTCTGCAGTTTGGGGAACTTGGTGGAAAAGTGTGGGCAGCCCTGATAAGCAGTCGAAGGCTCTTCCGCAGGGCCCATCACAAAGTCAATGGGATGTTGGGGAGATTAGCCTTGCAAGGAGATCAGGGTGCGGACAGTGGGAGGTGAGAGCTCTAAGGAGATTAGCTGGCCATGTCCTGTTGTAACCAAGCACATGGGTAAAGGCAAATGCATCGTTGCACCAACTGCCCCTGCCTATGGAGTAGGGGTATCCATATGTTATGGACCGTGCAGTTGCATTTCTGCAACCAGACCTGAAATGCACCTACAAAAGGGGCCCACCAGGCCCCAGACCCTCTTCATCTCTGCACCAGGTCCCTCCAGGACCCACACAACCACCAGCCACAGGTACAGGGCCCATCCCACCCCACAGCCATGGAACACACATACTAAGAAAGCGCTGGTAAGCCCACCCAACTTGCCCCCGTTCCCACCAGCTTTCTGGATACCCTTAGGCTCCCAGTGTGGGCTGACTCACCCATATCCTTGGGGAAAGAGGTACTGCGGTCCATCTCCTGCCATTAGGGGAGGGTCTCGGGGGTTGGCAGACATCTTTGGAGGTGTCCTCTGAGGGTAGGGATAATTGGGCTGGACAAAAGGGATGTAGCTCAGCAGAGGGGTGTAGGAAGAGCGGAAGATCTGCTGTCCCATCTGCTGTGGGTTGTATGGCATCACCTGCACATCACAGAGAAGAGAGGGGTGAGGTCACCATTCCCCAGCCCAACTCTAACCCCAGCCACCCACCCCCAGTCTCAGCCCCTGTGCTCCTCAGTCACTGCTGGGTACACAGAAGGCAACATGTTGGAATGGAGAAAGCCTAGGGCTCAACTTATGTAGTGAGCCTGGCAAGTTACCTAATTTATCTGAGCCTCAGTTTCCCCATCTGCAAAATGGGAAAACACTATCTACGTTGTTAGTGGGGATAGAGTCAGGTGATACAAGTAGAGAGACAGGCATATAGTAAATAGCAAATCAATATTATTTCCATTCTCTTCCCTGTTTGCCTAGCTTTTCCCTCTGTCAATAACCATCTCAAAAGCTCCTTGTTTATTTTTAAGGCTTTCATTATCCCCAAAAAGCTGTTGTGATTTACACAGCTCTGGCTTCTATCTCTCTTGAGAGCCTTTCAACAGATTGCAAGTCCGAGACAGCCCTACCCAGTGGAAAGTCCTGGGATGGCAGCAATGTCCTACATCTGTGCCGTGTGACATGGAAGCCACCGGCCACACACGACAATTGAGCATTTGAAATGTGGCTCATGGGCATGAGGAACTGAGTTTTGAATTATACTTAATTTTAGCTAATTTAAATAGCCACACATAGCTGGTGGCTGCCATAGTAGACAGTGTGAGTCTAGGAGGAAGGGCAAAAAAAGGCAATGGGGTTGAGCACAAACTCTAGGGAAATACAGGAATTCAGTGGTGCTTCCGAGATTGCCCGTGATGAACTCCGACCTAGAACTGGGGCTCCCACCATCTTGCCGCGACAAGTCAGAGACCTCATCCATCTTGTTGACCACTATCTCCCCAGCCCTAAGACAGTGCCTGGGACACAGTCACTGCTTAACAAACATATGTTAAATGAATGAATGCAAGAAAGGGAGAGAGAGGAAAGCAAAGACGGGCAGAAGGAAGGAGGGAGGAAAGAAAAGACCACTAAGGCATCTGCTTGAATACCTAAATGATGGGGGGCTCGTTACCTAATGAGCACTACATTCCACTACTGACAGCTCCAAATATGAGAAAACCTTTTCTCATACGGAGCTGATGTCTATCCTCTTGTGTACTGAGGGGAGTATCAGTTAGAATTTGAAGAAACTTCTGGATTTCCACTTTAATAGCAAGTCTGGGGTCCAAGTGCTCAGGAATCAGGCACTCTGACAGCCCTCTCTCACCCCATACACCCTTATCTAAAAAAAAAAATCCACAAAGGGGGCTGGGTGCGTTGGCTCACGCCTGTAACCGAGCACTTTGGGAGGACGAGGTGGGTGGATCACAAGGTCAGGAGTTTGAGACCAGCCTGGCCAATATGGTGAAACCCTGTCTCTACCAAAAATACAACAATTAGTCAGGCGTGGTGGTACATGCCTGTAGTCCCAGCTACTCGGGAGGCTGAGGCAGGAGAATTGCTTGAACCTAGGAGGTGGAGGTTGCAGTGAGCCAAGATTGTGCCACTGCACTCCAGCCTGGGCAACAGAGCGAGACTCCGTCTAAAAAAAAAAAAACAATCCACAAAGGCTAGCACTCATTGACTGCTTAAAATGTGCCCGGCCCTTCACATGGATGCTGTCGTTAAAACTCCAGAAAGCCCTGTGAGGTAGGGCCATTATTATTTCCAGTTTGGAAGCAGGAAATCTGAGGTTCAGAGAAGTGAAGCAACTTTCTCAGTGTTTCCAGCGTCTGAGTTGTGGTCAGAACCCCAGCAGGGTAAGCCCGGAGCCTATACCTTGGTTCTCACTAGCCTCTCTATGCTGTGTCCTCTTTGGAAACCTGAGTCCTCCCTCCCGGTCTTCCCCAATGTTCTCCAGTGGAGATGTGGGGCCTGGTGATGCTGGGCGCAGGCACCAAATCCCAAGGTGATGAGCTAAAGGTCAGAACATGCCAAGAGCACCTCGCAGGTCAGATGGGAGTCATGACCCTATGGGTCAGCATGGCAGAAAGTACCCCTGTCCTCATGGGGGAGGAAGTGCCTGGACCTGGGAGGGGATTGAAGTGGAGGAGGCAGGTCCTAGAGTTCACACAGTGTTATAAAAAAATGTGCCCCTGATTCCATGTATCTGATGAAACTATAAAGTAGAGCTTTGTAGCCTGCTCTGGAGCCATCTCCAAATATAATCCTCACTGACAAAAGCAATGGAACAGTGTGCCCAGAATGCCGCATTTATTTAAAAATGTTTATATAAATAGATATTGCCGGGAAAATATGTAAAAAACCATTAAACAGTGATTGCCTCCAAGTTTTAAAATTTTTTACCATGTTTTTATATTACTTTTTTCAAATACATACACATGCATGCATGCATACACATACACATAATTATTTAAAAATATTCTCTCTGGAGCCAGGTGGACGATATTCTTGTTCAAGGGGTGGAGGCAATGGGGCTGAGATTCCCTGACCCAGATCATCTCTCATCCCAGATTCATCTCAGGATGCAAGGGTTCCTGCTGCTGAGAAATCAGTGCTGGCCCAGGTAACAAGGCTCCCTACCCCTGCAGGCTCTTCCCTACCCTCCCGAACATTCTAACACATTTCAGGTCAGAGGTGCGGTTTGCACGGAGGGTGGGGCTCCCTGGGGAGACAGGAGAGGCAGAGGTTGTATGAGTTGGAGTGTGGGGGTGTCCACATTTGTGTGGAGGAGCAAGGCCAGCCTGGTGCTATGGCAGGCTGGGTGTTGGTGCCCTCTGCTCCTCCATTCTAAGCTCCTTTCCTCACACCCCCATCCCTGCCCCAAGACTCAATACCCCTCAATGTGCTTCTGTATCTATTTGTGTCCCTGTGCCTGCACACAGGCTCCTGCAGCTTGGTGGCATGTGTACAACTATACCTGTGTTTCTGTCTGCATGTGTGTGTGTGTGTGTGTGTGTGTGTGTGTGTGTTTGCATTTCTCTTTCTGCTGCTTTATTTTCAGGCAGTATTATTGTGCATCTAGGTACAAGATGTAGTAAAGCATGGTCATTGGAGTACCAGCCTGCCAAAGGTCAAACCTCAATTATTGTCCCACAGATATTTATCCTGACCTACCCATGAAAGTAGTGTTGCCAGATTTAGCAAATAAAAATACAGGACACCCAGTTACGTTCAAATTTCAGATAACTAATACATATTTTTAGCATAAGTATATCCTGTGCAATATTTGGGACATACTTACACTACACATTTTTTCCTTGTTTATCTGAAATTCAAATTTAACTGGGTGTCCTGGATTTTAACTGGCAACCCTGCGTGGGAAGAATATGACTCCTCAGTCTCACTGATGCTGAGCAAAGCCATGTCGTTTGCGTTGGCCAGTGGAAGGTGGGTGGAAGTTCCCACGGACAGGTCTGAGTTGAGGATTTCAGAGGCATCACGTGTTTCTGCTTGCCCTGTTGGGCTCTTGCCATCCACCGTGGAAAGAGCAAGAGGTACTGAATCTTCAGCAGAGGCCCAGGAGAGGCACATGGAACCCACCTAAACCTGATCCACAGCCCAGCTCAGCCAGCCCATAGACCCGAGCAAGAAATTAATATTCATTGTTGAAAGTCCCCGAGATGTGGCGGTTATGTATTGCCACAGCAACACCTAATTTGTATGTTCCCAAGTAACTTTATTACTTTGGGCAAGTTACTTACTTAATCTCTCTGTGCTTGGGTTTCCTCATCTATAACCTACCTCACAGGGTAATTTTGAAGGCTAAATTAGTTAGTGCAGACACAGTCCTTACGGACAGGCCCAGCACACAGGAAGGGCTCCATTAAGTGCCCAGTGTTGTCACATACGGACATCGGTTTGTGTTTTCCACACGCATGCCGGTATGTGAGTCTGTACTCCAGAGCCAATGGTGGGCCAGGTGTCTGGTCACCAGCTGGAAAAGGAGGAGGGAGCAGATGCACCCTCTGACCCAAAGGCCTTCATGGACCCAGGACAGAGGAGGAGAGATCGTCTACTCACCTGTTGGGAGTAACATCCCAGCTGCGGGTGCAAAGCCTGCTGATAGGGCATCCTCGCTGCCTGCTGTGGGTACAGGCCCTGGGGAGAAACAGAGGCTCAGTATGGCCAGGCAAGGGGTTTCCTGCCAGAAGGCATCAGCTACTCAGCTCAGTTCCCAGACAGGACTGAGTTTGTCCCATCACATTGCTGACCAGACCCATGGGCTGTCTGAGGCCAGCTGGAACCAGGCCAGGAGAAGCAGGACTCACATCACACAGGAAGCCCCTCTTAGGCAGCCTTCACAGCCTTTCTGATGAGTGTGGGAGACAGGAGCTTCAGGAGCCTGACTGCCTCCCGAGTCCCAGATCTGTGTTTTAGTGGCTGTGTGACCTTGGGCAAATCACATCTCTGAGCCTCTTTTTCCTTCTCTAAAAAATTGCATGTGCTCAGGCCTGCAAAGCCTATGAAGGTAGCCACATTATCTTTGTTGCTGTCCACACAACTTTTCTAAATGCCTTCCCCTAATCCCATACCTGCCCCCTGAAGACACAAGGTGTCTATGCACGTCTCTACGTGTGTGTGTTGGTTTGCATCCATGTTAAATACACCTGCATGTGTGTTTACATTTGTGTCTATGCAGCTGTGTATTTCTGTGTACAAATATACAACTGTGAACCCAGGTGTGTTAGTGTTGCTGTGTATCTATGTGCCCATCCATATACCTGTGTCTGTAGCTTACGGAGAGGGGCACTGTGAGGGTGAAAGTGTTAATACATCTAAAGAGCTTAGAACAGTGCCCTGCACATAGTAAGGACTCAATGTTCAGTGTGTTTGTCATCCATCACTGCCTCCTCCCTTAAACAGCTTTCTGGCAGTTCAGCCAGATGGGAAATTGACATTTTACTCACAATTCTGTCTTGAGGTGCTCATGTGTCCACACACAGACGTAAGACACACACACACACACACACACACACACACACACACACACACCCCGCAGAACTGCTGCTGTGGCAGTGGTCAGTTCTAGTCTCAGACTCTGCCTCCACCTGTCAATCCCGAGTTTTCCCTTAAGATGAGGCTCAAAACCCAAAGTACCCCTCAGCCCAGGACATCTTCTCAGAAGATCTGCTGCCCGAGAGGCTGCCTCCATTCTCAGCTCAGCTTGTGCCAATGACCAAAGTGTTGATGATGGCTGACCCTACACCCTTGAGGGTTCCCTCATGGCCTGTGGACTTTCTGATATGGAGTCTGCAAGTAGGTCTCCCTGCTCTCCTCCTGCTCCATCTTCCAGGTCCCCAAGAGTGTACCTCTTCTCAGAGCCCCTCCTTGCTCTCTGCTCCCATGCAGGGGACACTCCTGACATTCCCATGCTCAGGCCCCTCCCACTTTTGTCCACTCCTTCACCTGAAACCACTCACCTGCTCCCCTTTACTCCAAGCTCTACAGCCCAGGGCAGCCTCTCTCTCCTGTTATGACCACTGCCCGGTCCCTGCAACCCCAGCCTCTGCCTGAACCTGGACAGAGCAGTGAGACTGATGGTGTTGCCTTACCTGTTCTCAGCCCTCCATGAGCTCCAAGGCCACTAGGCATGTTGCTAAGTGTCCCTCCTCTGTTTCGCCGCCTCCTCTGATCCCTGTTAGCACTCATCTCTGCTTTCTACAGGCAGTCGTGCGCCTGCCTGTTTCTGTTTCTATGTGTGTGCATCAAACATGCATGGATATCGTTTGTGTGCAATTGTGTGTGTGCACGGCATCATACACAAAGATCTCTGCTGGGAGCATTCCATGTCACCATTTTTGAGACTCATCGTACCCTCTTAGAGGGTGACCAGAGCTATGCCTCCAGACCGCAGAGCCTAAGTTGCAGCAGCTGAGCTTCCCTATGGGAATCTTTCATCTTCCCTCTGCCTCTTTTTCATCATCTTCTCCCTCAGGTACAGCACTGAGCAGTCTCCAGAATGCCCAGCATGGGCCATGCCATCCACCCCTCACAGGAGCCCATACAGTAGGGACAGCAGAGGGCTTAAGCTGGTGGCCCTGGTCCTCCTGGGAGCACCAGGGAGGAAGGTGCCCCTTGCTTTCTACAGCCAACTTCCCCAGCCTCCACCATCCCACACCTGCTTGTGCCAGGCTGCCCTAGGCTCTGTGGATGGCAAACAGCTGCCCACCGCTGCTCAGTCCCAGGGCGGATTCTCAGGAGATGGTGCCACACTCATGAGTTAGAAAACACTGCATGACTTCAACAACATTTCTAGTTGTTAGAATTGCAAGTTTGTAACATCACAGGCAAGGGTAAATAAACATTCACTGTTCTTTGCTTAAGCCATGGTCCCTTCCCACGCACCCTCCCTCCTTCATTGGGAGCAGAGTTCCTTTATGCCAAGTAGCCCAGGAGCCTCTGAAGCTCCTCGGTGTTGGGGACTTTGTCTTTCACATCTCTGAGTCCTCCTACCACAGAGCTCTGAGTAAATTGGATTTGGGACCTTATCTTTATTCCCAGTGCTAAACAGGGAAAAGACCAGGCTAGACTGTTCCCCATTTCTCCTCTCTGTCCCCTCAAGGTCTGTGGAGCTCTCTGACCCCATTTCCTTGGAAGATTGAGGCTGAATAATAATAAAAACCAACATCTGTGTCACAGCTTAAATTTTACAGAGTCTTTACCCTTCCATGGACTCAATTAATCCTTACAACCATATCAGTAGCTACTGCTGCTGCTGCTGCAATTATTATGAACCCATTTCACAAATGAGGAACCATGGCTCTGAGCAGCTAACCAGCCTAAGGCCTAACTTGGAAGCAGCAGAACCTTTAAAGTCAAGTCTACTGGTTTCAAAACCTGCCTGCTATTATCTCAGGCCCCTTGATCAGCTATGTTGAAGCTGGACAGCATTGTGAGATCACAGAAGCTGGGAGAAGGTAAATTATGCTGTCCTTCCTTATTACCTGGGAGGACCAATGCCTTCCACAGCCAACTTCAGCTGGGCCCATTCAGTGCTTAAACTGTCTCAAAGAACCCAGCAGGCCTTACCAGCCAGGGTCCTTCTGCTGCTTCTGCTCAGAAGCCCAGGAACCTCATAGTCAGCCCTATGATGCTAAAGACAGAGGACCGTCATGCTCAGAAAATGATATGTCCAAATCTCACCCACTCCAAAAAGTCAGAAGAAATTAACATAGCAAAGAGATGCTATCCCCACTTAATAAAGCAAACCATTGCAAATTAGTTTTACACGGTGAGCTCTGTGAGGGCATTTTAGAGTGAATCGACTTGTACTAAATGAATTATGCAGTTGTTTCCCCTTTAGAGGTGGAGATGCATAGAGCTGATCTCTGGTTTATTCCTGAACTTGCATTAGACTCCAAGCTTTTCTTAGTCATCATTTTTTTTTTTTAGAGACAGGGTTTCACTATATTGTTCAGGCTAGTCTTGAACACCTGAGCTCAAGCAATTCTCCTATCTCAGCCTCTGGTGTAGGCTGGGACTCCAGGCACATGCCACCACACCTGACTTTAGTCATCTTTGAATCCCTCCACCTAGAACAATGCTCAGCCTCTAGTAGGCTTGTAGGGAGAAATGGTTTTCAAAATTACTTAAATTAATGAGTAAATAAATACATAGAAATGAGTAAATCGTGAGTAGGTGAGTAAATGAATAGTGAATAGGCACACAAAAATGAAAGGGTAGAATCATATTGGTAAAGGAGTCAGCGAATCAATGAACAGGACATTTCAAGACCTGTGTAAGGACAATAGACTACTGATATGAACAGGTCCATGACAATAGACTACTAATATGAAACTGGTCCACTTCAGCTTCCTTCTTAGGTCACCTTTCATCACAACCTCTCACCTCCACAATGGGGTGTGAGCTTTCCCTCCCTCGGGAGGGGACGGGTACTTGTTCTCTTTAGCAAACACACACACAAACAAAAAGCTTGAAAACAAAACAGAGAGAGACTTTGCTAAGTTCCTTTAAGATTCAGAAACTAAGCCTGGTGGACCAGCTTGAAGAGTCTTTATATGCAGAAGAGCCAATCCCCTTTCCCAATAGGACATAAGGTTTGTGCTGTGTTGAAAGGGAAAGAATGACATAGGGTTCCTAGGAGTGGAGAGCGGGGAAGGGACATAGCAACAGGACAAGCCGAGTTGGAAGTATTTCCTTCTTTGCTTTCTCACTTCAGGCTGTGCTGGGCCAGGCTGGGGCAGCAAATTGCCAAGGTCCTGAGTGCACAAATTTGAGTTCCTGCCCTTCCCCATACAATGACATACAATTCTGGAGAGAAGCCAGTGCGAGGAACAGAAGACAGAAATCTTAGGCATGGAGAATCTTTCCTGAAAAAATTGAGTTCTACCTAAAGGGACTATTTAAGTTATTGGATTGGGCTAAGGCTTAAACCAGAGTGGACATTTATTTAATTTTTCCCTCCTTCTACCCAGTGGGCGGCAGCTCTTAAGGGATATTAAGTTAAATCGACAAAATAAAGAAACTACATTTTCCCTGCATAAATAAGTTCTGTGAGTAGAATTTCCAGCCCTGCTACAGGTGCTTCACTGTCCCTTTGTGTCTGGCCATTGATTTTCTCCTTTAGCTATGATCCCAAGAACAAGAATGTGTGCCAAGCCACCTTGGTTGGTACAAAGCTAAGACTGCTTGGTGTAGTTTAAGTAAGGTGGCCATATACACTCATTCCACGGTATCCTCAGAGGATTGGTTCCAAGACCACCCTCCCTCCCCTGCCCTGTGGATACCAAAATCTGAGGATGCTCAAGTCCCTGATATAAAATGACATACAAAGATGCTCAAGTCTCTGATATAAAATGGCATTTGAGGGCCGGGTGCGGTGGCTCACCCCTGTACTCCCAGCTCTTTGGGAGGTGGAAGCAGGTGGATCACATGAGGCGGGGAGTTCAAGACCAGCCTGGCCAACATGGTGAAACCCAGTCTCTACTAAAAATACAAAAATTAGCGCACATACCAGTAATCCCAGCTACTTGGGAGGCTGAGGTAGGAGAATCGCTTCAACCTGGGATGCAGAGGTTGCAGTGAGCCAAGGTCATGCCACTGCACTCCAGCCTGGGCGATAGAGTGAGACTCTGTCTCAAATAAAATAAAATGGCATATGAGGATGATCTAGTCCCTGATATACAATGACATATAAAGATGTTCAAGTGCCTGATATAAAATGGCATATGAGGATGCTCAAGTCCCTAATATAAAATGGCATAGTATTTGCATGTAGCTTATGCGCATGCTCCTGTATCCTTTAATCTCTAGATTACTAACAACGCCTAATAATGTACTATGTAAATAGTTATTATACTGTATTATCTTTTACTCGCATTATTTTTTGTTGTTGTATTTTGTTGTTGTTGTTGTTGTTTTCTTCTTCAAGTAGTTTCCATCCAAGATTGGTTGAATCTGTGGATTTGGAACCCATGGATACAGAGGGCTGACTGTAATTTGTTGTCCAAACCAGGACACTTGAGAGTGAAAAGGGATGCCATTCATATTATTCTGGAACAGAAGACCTAAATTGGGACTGTCCCAAATAATCTGGGATATATGTCATCCAACTTCAAAGGAAGTCACAGGAGAGAGGTGGGAAACAAGGACTGTGACATCATCTTCTCCTGGGAGCCCAAGCACTTAACCAGCCACAACTAGCAAAGAGACTCTGCAATAAAGAGCACAGTGTGAACTGGAATTCGGACAATGGAAAGTTAGGACTAAATATACATATGTGTGTGTGTGTGGAGGTGTGCGCACGCATGCACATGAACCAAGGGGTAGATCTGATGTG
This sequence comes from Homo sapiens, assembly GCF_000001405.40. NCBI lineage: Eukaryota > Metazoa > Chordata > Mammalia > Primates > Hominidae > Homo > Homo sapiens. The sequence continues at coordinate 34,202,455 of NC_000001.11, read as the reverse complement.
ACTACAATGAAAAAAATAACCAACAAGCTGACAAGTTGACAGCGCCCTTCCATAGCCCCAGCGAAGCCTCTTGCATGTAGGGAAGGGATTCAGAGGAGTCTAAAGACTCTGTGAAATAGACCCCCTGCCAGCCACTCCTTCTCTGTGGCCAAAACCCCCGTGGATGTCCACAGGAGAGCCAGGCCAGCTCACTGACCTGATACTGCAAGAAGGTAGAGTGATTCGTGAACACTGGTGGAGGTGGATAGTTCAGGTTGAGCCAGAGTGGCTGGTTCAGGGTTGCTGAGGTCATGGCTGTAGGAAAGTGTGGAGTGAAAACATTCCCTGTGTACTTCGGGTTGTTCTTGTCAGCAACCGTCACAGGTGCGTTAACTGCAAGTCACAGGAGAGGCAAAGCGGGTCAGTGATGGAGGCAGGGAGAGGCCAGGACACCTTCAGCATCGCAACTTCCTTAGGGATTCACAGTCTCACAGGTCAGGTCCTTTAAGCTCCAAGAGGGTTCTTCAAAGTTCTAGTACATTTCCAACTATAGGTAAACATCATTAGTTCACACCTTGCCAGTTTGGAAGGGATGAAAATCCCAGAAGGTCTGGCTTGGAGCTTTTCTTTCCATCATTCACTAGTAAAGAAGGCAATTTAGCAAGGGAATACAATAAGCCAGATTGCTAGGCCTATATTTCACCTACTTACAAAATGAAATTCTTTCAACTGCTTTGGAAAAATCCAACTTTATGTGAACCATTGCTATGCCATTGGAATTCATCCTTATCAAATGATTAAAGCAGCCCCTCCCTAAGGACATATATTTGGCAACACTAAGAAACTTTCACAGGTTGTTGTATCTATATGGGAATTTTAAAAATTATATTTTAAAACATTAAATAATTCAGCATGCAGTGACTCAAAATTGGTCTAAACAAATGAAGTTAGGTTGAGTTGTTTCAAGATCAGAATCCTGGATTCTTCCTTTCTACAAGATGTTGTGGGGGCTTATAAAATCAGAAATGGGTCCTCAGTTTCCCCTTATTGGCATCCTTTTGGGAAAAGAGGTTTGACTAGAACCCTTGTAGGAAAAGAAAGCGGGAACATAATCTCAATATAGAAATAATCTAAAGCAAGGATCTTTTGTTTTGGCTTGGGCAATTTGAGAGGATATAATACATGCTGGGTCAGGGCTATATTCAGAAGTGACCATTAATAATGCTGACGTGACCCTTGAAAGCCAACTACACTTCTCTAGCAACTGTATTCCCAACAAGGGATATGGGGAGAAAGTCATTGCCCCCATTTTATGGGTTTAAAAACTGACACCTCTAGAAAGGCAGTAGATAAGACAGCCACTTGGTGACAGAGCCACCCTGAAGCCTGTGAGGGTCACTGCAACCCCCTCCCCTCCAATCCCTCCCTGGGTAGGTCAGCTCACATTTCAGCTCCGGCCCATCCACTTCCACTTTGTTTCGAAGTCTCGGCTGCCCGCTTGGGTTCTTGGTGGCCCCAAGGAACTCATAGAGCAAGTTCTTCTCGGCTGGACATGTAGGTTTCTTGGGCGGCAGGGTCAGTGATGCGGTGCCCACTGCGTCACAGCAACCCTCCTCACCACAGGCGTCCTTCTGGCTCTGGGGCCACTGGCTGAGAAAGAGGCTCCCTTGACCCTTTTTTGGCTCCTTGGTGCCAGGGCTCCATTCTGTAGCAGGAAAGAAACTGAGTCAATGCCTCTGGAAGGCCAAGTGCTGGATGCTGGAAGCACCTTTTTGTGGACTAAATGATGAATCCTCTGCAGCACACACCTGAGGCTTGGACCACTTTGGGGGACTCTCTTTCAGCCAAATACAATCCCAATCTCTCCCTGAAACCCTCCCTGGCCCCTGCCCCCCGATCTCATGCATCCATCAATCCATCCATCTGTTCATTCATCCACCCATCTGTCCATCATCTTTGCCTTTCTTCCTTCTATCCGTCTACTTATCCATCCATCCATCTGTCCATCCATTTGTCTGACTATCCATCTTTATCTTCCTGCCTTCCTTCCATCCATCCACCCCTTCATCCTTCCTTCCATCATTCCTTTATTCGAATTACCTTTCTTTTCTTTCCTCTCCTTCCTTACTTTTCCTCATTCCTTCCACTATTCCTTCTCTCCAACCATCCATAGTGCCAGGCTGCGAAAACAAGGATGTTGTGGACACAGTTCCTGCCTTCAGTGAGCACATGGCTTAGTGAAGGAGTCACACATTCTTACAGAACATGTGGTCTGAGCCACACACTTTGGTCTCTCATTCTGGATTCTACTTTTGTTTTATTACTCACAGGTGATTCAGCTCACTTGTCAGTGCCAGGCCTTGACCTGAGTGCTGGGGACACAGTTGTGAGTCAGAGCTAGACTGTGCCCTGCAGGAGCTCATAACAAGAAAAAAAGAGAGACATGCCCAGAAATAGCCCCAGGATAAGGTAGATGAACACCATGAGGTGGCAGAGGGAAGAAATGGAGAACAGGGTGGCTGAGGCTGCTTCTGTCTGAGAAGGTTCCTTCCAGAAGGAAGTAGGGTTGCAGCGAGGCCTTACATCCAGGGGTATTGGGGAGGAAGGCATGGCAGGCAGGGATAACTGTGGGCAAAGGCCTGGAAGCATCAAGGAGACATTGTGAGTCACTGGATATGGCTAGAGTGTGGAGCAGGGACAAGATTGGTGGCAGACACAGGTTTCTCACTAAAGAGACTGAGCATTTATTCTCCCAATGCAGACATACTTTGGGGACCATCACAGGATCCTCCACAGCAGTGGTGGGAAACCTGGCCACCCACCAGATGGCTGTGCACTGTGCTGCCCAATAGCAGGCACCGGGATCTGTCTGGATGCAGCCAGAAAGGACCTGTGCCTCAGTGTTACCTGTTGATAATAATAGACCAGATCCCACCAGCTTTTGGCCCCCTAGCCCAGCGGCTTGGGGGCTGAGCTTCGGGGCTAAGGCTGTCTTCCTAGCACTATTCCAGCAAAGGAAAGAGCTGCTCTAGCCTGAGCCAATTTAGAAGGAAACAACATTTTTAGCAAAACATCCCTAGAGTCTTTTCCAGGAGTTCCTCCGGTTGCCGAATTCAGCCCCTAGCCTGTGAGCTGAAATAACAGTACCCACTGATAATAGCCCTTTCCCCAGAGACACACACACCTGCAGCTTCCCACTCATATTTACAGATGCCTTAAACATCTACGAAGCTCCCTCGTCCCAGGTCTGGGCACACAGACATAGACACACTCCTATCTGTTGTTCCTTTGACTTAGTTACACATACACAAGTACATACATGACAGACATATGCACAAATGTGTACACAGACATGCTTAGACACACCACTCTTGCATTTTCTCTAACAAATACACTAAAACCTTCAAAACTCCTTTTGGCACACTTTTGCTCACACATTCGTACACACAGACATGCACCAATGGTGGGTGGGGTGGGTGGGACCAGAACTGCCTCCAGTCCAGCAGCCCCATCCAACAGGGAAATATCTATGGGTCCCTTCTGGAGAAGAGGTAGGAGGAAGGTCTCCTCTCTGGGAAGAGCTCAACCGTCTCTCTCCTACAGCTCCCCATCCTAAAGCCCTCTGGCTCCTAGAAGCCTGTCCAGGACCCAGAGTTCAGCTTGCTATCCACAGCTCTGATTCCTTGGCCTTCCTGCAATGCTCCAGGACACAGAATGTTCAGGATGACTTTGCTCTTATTTTCTCAGGTAGATTAATTTGGACCCTCCCAATACGGGTGTCTCTCAGTTATCCATCCATGCTCATAGCCCAGAGGAAATTGTTCTTTTGGCTAACATGAGTATGATCACTCTCTTAGTGACTGCTGACTCTAGGCAATGGCCATGGCCATCAGCCTACCTTCTTGGAACCATATAGTCTGACTGGTTAGATCAGAACAACACACAGAATCCTGGGCATAAAGTAGGAGAAGCTTGGGAGGTGGCTGGCTTTCCTGGGAAGAATGTGAGCTCCTCAATAAAGTAAGTCCCAGGAAACAGATCCCAGAGTCAACAGTCTGCACTATGCCTGGATAATTTACGCATCTACCCAATACCCCAGAGAGGGAGGACCAGGCCTCATGTCCTCAAGGTACCTCCATGAGATAGATGCCAAATGACCCCAGCTACCAATCAAATTTCTCTTCTATACATCTTGGCATCTCCATGCTGTAGTTTCACCCTGAACCCAGCTAGGGTAAACACTTCCTTCAATGTACTCTGGACACCCGTTTGATTCCAAAGTTAAGCCAATTACTACATGGCGCCTATTTCTCTTCTCAAAGTATGTTGAGATCAGGGCCTCTGGGTTTGCTTACAAAAGCTGTGCCCTGCACAGGGGAACCCAGCAAAATAAGCCTGTGGGGGCTGGAAACAGCCCGTCCCTCGGGGCTGTGCCCACCAGAGAGGCTGCTTTGTCTTGCTTTGCATGAAGATGCTTTATGTACATGCTGCAGCCCTGATTGGCTTCCTGGGAAGGACCTCCTCCTTGCAGGCCCACTCTACCCCAGTTCCAACCCCACTCACCCATCAAGTGGTGCCTCTCCACAGCAGGGTCAGCCTTGGGCTTGGAACAGATCTTGGCAAACACTGGGAGCTGCCTCTTCTGAGCAGGGAGCTCAGGGAGCTTGTCAGGACGTGCAGGAGGAGGTCGGGGAGGCAGCAGCAGAAATGGGCTCAGCCCTGTGGGCTCCTTGGGTCCAGGGCCACTGAACAGGTTGTCCTGTAGGAAGTCCTTGGTGACCCTTGTCTTGTCCAGCACATTCTTGTTGTCAGGGACCTTGGATGTCTCAGTGGACTTCAGTGGGAACTGGGACAGAAGCTTGCTGACTTGCAAGTTGGAGTCACCTAGGATGCGGCCCCTGTCCTCTGTCCCCTTGCTGCTCTTGACCTCGGCGGCACACAGAATGTCTGTGACAGTAGAAGTGGCAGAATCACAGTCCTGCCTGCTGCTGATAACGGGCATGGCCACCTTCTGCTTCAGAAGCTTGTCTCCGACAATGATGGAGGCTCTGGGGCGCTCATTACTGCCTGCCACTAGAGGAGGGGCAAGAATGCAGGGAGCCAGCTCTCTGGTCCCCTCGGGAGAGCTGCCGGGTACCTCCAGCTCCCCAGAACTCTCTTCGACCAGGATCGAGTGCTCTTTGGTGAGGCTTAGGAACTCCTGTTCCACCAACAAGGAGATCTCATCTTTGCCACTGCTGAGCTCCAGAGCTCTGGAAATGGGTCAGAGAGACAGACGGTGTTAGTGCCAGCTCACCAAGGCGTGGCTTTGCAGAAGGACATAGGCCCCAGAAAAGGGAGATGGATGCATAACATGACAAAAACACACTTCCAGGCAAGATAACCCAGCAGACACACTGGACCCCCAGAGGGTCCTATACCACAGCGGTAGGATGCAGCACTGAGAGCATGGTTTTGAAAAATGGGGAAACCTGGATCCTCTCCCAACAACCTTGCTGAGTGAGCTGGGGCAAGTCACAGCCTCACTGAGCCTTAATTCTAGTCCATTCCTCCTTGTTCTTCATGCTCAGAACCTGAAGCAATGAAAGACCAGAGAAGGGGTTCACTGGGGAATTTTGCCCAGCAGCAAAGGGGTCAGGAGCAAGCCAACAGCTCTAAGTGCAGAGTCTAGGGTGCTGGGGCTGAGCCCTGGGAAGCCCCCAGGAGAGTAGCGCAGCCCCCATCACCTCACTGCAGAATGGTGGAGTGGACAGCCTAAGCTTACACCCTGATCCAGTCAACTCCCATCGGTGTGACCCTGGGCAGGTTGTTCAGCATCTTGGTATTCTGTCTCCTCCTCTCATTACTAGGAGTATCATAGAGGTGCAAAGCACTTTGAATGGTGTCTGGCATAGAGTAAGGGCGATTCAAAGGTCAGCTCTCATGTTTACACCACTGTCAGCCTTAGTTGGTCCCCGCCCCTGGATCTCATACGGTAGCCTCTTGGATACTCATGTTCACTCTGGCATGGCCTCTGACCCGATCACAGCCTCTGGACTGGGCCTCCCTTCATGTACAGCACCAGCAGTGGGGAGATCCCTGCACTGATCCCTGCACTGATTCACCAGGATCTTCCTGAACCTAAATAATGGCCTCAACCTGCCCCTTGGACCCTGGGTCCTCCGCTGCACACTTGCTGGTCTGCACCTGTCTGATAGCACCTGATGGTCTCCTGGCTTTTAGGCTCCTCGTTGCCACTTCTCTCCAGGTGTAGAGAGGATTGCAATCCTACTGGCCTGGCTGGTGGCCCCGCCCACCTCACCAGCACTCTTGGCAAGCAGGCACCCAGGAGGACAAGAGCCACCAGCCTAGAACCATCTGCTGTGCCTACTCAAGGGGCTCCTATGAGAAGTGGATGAGGTGGCCCACACCAAGCATTCTGGAAACTACTCAGCCTTCTATCATGGGAGCGCTGAAGGAGAAGATGATGAAGACCCAAGGGAAAAAATCAAGGAGTCCCATAGGGGAGCTCAGCTGCTGTGGCTTAGGCTTTGCAGTCTGGAGGTCCAGCACAGGTTCCAGCTCTGGCCAGCCTCTCAGAGGGCATGATGAGTCTCCAAAACGGTGACCATGGAATGCTTCCAGCAGGGTCCATGCCTTCCTGGTAATGCTTATTGTGTACAAACGCACACACACACACACACACACACACACACACCCACGAACAGAAACAGGCAGGCACACAATTCACATGTCACCATACACAGACCCAGGGGAGTAGTCACTGCATTTAACAGTCAATCAGAATGGACACAGTCTACAGTCTTAGAGGCTTCCTATTGTGCCAGACAGGAAACCTTTAGTTGCTGGGTCCTGATGAGTCCTGAGGCAAAGACTTGGTAGCCCAGGGTGCTTGGGGACCCTGGGGAAGAGCTATGTACTAAAGACATGGGAATGTACCAATAGTCCAGCAGCCAAGACAGCCGTACTTCTTGAACATGAGCCTCTCTACCCCCACATGGAACATCACCAGGCTTGGAGGCAGAGAGTAAAGCCTGCAAAAAGCAGACTCCAGACAAACAGACCTGGGTTTGAATCCAGGCACCACTGCTCTTTTCATGTCGGACCCTGGAACCTCAGTGTCCTCCCCTGTAAAATGGGTGTGACACCTAACATCACCTGCCTCATGGGATGGTTGGGAGCATTGGGCGAGGTCACTGGTACGTGAGCTCAGCACAGTGCCCTGTGCACAGGAAACATTCAGTCAGTGTCAGCTGTGAGCATTAGCTAGTGTGGGCTGGTCCCGGCCAGCTCCTGAAGGGCCACTGGAGCTATGTGTGCAGCAAGATCACTTGCTGTTATTTTCTCTTTCCCTCCACTCTCTCTTCTGTCCCCTTTCCCTGACTTGTCACCTATTCCCTTCCTTTGCCTCCTTCCCATGTCTAGACTTAGGCCTATAAATAGGCCTCACTTTCCCGGCTGAGTCCCCTGAGAACAATCAGAATAAAGGGGCTGCCAATCTGCGGTCTCAAGTTTTAGATCCCCCTCCTCTTCTTCCTCTTCATCCACCTCAAAAGGAACAGGTGAGTCTCAAGTCACAGGAGTCAGACTAGTTTTTGCCTCCCCTCCCCAAATACTTTGCAAAGCAAGCCATACACCAATAGCTTCACTGAATTAGAAAGACACAGTACAATTAGGTCAATTTTTAAAAATTGTGATAATGGTATTGTGGTTATGCCTAACAACAACAAAGAGTCCTTATCTCTTAGCGATACATACTATTTACAGAGAAAATTATGCCGGGGAATGCCTTTAAAATTAATCCAGCAGGAGGAGGGAAAAGAAGAGAGAGGGAGTAATAGATGAAACAAGATTGGCCATATGTTAATCATTGCTAAAGCCAGGTAATGGTTACATAGGGTCATCACACACTAGTCATTCTATTTGTCTGTATTTGCTTTCTGCTTTATTTTATACAAATATTACACGCACATACTCAAAGTAGCTTCTAGAAGCCCCACAGGGCCCTGAGATCCCTGTACCAAAAATCACCCCATGATGGTCCCTTCTCAGCACCTGGGAGGTCACTCCTGCCCTCCCCAACCTGAAGCCAGGCTAGCAGACAGGAACTACCAGGGGCTGAGTGTGAATCCCTGCTCTGCCTCTCAAGAGCTGCCTTCTACACCTTGTATTCCTCATCTGTCAAGGTCAGACTGTGAGCATTCTATAAGTTGTACAAAACACTTAGCACAAGCTGGGTGCATAGTGGGCCCTCGAGAAATGCTCACAGCATAATTATTATAATGTAATTATCAATGTTTAGATCTTAGTTACGATGCACCCATATGTGCCTCTGCACAACTTTTCCTCACAGGCATCCAGAACAATGAAGAAAGCATCTTCCCCATTCATTCCCACACTGCAGCCTTTGTGGTGTTTAAGGAAACACTCATGTCCCCCCCAGCTGCAACCACCTCCTTGTCTCCATTCTGAACTCACGGTGGGTTTCAGGGGATATGGCCTCCAGAACCAACCCCTCCAGGCCATTCTCCTCTACATACCACAGGAATCAATGAGGCTCTTAGAAAGCTGGCATTGGTGTGTCAAGAACATATGGGCCCGCCCCAGCTGTGAGCCCTGCTACGTGCCCTTGAAAGGTTGCCGCAGGATATCCATTCTTCTCTTGCCAGCCTCTACAATTAATATTTCCCTTGCATTTGCCGTGAGCCTACTATGGGCCACACAGGAAGCCAGTCATCCATATATGTGTTCATATTTAATCCTACCCATATGCCTGGGCAGTAGCCTGGATCATCCCCACTTTACATATGGGAAGAATGACCCTGAAAGGCTAAGGGCCTTGCCACAGAGGGAAGAAGCTGATGTAGGGACTTGGCTGGGTCCAGCTGCCTCCACTAATTCCTCCCCACCCCCAGCCTGGGCTTCCTTTCAGGAGATTGTTATCCAGCAAGGTCTCCCTGATCCCTGGCCAGGCGTTGTTCCCCAATCTGAATGCACTCAGGAATATTGCTGGTTTCGTCCCATCACTCCAGCCTGTGGAGGATCATCACAGTGAATCTTGAGCCTGTCATCCGTGGCATTAGCTGTCCCTGACAGCTCCATGTCAGCTGCATGTCTGATGAGCACATCTTCTGAGTCTTCCGCCAATTTACAAATAGAAATGTTGAACAGGAGAGAGTCTGGGGCAGAGCCTCAGGGACACTACCGGAGACTCTCCTCCCAGCCTGACAGTAATCCTGGATCAACATTTTGGGGGAATAAATCATCCCCATCACTGTCATCACATCTCCATTCCCTCCCAAGAGCCTTTATCAAACACTTCGCTGCCATCGAGATTCGCCATATAGTTAAAAGTCCCTGATTCAGGGTCTCCTTCCACCACGCCCCTCCACTTCAAGAAAACAAGATCTGCTTGTTCTTATTTATTCTAGAAAACTACGTGCCTGCAGAGCTAGGACATTCTCAGAACTCAGATCAAACCATTCCCCTGCTGAAAATCCTCCTGTGGATTCTCACTACACACAGGATAAAATCCAAACTCCTTTATGATGCCCTACACAAATTGGCCCCATCTCCTCCCTCTTCCAGTCATGTTGGGCTTTTATCTACCCCTTGAAATGCTAAGTTCATTCCAGCCCGAGGGCCTTTGCACTTCCTATGGAATGCTTCTCCCTGCAACCCCCCAGTGTCCCTTGACTGGCTCCTCCTCATCACTCAGGCCTCGGTTCCAGTGTCACAGTCTCAAAGTAGCCTTTCCTGCCTATTTTTAAAAGTGTCCCTCCCCCACCTTCCTCTGTCAATCTGTTTATTTTCTTCACAGCGTTTGTACCATCACCTAATTTAATAATATCCTTTTTGTGTCCTTACTCCACAAGGGCAGGGACTTTATCTTGTTCACCACAGAGGCCTCCAAACCTAGAACAGTGTTTGGCACATAACTCCAGCTCAGTCGGGATGTGTTGAATAAAGGACTGAACAAGTTCACTTGCCTTTACCCATGCCAAGACCTCTAAGAGCTGGTTGCAACCTGTCTGGCTTTGGTTCCATTTTCTGGCCTTTCATCTCACATCCCATCTCTGGCCTGGCATCCCTGTGAGCCGATCAGATGGCACTAACCATCCTGCTTGACCCAGTCCTAAGACCTCCCAAATTCTGCAAGGCGGTCCCATGGCAGACCCCACACAGAACCCGCATTGACCTTGAGTAATCACCTTGGGGCTCACAGAAAGATTTTGTGGGCACCCGACCACTTTGCTGGGTTCACGGTTAGGCCTGCTCACCCCCATTTCCTGTAATCTACCTTTTTCCCCCAAGTTTTGCCAGTCCTGGCATCTCTCCTGTGCTATTCGCTTTCTCTTTGGGGTTGGGAAAAACCACCTAATCTATCACAGACTCTATCACAGCGAATCATTCAGGGAGGTTAACCCAGCTCCTGGGCTCCTGACAAAAGAAGCAAGTCAGAATCAGTTCTGCGGCTCCAGCTCCACGCGGTGCCACCTCTGCTTTGCCCATCTCCAGAAATGATAGTTGTCCAATAGTAGCGCCATACTCGGATGCTGTGCATTATTTCTGCATTTGTGGTATACAGAGTCATACAAAAATAAAGGCTATTGACTGGTTGGCACCCCTTCTCAGAATAATGACTAAGCAAGCATGCTGTTAGCTCCCCAACAGCAGTTCTGTGTACATGATAACACAGAGCAAAGATGAAAACTGCTATTCATCTGAGCCAAACAACAGAAAAATGCAAGCAGAAAATTGTTAGTGCTGGAGGAGGATACCAAAACAAATATTTTCTTCCAGCTATGAAATTTTAGACCAATGACAAACACAGTACCCAAGGCAACCTGGCGGATTAGAGTGAAGTGGAGGGCTCTGGGGTCAGGCACAGACCTGGGCTTGAATTGTGGTCCATCTGCAGACTGACCTCATGGCTTTGGGTGAGTTTCTGCCATTATGTGTCTATGTGGGTAGAGCAGCACAGCATATTAGTTAAGAGGTCAGTCCCTGGAGGGAGGTGGAAACTAGATTCAAATCCCCACCGTTTAATGGGGGTGGGGGAGGTCAGGGAGAGGGCTGTCCTAAAGGAAGCTACCTAATATGTCAAAGCCTTAGGTCCTTTTCACAAAATAATAAGAAGGGCTCATTATTTATTTAGTGCTAATTAACAAGCCAGGCACTGTGCTAAGCACTTTACAAGCAAAACTCTCATTTTAATCCCCCCAACAGCCCCAGTGGGGTAGTGTGTTAGACTAATTATAGTAATGGCCCCCATTTTATCACAACCTCCTGTATCCATACTCTTTGGTAGTTCCCTCTCATCCTAATTTGTAAGACGTGGAGACTTGAAAAGTGTTTGGGAATTAGGGCTTAGTTTCCTATTTCTCTTGGGACTTGCAACCTCCATGTGAACAAGCCCAGGGTAACATGTCACACAGAGGAAAACTCCAAGTTGTGTCAGCCAATCCAGACCTAGCTAAGTGCAGATGCTTGGGTGAGCATGAGCCAAGTTCAGCCAAGCCCAGCCCACAGCGGAAGAACCTCCCAGCTGAACCCAACCCAAATTGCCAAACTGTAGAAATGAGAGCTAAATGAGTCACAGTTTTCAGCCACTAAGCTTTGGGGTGGTTTGTTATATATCAAAAGCTTCCTGTCACAGATAGGTACAGTCACCCCAATTTTCAAAATGAAGAAGCCAAGGGACAGAGAAGTTAAGTAATTTTCCTGTGGTCACAGACTTACTAAGGGACAAAGCCAGTGATCTGAGGCAATCTCGTTCCAATGCCTCTCTCTTAACCACTAGCTATGTTGCTCTAAAAAACCAACAGTGAAATGCTGTGTGTGAGAATACTAGTGATGGATACCTAAGTTAGGAGAGCAGAAGAGGCTTCTTTGCACCTTTGTCTTTTAAGCTGGGGCCTAAAGGAGAATAAGGACTTAGCCAGGTAACGAATGCAAGGAAGACCTTGTCAGACACAGGGAACAGCATGTGCAAAGACCATGAGGAGGGAAAGAGCTTGGTGCATCATTGGGAATAATGTTCAAGTGGATGGGGCACATGAATGGAGGTGGAGGGGAGAAGTTAGAGGTAAAGTAGGAGTCAGAATCTGCCAGGCCTTGGAGGTGATGCTAAGGCATTTTGTTCTAAAGGCACAGGGAAACCACTGGAGAGATTTAGGCAGGGAGCTATCAGGCTCTGGTTTCCATGGGTGAGGGTTATTTCTCCCAGGATAATCTAGAGGAGTGACAGGAGGGGACTGGGGCCTGAACCAGTATTTTTGAGGAGTTTGCTAGGTGCTGGGTTTTACAGGTGGCACTTGTCCCCACCACAACCATGAGGGATACAGAGCATCTTCCTTTCCAACTGAGAAAGAGGAAATTGAGGCTCAGGAAGGTTAAAAGATGTACTCAAATTGACCCTAGAGAATAAGTGTTGGGGTGGAATTGGGCCCCAGGCCCATGTGACTTCCAAATCTCCCCTCTTACCCCCTCCCTGTCCTCCACTTCCCCTAAGAGTGGAAGAAGGAGAAAGAGCAAGGGCTTTGCAGTCAGGAGACCTGGATTCAAAACCCAGCTCTGTCCTTTCTGACGGGTGACCTTCTACAATTCGCTTCCCTTCTCTGAGCCTCAGTTTCAGGCAGGGCCAGAGGCCAGGAGCCAGCCAAGAGCCAGGAGGATGAGGCAGCAGAAGACAGAACCCAGTGGACAGGCAGCTGTCCAGCATGGGGACTTGCAGGAGCTGTGGCAGTGAGTGGAAAGGGAGGTCACCAAAGGCCCCAGGCTAGGAGAGGCCCCTTATCATGTAAGCAGTGGCTCTGGCGTCCAACCTAGCATCTTCCCCAGTGGAGCCCACCCTGGCTCAGGCCAAGGCCGGTGGGCACTTCTGAGTCTACCTGTCTGCATAGGGATCAGAGACCCATGTTCTCTGACAGATACCTATTTCTCTGGTGCATGTCACAGCACCCAGTGTGGCCCCTGCCCAGTGTGGAAGCAAGGGAGGTGGCCACCTCTGCCAAGCTGCCTGTGTCTTCCTCCATCTTCCTTCTCCTCCAGATCCAAGATTCACTGAATTGCCCAGGTACCTTCTCCCCACATACACACCATAGCCACCCCCCGCCACACACACACACACTCGGGCACATATACACCCATGCACCATACACCACAGTCATGCACACACACTATGCACACATACACACATTCACACATGCACACACGTACCACAGCCATGCCCACATACCACAGCCATGCACACAAATATACCACAGCCATGTACAAACACCCATGTGCACACACATACATACACATGTACACACAGCCATGCACACACATCCATACACACACATCCTGCACACATGAACACACATCCATGCATACACATGCACACCTATGCACACACCCATGTACACATACACACCACACCCATGCACATACACACACAAACACACAAACCACCGTAGCCTTCCTGCTTGGAAAACCAGCAGGAAGGAAAGAAAACAGGGAAGGAAGGTGGATTCTACCTCTCTCACTATCTGGGGGGCCTAGGCTGACTTCCTTCAGCTTAGGGATAAGGGACAATTGAGAGAAATTGCAGATTCATTCAGTTGCGGTACCAGGGCTTGTGAACCCGTGTCCCAAAGGTACCTGGAAAACCCTTAAGCTCTGTCTCCTGGGACTTTCCTGATAGGAGTCAGGGGACTAAGCTTAGGGCTGGAGAAAGCTTTGGCCTCCCCACCCCCAGCCCTCCTCCACCCTCCGGGCCGCAGTGAGGATTAAGTGAGATGATGAATGTGAAAGCACTCGGTAAATTGTAACGAGCGCTATGCAAATGTTAGCAGCTCTGACTGAGACAGCCTGGTGTGGGAGAGCCAAGCCTGGCTGCAGGCTTTGGAGTCCTGCTGGCCCAGATTCACAGCCATGAGCCTGGTTTACTAAAGCTATACAATTAGGGGAATCACGGAGACCTCGGTCTCTTCATCTGCAAAGTGGGGATGGTGATACTCAGACTTAAAGAAGGCAACACCGTGAAATCTCTCAGCTCCCTGAATGCCAAGCCTGGACTTTATGTTCATCTAATTTCTTACCAAAGGTCTTCACACATAGTAGATTCAAATTTTTTTAATTGTCCCTGGCATACACTTAGAACTCAATAAAGGTCAATCTCCTTCCTTCCTTCCACACTTTTCTTTGAAACACCTCCTTCTCAAAGATGTACCAGACAGTTATCTTTTAAGCCTAAGGTTTTGTCATCTTTGACCCCCTTCCAAAGTATCAGAGAACCTTTCACACACATGCATGAGTCACCTGTAGTGCTGGTTTCAAATACAGATTCCTCAGCACCCTTGGAGAAATAGCAATTCAGCTGATCTAGAATGGGGCCCAGGTGTCTGCATTTTCAGCAGCTATTCTTTCTCCACTTGTGGCATCCCCGTTTTCCCCAGAATCTCGCATCCCATTTCTTCACCCTGGTTTTGATGCAATGGTGCACTTGCAGACACCCAGCCAGGTGAGAATGTCCCTCTAGATGCTTTGCAATAATTTCCTGCTCATTAGGGCAGGTGAGACAGCCTTAGATGGCATATTGTCAGGTGGAAGTGAGATACCCTGCTTCCCACAATGTCCTCCACCTGATTCTCCCTCCAGGGAACAGGTGAGTTGGGCAAGAACTAGAAGTGTTGGGTGGTGGGGGGCGGCGGGGGGGGGGGGGTGGGTGGATTCAGTGAGCTGGGGAATGAGACAGGAAATACCAGGGAATAAATACAGCAATAAAGAGTCTTCAGCTGGGAGCTACAGAGTGATGCTTATTGTTCAAATTGTCTTTAAAACTTTTCATTTGAATCTGTTTAATAAGGGAAGGCTTACCCTAAGGAAGAGGTGTTTTTTTTTTTTAATGTGACTTGGGAGCTGAATTGGAAATAACGTTGCAACAAAGATATTAAAAAGGGGATTAAACCAAACCACTGGTGGCCCATCTCTGCAGGCTCCCACAACCTGCGACACAGCTCCCGAAACCATAAAATTAAATTACAAAGGGGGACATGGGAAGTGGGACGTTAATCATGATTCATCTTTCTTCACCACTCATGGCTCCTGGTACTAAGCAGACGTGGAAGGGCTATTCGGAAGGGCCCATGGTTCCGGGTAGAACTCAAGCCTTGAAGCCACATCAAACTCTTATCCGTGCTCTGCTTCCTCTGAGCTGGATGACCTTGGGCAACTTGCTTAACCTCTCTGAGCCTCACCTTTCTCATCTATAAAATGGGAGTAATATTGACCTTTTACTGGGAAGGGTTGCTAAGATAGTGAAATAAAGCAGAAAATGAAAATATAGAGCCTGGCACCTATAAAGTACTCAAGAAAATGTTAGTTCTGTTTTCTGCAGCCTAAGACAGAAGGAGGAAAAAACCTGCAATGTCTTGAGCTATTGATATTCTGTGCTTCCTCTGATGACCGTGACCCCTTGCTTCGATCCTGGCTACCTCTGGGTGGTGGCAGTTTTATGGCTTATTCACCATTCACTTCCTTATTTATTCATACCCACTGCATAGCCACCAAGTGCCAGGAACTCAGCTGGGCACTGGGGAGACAAAGATGAGTAAGACACAGACCTTGCCCTTAAGAAGCCCATAGTGCAGTAGCGGAAGAGGAATTGTTGCCACAAGGCAGCACACGATATGTGCCAGGTGCCCACCACCTCATCAGAATCCCACACTGGAACTGGGCTGATAGCCCCGATTAAGGGGCTGTGTCCTTCCCTCTGGCCAATGGTCAAGAAGAGAGCTGATTTTAAACAGATTCTTCCATTCTATCGTCCTCAAAAGATCTATCCCATGTAGCTCTCAGAGCTGGGGAAGCATTTGTCTCTTATGATGACCCCTTCTGCTTTCTCTTAGAAGACAATATGAGTTATGAAAACCGAATGCTATGATCTCCCTTTATGCCCTGGCTGCCAAGAATCTCAAACCAGATGCTGTTATCAGTTGAGCAGTTTCCCTTCAGCCTAAGTTTCCTGGCATATATATCTCCTTGTCCCATATCAATCATGTCCTGTTATTTTATCCATGATAATGACAATGATGATGGTGGAATGGTGATGATGATGATGAACATCGAGTCCTTCTCTTATTCCCAGTGCTGTGTGAGCTCTACATATATCATTTCATTTGCTTCCATAGTAATCCCTTGAAATAGTCGCTGTGACTTTTCCCATTTTTTCAGATGAGGAAAATAGGGCACAGAAAGTTTGGGGAACTTGCTTACAGCTAGAAAGTGTGCTGGAACTCTAATCCACCTGTCTCCTTATTTTTTGTTATCTGGGCCACCTTAAAACACTTAGGAAAGAGGTGGGACATAGTTGTTTATTTCAATTAAAAAGAGGAATGTGGGAAAAAGAGAAAGAAAAATGTTGAATGATGTGAGCAACAAAGAATTCAGAGGACAACACACTTATTCTAGGTCCTTAAGGATGGATAAGATTTAGATAGACAGAGATATGGGAGAAGGGCATTCCTGGTAGTGGAATAACATGAGCAAAGGCAAGGTGACATGCACCTGCTGGTAGCTCTTGTTGGTTTATAGAGCATGTGCAGGAGACCAGCAAGACGTGCATCTAGAGATGGAGGCAGGGCCACTACAGAGACCCCTGAAAACCAGGCCCAAGGGGCCAGAGGACAAGGCGAGCCATGAGAGATGTCTGAGCAGTGCTGTTGACCTGCTTCAGAAGATGAAATTGGTGAAGGGTGGAGGGCATCCTGGAGGGAAAGGCACCCAATGCAGTGAGAAGAGATGTGGTGAGGGTGGCAGAGGAGAGACGAGCAGGGAGGCAAGGCACCAAAGGCCATCATGAAGGGGGACTGCCAGGACGTGTGGCAGGCTGGAGGAGGGAAGAGCCAGTGTCTGCCAGCACTAGCTCACTTGACAAACAAGAACAGGGGTGCATCAGTGTCAATGGGACTGGGGTGCTGAGACCCAGCATTGGGAAGCTCAAGAGAGGGAAAGGCTGGGTGCAAGGGCTCACGCCTATAATCCCAGCACTTTGAGAGGCCAAGCCAGGTGGATCACCTGAGATCAGGAGTCCGAGACCAGACTGACTAATATGGTGAAACCCTGTCTCTACTAAAAATACAAAAATTAGCCAGGCATGGAGGTGCATGCCTGTAATCTCAGCTACTTGGGAGGCTGAGGCAGGAGAATTGCTTGAACCCGGGAGGTGGAGGTTGCAGTGAGCCAAGATCGCGCCACTGCACTCCAGCCTGGGTGACAGAGCGAGACTCCATCTAAAAAATAAAAATAAATTTAAAAATAAAGTAAAATAAAGAGAGAGGGAGACACTTGCTTAAGGGTTGGGTCTCAGAGCAAAGGGTTCCAACTTGTGGCCCACGGGGTCTCTGAAATCATTCCCAAATACTGAGAGATGTGAGGATGTGTTTCAGACAAAAGCTGCACAGAAGCTTTTTCTCAGATTTTCAAAGAGGTATTGACCCCTCCAAGAGGAGAAAACACTAGTTGAGATTAGACTCCAAAGATCTTCAGAGCTGGCTTCTAGTCTGAGACATCAGCCTGAGTTTCCGTATCTGAGTCTTGTCTTTATCACTCCCATCACCAGGTTTCAAGCTTTTTAAAGAATAATGCTAAAAAAAAAACCAAAAAAAACAAAAGAGGCTATGTATTCCAAGCAACTTTTCCAGAGAAGTCGGGTTCACCTAATTGTTTAAATAACAGTAGCACAAAGAGATGTTTGTTGGGAGAGCCATTCAAGCAAGGAAGCCGAGTGGATTCCCAAATATCACTTGCTCACCAGTGTGGAGAACTGGCCAATGGAAGCCAACAGTGAAAGTTTACCAAAATAAGTGCAAAAAAGCCTTCTTCCTTCTTGCAACAAATAGCCTCAGAAAGCTGCCAATCAATAAACCACTTCTGTTTTTCAAAAAATGCTTAAACAGATTTCTTTTATTTCAGTAGATTTATCTCCCTACCTGAGTCTGGCTTGGAATAATGCTCACCAAAGCCTTTCCACTCTGCAGACCAAGTTTGTTATGACAGGTAAATGGGAAAGTCTTGGGTGCTGACAGAGGGCCTGGAAGCATCCAGGGAAGCCAACCACACCCAGCAAGCTCGAGCCACCTTCTCCCGGTCACTAACACATGCTACACTTCACTCCCATGTAACTTCTCATCTTTCCCTGCGCCTGCTGCTGGGCTCTTTCCATAGGCTGTTCTTTCTCTCTTCTCAAGACCTAGCTGGGGGACATAACTATGGAAACCTTTGCAGTTATTAATCATGACATCCCTGCTACCTGCGGACTACACCCGCATCTTTCATCACACAGTGCAGGGGTCTCATCTGTTGCTGCTTCAGATTGCTTCCCTCAGAGGAAGACTTCCCTAAGTACCAAGCCCAGTCCAGTAGTCAAGTACAATGTTCAGTCATGTGTCCCCTCAGTGCGCTTCCATGGCACTGGCACTTCATCACCAGAACACTTACTATAGTGTGTTGTGATCTGCCTTTTGCAAGATGTTGAAAGTTCATAAAGGAGGTCAGAGACTGTCCCCAGCTTTTCCACCATTGTATTTTTTTCAGACATTTCAGTAATAGGTGCATACTAATTTTTTTTTTTTTTTGAGACGGAGTTTTGCTCTTGTTACCCAGACTGGAGTGCAATGGCACAATCTCGGCTCACTGCAACCTCTGCCTCCTGGGTTCAATCAATTCTTCTGCCTCAGCCTCCTGAGTAGCTGGGATTATAGGCACCTGCCACCACGCTCAGCTGATTTTTGTATTTTTAGTAGAGACAGGGTTTTACCATGTTAGCCAGGCTGATCTCAAAACTCCTGACCTCAAGTGATCCACCCACCTCGGCCTCCCAAAGTGCTGGGATTATAGGCATAAGCCACCGCACCTGGCAATATTTGTTGAATGTCATTGTTGTCAGATGTATCTGTGTTCATGCCACCCACTAGACTGGGAGCTCTTTGAGGAAAGGCTTCTGTTCTGCTTATCTCTGTGTCCCTGGGACCCATCATACAGCCTGGTACTGCGAAGGCAATTGTGTTTGTTGAATGAATTCATGAATGAAGAAATGAACAAATGTCATTCTGTAGTTAGGGCAACGGAGTCAACAGCAAATCCAAAGACCTCATTCTGAGGCTTTGAAGTTTTAGAGATTAGGGGAATGAATGAATAAGTAATCCTTGAATAAGTGGCTTGCCACAATTCTCTAAGCCCAAACTTAAGACTAACTAAAAGATAACTGAACCAGATTTTGGAGTTAAATCAGCACTAGACAGAACTATTGATTTCTCCCCCAAAACCCATTGCTCCCCATTTCTTCCCCACCTTTGTAAATGGCACACCGTCCAACCAGGGGCTCAAGCTTGGAATACATAGCCTCTTTTATTATCATTATTATTTTGAAAGCTTGAAACTTGGTGATGGGAGTGATAAAGACAAGACTCAGACATGGAACTCAGGCTGATGTCTTAGACTAGAAACCAGCTCTGGAGATCTTTGGAGTCTAATGCTCTTGGCTAGTGTTTTCTCCTCTTGGAGGGGTCAACACCTCTTTGAAAATCTGAGGAAAGCTTCTCTACACCCTTTTGCCGGAAAGACATCCTCCCAGCTCTCAGCATTTGGGGAATTACTTCAGAGACCCCATGGGCCACAGGTTGGAATCCTTTGCTCTGAGGCCCTACACTCCCCACCTTGAGTTTGCCAGTGTTCGGTCTCAACACCCCAGTCACATTGATAGTGATGCATGCCCCCATCCTTGTTTGTCAAGTGAACTCGTGCGTGAAGCAGAGCATGAGCCTCAATGTGTCTGTTTGTGTACCCAAATCATGAGTAGGTCCATTGGCTCATCTTAAAACACACAGTTGAATCCTCCACTTTTTCCATCCCTACTGCAGTCACTCCTACCCAGCCACTGCCACCATTAGGCCTCCCCTGGACTCTGACAGTATCTTCCCAGAGGCCTCCCACTTCCTCTCCCACACACTTACAAACCATCTCCACACAGAAGCTGGACAGAGATTCAAACATTAGTGAATCTGTTCATGTCACACCCCTTCCTAAAAACCTGCAAAAGTGTTCCATAACATGTGGAATAAAATCTGAACTCCCCGCAGTGATCCTCCAGGCCTCCTGAGGCCTTGCCTGCCTGTCTCTGTTATACTTATACCATGGCCATGTCCCCATCCCTCCTGACTCTCCCGTCTCGCTGTCCCTCTCAAAGCTCACTCCCACCTCACAGTCTTTGCATTTGCTTTTCCTTTTGGTTTTGTTTTGAGACAGGGTCTCACTCTGTCGCCCAGGCTGGAGTGCAGTAGTGCAATCTTGGCTCATTGCAGCCTCGACTTTCCTGAGCTCAAGTGTTCCTTTCGCTTCACCCTCCCGAGTAGCTAGAACTACAGGTGTGTGCCACCATGCCCAGCT
Source organism: Homo sapiens (assembly GCF_000001405.40). Taxonomy (NCBI): domain Eukaryota; kingdom Metazoa; phylum Chordata; class Mammalia; order Primates; family Hominidae; genus Homo; species Homo sapiens. The sequence continues at coordinate 34,182,046 of NC_000001.11, read as the reverse complement.
AATTTTTGTATTTTTTGTAGAGATGAGGTCTTGCCATGTTGCCCAGGCTGGTCTTGAACTCCTGGGCTCAAGCGTTCTGCCCACCTCAGCCTCCCAAAGTGTTGGGATTGCAGGCTTTAGCCACCATGCCTGGCCCTTGCTCTCCATTTTGCCCAAATGTTCTTTCCAGAACTTCCCTTGACTGGCTCCTTCTTAGAACCCAGGTCTCAGCCCAGATAATCACATCTCCTCAGAGAAGCCTTCCTTGACACCCAGACTAAAGGAGCTCTTCCTATCACTTCCCTCTGCTCTATTTCCATTATCACAGTTGTCACTGAAATTATCTTGTTTATTTTTGTGTGTTTCTTATGGGTCTCCTCCACTGGGAATACCATTCTTTTCACATTCTGAAGATATCATAGCTTTTGTATTTACTTGCTTCTTTTTTCTCCTATACTAGAATGTGAGCTCTAGGAAGGCAGGGATTAATGGAGTTCACAGCTCCATCCCCCTAGTTTCTCACACAGTTCTAGCATATAGTAGATGTTTAATAAATATCTGTTGAATGAATAATTGAATGAATGAATTAAGAGATTGAAAATGTGTCCACAGAGTGAAAGTCGACTTGGGGAAAAAAGTGAGTGTAGTATTGGTTGTCATTAACAGGAAACAGAATGCAGACAGGGAGGATCAAATCTGCATGGATTGGATCACCCCTGGATTATTGTACTTGGCTTTCAAAGTTACACTGCCACAAGGACCAACAGTGTGGACAGGAAACTAACCAAATTGGCACATGGGGAGAAACTTAGAAAACCAGAGGTGGTTAGCTTATAGAGACAAAAACATTCTGGGAGGAATATTGTTGCTGTCTTGCTGTCTTTCACTATCCAAAGGGGTATCGAAAGAAAAAAGACATAGATTTGGCTTGGAGTACTAAGGGCAGAATCCAGATCAATGGGAATTAGTTTGATAGAGACATATTTCAGTGATAGAAAGCAAAAGGTATTTTGAGGGGGTTCATAGCAAGGGAAGGGGCAGCAAAGGGAAGTGGTAAGCTCCCCATCTGATAAACTGTACCAAGTGGTACAAGTGCACCACTTGGCAGGGACAGTAAGGAGGGGATTCGAGCAGCGGAAGATGGCTTCAAAAATCTCTTTCAAATTTGAAATGTCTAGGTTCCTATGATAAATAGGTGCAGAGTCAAGAAAAACAAATTCTGGCCAAAAAGAATTGTAGAATGCACTTACCTATCTACCACAATACAAGAAAACACCACCAAAACCAGGTCTACAAATTAAGCAGCAGAAAGACCAGCTGAGAGATATCTTGTGCACCTGAAGGCATTCTAGAAATAGTAAGAACAGCTCCCTGGCTTTTCACTCTGTGTGTGATCATTCAGTATATGGGACTCCCAACTATTTTGACTATTCAAAGATGCCCCAGATTCTAAGACAGGACAGCCGACATTATTGCCTCAGGGCCAAGGCGGTCTTGGGTTTCATTTCTGAAACTCTACTACTTCCTAACTGTAGGAGCTTGGGCAAAGAAATTAACCCCTCCAAACCTCAGCCACGTTATCTGTAAAAGTAATTTCACTTATAAATGGAGGGGTGGAGGTAGCAATTGAAACCAGAATGGCACAATGTGATAATTATTGAAACTCAGTGATAGACACATAGATATTCACCATATTATTATTCTATGTGTTTGAAAATTTGCATAATAAAAAGTAAAAAGAGATGGAAAGTTTAAAAGAGTACCTACCTCATGCAATAATTGTAGAGCTTAAAGAAATGATCACATCTGAATTGCAAGGAATTTTTACAAATCTGAATTATTACCATAAATGTTTAAATATCCCATTTAATCATTCCAACAACCCTACAAAATGTATAGTATTAATCTCCATTTGGCAGATGAGGAAACCAAAGTTTAGATAAATTAAAGAGTAACAAATTCTTCAAATGGCATGGGGCTGAAATGGAATCTGAAACCAGAGTTATCTGACTCCACCAGCACACCGCCTTTATTTTAAGAATAGCTCATTGTGTTCTATTTGGTTGACAATTAGGATGTCGTTTATTCGTCTAAGTCATTGGTTTCCTATCTCTTTTCTCAATAGCAGAAACATGTTTTTCAAATTCAGCCCTACTCAGAACTCTAGTAAGTAAAACTGATAAAAGCTAAACAGCTCTGGCTGAAATGGATTTTGGGGCCCAGCAACCAGCCCACTTGACTCCACAGTGACCCCTGAAGCACCTTGAGGTATATGGAGCATAGTGTGAACCCCAGATTGAAGCCAACAACAACAAAAACAACAACAACAACAACAAATCCCAACCTGAAGAAGTACATGTTAAGAGCAGCCTGATTTGTATAATGCATCTTTCATTTCCCTGTCTCCCATCACATTGGATCCTCATTATCAACTCTGAGGTAGACAAGGCAGCACATATCACCCTCAATTTGCAAATGAGGAAGTAAAGGCCAAATGGAGTTAAGCAGCTGGCCAAAGGTGCACCAGTTCAATTTTCAGCCAAGTGCAGACTGGAAGTCGAGTCTGTCTCCATTAACTCTGTGTGACCTGGCAAAGAGGATGCCATCTACTGGAAATTGCTACTGACCCTTGGTCCACAAAGTGGACAATCAGCTTCTTGGCCATTGAGAGCAGAGCACAGCCCCATGGGCCCTCCTGCCAAGGCCCTGTCCCAGAGCAGATGGCAATGAGCAGGGGAGAAGGGCTCAGTGCCACTGAAGGGCCTGACAGCAGGATTTTAGCTGTAGATGGGCCATTCCTGTCTGAGCCTTGTCATGCTGAGCACAGGGCAGGGAGGCAGGACTAGCCAAAGTGCCTTCCACCTTCATCTGCAGTAAGTAAATGAGCCCACAGAGGGACAGCAGGTAGTGTAGAGCTGGGTGTCATTTACACTTTGCTTTTCTTCTTAGCTCTTGCTTAGGCATCCCTGAAACCCGAGGCAGCTGATAAATGCCTGAATGGCTCCCCAACTCCAGAGCATCTCTGAACTGAGCTGTAGCATGTGTTGGAGCAGGCAACACTTAATTATCGGTTAGTCTTTAATTAGCTCTTAATTATTAACACTTAATCCATCTGTAAAATGGGGACACTAATACCTGCCTCACAGGGACTCTGGGAACATTAATTAAGTTTACAGTCCACTTTGAAGATGCAAAACGTGAAATAAGTAAGTGCTCAACGGCGGTATTAATAACCACAGCAGATTTACTTTCTTTTCCTAATTTCCCTTTTTCCTCTCTGCTCCTTCCTTTCCTTTCGAATATCCATCCTCAACAATATCTGCCCAACTTTGCCCTGATGGAGAAACACTTAGCTCTGTGTTTCCCAGACACAGGATTTCCCATCCCGGAAACGGGCTATTTACAGCCATCTTCCCGCACTTTAATTTTCTATTATGTCCTCTGAATATGTCAGTGCCTTCCCAGTAAATATTTTGATGTGTGCTCTTGCAGCAGCTTCTGTGGAGGCTGAATGGGACAGCTGCTCCCTGTATTAGGGAATTCCAGATGTGATTTAAAACCATCAGACTCATCCATGTGAATGCCTAGCCTTTAGGTGGGAGAGGGGAAGGATCTTCTAGTTGCTTCTGGGGAAAGCCACAAGCCATATAACCCTTAGCCTTAGCTAGGGTGGTTTTTCAAGGACCTCAGATTCACATGCGTTTAGGATGAGAAATGTCTGCTTAACGGGCTGGTGAAGAGGCAGCCTGGAATATAGCCCTAATCTGACTCTTCACCCACAAAACTTCAGAACTTTGGTCAGCTCTTCTATAAAGCTTGGACAAAGGACCATGGAGGGGGCAATATACAGCCTTTAGGGTTTCACCAGCCTCAACAGTGGGCCAGAACATTCCCCCAGAAGGTCAGACTTCATCTCCTCCCTCCTCCCTTGCTGCCAATGGAGTAGGGGGGTACTTACTCTTCTTGAAAGCTGAGCTCATTGCCTCTTAGAGTTCCAACCACAGGGACAGAGAGCTGCTCCATGGAGGTCCAGGGCTGTGAGGCCTCAGGCAGGCCTTGAACTCTCTTCCAGATTTCATGGCAAGTCTTGTCTAGGCTGTCTTGGGGTGTGTCCTGGTGGATCCAGATGTATCTGGGGAATGGGCCCAGGGCGCAGGGGCCCTTGGCCACCAGGGCCGAGGATGAAGGAAGCCCATTCCCGCTGGCCATCCTCCTCCTCTCTTTCTGGAAGCCCCTCTGTCCACCCAGGGCTAGAACACAACCACCACCACCCCTCATTCACCAGAAAGGGAGATGAGGATGGGGCTTGGCAGAAGTGGGTCAGTTCTGTCTGGCTTTCGCTCCAGCAAGGTGGTTAGGTTCAGAGGCCTTCTATTTGTGTGGGAGGGGTGGGTGGAGGACAGCTTTCTTTTGGGGAGGGGAGGGCTTATTTTGATTTGTTTTTATTTGCTCTTTCCTGACTTTTGCCTCCCTCCCCCTCTCCCTTAGAAGAAAATATTTAAAAGTCAACAAAAACCAGTAGCTTAGGAACAGTGGAATGCTGCGGAGCTCAGGAACCAGGCGCCTGGGCGGGCAGAATGACATCTGGGAACAGCTGGAAGGGGAGGGCTGGCTCTCCCCACAGTCCCTGGCACTGCCCCCTTGCGACGCCGCCGTGACAACTTTCGGCGCCTGGGCTCAGCCCATGCTGTCCCGCTAAGCCACGCGGAGGACTGGGTGCGGGCCTGGCACCATTGTAGGCACTCGGGGGGCGGGGCCCCGCAGGAGGCGCTCGCCTGGGCGTTCCCAGGGAGCCCCTCGCAGAGCGAGCGTCAACGGCCCGACTCCCACCCCCGGCCCAGGTCCTGCTTTTCTCTCGCCCTACCCCTCCTGCTCCCGGTCTCCCGCTGCTGCTCTGCTGCCCCCGGAAAGAAGGGATGAGGCGTGTGTGGATGGGCCCACAGCCCTTAGTCCCCGGCCCCCAGCAGACCCCTGCCCCAGCCGCGCCGCGCTGCCAGGCGGGCACCGGGAAGGGCCCAGCGGCTCAAGAGCGCGCTGACTCGGCAAGGCAGGCTGGGCCGGGCGGCTCCCACCAATTTGCCTGCCAGTAGCTCCCACACCCTCGCCGTCGTCGAGCGGGGGAATTCTTTCTGTGGGTTTCAAACGCAACGGCTCGGTGCGCGGGGCGCCCTGGGTTCGGAGCCCAAGACCCGCCGGTGGGGTGGGTGGGGGTGGGGCCCAAAGGACCCCAGAGCGCTTCGGGGGATCAGAAGTCAAAGCCAAACGCGCCGCCGCCCCACTTCGCCGCTCCACACAAATCTCAGCTCCTGCCTGGGGGTCCCCCGGCAACCTCGATTTTAATCCTAACTGCCATTTTATGGGGCGCTTGCCCTGTGCCAAGCGCTGGGCTCACATTCAATCCTATTAAAGCTCGTGAAATTAGTACCACTTTTTATTATCGTTCTACACGGGAGGAAAGCGAATCTCAAAGTCATAAGGGATTGCGTCCAAGGCCCCCTGAGAAAAGGGAAGCTGAGACTCAGACCCCAGCACTCTAGGCCTGATCTAGCCCTTGACCACTGAGACAGCTTCAGTAGGTGGGTAGGAGCAGGAGTAGGAGGTCCGAGGTGCAGGGAGAAGGGCTAAGTTAGCTGTTTGCTGATCAACAGGCCCCTACCCTCACTGAAGCGGCTTCATTCAATTGGGCACTGACACAGTACCTCTGCTGAGGGAGACTTTCTGGTTCCGAGAGTCAGGGGGTTGCTTCTCTAGCAATTCCCCTGAAAAGGAAAAGCAAGAGGGTGGAGACGGAAGAAAGAAGAATGGACACAAATAGAGGAAGATGGCAGTCTATAAATGCAGGGCTGGGTTGAATCCTGACACTCATTTCCGAGCTGTGTGACCTTAAGAACTTTCTGAACTTCTCCCATCCCCATTCATAATTCCCCCAGTACTGATGCAACCCCTCCTCTGTGCCCGATGAGTTGCTGGGCACTGAAGAAGCATAAGGGTGGGCAAAAATGGCATGGTCCCTGCTCTCCTGGAGCCTGTATACTAGCGAGGAGAGATCGATGCAAACCAGCCAAGCGAGTAAAGCAGCAATAATTACAGATGCAATGGGACTCTGATGGAAAATAACTATTAGGTTGGTGCAAAAGTAATTGCGGTTTTTGCCATCACTTGCAATGGCAAAAACCACAATTACTTTTGTACCAACCTAGTAACAAAGTGAGGCACTGGGGAGAAGAGGGGAGGCAATATTCCATGGTGGTCCAGGCCGACTTCTTTGAGGAGAAAAATTTGAGAAGGATGAGAGGAATTCCTTTTCTGTAAAATGGTGTTAATAAATTATGAGGATCATGTTTCTGGCACATAGTAGGCACTCAAAAAATATGTGTTGGATGAATTAATGGTATACTGTATGTAAAGTGCCTGGTATACAGTAGGTGCCCAATACGCAACCTTGCTCTTTACAGAGGGGCTGAGTTCCTGGAAATGTTTACTCTAAATTTTGAAATCTGAGCTTCATTCTCCTTTGATTTTCATTACAAAATTGAAGATGTGTTCCTTTGGGGAAAATTCTGAGGGCCTAGACTGAATAAAATTATAGTTAAGAATGTAGAAAACCTTTTAAAATAGTGTATTTAAAGGAAAAGTGATCATTTCTGATGAAATATTAATAGTTCTGAAAATGTCACTCAGTGTTTGTGCTGCTTGGCATTTGGTTGGCTAACACCTTAAGCTTAGAGCAGAACGCCAACGACCCTGCACTGCCCAGGCCCCAGGATTCTGGAAGTTAGCCAGCTCACTCACTCTTCCTGTTCCCTCTCCCCCTCAGCAGGAGACCAGGCAACGGGGGCTAAATCAGAAAGGACTGCAAAAAAAAAAAAAAAAAAAATCAAATACAGCAGGGATACGGAACAAAGATAGAGCATGTTTTTAGAGTGCACAGACGAGATTTCTAGAAAATTCTGCAAAAATCTTAAGTGATGTACTTAGAAATAGTATAAAGCTATGTCCATATGGTAGCCACTAGCCACATGGGGTTGTTTTAATTTTAACTTTATTTTTATATAAATTAAATGAAAAATTCAGCTCCTCATTTGCATTAGCCACATATTATGTGCTCAGTAGCCACATATGGCTAGTGGCTACCATATTGGACAGCACAGAGAACATTTCTTATCATTAAATACATATTCTCGGGAACCAGAGTCCCTGGGTTCAGATTCTGAGTTCACGTTTTCTGGCAATGTAAGCTTAGGCAAGTTACTCTGTGCCTTGGTGTATTAGTTTGGTAGGGCTACCATAACGAAGTCCACAGACTGTGTGGCTTAAACAACAGAATTTTATTTCCTTGCCATTCTAGAGGTTAGAAGGCCAAGACCAAGATGTTGGCATTGTTAGTTTCACTCTGAAGTCTCTCTCGCTGGCTTGCACTTGGCTGTGTTCTCCCTATGTCCTCACATGGTCTTCCCTGTATATGTGTCCCTGTCCTAATCACTCCTTTAAAGGACACCAGTCATATTAGATTAGGACACACCCTAATGGCTTTTTTCTTTTTTTTAATCTTAGCTACCTCTTTAAAGGACTCATCTCCAAATACAGTCACATCTGAGGTATTTGGTTTAGGATTGCAGCATATAATTCAGCCCACAACATTTGATTTCTTAGTCTGTAAAATGGGATGATAATGAAGAATACTTGCTTTGTAGAATTACTACAGATGTTCTATTACTAACCAATTGCTTAACACATGGAAAGTCCCTTGAACAACAACTGACAGATAAACGTGTTATACAGTTGTTTGCTTGTTGATTACACTGAAATGCATGCCTTTGGAGTTTCTGAATAGCAGCTTTTGTGTTTTGTGTAGAGAGGGAGAATTGTGTTGTACTGGGGAAGTTGTTCTGTGATGGAGAAACGAATTCACATAATCACTTACGCCTTTCCAGGCTTTGTTCATTTTTGAGCATCCATCATGGGTCAAAATTGTGAAAGACACAGGGATTAGAGATGATGAAAAAGATGTCTACCCTAGACAGAATCACCTAGTGACAGAGGCGGGGCAAAGCATTCCATAAGTGCCTGGTGCAGAGCAGTGTGATATAAACTGACTTATTCCAGTTTCCATCCAACATGGAGTTATGTTCCTCCAACACATGTATCTATGCCCAGCACTGTTTGAGGTGCTGAAGATAGAGTAGTGAAGAAGAGGAGTTTGGTCTCTGTCTTTTTTAGAGTTTAAAGTGAAGCATTTAATGGTCATGGACACCATTTAATCTGTAAATTATTTTTAGCTTGGAAAACTTCTTGAATTCCCCCTGACTACTTACATTACCCTGGGCAGGTTGGTTTAACCTCAATGTCTCCATTTGCTCATCTATGAAACAGAGACAATAAAATACTGACCTCATAGACTTGTTTTACGATAATGAAATAATACATGTAAAGTGCTTATAATAGCTTGGCTAATGTATGTATCCAGTGAATGTTGGCTATCATTATTTAGAATTCTGGGATTCTTAGCTTTTCTCTGTGGAACCAGGAAGGCCTAAGGAGGAGGCAATTCTCCTTACCTCCCATCCAGTCAAAGCCTCTTCTCATCTGGCTTTCATCTCTGACACAAACATGGCTAGGCTGGAAAACTCAGAAACGTGGGAATGGCCTAGGCTCTTTTACAATCATCATATAGCCCCTAAGGCTGCTTACTCTTGTAGGTCCTTTTAGGTTCCTCATCTAACATATTTTAAACACACCCACCTCTCACCATAAAAATAACTTTTTGGCTATAGAGGAAAATTGAAAGGATTTTTGCCATTTTGCTTTTGAAAGTTTTTGGCCATGAGTAATTTATTTAATTTGTGATGGGCTGTGATTTCTCACCAATCTTAGTGCCTACTCGAGAAATCTTGTGCAGTGAGAAAACTCCAACCTACAAATTGTTACCAAATGCAATGAAATTTTTATGACTACTAAATCCAACAGTTAATGAAGTTGACATAATGTTATACTCTGCATTTAATTAAATATTTACTGATTTCCATGTGGCAGTTTTCTTCTTTGTATTGTGGGACTAATCATAAAATATTTAGGACTCAAACGCTTTTGTAGGTCCCTAAAACCCAGAGGGACCCCCATTCCCATGCGAATAATGCTCAATGGGTCAAACTGCCCAGAGGCAGGATCCATGCATAGGAGTATCCCAGGCAAATATCTTGGGGAATTAACCATCACAGCTAAAGGAAGAGGAGGTTGCAGCCATGTTTCATGGGAATGGGCCTCCCCCTCATGTTGTCTCAGCAACAGGACAGGGCTGCAGAGCAGCCAGCCATTTCTAGGACTTTGAAAAGGAACCTTGAATATTCTGCAAGCAAAGCTGTGACTCTGTGGCTTCTCTCTCCTGGCAACACCATCGGTGATCTCTGCCATTTCTTGGGGGTTTTTCCCTTACTATTGCCTTGTTCCTTGCCCACATGAGAGGAGGCAGTTAAGAGCTCGGGTGGTGGCAGCTGACACACTTGAATTGGAATTCCTACTCTACTACTTGATAAAGGTGGCTTTGTATATACTTAACTTCTCTGACATTTCTTCATCTGCAAAGTTGTAAAAACAATAGGTTTGGGGTAGGAAGAAGGTTTAAATATGGAAATGCACGTGAACTTCTCAACACAGTGCCTGGCTTATGGTAAACTCTCAATAAAAAGAAATGTGTAATTATGATTATCACTAGCTATTGTTATTGAGAGCCTAGCAATGTAAAAATGGCAGCCTATGAGATCTCCACTTAAAGTTAGGGAAAAGGAAGGTCCTAGATGACAGAATAAAAGAATATGGTGGTGGCAGTAGTGGTCCAGTGAGGTAGAAACAAAGTCAGAATTCAGCTGGCTTTCCTCCTGCTTTGGTTTTTCTGCCAGACCCCAGTAGTGATAGGTATGCCAAGGATTCCTGGCGAGGCCCTTTATGGGAAACCCTTCAGCTAGAAGCTTTATATTTTGCCCTTCCTTCCATAGCTTCCATGCCGGGACATTGGTCACTAAAATGCATTCACTTAAGACTTCTTCTACCTTACTGCTGAGATGATTTGAGGCAGCTTTCAGATTAAAAAGTACAAACTACAGCATCAAAGAATAAAGGAAGAACTGACTCTAAGGAAAACAGAAACAGTTGCTACTTTCCAGCACCCGAACTGGTCAGGCCTCATGGAGGTAATAAGGCAATAAAACTGGGTATCCTTATTTGTCAGCTAAAGCAAAAATGGAAACACGTCGGGTGGCAGAGTTTTTGTTTTCTGACAGCAGAAAATACACATCTTCATCTGCAGAGACAAAATGTTTCCAGGAAATAACCCCAAGCATGAATTTATCATGAGTCCTTGTATAAAGGACACTGAGTGACATAGTGGGCAATATATGCAATTCTGTTTTCATAAAAGACAGAGATGCTGTTAGGTTCGTCAGTTTCTCGCATCAGGGTTCTCTGAAGACAGCATAACATTAAATCATAACTCAGTGGAGGCATTTCTTTAAGGAACTCAAATAATGAAGTCTAGAAGAGATACCTTTGGGTCCATTCCACAAACAGTACTGAGCACCTACTTAACCATCCATTCATCCATCCATCCATCCATCTGTTTATCCATTCATCCAGCAAAAATTCCCTGAATGTTCACCATGTACCAGGCACTCTGAATGGCACTGACAAATACTGCTTGTAAGAACTGTCACCTGGACTGAATTTTGAAGGGCAAATAGGAGAAGGCTAGTCACAGAAGGAGAAGGGAAGCTTTCTAGGCAGAGAGAACAAAACACAGAAGGATCCAGGGGAAAGGGGAGAGAAAGCATGGCTCATTGCAAGAGTGCAAGGGTGTCAGAATGGCTTAGAGCTGAGGGATTTGGGAATAGGGAGATCTGAGGCTAGAGGGGCTGGCAGGGACAGATGATGGGGGCTCTTGTAGGGAGGGTCTAGCAGGGAGCTTGGATTTTACTCTGTAGGCCATAGGGGAAAGTCCGGGGAAGACAGAGGAGCTGTGAAATCAGGTGAGTGTTTTAAAAAGATAGCTGGTGGCAGAGAGGAAGATGCATTGAATAGGGCAAGAGCAGAGATGGGCACTTGTTACTCAGTTGTTGTAAGTAACCTGAAACATAGCCATTGTGGACTCTGGTTAGAATCTGGGAGGTGTCTAGGAGGCAGAATCTGGAGGGCTCAGTGATGGCTTGATGTGGGGACTGGGCAAGATGGGAGTCCAGGATAAATAGGTTTCTGGCTCAGGATCTGGGTGGATGTGGAAACTGTTCCCTGAATTGGGGAGCTGAGCAGAGAGGCAGGCTGGGGTGGAGAACTAGAAGTGGATAAGCCCAGGTCTGAGCAGGCTGTGGTGGAAGGGGTGGGGTGGGGCTCCTATGAGACATCTGAGGAGAGAGAATGCCAGATACAATACAGACCCTGGGACTTGGGAGAAAAGAGGTTTCCATCCTAGAGTTGCCCATCCACCAGCAGGGACAAATAAGAAAGCCAGCAATTATGGAGAGACTGTTGAGTCAGAAGAGAGGTCTATTTCCACCCCACACCCTTCCTTGGTACCCTGTGAGTGCTGCAGATTTACACACTGTGTCCTCCCTCCCTGAGCTGGCCCACTCTGTGCTTTCTTCCTAGAAAGTGCTGGTTCTCACCTGCCCTTTCCCATAGGCTGAGCTAGGAGCCCTTCTTATTTCCATCACATGCTATATCTCTTCTGGAGTAATCAATCATGCTTTGCTGTTTAACGCTGTTCTCAATAAACTCTCAACCCCCTGAGGACAGGGGCCATGGGAATGTCTTATTCTTCTTTATATTTGTTTCCTCAACACCTAGCACAGACTCTGACATGCAGCTCAGTGTGGCATGAACAAATGAATGAAAGAGTAAGTGAAGAGTAAGTGAATGACTACACAAGATACTATGCAAAAAATGAGCAAGCCTGCATAAAAGTATTGCTAGCTGCTGTAACAAACTCCAATATTTCAATGGCTTAACACCCTGTTTTGTCACTGGCATGAACTCTTTTTCCTTATACACAAATGAAGAATTTTCACCAAGAATGTCAGAATTTGGTGACCACAGCATGTGGTAGCACTAGAGGAATGGCCTAGGCTGTGGGCCCCTTCTCACTTCTCCCTCCTGGTTTCAGAAGCCCACAGCCTCACCTTGGTGTGGTCTGGGCTTTTTCCTCATGAAGCCCCTCTGTCGCCACTCCTTGGGCAGCAGATCACTGCCACCTCTATGGTGATAGCCTCGCCCTTGGGAGATACTCGCTTTGGCCTGATCATGCTCATGATTTTAAAATTGTGCCCCATTTGGGATCCTAAGCTTTTCCTCTGAGCCCATCTTTGTCCTGTAGCCCTTCTCTGCAGCCCTGCCTGCCCCTTGGCCTCTATTTCTGCCCTCGCATTGCTAGAATCTCCCATTTGCTCACTCTCTCTCTCTCTCTCTCTCTCTCTCTCTCTCTCTCTCAGCTTCAGAAGGCTTTTTGATCTTTTCCTGGGTCAGAATGAAAATTTCAGGGCATCAAGTCTACAGCTCCTCCTTGAATGAGGCAGAGTTCTCCAGAGCATCAGGCCTTGTATTCTTTCTAAATCAAACTCTGATTTTATCTGGATATTAGGCTTATCTTGGCTAGTCACTAGACTGCATTGGGCTTTTTTGCAATGTGATATTGTAAAGACACCTCAACCCACGACTGCCTGTTGCTCACAGGGAGAATGAGAGGGGCAGGCAGGGAGCCAGCACTTGGGGCTGGGCTGAGACCCACACTCTCCTAGGCTAGATGCGGGTAGGCTGTTATGTCTTTGACTCCTGCCTCTCCATTGCCCTGCAGATGTTTCCAGGGTCCCCATCTCTGCCTTTGCCCCCATGTTTCCTGGCTCAGACTATTGCAGTAGTCTTCTAAGTGGTACCCTTTCCTTTCTTACCCTTTCCTCACAGAGAAGTTAGAGTATATGTCAGGCCACATCACTTGGCGTCTCTTTCCCAGAAATGAAAACCTACCTTTCATATTCAGAGCTGTCTACTTTTCACTAAAGGAGCCATGCTATACACAGAAAATAAATGTAAACAGATATCTCTTTACATATATTTTCTGACTGTCAAGCATCTCTCTCCTCCCTCCATCTGAAAAGTCATCTCCTCCTGTTATAGAATGAATTGTGTGCCCCCCCACCCAAATTCATAGGTTGAAGTCCGAACCCCTAGTACTTCAGGATGTGACCTTATTTGGAGGTAGAGTCTTTAAAAAGTCAGTTAAGTCAAAATGAGGTCATTGGGTTGGGCCTTAATCCAGTATGACTGGTGTCCTGATTAGAAGTTTGGACACAGATATGTACCATGGGAACACATGTGAGGACACAGGGAGAAGAAGGCAGCCATCTACAAGCCAGAGAGAGAAGCCTCAGAGGGAACCAACTGTGTCGACCTCTTGATCTTGGACTTCCAGCCTCCAGAATTGTGAGGCAATACATTTCTGTTTTTTAAGCCACAGGGTCTATGGTACTTTGTTGTGGCAGCAGTCCTAGCAAATTAATACACCTTCTATTTCTCACTGGCTAAGAATAAAATGCAAACTCCTCGCCATCCCCTAATAGACCCTATGTGATCTGCCCCACTCCCTATCTCCCATTGCTTACCTGGATCCAGCCCCATCCTCCTCCTCCTGGCCCCCTTTCCTTTTTACAGCCTTGCCTGTGCTCACTATACCAAAAGCTCTTTCCCCAACTTTGCATGGCTGCCTTGCTTAATTCTATTATTATATTAATTAATTAATTAATTAATTCATAGACAGATAGTCTGGCTCTGTCACCCAGGCTGGAGTGCAGTGGTGTGATCATGGCTCACTGCAGCCTTGAACAGCTGGGCTCAAATGATCCTCTGGCTTTAGCCTCCTGAGCATCTTGCTTAATTTTAGATCCCATCTTCCACCGTTGCCATCTCAGAGAGGCCTTCTCAGACCATCTCCTTAAAGCACATCCCCATATTGTTTCTCCTAGCACCATAAACTTTCCTTTTGTAGCATCCTTAATTAGTAACTTTATGTGTATTTGTATACATATTTTCTGCCTTCATCAAGTCAGGGACTGTGCACTAGGTGTATATTCATTGTCTAGCACAGCACCCAGGCACATAATGATGCTCAATAAATATTTGTTGAGTAAATGAATCTTCATCTTTTCAAGGTCTTTATCCATGTCTCAGGTTCCAGACCAAATCCTACTTTCCTTCTTAAATTAGCCTTCTGATCCCCCAAGTCCAGGAAAAGCTCACTGTCTTGACATGCCTCTCGGTAGCATGCCGGTTCTTCAGTCATGGTGATTATCGCTGTCTGACGGTATCAGTTACGTGTGGGTTTCCACCTCTGGCCTGCATCCTCCCAAAGCAGGACCACACACTGTGCATCTCTGCAGGGCCCAGAGCACAGCCTCGCTCAGGGCCCCCGAGCACAGGAGGCGCTCAGTGAAAGCACGTGGACCCAAATAGATCAGAGAGCAGGAATGGCGGAGGATGTGAGTAACTGGGCCTTTTGCAGGGATAAAATAGGTGCCCTGCCCTCCACAGCCCCCAGGGAGAAGGATGACAAACGCTCCTTTTGCCCGGGAAAGTTCTGGGGGTAAATCTCATCTGCCCGTTGCAGCCACAGAGCAAAGTTCTGGAGCTGAGAAGAGGGTAAGAGAAAGCCCATTGGCCTGCAGCCCCAGAATTACAGAGCAGCCCAGACTCTCTTCTGCCCAGCTGTGGGCTGCACAGGAGGCCTGGGCATCTCTGCCAGTTCCTTTCTCTGGAGGAGAACCCCGCCTCCAAGAGAGGGGTAAAGTCGGAGCTTAGAAGCCAGGAGCCCACCCCCAGGCAAGCCCAGCTAACAGCCCCCAAGGCCACCACCACCACTCACTGCTGGCGTAGTCAGTCCCTTCCTCCTCTCCAGGGCTGGTGGGAAGGCTGAGCCCTCTCTTTCGGGGGCTGAGTCTGGACAATGGGAAGGGAGAAGCCCCCTCCTCACTGCCCCGGGAACATAAAGCAGGCCTTTCACTGAGGAGTTCTGGCTGCTTCGGTTGGTTCTTGGCACCCAGCAAGGCGGCGTCGGGAGGGGCGGGCATACAAGCGTGTTGGGGGTGGGGACCAGGCCCGCGATTCTGAGGAGATTCGCCCGCCCAGGGCCACCGGGCTGGCTCCCCAGCTGTGGGATGAGCTCATGCAGGGAAACCGGAACAACTTGGGGTGGGGGGAGGGAGGAAGAGTGGCATCTAGGAGGCTGCGAAAGCGTGGCTCTGGGGAGGAAGTTTTTCATGGGGAGTAGGGACAAGCCTCCACTCCTCCAGCCCTGCCCCCGCCCCCCAATTCATATCGTCAACTCCACAGCCCCTCTTCACACCCTTCCTTGGATGGAAATTCCTGGCCACGCTGACAGCCGGCCAACCTGGGTCGCCAGCCACCCCCAGCCTGGCTCGCCATCCCTACAGTCCCTCTCCACACCCTTCCCCGGAAATTCTCAGGCCCCACCGCCCGCCGGCCACTGCCCCCTTGGCCACACAGATGCCAACGCTCCGTTTTGGCCAAATCAGGCTGCCCTAAGCCCGGAGCACAGCTTCTCTGGGGTGTGTCGGCAAAGGGGGCGGGGGTGCCCATCGCAGGTGCCTTTCCACTGCACGCGCCAGCAGAAGCCTCCTCTCTGGACCTTGCCCCTCCCAGTTTCCTCCAGCCTCCCCCCATGAAGCGTCTCTTCCCTCTCGCCGAGAGTTTGGCGTAGACAGCGAAGGAGCCATCGTGACTGGCGGAGAAGCCTGGAGTAGACGAGACAGAGACGGCGACCGAGTCGGGTGGGGGATGGGGTGGGGACCGACACTAAGCCCTTGGGGCCTAGAGGCAGCCGCTACTGGGGAGAGGTGGGGAGCAGCTCACGTCCTTGGGAAGAACTCTCTTGGTTTGGGGCCTTGGCTGGGAGGAGGAAGGGGAGAAGAAGAAGTAGGATCCGATTATTTAAATTTGGGGATAAATTGTACTAGTAACTCTTGCACCGTCCTTCCACCAACCTCACTCCCCACCCCCAACTCGCGTGCACACAGGGACCGCCTCTGCCACCCTGAGATTTTTGTCTTAGGGTAGGAGTGGGACCGCACTGGGTCAAATGAACCGGTTCCCCCCCCTCCCCACCCCACACACAACCCCCCTCCACCGCCCTCCAATTCTTAACCCTGCCTCTGTCTACGCACACACGCCCCTCTCCTGGGATGGGGTAGGAGGCTATTGTGAATGAGGCTCATAAGCATCGCCCCCGGCCCTAGATGGCAAGTTCAAAGCCACCACCCAAGATCAGCTGGTAAGAGCCAAGACTTGGGGAACGCGTCCTTCTTTGGTTACCTTTTCCCAGACAGGATTCCAATTTCCAAACGTGGAAGAGGTGTGCGTGTATGTGCCTGTGTGTGTGAGTGCGTGTGTCTCTGTCACTGTGTGTGTGTGTGTGTGTTTGTGTGTGTGTGTGTGGAGAGGGGGGTGTATTAATGGGTGATGTTATAAATGAAAACAGGAGGACTGAACTTAAAAGAAACTGGTCAATTGCAAAACAGACACGGATAAACAACCCTTTAGATGTAATTTGTGGTTTATCTGGAGGTGGAGGTGGCGCTGAAGAGGAACCCCCGCCCCCCAATATTTTATCCTTAGCTGCGCCTCCACCCCCAGCATTTGGAGCGGCGGAGAAGCGGCTCCGGAGTGATTAATCCGGGGATAATTCACCCCCTCCCGCCCCCCGGCGCGAACCCCGCGAAGCGGGATTGGAGCGAGTCATTTCCGAGAGCGCAGCGCGCCTCTCCCCGGCCGGGCGGACACTTGGTTCATTCCAGCCGCAGAAGCTCAGGGCTCCCGCGTACCGGGATTTTTTCCGAGCAGAAAAAAGCTCCAGAGCTCTCCTGACCTCCTTTCTCCTCGGCGGCGAGCGGAGCCTCTCCCTCGGCGCTGCCGGCCGCGCCATGCCGCGCTCGCGGGGACGGGAGCTGGGGCGCTGCGGCTGCCCCGCGGGGAGGGCTCGCGGCGAAACCGGGATTTCGGCGCTTGTGCCGGGCGCCGGGAGCCGCTGGGGCCGCCCGCCGCCGCCAACGCCGCCGCCTCTGCTGCTGTTGCTGGGCTGTGGGTTGCTCAGCGTCTCGGCCGCCGCGGGTGAGTCCAGCCGCGCCGAGGAGCCAGCGGCCGCCGCGCGCCCCACCCGAGCCCCGAGCCCACCCATCCTCGACCCGGTCCCAGTCCCTCCCCCCGCCTCTATCCCTGCCTGAATCTCCCACCCTCCCAGTTGCCTACTCTCATTCTCATCCCTGCCTCCGTCTCCCACCCCACCCTCAGCCACGTCCTCACCTCCACCCTCACCCTCACTGCTGCCCCAACCCCAGCCGCAACTTGGACGGATGCGGCCGGTGTGGGGGCCTGGGAGACAGACATCCCCGCCCGGGGTTGCGGGGCACCTGGTCTGTGGCTTCAGTTTCTCCAGCCTCCCAGCCCCCACGGTGCTAGGCTTTTTCCCGATAAACTTTCCGGGAGCCCTACTCCCCCGGCTCCTGATTCTGCCAGGCACGCTGGTCCTGGGGGCTGGAGAGGAACCGTGCGCCCCCTCCCCATTTCTGCGTCTGCAAGGTCTGCCCTTCCCTGCCCCCGCCCATTTTCTCCAATTGAAACCGGTGCCCCCTCTGGAACCGACTGCAGACTGCGGCCGCCATCCCCCTCCTCAAATGCTACCCCTCCCTCGGCGCTCGGAGCTAGGAGGGGGTTCAGGTGGACGCGTGCCCACGGTGGGGGTCCCGCGCATTCCTTGCAGGAGGGTGCAGGTGGGGGCTGGAGGGTGTTGAGGGATGGGAAGGAGGGGGTGGGGGTTGTAGCCCGAGGCGGGGGAGGGAGTGCCGCCGCCAGGCTTCGCGCTGCCACATTCCCCTCGGTGCTCACTCCGCGCCAAAGTGCCCTTTCCCGCGCCCTGCTGCAGCCGAGCGCCTCGGCTGCGGCAGCGGCAGCGGCGGCGCGGGCGGCGGGACCAGCTCCCGACGACCGAGTCCGGGAAGGGGCAGATCTAGCGGGTGCGGAGAGTCCCGGAACTTCGCGGGTGTCTGGCTGCAGCTTGCAGCGCGCGGGGGAGGTACGCGAACCTTCGAGGGAACCCGGTCCCCTGTGGAGGCTACTGGCCGCGACTGGTGCCCTCCCGCTTTACCCACAGCACCCCTCCGAAGCTCAGTTCTAGCTACAAGCTAGAAAGTTCCGTGTGCCCGGGTGGAGACGGGTCCAAACCGGGATGCCTGGAACCGCATTTTCATTTAGCCCGCGAGGCTGACACCCACTGGGGGAGAAACCGAAACACCTGCTGGCCAGGCCTAGACCTAGGGCACCTTCGACCTGGAGCCGTGTTTTCTTTTTTGTTTTTGTTTTTGTTTTGTTTTGTTTTGTTTTGAAACCACCGATTGAACCTCTGAAGGCTTGGCCTGGACCACCCCAGTTCCCCTTCTTGGGAAAGTGCGCCTCTCCTCTGGCAGGTCAGTGAGTGGCGAGCTCTCTGGCCCACTCTGGCCTTCAGCGTCTTGTGAGTCTGTCCTCGCAGACCGTGTCGCCCACCGCTTAACCGCGGCATGTTGGGGTTCTTGGTCAGGGAGGGCGCCCCGAGCCAGCTCTGGCTCTCTCATTCCTAGCTGACGGGACTTTCTTAGGTTCTGCTAAGAGTCATAGCCACCGACACCCAGAGAGGGGCGCCCGCGGTGCGCGCGCCTGGGAGCTCTGGCCTCTCGCACACCCACACCCACTGGGAGGCTGTGCATACCGACGCTGCTGGTCACCCAGACTTGCCACATGGGCGGTGGGGGAATCGCTGCTACCTCCCGCCAGGCCTCCCGGACGTACGTTGAGGCGAGGCCGGTCTCTGGCTTAGCTGATTGGAGAATGTCTCGGCATCGGACTGAATTGTTTTTCTGGCTAGATTTGTCCCTGCCCCTTGGGCATATCCTGCCCCTAGGGGAGAGAAAAAGGCCGACTCACCGGCGCTTGCACCGCTCAGCGGTGCTGGAATCCTGCCCTATAGAGATCCATTTGCTCGCAGCTCCTTGCTCAGTAGAGAAGTTGCGGGGAGGGGGCCTTGTGTTCATGGCTTGGGGTAGTTCCTCTCCGGCAGGCCCTGCTCTGGCTTGCAAGCTTCCAGTACATTTCTTTTCTTTTCTTCTCTTTCTTTTTAAATTTTTTTTAAGACGGAGTTTTGCTCTTCTCGCCCAGGCTGGAGTGCAATGGCGCGGTCTCAGCTCACTGCAACCTCCGCCTCCTGGGTTCAAGCGATTCTCCTGCCTCAGTCTTCCGAGTAGCTGGGATTACAGGCGACCGTCACCACGCCCGGTTAATTTTTGTATTTTTAGGAGAGATGGGGTTTCACCATGTTGGCCAGGCTGGTCTCGAGCTCCTGACTTCAGGTGATCCGCCTGCCTCTGCCTCCCAAAGTGCTGGGCTTACAGATGTGAGCCACCGCGCCCAGCCCAGTACATTTCTTTTTAAGCCTTTCCCGCCTTTAGATGGGCTGTTTGGCCTTGCAGGCAGCAGAGATTTGGAAATGGACTTGGTGACAGAAGATCGGCAGGATTTGGTACATTAGAAGGGGAAACACATTCATTTTGTGTTCAGTTCACACTGTTGAATTTAAAAGATGCTCAGGACTGAACCGTCTCCCTTCCTCGGCTCAGTGATCACTGGATAAATGAATAAAATAGTTTGAAAAAGGGGAGTCTCCTCACCCACCCATACCTTCTCCCCTCAACCCCTTTAGTCCTTGTCCTGCCTTGCACTCCCCCTCCCCCTCCCCACCCCAGCCTCCCTGGAGACTTCCCACCAATTACCTGCTGTCCCTATCAATCATCCTCCCTTTTTTTTTTTTTTTTTTTTGAGAGGGAGTTTCACTCTTTTGTTGTCCAGGCTGGAGTGCAATGGCGCAATCTCGGCTTGCTGCAACCTCTGCCTCCCGGGTTCAAGTGATTCTCCTGCCTCAGCCTCCTGAGTAGCTGTGATTACAGGCGCATGCCACCATGCCCAGCTAATTTTGTATTTTTAATAGAGAAGGGGGGTTTCTCCATGTTGGTCAGGCTGGTCTCGAACTCCTGACCTCATGATCTGCCCACCTTGCCCTCCCAAAGTGCTGGGATTACAGGCGTGATCCACCGCACCTGGCCACCCTCCCTTCTTAAAACACATTTCCCTTTGACCTGTGAACAGGCTCATCTTTACCACAAAACAAGCCAAGAAGCCTTCTTGGCCCTATTGACCTATCTAAGCCACTGCCCCATCTCTTTTTGTCTTTTAGTCACTTCTCTTCAAAGGGGTCTTCATGTCAGTTTTCTCTACTACCCGTCACTCCTTACTTCAACCTCTGTCTCCAGGATGACACTGGAACACTCTAGAAGAGAGCACCAATGACCACCTCAATTGCCAAATACATTGTACTTTATCTTTATTTTCTTTTATCTCTCTGTGGCTGTGGCCACTTTGGATGAATTTCTCTTCCTTGGGCTTCTGGGACACTATGTTTTACTGATTTTTCTCCTATCTCTTGCGTGTTCCTTCTCAGTCTCTAATACTAACACTTATTCCCCTCCCTGAAGTATAGTGTCCTGCAGCATTTAATTCTTTGTACTTTTTCCCATTCCTTTTCACCACTCTCTGGGTGAGCTCATCCTTGCCCAACCCTTTCACTACCACACTCTGAAGCTTCCAGACAGATCTCTTCTGCCAAGACATCTCTCCTGAAATTCATCTATTGGCTTCCTGGTCCATGGGAATTCTGGGTCTAGGTAACCCATGTATCCAGCTGATCCTTGGACATCTTCACTTAGATATTTCCCTTCCAGAGCAATCTTATTAGCTTCTTTCTTAAGCCTCCCGTATTTCCTTTGTGAGCTGGTGGTTCCTGTAGCCTCCCAGTTATGGAGCCCAGAAACCTTTGGATTATCCTCAACTCCTTCCTTATCATATGGTCATCAAATTCTGTCAGTTTCATATCCTCAATTATTCTCGAACCTAGCTACTTTCCTTGAGGAGCTCTGAGCATTGAAAAAGCTATCATGCCTTCCACTCCCTTACTAACTAATTTTTAAAAAGCAATATTAAACTATAAGTAGATAGTTTAAGTAGATGGAATTCTGACAAAGTTCTGATTTTTCCCGTGCCAATTACATCATGGCTTTAAAAAAATCAAATGCCAAATTAAAAAAATTTCCCCTGCTTTGTATGTTGTCTGAGTGCTTGCTTTTAGTCAGCCTCTTGTAGACTAGAGCACTGACTGTACTCAATGTTCTACTGTAGTACAAACTGAATTGTATTAAAAAGCATTTATTTGTCTGCCTTATATATTAAAATGTGAGCTTACTGAAGGCAGGGATGGTGCTTTATTTCTCTTGGTATCCCCATATCCAGCTCAGGTTCTGGCATAGAATTGGTGCTTGATGTATGGCTGTTTGATCAGATGATTTTTACAGTTTTCTTTTTCTTGGAGAGTTTTCCAAGGACTGATAAGACTAAATCGGGGGTCAAGGAAGCCAGCTGGTTTGCAGAGGTAATAAGATGACAAAGACATCTGGTCCCCTGTTCCTTTCCCCACAACTAAGTATCACCGTTTGGTTACAGTTCCCTAGGTTCTAGAACCAATGCAACAATAAGCCCTTGGCATACCACTCTCCTCCAACCCTGAGCCAAGGAAAGGCGTTTCACTACTCAGTCACCAGTGTGTGTATGAATTTGAATTTCCATTTGCAATCAAGCTGAGGGTTTATGGTTTTTAAAAAATGAGCTGACTGCAGCGGAGAGTGCCCACCATATCTAGGGCTGGTGAGTGTGTGGCTTTGTTGAAGGTGAGATTAGAATCATGCACCAGGGACTGGAGGACCAAATTGCAGGGTCTTGGACACTGCCTGGTTTGGGTTTCTCCGGCAGAGCCCAGCAGGCAGCTTCAGCAGCACCCCCTTCACCCTCATTCATGTGCCTGACCTGCCTGTTTCACCCTCATCATCACGCCAGCAGGATTAAGGGAACCTGATTGCTCCGCAGAGCCTTGCTGGAGACCCAGCTGATCTTCAGGCCTCTCTAGGGCTCAGTCTCCCTGCTGTAAAAAGGACAAGTAATTCCTGAGTTTTTGGAAGGATTAGAAACCAGAGATGCAACGAGTCCAGTGCCATACCTCATCGAATGTGCCTATTAAATAGAAGCTGGGGCCAAAGGAATCAGCCAGGAAGTCTATGTGCCCTCACCATGTCCTTCCCCACCTACCATGCTCAGAGAGCTGTTCTGGACACCCAGGGGAGTTATAATAACAGCTCATATTCACTGAGTACTCACCGGCACTGTCTTAAGCACTTGGATGTATTAACTCAATCCTCTCAGCAACCCAGTGAAGCCTGCAGTATTATTATTCCCATTTCATAGATGAAGAAACAGGTTCAGAGAGGACACATAACTTATCCACGCACTAAGTAAATAGCCGAGCCACAGTTTGGATGCAGGCCTGGCTGACGCCATATCTTTTACTCATAACCTTGTTGCCATTCAACTTCTTGGGGACCCAGCTGGTACCACGTCCCTGGAAGCGTCTGCCCAGGCTGCCTTCTTTGGCCTTGCTCTTCCCACTGGGCTGTCCTCATCAGTTATACTGTGCTGCTTTTGAGGCCTGAATCCCACACTTCTAATCCTCAAGCAGCTATTGTCCATTCCTTTCCACCACAAGCTCCTGGGTGGGGGGGGGGCAGGCTGTAAAGTCATTCTTGGTTTCTAGCCCCAAACACCCATCTAGATGGAACTCTACTGTGGGTTCTTACAACTCCTCACATTTCCTTTGTTGTCAGAGTCATCAGGACATATTGGAATTTCTTGCTTAGTGAGGTGGTTATCTGTCTCATTTCCCTAAAGGACTGTGAACTGAGGCAGGGCAGTGTAGAGCACATAGTGGACACTCAGTAAGTGTGCTGATGAGACAGTCAGAGCTGATGAGACAATCAGAGGCAGGTTGTTTGGAGCCCAGGGCTCCCTTTCCTTTAGACCACCCTGTTGGGCATTCCCAAGGGCAGCTGGGGGCTGGGAAGACTGGAAACGGGTTAAGGGGCATCTTCAAGTAGGAGGCAGCCCCAGGCCCATCTGCACAATAATAATAGCTCTCCTTTACCGAGTGCTGGTTAAATGCTTTGTAGACATTACCATTTAATTATCACTGTAATATTGTATTTGAAGATACTGAGGCTCAGAAAGTAAGCAGCTGGGCCAAGGCTGTAGAGCAGGTAGGTAAAGAAGGCGGGATTAAACCTCAAGTCTACCTGACCCTAGGGCCCATCTTTTTGGAAAGCCCTTGTTACAGTGCTGGGCCCATTGTTACCATTCAATACATGTTAGATACTATTACTATTACTACAACTACGGTCTACTTGCTTTCAGCACCAGCCTCTTAGAAATATAAGAGAAACAATTCATACACTCTGCCACTCTCTGGCACCACTATACCCAGTGGGGGGAGTCTTTTCTCTTTGCTCCTCTGGCTGAAAGCACACACCTTAGAACCTGGTCCCCTCACTCAACCCATCAACCCAGCTCAGTGCCCTTCATCCAGGAGGGTAGGGAGGGAGAACCCTCTACCTCGAGAATGCACTGCATTGCCCTCCCTGGATTTATCTCCTTGGGTGGCATATGGCCTTGCACCCCTCCTCTCCATCTGCTGCAGTGTCGTGAGAGCTTCCCCAACAACAGGGGAACATCGGGGTGAACCTGCAAATAGAGGATTATTTCAGAGTCTTTATGCTTACAAAGACTCTGTCTCAGGGTTCACTCGCTTTGAGAAGGGCTTGGTTTTCCCTTGGACCCACAGAAAGCAAAGAGTGGGCTATGCAACGTGGGAGTTTCTCTACTTGAAAATGATGGCGTGGCTCTCAGAGCTCTTTTCTTACTCTTGTAAGTTAAGAGAAACAAAGGAAACTCATATTTATTTTTCCCCTGGACTCTAGAGAGCTCAATCTCCTGGACTGTCTTTTCATACTCCTCTTCTAAAAATGAGATTCTTTATCTTCTTTTCTTCTCTCCCACCCAAACACACACTTAGTTCTTAGAGCTTTGGGAGAAGGTGAGACCCCTTTGGCCTTCTCAGGTAGCTTAATGTCACATGAAAGATAGTCATGACCCACTATACATCCACAAATGTGAACTTTAGCCAAACAGCAGATGAGAGGGAAGGAGATGGAGTGGAACATGATGGGGTGGGATTGGAGAAACAGCCTAATTTGAGGTAGACTGAGCTCAAGTAGGAAGGTGTAAGTTGGGTAGGATCAAAGGTGGGTTGGGATGTGTTGGCACAGGATAGATAGAGTGAGACAGGTGATGGAATGGAATGGGATAGGATTGAGTGAGATGTGATGTCGGGGATGGGATCGAGAGGGTGGGGTGTGCAGTATTCAGGGGATTGACTGGGATGGGGGGTGAGGTGGGGAGGGAATGTGTTAGAAGACACTGGGGTGGGATGGGATAAGATGGGGTGGGTGGAGTTGGGGTCGAGTAGAATGGAACAATTGGGATATGATGGAGGGGAGGTGAGATGTATTGTGGTAGAATGGCATGAGATAGAGGTGAGTCAGATTTATTGGGATGGTTTGGGTTGGTTGAGTTGGAACAAGAGACTGGGAGATAAGATGGGGTTATTATATAACCAATTGAATAGGCACCAACTGAGTGGACATGAGGAAATGGGAAGTGAGGGAGGGCACTGGAAATACCTTGACCCGCCTCACATTGTTGTAGCATCTTCATCTTCCTGACCAGGACTTTGTGAACGTTGGTCAGTTTCTTTCTCACCTGAATTGTGAAATTTCCAGCAGACATAAAGTCTCCATTAGCCTTTGGTCCCATAAAGCATGAATCCTAAAATGCTGGAGGCTCCCTTTTCCTGCCATAAGGGATCATTCTTCAGGGAGACCCTGGGAGTCCCATGTGGCCACCACCAGGAAACCATCCGAAAAATATGCCTGGCACAAACCAGGAACCCCAGGGCAGCTCCTATCAAGTCCACCATCAGAGAAAGACATTGTGCCTACCCTAGAGCTAGCACAGTGGCTCCACTCACAGAAAGGAAAGCCGAGGATGGAGTAGGGGTTTACCTCCATGGCCCCCTCTGCTGGGCGAGTCTCTCTCCTAGAGACTCTCTTACTTTCCACCTGTTTGTGTTTGTATTGTTGGAAAATTTTAAACTGAATTTGTCTTTCAAGGGATGTCAGTCCCACCCTTGAAAAATCATTATTATAAGGAACTTTTATGATGCTAAAAATAATGTATGTATAGTTAAATTACTGAGAGCACCAAATTACTCTGAGAAATTTACTTGAGAATCTCCTGTGCCATCTAGAACAGAAAATAAGGGCTTATATTGCAACACAAATAGCCTTCCTACCTGCTAATGTCTAATTTATACCAATTAAGTGCAATTATAATCCATAAACCTCAAAAAATTATGTGTCCATCTTCAAGGTTTTCAAATAGAAAACAGAATAAGTTCTATTATTAAGTAGGTACATCTATTTATTGATTGAAAGTAAGTGAGTGTGACGGATGTAACTGTAAAGGGAAAAAGCAGAGACTTTGAAATTTGAGATACAAGTATATTATGAGAGAATGTGCAGACATTTTGTGCAGAATGATTGATGGCCCTTTCTGAGATGAGCAAGTGTGGTAGAGTCGACTCAGGCCTCGGGAGGTTTGTCTTCAGGTTGCTGCCTGACCCCAACCCTTTCCCTACCCCAGCCTCAATCTGTCTACCTACCAACCTTCATTGCTTCCTCCATTGCCATTTCAGGAATGGAGAGAGTTCAGTGATTGGGTGGGACTTGGTGATGGTGTGTGGACTTGGCAGTAAGAAAGAGATGACAGTTTAATGGTTTATTTTCAATTAATGCTAAAATGTTCCTAGCACGAAAACAGACATCTCAATGTTGGCATCCCCTCCTGCCAGGGACCTATGTGGCCCTATCCTCCTGGCCTTATCATATGTGCATTCCTAGAAGGGCTGACTCATAGCAGATCCTCAGCCAGGAGAAAGGCCTTGTTTGGCCTAGGAGTCAGGAATTCAGCCTTCCAGGCTTGGCTATGCCCCTAACCACCTATGTGAACAGAAGCCAATCGTTTCATCTTCCTAGGCCTCTATTTTCACACCTATAAAATGGGGATAATAATACACAGTGTGTCTATGCAATGATGGACTTGGAAGCTCTTTAAAAAAGAAGCGTCCAAAGAGAAGCCAGAGCTATTAGAATAAGACCAAAAAAGTTTCTAGTTTAAGCCCATCCAGTGGGAGATCCTGCCCAGGGCTCGGGCTGCTTGGCTTTCCAGGGATGGGGAGCTCACGACCTCTGCAGACAGCTTGCCAGGCTATTTTTCAGGTCTCAGGGGTGAGAAGGAGGGTGGGCTTGCTGAGCTTCTTGGCCTTGATCCATTCTTACCCTCCAGTGGCCTGTGGGACTGCTCCTGAAAACTCAAAAGGGAAGAAACAAGCCATCTCCATCCAGAGCCCATCAGACATCCTGGTCACAGCCTTTTCCCCAACCACCACCCACCCCTGGGCAGCAGCACTGTGAGTTCAGTCTCGGAGAGTTGACTGCTTGGGCTTCACTCTCACTAACACATTCGTCCAGGGTACCAGATCTGAATGAGGCCTTTAACTATAGCAAGAGGAAAATTCCCTGCATTCGAGAACCTCTGGGACTCACATCTCCTACGATATTTTGTTCTAAGGAACATGGAAAGAAGACAGTGTTACAGGGACAGTTTTCCTGAGTTACGTGGAAGGCACAGTTGACGTTTTCTGTTTTCTGCACCCCACCAAGTCTCAGGTGGGTAACATTTGAATTAATCCTACCCTCAGTCCATTAGCACTTTATGATCACCTCTCTGTGCAAAACTTCTCTCTTATTTACAAAGTTTGCCTCCCTTCATCCCCAATCCTGAAGCTAAGCTATCCCAATCCCAATAAGTACTCATTCTGATGTGTTTGATATATGTCTTCAAATATGCATGGATCCAGGCAGGGCGCGGTGGCTCACGCCTGTAATCCCAGCGCTTTGGGAGGCTGAGGCAGGCAGATCACGAGGTCAGGAGTTTGAGACCAGCCTGATCAAAATGGCAAAACCCCGTCTCTACTAAAAATACAAAAATTAGCCAGGCGTGGTGGTGTGCACCTGTAATCCCAGCTTCTTAGGAGGCTGAGGCAGGAGAATCGCTTGAACCTGGGAGGTGGAGTTTGCAGTGAGCCGAGATTGCATCACTGCACTCCAGCCTGGGTGATAGAACAAGACTCCATCTCAAAAAAAAAAAAAAAAAAGCCTGGATCCTTATAAAATGTGTAGGGTTGTTTGTATGTATATGTATTTTTTATTTCTATAAATGATATTGAAGTCTAAATTTCATCTGGTTTCTTACTTTATTTACTCAACTCCATATTTTGCATATCTCACCATGCTCATTGAGTGTACCTAGTCAGTGGTTTCTAACTGCTTCATTGCATTATGAGTTATACATCCATCACGTTTTACGTATCTGTTCCCCTGAGGATAGCCATCTAGCTTATCAGCAACTCCCCCTTACTCCACCACTAAAAGTTCTGAAGAACATCCTTGTACATTCCCATTTGGGACCCTGTGTGAGAATAGTTCTGGACTATATGATGGAAGATTTGGTCCCTGGGTTAGTGTGTTAATTTTTCATGTTCTGCCATGATGTTTTTCAGAGCACCATGGAAATGGTGTGCCAGGTCACATTTCCACTAAGAGTGCCCAAGAGTTTCTGTCTTCCCACGTCCTCATGAGTACCTAATATTAGCCACCTGTCCAATTTTGCCATTTTTAGGAGTGTAAAGTGCCATCTCGTTGTATTAATTTACACTTCTCTGATTACTAGCAAGTCTGTTAAGTCTAGTAAGCTTGTTAGCTGTTTGAACTTCTTTTCTTCTGAATTACCTATTTATATTCTTTGCCCATTTAAAAATTGGATCTCTTGCCTTAGAAATCTTCCGGTTGATTTGTAGAAGTTTTGTTTATAGTCTAGGTGTTGCCCTTTGTTAATTTTAGAAGTTGCAGATAGCTTCTTCTAGTCTTTAATCCATCTATTTGGCATATGGCAGCTTTCGTTGGACAGAAATGCTTCCTTTTGATATAGTCAGATCCATCAGTGTTTTTGGGGAGGTAGAAATTGAGATAGGAGGGCACTGATGAGCTAGAGAGCATGGTGGGGTCCCATGGGCCCACTCCCTTGCAGGGCTGGCTCTCTGTATAGAGGGCTCTGAGGAGTTCTAGAACCTTCCTGTCCATCCATCCTGGGCCCCCACATCCTACAGGAGGTTTCTGGCTCAAGGCCCTGTGTTTCCCGAAGGCCCCAGTTAAAGTACAATTTAATGGATGGATGCTATACCTAGAGAATGGGCAGGATTACTCCTTCAGCAGGCAGTTATTGAGTGCCTCTGTGCGCCTGAGCTCTCAGCAGCACTGGGGACATGGGCAAGTTTCAGTGCTGAGTGTACATAAGAGAGGCAGCTACACACAGGCTCAGAGCAGCATTATTCACAACAGCCAAATGGCGGAAGCAACCCATGTGTCCATGTGCAGATGAGTGGATAAACAAAATGTGGTATATCCATATGATAATCTTTCAGCTTTAAAAAGCAAGGAAATTCTGACACCTGCTACAGCATGGCTGAACCTTGAGGACATCATGCTAAGTGAAAGAAACCAGTTACAGGCCAGGTGCGCTGGCTCACACCTATAATCCCAGCACTTTGGGAGGCCTAGGCAGGTGGATCGCCTCAGGCCAGGAGTTCAAGACCAGCCTGGCCAACATGGTGTAACTCTGTCTCTACTAAAAATACAAAAATCAGCCGGGCACGTTGGTGCGCACCTGTAGTCCCAGCTACTCGGGAGGCTGGGTCACAAGAATCACTTGAACCCAGGAGGTGGAGGCTGCAGTGAGCCGAGATCGCGCCACTGCATTCCACCTGGGGTGACAGAGCGAGAGTCTGTCTCCAAAAAAAAATTAAAAAGAAAGGAGCCAGTTACAAAAGGGCAAATAAATACCTACCATATGCTTTCACTGATGTGTGAGGTATTTAGCACAGGCAAATTCATAGAGACAGAAAATAGAATGGTGGTTGCCAGGGGCTGGGGAGGGAGAGATGGGGAGTTAATCATTTAATGGGCACTGACTTTCAGTTTTGCAAGATGGAGAGAGATCTGTGGATGGATGGTGGGTGATGTTAGCTCAACAGTGTGAATGGACTTAATGCCACTACATTATATACTTCTAAGTGGTTCAGATTGCACACTTATGTTATATGTATTTTACCACAATTTTTATAAAAGAAGAGGGACAACTCTTTAGACACAAGGGATCAAGGAAAGCTCCCAGAGAAGGATGTTCAAGCCGAGACCTGCAGGATCAACAGGAGTGAGCAGGTGAAGAGGGGAGCAGGAAATGGCTTGCGACAGTGCAGGTTCATCTGCATGGGCTCCTGGTTGAGTGAGAGTGGGTTGTTCCAGGTCTGGAAGAAGGTTTGCTCACCAAAGAAGGGCATTGAGGAGGCTGGAGGATTTGGAGAAGGGGGATGGCTGGCTGGCTTGGCCGGCAGCCACAGGTCTCTGAAAAAACACAATGAGGGTAGGGTGCTACTGGCAAAGGCAGGCCTTGGTGAGGGTGCCTGGAGCCCCACATCAGCAAATTGGGGCTGAGGGGATCCTTTTTCTTCCACAAGTCCTCTACCTGGTGCCCTGGCCTCCCAGGGAGGGTAAACAGCTGAGTGAACAGTCAAAAGTACATGAAACCCATTCCATGAATCATGGATCATAAGTTATGGTTCTGTTCATCATGCCTCCATGAGAACATCACAAAACTTCCATCTAGAAAGGAAATAGGCCAAGTGTGGTGGCTTGTGCCTCTCATCCCAGCAGTTTGGAAGGCCGAGGTGGGAGGATTGCTTGAGGCCAGGAGTTTGAGACCAGCCTAAGTGACAAAAAGTGAGGCCTCTTCTGTATAAAAATAAATAAATAAATAATTAGCTGGGTATAGTGGCATGTGCCTGTAGTCCTAGCTACTCGAGAGGCTGAGGCCGGGGGATGGCTTGAGCCCAGGACTTGGAGGCTGCAGTGAGCTATGATTGTGCCACTACACTCCAGCCTGGGTGACAGAATTAGAAGACCCTGTTTCTCTTAAAAATGTGACTGAAAGAAAGGAAGAGAGAAGGGGGGGGAGGGAGGGAGGGAGGAAGGAAGCAAGGGAGTGAGGGAGGAAAGAAGAAATAAAAGAAAAATAGAAAGTCTACCTACTTGGGCTGAGTCAGCAAGTCCTTTCCAGGTGCTGTCTGTGGGGAGACCTGCTATCTTCTACCTTGTCCAGGCCATGTGTGCCTGTCAACCTTTTGTTCCTTCCGCCTCTCTCCTTTCCTCTCCCTTCTCTGCCAATCTCCTCCACTTATGTCTTTTCCTTTCTTTTCCTGTCCATCCCCTTCCCTAGTCCTGCTACTTCCCAAGAAACCAGGATTCCCTCTCATTGTAAGTCATCCTCCTCCCCATCCTCAGCCTTGCCATCTGTGAGAGCCTCTTCCTGACCTTTCACCTTGCTGCCTCCACCCTCACCCCAGCCAGGACCCTCCCCTCCGTGGCCTTTTCTTTAACCAGGCTTCAA
This sequence comes from Homo sapiens, assembly GCF_000001405.40. Taxonomy (NCBI): domain Eukaryota; kingdom Metazoa; phylum Chordata; class Mammalia; order Primates; family Hominidae; genus Homo; species Homo sapiens. The sequence continues at coordinate 34,151,380 of NC_000001.11, read as the reverse complement.
CCCCATACCTCTGTCATCAAGGTGGCTTTTTAAGGCCTTTAGCTGCTCCCGTCTGCCTAGGAGCATTGGGACTGGCTCATGGAACACTCACTGAGTACCTAGTGCAGTGGCCCTGGGTTGGGGGTCATGGACACAAATACCTTTTAAAACCAAGTTCCTTCCCCCAGGGACAGTTATAAGCTACTAAAGGCCAAAGGAGCTCCAAGCACAGCAGAGGGGGAGAGGGGAAGAAGGAAGACTTCATTCAGAAGGTGCCAGCAGGCTCTTCAAAAGTGAGCAGGGATTCGGTTGAAGGAGAGCAATTTGCAGGTAGAATATCTTCGAGGGAGCAGCTAGACAAAGACTTAAAGCAGCAGGCTGTGCTTGGGAGATGTCAAGTTTGCATCCCCCGCCCCCCCTTTATCAGCATCATAGTCTTCCTTGTGGAAGCTGTCCCTTAGTTTTTATTTTTATCTTTTTTATAGGCAGAGTCTTGATCTGTCACCCAGGCTGGAGTGCAGTGGTATGATCATGTCTCAATGTAACCTCGACCTCATGGGCTCAAGTGATCCTCCTGCTTCAGCCTCCTGAGTAGCTGGGGCTATAGGCACATGCCACCACCCTTGGCTATTTTTTTTTCTAAACTTTTTTGTAGAAATGGGGGTCTTGCTATGTTGCCCGGGCTAGTCTTGCACTCCTGACCTCAAGTAATCTTCCCCCTTCAGCCTCCCAAAGGGCCAGGATTACAAGCGTGAGCTGCAGTCCCTGGTTGGCTGTCCCTTGTTGAACACTCAGGCCCTATGCTTAGTGAGAGCTGCTCATTCCTCCCTTACCCCTTACAAAACTCCTAAGAATTCTGTCATTTTGCAGTTGAGGAAACTGAGGTTTAAGGAAATTAAATTACTTGCTAAGACCACACAAGTAGGGAGGGGGAGAGCCTGGATTTAAACCTAGTCTAATTCTAGAGCCCATAGGCTTAACCACTGTACAGGTTTCCCAGTTAAAAATGTAGATTCTGGCCAGGTGCAGTGGCTCACGTCTGTAATCCCAGCACTCTGAGAGACTAAGGTGGGAGACTTGCTTGAGGCCAGTAGTTCAAGACCAACCTGGGCAGCATAGTAATACCCTGTCTCTACAAAAAATAAAAATATTAGCTGGGTGTGGTGGCGGCACACGCCTGTAGTCCCAGCAAGTCAGGAGGCTGAGGCAAGAGGATTGCTTGAGCCCAGGAGGTCAAGGCTGCAGTGAGCCATGATTGCACCACTGCACTCTAGCCTGGGTCACAGAGCAAGACCCTGTCTCAAAAAAAAACAAAAAAAAAAGAAAGAAGAAAAATGTAGATTTCCAGGTCTTCCTCTGATTTTCTGAATCAGAGGATCTGAGAGCAGGGTGCAGGGATCTGCGTCTTTAATGAGTTCTTCCTGCTTACCTTCTGATGACCCTGGTCTTAACCCCACTCAGGAATGACTAGAAGAAGGGCTCAGGTCCTGGGTGTCTTTGAGCAAAGGCTCTGCCTCCACAAGTCAGCCCACACCTGGGCTACCTTTGCAGCACCGCCTTCCCCTCCCTCTGTCCCTCCTTTACAATTAGCCCTGGTGCTGGTGCCATAAGGACATGTTCCCAGGGAGTGCAGCAGCCCAGAGGTTGTCACCAGGCTGACCAGATTTGTGTTGATGAGATTAGGCAGCCCCCTGGAAGAGCCTGGGAAGGCACCAGCCCCAAAGGCACGCATTAGCATTCCTAAACTGCTTAATACACTTCACAAAAGGGCTGTTGGTGAGGGTTGGCCTGACAGCTTGGAGCTCCTGAATCACTAAGTCTTTCCTCCAGCCCTGGATTTGTTAGGTGAGAAATCAGGACACTCAGGGGAGTCTTATCCTCAACTTCTTCCGTGTACTAATTCCCATTATTCTGGATTTAATACTCTCTGAAGGGCAGACACACAGCACTGAAATGCCGTTTTCTTCGGGCCTGTTGGTGGGGGGCAGCTGGCATTTCAGGATGAGGCATTGCAGGCAGGCTGAGGTGAGGCCAGCCAGCCGGGAGATGAGGAAGCTACAGAGGGTGGGGCTGAGGAGGCCAGGGTCCAGCCTTCACTTTCTCCCTGGCTGGAACAGGACCTCGGACCCAGGGCGGGGAGCAGGCAGGGTAGAAGGACCCTAGCTCAGTGAAGGGGTATTTAGAGAGTCTGTGGTCCCAGTGAGGACCCAAGGGGCTCAGCAGGGAAACTGAGGCAAATGGCCAGTTATGCAAATAGGGCTGTGAAGGTAGGAAGCACAGTAACACTGGGAGGCCCAGAGATGGCATTCATTCATTTATTCAGCCATTCCTGGGGTTTCATTCATTCCTTGGGTTTGAGGAAGTAAAGTAGGGACTAGTAAATAAATGCTCGGGGAGGGCAAAGGTTTCATGACCAGATGAGTGTGGGAAACACTAGACCCTTGGCTTCTGAGGTGTGGTTCAAGGCCTTGCCAGGAAGCTTGTTAGAAATGGAGCCTCTTGGACCCCATCCGCCACCTACTGCACCTAAATTTTAACAAGATCCCCAGGTCAATTCCTGTGCCTGTGAGAGTCTGAGAAGCACTAGGCGGTGCATTCTCTGAGCACAGACTTTAGAATAAGGCCGACCCCAGCAAACCTTCGTCCTAGTTCATTCTTGGCCTCAGTTTTCACATTAGTAAAATGGGGCAAAAATCCTGACTTCAAAGTCATGCTTGTAAAGGTCCATGCTTGCAGAGTGCCTGGCTCAGAGCATGCAGCTCTCCTGCCCCTTTGTCCTGATGAGTCTGTGCCCCACTGAAGGAGGGGGTTTGGCCCTTTTGTTCACTGCTGTGTCCGCAGATGTAGCACAGTACCTGCAGCATGGTGGATGCTCAATAAATATTGTGAATGAATGAATGAATGAATGAATTACACGTCAAGTGGTTGTCAGATCAAACTGAACATGCTGGAGACTGCTTTCGGGAGCAGCAAAGATGCAATTTTCCTTTTGTTTTCTGTTGCTGCACCAAATTACGGCAGATTTTTCAGAGTGAAGGATTGCTGAGAGACTGGGCAAGGGGCCGGTGGAGGTTTTTGATGCGGAGCAATGAGATAGTTGCTCTGTGTCTGCCTGTGTTTCAGGAAAATTCTGTTATTACTGAAATCTTTGGTTTGAAAGCCACTGTTAGAACTAAATATTTTGGGAAATGTTAGCCATTAACACCTTAGTAAGAATGAGCCGATTAGTCCAGAAAGTAGGATCAGGTAGGTGGCAAGGGGGTAGACTTCTATGGATCTGGACCCTCCCAGTGTCCCTGGGCCTCAACGAGATTTTGAACCTAGAAGTTCATCTTACCCAATGCTGTGCCTCTCTTTACTCTTGCTCCAGCCCTTGTGGGCCCCTCCCTCTCAACTCAGTCCCTAGAGTGTCCTGCCTCTGGCTTTCGACCACTCTGGACCACAGGCTCTGTCCTGGGGCCATTCTCATCTCTGTGGCAGCCTCACCCGCTCACTCTCTTGAACAACCTTGTGTCCTACTTCATAGAAAAGTTGACACTAAAGGAAACAGCTGCGTGAGCCTTGCTGCTGAATTTGTGCAGGGAAGCGCTGAGGACACCATACCCTGTGTTACGCAGGGACGTCACTGCCATAATTGGCATCCCTGTGCCCCATTTCTCTAACTCCTCCCTCCCCTCTGTTTCCCTCCCATTAGCCCATGCACACACTTTCTTTGTGTCTTAATAATACACTAAAAAACAGCCCCTCCCTGACTGCACCCACTTTTGGCTGTCACCCCGTCTCTCTCCTTTCCTCCCCAGCCATACTTCCTGAGATGGTGTCTGCCAATTCATTTCTCAGCACCTGTTACCTGGCTTACACCCTCCTCACTCCGGGGGAGGTGCTCCAGCCTAGGGCACCACATGACTTCCTGTTTACTAAATCCAAGCATCTCTGCCGGCTCCTAGACCTTCCACAGTCTGGCCACAGCCAAGCTTCCTGACCTTCTGACCATCCTCCTCCCTCCCCTCCCCCTCTTCAGCGTCTGACACTGCCCATCACTCCTTCCCACTTAACATTTGCTTTAATATTGGAGCTTCCAGCATTTGCCTTGACCTTCTCTTTTTATTCTTTATTTCTTTATTTTTTTATTTTTTTATTTTTTGAGATGGAGTGTCGCTCTGTCACCCAGGCTGGAGTGCAGTGGCACGATCTCGGCTCACTGCAAGCTCTGCCTCCCGGGTTCATGCCATTCTCCTGCCTCAGCCTCCCGAGTAGCTGGGACTACACGCGCCTGCCACCATGCCCAGCTAATTTTTTTGTATTTTTAGTAGAGATGGGGTTTCACCATGTTAGCCAGGATGGTCTTGATCTCTTGATCTCATGATCCGCCCGCCTCGGCCTCCCAAAGTGGTGGGATTACAGGCATGAGCCACCGCGCCAGGCCTTATCCTTTATTTCATTCGCTCCTATGGCTTTCATGCCACTGTCCAAATGCTGAGACTCTCCATACTTAGGTCTCTAATGAAGACCTTGCTCCTGAACTCCAGAACCGCATAACTCCCCACTCCACACACTGAAGTCTTCATTCCTGCTGTCACCTATATGACTCTCTCCCACCCCCAGAAACTTTACTCTCCCAAACTTTTGTGGCCCACCTCTATGAATTGCTTCATGCATCTTCACAGTCATGCATCTTCCTAAGCCAGAAACCTGGGACTCATCCTGGAATTCCACCCCTCTCTGCTCCCTTTCACTAACCACATCTTATGGATTTTACTTCTCAAATCATTCTCAAGCATTTTTCTGCATCTTTGCTTGGCTTGGAACTCACCCCTTTTCTCCTGAACAGTTGGAACATAGCACTCTTACAACTGCAGTGGCAGGGCTATGGCCTCCCACATCTGTCCTAGCTTCTTCCAATAGGTGGTTCCTGCTTCAGTCAGACAAAGGGAGTGACTTTACTCTTTAGAATGGAAGAGGAGGGACAAGACAAAGGTCAATGAGAAGTTGGTACCTCTTGAAGAACTGGCAAAGAGTTTGAAGCTTTTGGGTTAAGACTGGCTTTGGAAGGTGCTTAAACTGATATGCCACTAACACCTGCTCCCTGCTGGGGCTCTGATGAGTAGGGTAAAGACCTAGAATAATGGTCAAAGGGAAAAGTACTGATTCATTTATTAATAGCCAGGCGTGTGCCTGATACCCCTCAGGGCACAGGTCCTGAGCTGGGCTCTGGTGGTACATTCCTGTAATCCTGGTGACTCGGGAGGCTGAGGTGGGAGATTCACTTGAGCCCAGGAGTGATCATGCCATCGCACTCCAGCCTGGGTGACAGAGTGAGACCCTGACTCTAAACAAACACAAATTACTGGTCTTTGGTGTATCATGTTGAAGAACATGGCTTGGCCTGTTGAGGCTGAATGGAGCTTTCCACCTCCTTTCACCATGAATCTAAATCTTGAGAATGGAGCACTCAGGACATCTGCAGAGTTAGGGCTAGGATTGTGCCTCTCGAGAAGCCTCAGTGTCCACTTTCCCAGCCAGCTCTTGGCACGAGAATGATGGGGGGCTTGTTCTACTCATCAGTTTCAGGTAGAACAGGCGTCTGGTCCCTTGGAAGCCCTCCCTAGCCTGGGCAGAAAGGAGGTCCCCCTCTCCTCTGTGTGCTGAGACTGCCATGGGGAGGGGAAAAGACTCCTAAATGCCTCCCCGTTCCTCGACACAACCTAACTTTGTTATGGCGCGGGATGTTCTCCCGTTCTCTGAGTTCCTCCCAAGAGTCTTGTGTTTCAAGGCACTGTTTCTACCAGGCTGCACTCATTAAGAAGGACATGGATTCATTTCCCCATTTCTATTTCTGTGTTTTCAGGTCTGCTGGTACAGATCAGCTCTCCCCAGATCCCACCTACCCTACAAAAATTACACTGGGAGATGCTGCCAAGGGGCAGGGAGGAGGTTCATTAGCATTCTCAGCTGCATTCAGAGCCACCCCTCCAGGCAGCAAGAGGGCAAAGCCATGGCCGAGTGAGGAGGTGCCACTCAAAGAAGCAGGCATGCAGCCCTCCTGCCTTTCTGCTGTCCTGGTACAGAACCTCAGCCCCTCCCAACTTCTTATGGCCTCGACTTTCCTTTATCCCCCATATGTGGTCTGAGTTGAGGCCATGAGCTATACACTTTCCTAACTTGGGTGGTTCTGTTCTTTGGCCCTGGGAAAAGGCATCTTCTTAGGACCTCATTCTTATTCACTTTGTCTAAGATTGAGGCTACCCTCATTCATCCCCCAAATGCACCTCATTTCACTTTCCTCTTTCAAAGAAGCAGGCAGCCTTGCCAAGGGGCTAAAGTTTCTCATGCAGTCAAGCGGAGGGGTTGGGGAACCACCATCCCTTAATTGGCAAGCCTCTGGTGTCCCCCAAGGGCCACAGCTCGGTCTCACCGATCAGAGTGGACAAAGGGCAGTGTGACCTCACTGATTGGGAATAGTTCCAGCCCAAAGCAGACACTTGGCATTTATTTGGCCTGTGCATTTTGATCGCGGTTAAATGCAGTTTCTGTTAGGCTCTTTGAAATATTGAAAATAGCTCACAAACTCTCATTACTGCCTTTGAAGAGCCACAGGGGTCTGGGAACCCCAGGCAGGGAATGCCGTTCTTGTCCAATTTCTCCTCTACACCCTCAACACCCCCTCCCTTACTTCCCCTCTCAAGTTTGGAATGAACTGCCTAAAAAACACAAGAGGAGTCACATGGAGAGATCAAAATGTCAGCTTCATTACCTTACCGATAACGCTGATTGGAAGACATGGCTTTGGATATGTGGCAAAATTGTCTTGTTAATACATCACTCTTGAATTGAAGAAGTTACCCACTCATTCACCAGCAAAGGAAACAGCCTCAGGCTTCCCTCACAGGAGCAAGGCTTGCTGGGTAAGTTAAGGGGGTGCAAGGTGGGTTGGGGCTGAGCTAAGTATGCCAAGTTATTTCCCCACAAATGCCCTTTGGACAAGTCACTCTTCCTCCAAGGTAGGGAGAGAGTTAAGGGTCAGAGAGAGACTGGAAAAATGTGTGCCACTGGTACTTGGTCCTCTGGAGCATGGACTGGGAATTCATTCCCCTCTGTGGAGACAAGAGTAGGATGAACATGTTCTCTCCTAACACTGCATGGTGAATCTGGACCTGAGCTGGTTGGCACCGCCTGCAGCTGGAGGTAACTGGGACAGGCAGGACCTGTCCCACCCCATCAAGAGGAATGGTAGGAGCCCCACCCACCTTGGACTCAGCTGTAGATACCAGACAGCCTTGGAGGTTTCTCAAAGCTGTTATCCAGACTGAGAGGAGATGTTGACTAAGACATTGATCATCTGGCCCGCTTATCTCTGTGGCATATTTAAATAAGAAAATAAATTGTTAATTTTTCTCTACCCTTCATTGTCCCCTGGAAGAGTAAATGGAGAATATATTTCAACTAGGTGGATTGTTAGGAAATGGGACAATGGTTTAAAATGCATCAGCTCTGGAGTCAGACCTGATTCTCCTTGGTTAACTCCTTGATAGAAACTGATGTCAGATTAGGGCCGGGCATCACACATTTGCTTTGCAGACAAGGGGCCAAAATTGACTTGAATAATAGACCCAAGGCAAGAGGAGCAGGCTGGAGATGACAGAGACAGTTACTAGTATAAAGCAGTAGCAACACCAAGACTTTTCCCCTCCTTCCTTCCTTCTTTTTTTCTCCCATCTGTGTATATGTTTAACCAAGTTGTGTTGAGCTACCACCTTGTGCCAGATACCATGCTGGGTTCTGGGATATAGAGTTTGATGACATGCATGGGATCTGTCCTTTGGCCCACATCCCCCTAAGCTTTCAGTCTTTCTAATATATCACCTGCAGAGTGGACAGATAATTACACAGATAATTTAAAAGCAATGTGGTGAGCATCACAATAAAGTTTAACACGGGGCAAGGAGAGGGGTTATGGGAGCACACAGGAAGGTCAGGAGTCTAGCCAGCGCCTATCAGGGATGACTTCCTGAAGGAGGCAATGTTAAACTGAGACCTGGAGGTCTAGGGGGCAGTTAGTGTAGAAAAGACTGAGAAGAGTCAATCGCAAGTTTTTCACCTGGTAAAGCTATTATTGTTAATGGCCTGGGAGGCTGCTGCTCTGGGTGGACAGGCACTGGGACCCGTGAGGTGCCAGTCTCATTCTGACTCTGATTATGTTGAACACGTTGCTGTACCCAGGCACTGTGCTAGATTTTTATATGATTATCATATTCAGTGGGCTCCAGACCCCACTGAAGGTAGGTAGTATAATGATTCTCATTTTATAGACATAGTCTGAGATTTGGTGGAATAAGATGACTTGCCCAAAGATCACACAGCAGGTAAAGGATGGAGCTGGGACTGTTGTTACCACATAACAGCATCCACATGCGGTTTCTTAATCATGTTTTTACAGCTGTTTCCACACAGCACACAATGTCGCAGCCCTAGATAGAGTCCAGCAGTGGCACAAATCACAAACCATTTCAATAATAATAGCACTGATAATATCATCTTCATGTATGGAGTCCCTACCATGAGCCTCTGTGCCAAGCATTTTGTATACACCATCTAATATAAACCTTAAAACAGGTCCGTAAGAGAGATGGCATTATTATCCCCATCTTGCAGAGGGGCAGATCGAGGTTCAATCATGTTAAGTAATGTCACAAAAAGTCACACATGGTTGGTAAATGTTGGAGTTACATCCAGGGCTGCATGACTCCAAAGCCCATGCTGCTGAGTGGAACACTATTTCATTCCTGATACAATTTCATGCAAGAAGATGGAGAGAGGGGGCCATTCTCTTCTTCCATCACCCCCTGCCACTTTCCAGGCCTTCGTTTTCTCATCTCTATAAAGGAGACAGCCTTCTGCCTGCCTTGAACAGAGATGGTGACGGGATCACCAGGGTTTTGCAAAGGCCAATTCCGCTGGGCTTGTAAGGTGCTTGCAGCTGAATTTCAGGACTTGCGTCTCCTGGGGCACCAGGTGGCTTCTGAAAGGAGACTGAGGGGGCAGAGAAGAGCCGATCTTGGGCCTTGGCTCCAAGGACAAGTTGTCTGATTTGATCCTGCAGACCGTTCATCTCTGGATGAGTGTACCCCCATTTGCTCGTAGTTATTAGATGTGTAAAGATAACCTATTTGGAGACTGAGGGGGCCGCCAGGACAGGATGACCCATCTCTTCCCCAAAGGCCGTGGCAGCAAAAGAATGGCTCAGAGAAGCTGCTTAGGGACACTTCATGACTCACACATGCAGCAAACATGTATGGGGTGGGCCCTGTACAGTGTCACAAAGAGGGAAGACAGCATCCCTGCCTTAAGGAGCTCACATTTCTATGAGGGAGGCACATCAGAGCAGTCACCGTGCAACGTGGTGCCCAGAAACCTGGTGGTCACCCTTGATACCTCTTTCTCCCTTTCCTTCTCTCCCCACATCAAGCCATGAGCAAATCCTGTTGGCTCCACCTTCAAAATAAATCCAGGATCCCAGCCCCTGGTGCCACCCACATCACACCCAAGGGTCCGAGCCATCTTCTTCTTTTGCCTGGACCCTTCCCTGGTTTCCCTCCTTGCATTCTCGCCTATTTCCATTTTCCTCCAACCTGGCAGCTGGAGAGCTTTGAACATGGTTAGGCAGATCATTCATTCCCCTGGCATCATTCAGAAATAAGTCAAGGTCCTTTCCATGTGCTCACCCCTCATTTTCTTCCTGACCTCATCCCCCTAAGACTTGCTCCTGCTTACTCTGCTCCGGCCAGTGGCTTCTCTGCTGTTCCTCAGACACACTGGGTGTTGGGGCATGCATGCAAATAGATTTGGGGCTCTCCATCCCCTGGGTAGCCACAAGGCCCAGCCATCACTTCAATAAATTCTTGTTCCAACGTCACCTCCTTGGAGAGGTTTCCTCAACCCCCTCATCCACAGTAATCCCTTCCTTCGCTTACCCTGCTCTGGCTTCCTTCATAGTTCTTAGAACCACCCAACATAGGATGTATGCATTTTGAAACATTTACTGACTTCTCAAGCAAATCCCATGAGATCAAGGAGCTTGTCTATCTTGTTCTCTGTGGTATGCCCAACTCCTAGAACAGTGTCTTCCACATAGTAGGGGCTTGATGAATATTTATGGGATGTTGAATGAATGAATACAGAGGGAGAACCAAGACATGAAAACCCAGTAGATGGAGTTAATAACTCCAGTGTATGGGGGTGGGTGGGGGGTATGGGTAGGTTCACTGTTGGGTGATGTGACATTTGAGATGGGACTTAAAAGGTGGAGCAGGTAGTTTTCAGGGGAGGAAAGGAGTGGGATGTATCCCAGGAAGAGCCTCCAAACCTCAAAAGGCCCTATATTCACAGGAGGAAATGAGAAGTTCTGTGTGTTCGAGTGTTCCTTGTGTGTGTGTGGTGGCTGGGGCTGCAGGAAGTGAGGCTGGAGGGGGACAGGTTGTAGAGGAGGGGAAAGGCTGTTCAGTGGGAAGTGATTATGAGCCTGGTCTCTGGAGCTAGCCCAGCTGGGTTCAAATCCCAGCCCCACGTGAAAAACTTATAAGTCACCCTGGGAGGAGGGTATGAAATCTTTGCTTAGGACCTCAGAGAAAAGTGTTGTTCTCTGTTCTATATTCTCAGAGGCATAGATTGGAGATTGGGAGAGACCCAGGCTTAAATCCTGTCCCTGCTTGGTACTAGCCTGTGTAAGGGGCATAGTAATCTCTTTAGGCCTCAGTTCCCCATCTCTAAAACAGGAACAGTAGTGCCTCATTCACAAAACCTTTGTAACAATGCAGTGAGATGATATACATGATGCATTTACCTAGGCCTGGCCTGGTACTCCCTCGTGGTTGCCAAGGTGATGGGACCTGCTAAACACAGTGGGATCCGAGGCATTGGGAGAACACTTGCCTTGAAGCTCTTGGTGAGGCTGCAGGTGTTCTCTAGACATTTGCCAGGCCTTGCTTGCAAGTGGCGGTGCCTTTGCTCGGAGAGCCAGAATTTCAGCCTGCTGTCCCCTTCAAGCTCACAGGGCCATGCTTTCTTCTGCCGCTGGGTTTTTTTTTGTTTGTTTGTTTGTTTGTTTTTTTGCATATGCCGATTCCTCTGTCTGGAGTATTATCTTCCCCTTTCACTGCATTAACCATGGCTCAAGTTTCACTTCCTCAGAGAAGGCCCCCTGCCCCCGCAGTCTAAATCATTCTCATAGAATTGTGTGTCTTGCCCTTGGATAACTTATCTCAGTTGATCATGATACATTGATCAAAGCCATTAATTTATTATTATCAAGCTTGCTGTCTAGACTGGAAGCTTCAGGAGGTCAGGGACTTTGCCTGGCTTTGCTTATTATCCTACCTCTGGACCATGGATGGTCCCTGGCAAATAGTAGGCCATTAGTTAATATGAAGAATGATTTAGGGACCATGGAAATGACATGCACAACTCTAGTAAAACATTGCCTTTGCCTGTTCCTTCCCACACAAGACTGGCAGGACAGGGGAGCCACTTTACCCATGAATCTCACAGCTTTAGGAGGGATGCCAGTTTGTCTTTTTAATTTATAACAACAACAACAATGAATAAGATGTACTCAGTGCTCCAGCCGCTGTGCTAAGTACTCTGTAGACATTATTCCTTCACTTAATGGAAACATCATTATTACTGAGAGAAAAGAAAGATGCTGAGAAGTTTGTATAATGTGGTACAATTTTAAGGAAACAAACAATGGCAAACCCCTACTGTATATGTAAATGTGTATATGTGGGTATGTCAGTTTATGTTTGTGACTCTGTCTGCTTTCTGTAGCTTATAACATAATTACCACAAAAATCTGAAGCCTATAACAAAATTGCCACAAACTTTCTGTTGCTTATAATAGAATAACCACAAAATTCTAAAGAACAAAATTACCTGAAGACGGATAATTTATAAAGAAAAGGAATTTATCTCTTACAATTCTGGAGGCTGAGAAGTCCAAGGTCGAGGGGCTGCATCTGGTGAGGGCCTTCTTGCTAGTGGGGACTCTCTGCAGAGTCCCATGGTGGCACAGGGCATCACATGGTGAGGGGGGCTGAGTGTGCCAGTCCAGGAGGTCTCTCTTCTTCTTCTTACAAAGCCACCACTTCCACTCCCATGATAACCCATTAATCCATTAACCCATTACCCCGTTAATCTATGAATGGATTAATCACCCCTGAGAGCAGAGGCCCTCACCTTTTAAAGGCCCTGCCTCTCAATACTGCCACTTTGGGGATTAAGTTTCAGCACAAGTTTTGGATGGGACAAACATTCAAATGGTAGTAGTATGCATGTGGTTTTATAAGAAAACATAGAGATTTGGGAAAATAAAAACTAGACTTCAATATGGGTTGCCTAGGAGTGAGTGTTGGTTAGTGGGTCATGGGGTTAGGTGAGGATGGGGGGTGATGGAGAGGAAGTCGAATATGAAAAGGAAAAATAAAAATAAAATTTCACTGAAATCCCAATATGATACACAAGAAGATCATATTTATGCATTCATGCAAGGTTATATATGAATGTGTATGTAAAAATATATAAAAATTGTTTCAAAAAAAGGAGTATATGCTGGCAAGGGTGCAGTGTGATGGGCACTTCAATAAACTGCCTGTAGGGGTGTAAATTGTTACAAACTTGCTGGAAAGCAACTTGGCACTATATTATCAACAGCCTTTAAAATATTCATATATTTGGACTCGATATTTCATTTCAAAGAATTTACCCTAAAGAAATAATCAGACATGTAGTCAACCATTTATGTAGAAGATGCATAGCATTACTTACAAAAGAGGGAAAAAGTGAAAATGAAATAAGTGGCCAACCGTAAGAGAGAAGTTAAGCTGTTACATCAGAATCTTAATTGAAGTCTCTTGACAGTCCTGTAGATATGGTTACTCTTACCACCTCCGTTTTACAGATGGAGAAAACAGAGGCTCAGGGAGGTGAAGGAGGTTGGCTGCAGTAACACAGCAAGTGGTGTAGCAGGATTTGAACTTCTACATATTTGCAAACATATGAGATTCCTTACCTTAGTGACAAGCTTGTGATCAAGGTAAACATCTGTCATTCAAATCCCTCTCCTGGAGGAAATCGTACAGTTCCAAAGTACAATGTACATGCCTCAAACCCTTAAAACCTTGATCTGGGACCTGCTTAACCATAGTATGTGGAGGGACCCCCCAGAAGGATCATAAAAGGGACTTCACTTTCTTTTAAATAAATAGAAAGCTTGTTTAGCCAGCACCTGACATAGACTTACCACTTAGTAAATACTACAACTTATGATTCACATGATTGTGTTTTCTTGGTTAGAGAATCAGTTCAGAAAATGGGATGTTTTCTTGCTTATCATTCTGGTTTCCCCTACTTGGTTTAGCTTGGAAATTGTCCTCTTAATAGCAGCTTGTTGGAGTGGCAAGGCTGAAGCTTTAGAGTCAGACTGGGGTTTGAATTCTGATACTGCTTCTCAGCAGCTGTGTGATTTTAGACAAATTACTTAACCTCTGTGAACGCAGTTTCTCCTCTGAGCCCCTTTACCTAACTCAGAGAATTGCAGGGAAGATGAAATTAGGTGTCAAATAGAAAGCACTTGACAAGTCCCTGTCTTGTATTAGGTGTCTATTACATGTTAGGTTCCTTGCCTTCCCAATTGGAAAGCACAGTCTTCAGTCGAAGCACTGGATTGTGAGTTGCTTTAGCCAGGTTGGGCCAGGTTGGGCCAGGCTGGAACAGGCTATACACTGGGCCAGGAGCGCTGGTGTCATGGCTAGGGCTTCACCCCAGGCTAGAGTTCAAAGGCAGAAGGGTGAAGGAGGGAAGGGAGCATAGTTAGCTGGGCCCAGAATGGACACTGGAGGTTACAGGGTAGTTTTGAGCCTGATGTGTTTACTCTTACTGGTAGCTAGAAGTCCCAGCTGGTCAGAGACCAGCGGGGGAATCTGGGCATGAGAGGAAGAGAAGGGATATAAGTGTGGAAAAAGACTTGCTGTTAAGAGTGCTCAAAGATGTTCTGGTGAAAAGAGCTTAGTGGGCCTTGTTGAAAAAGTAATAAGGTTTCAGTCACTTTTTTTTTCTTATACTCACTGGGCCTTGCTTGCCGCAGTCTCTTTGCCTCCAGAGAGATAAGTAAGTCTAGGCTATGGGGTGGGATGAAGAGGTGCAATTGCTGAATGGATGGGTGGACGGATGGATGGGATGGATAGAGATAGTGGGTGATGGAAGAATGGATAGGTGGATGGGATGGATTGCTAGAGAGCATTGATGGGTATTTGGGATCAATGAATAAGTGGATGGGGTATTAGATGGGGGGATGGATAAATGCATGGATGACTAGGATGGAAGGATGTGTTTGATTGATGAGTGGGTAAAGTGGAAGAATAGATGGGCTAGATGGGATCAATGGATGGAATGGATGAGTGAATGGAAAGATGAGTGGAAGGGTGAATGCATGGATGGCAGGATTGGCTTGATAGAGATTATAGCCATGAAATGAGATGGCTGAATGAAACAAATGATGGAATGGACAGCAAGTAGATTCATGGGATGAGTAGACATATAGACAGATGAATGTACAAGAGGAAAGACCCATGGTTGGTAGATGGAAGGATGATTGAATAATAGATGGATCGGAGTTTTCATAATTTATTGTTTAAGCAAACTCATTTGGGGATTGGCTGGACAAAAAATGGTAATAAAGGCTGAACTGGATAATTTTATTAAAGGCATCATGGGAATTGACAAGCGAATGATGCAGAGAGGAGTCCAGGCTCCTATCCCAAGGAAGTTTCTCTAACAAGTGCCGTTAATGAAAAATCATGATATGTCAGGCCTGTAACCCCAGCACAGACCATGTTCACATAGCTCTGTGAAAGACTGTGTCTGTTCTCATGCACAAACACTGTCTTCATGATCTCTGATCTGCAAATATGGGATACGTCCACACTGGCGTTCACACTCACATGTAATATTTAATAGATAACACTTGTTCACACTTTTTTTGGAACCAAAAGAAACTCAATGGCTAACATCCACAGCACATTCAACTGAGTGGGCTGAACCCACAGGAAGGAAAATCAAGTGGCTTAGGGGTTGCCTTGTTTAATGGATGTGAGGTTTTTTCTTAGTTAAATAAGTAATTTATTTTGAAAGTCACCAGTTCAGTGAAATAGTTTTTAAGTTTTCTTTACTAGAGCAACCTGTGTGACTGAAGATAAAGTATAGACCAGATCTCTGAGTTTCTCAGGCAGGGCCTGGATAGTCTTCAGGATGCAGTTACCCAAATGACCTAATTTTTCTCCCCTTCCAGCCATGCCTCTCTCTCCTGCTTGCTCCTTCTCTTCCCTTTAAGTTTAATTAGTTATAACTACTTTTTAATTACTATAGAAGTAATACATGCTCAGGGCAAAAATTCGAATGGCATAGAAGAGCATATGGTGAAAAAAGCCCTTCTCCCCACTGCAGAGCCCAGTCCCACTTATCAACAGTTTCTTCTGAATTACTTCAGAAATTTTCAAAACATGTAAGAAAATGTAAATGGAACACAAATTATATTTCACAAAAATGGGATCATTGTAGATATATCATATACATTACTCTGTAACATGCTTTTTTCTCTTAGAAATGTCTCTTATACCTCTTTCTGGGTAGGTGTACATAGATTTATCTCATTCCTCTTAGTGGCTACATGATATTTCATAAGTTACTGTAAATTAGTCAATCAGTTCTTTTTTTTTTTTTTTTTTTTTTTTTTTGAGATGGAGTCTTGCTTTGTTGCCAGGCTGGAGTGCAGTGGCGTGATCTCTGCTCACGGCAACCTCCGCCTCCCGGGTTTAAGCGATTCTCCTGCCTTAGCCTCCCGAGTAGCTGGGACTACAGGCAAGTGCCACCACACCAGCTAGTTTTTGTATTTTTAGTAGAGATGGGGTTTCACCATGTTGGTCAAGATGGTCTCGATCTGTTGACCTCATGATCCACCCGCCTCGGCCTCCCAAAGTGCTGGGATTACAGGAGTCAATCAGTTCTTTATTATTTAGGCTTTTTCTAGTTTTGGGCTACCCCAAACAATATCACAACAAAATAATTGTGTGTGTGTGTGTGTGTGTGTGTGTGTGTGTGTGTGTGTGTGATTTCAACATGAGGGCAGATGTCTATAGAATGGATTTGTTGCCTCAAAGGATATATGCATTTGATAAACTTGCCAATTTGCATTAATTTAAACACTGCCAATAGTATTTGAAAGTTCTTTGTAACGCTACATTTTCGAGTACATCAGAATCACCTGGAGATCTTGTTAAAATACAGATTGCTTGGCCCAGGAGTTTCTGATTCAGTGAATCTGTGATCAAATAGGTCTGCAGTAGAGTAGATTTGGGATGAGATCTGAGTATTTGAATTTCTAACAAGTTCTCCGGTGATGCTGATGTGCTGGTCAAGGAACCACTGCTCCATCCTTTCCCAACAACTTTTTAAAAACTTGCGAATCTGATGGAAATCAGAAAAGTAGCTCATTATTGCGTTCCTTTAATTATAACTGAAACTAAGCATCTTTTCATGTTTCCCAGTTGTCTGTATCTCTTCTCCTGAAAACTATCTGTTTATGCACCTTGCTTGTTTTCTATGGCATTGTTTCTATTTTTCTTACTGATTTATAAGAACTCTTTGCATATAAAAGACACTGGCTCTTTAATCTGTAGTAGCATGGCAAATCTTTTTTGCAGTTTGGACCTGTGTTTACACTCTGTGGTATCTTTATTTTATTTTTTGCATAGAGAGATTCTACATATTTATGCACTTAAATTTGTCAGTGTTTTGGCTTCTGGTTTTGTGTCATACTTAGAGAAAGACCTTTTTCCCTTTAAGATTATATACAATTTAACAATGAATGTGTCTTGATGCTTTCTTTTATAATAATTTCTAATCTAAAATAGGGCAGCAAATGTTACTATGGTAATGTAGTGACTACTTATTTGGAAATGAAAATATGAAGTTTTCACATTTCTGAATTAACCTAAAGGGATATTTGCGGCCTCTTTATCCCCTAGGCCTGTCAGAGAGAAAAGAAACTCCCATTTCATGGCTTTCCCCTCTCCAGACTATTACTATAATGGGTTGAGATTTAAAGAAGAGTTTGAAGATCTAGGGCAAAGAGTGTTGGCTGTTGTCAGGCAAACAGATGTTTCTAATGTGATGGAGGCACCAAGAGAACCATGGAGACCACAAGCATGAGGCATCACAGCACACAAATGCTCCCTCCTATTTCTGCCTGTTTGGCTGCCAGAGCTGCTCAGTATTTTTTTTTTTTTTTTTTTTTTTTTTGAGACAGAGTCTCACTCTGTCACCCAGGCTGGAGTGTAGTGGTGCAATCTCTGCCTCCCCGGTTCAAGCGATTCTCCTGCCTCAGCCTCCTGAGTAGCTGGGACTATTGGCACACACTACCACACCCGGCTAATTTTTGTATTTTTAGTAGAGACGGGATTTCACCATGTTGGCCAGGATGGTCTCAATCTCCTGACCTCGTGATCCGCCCACCTCGGCCTCCCAAAGTGCTGGGATTACAGGTGTGAGTCACCATACCCAGCCTGCCCGAGTTTTATATTCACACTCCCTACCCTTGGGCATGCTCTCTTTGACTAAGTAGCAAGATGTACTATGGGAAAGGAACACAAGGGATGGGAAAGTGTGAAACATAGCCTTTTGCACAACCTGTAACTATGGGCTAACTGATTTTTTTTTTCTTTTGGACAGAGTCTTGCTCTATCACCCAAGCTGGAGTGCAGTGGTGCAATATTGGCTCACTGCAACCTCCACCTCCTGAGTTCAAATGATTCTCCTGCCTCAGACTCCAGAGTAGCAGGAATTACTGGCACCCACCACCACGCCTGGCTAATTTTTGTATTTTTAGTAGAGACAGGGTTTTGCCATGTTGACCAGGCTGGTCTCGAACTCCTGACCTCAGGTGACCCACCCACCTGAGCCTCCCAGAGTGCTGGGATTACAGGCGTGAGCTACTACACCCGGCCTGGGCTGACTGAATTAATGGAACCATCATTATTTTGCAAGGCTTGCTTTTCTATTATTCAGACAACTTCAAGTGCAGAGTTCAGTGCTAGATACTGGGATGATATCATTCACAAGCCACTGTACTGGCTTGGGAGGAACTGGCAGTCTAGTGGACAGCTAGATACAGAAACAAGTGGTATTGCAAAAGAGGGAGAGAGGTGGTAATAGAAGGTGCTAGACTTTACAAGGACAGGAACTATGCCTTATCTGTCATTCTGTCCTAGGACGAAGCATGAGGCCTGACACTGAGGTGCCCAACCAATGTTTGGTGATTGAATGAATTAATTTGAAAGCTGTATTAGTCAAGGTTCACCAGAGAAATAGAACCAAAAAAAAAAAAAAGGTGTGTGTGTGTGTTTGTGTGTGTGTATAAAATTTATTATGAGAATTGGCTCATGCAATTATGAAGGCTGAAAAGCCCCACAATCTGCCACCTGTAAGCTGCAGACCCAGGAAAACTGATGGTGTAATTCAGTCTGAGTCTGAAGGCCTGAGGAAAGGGATGTGGGATAGTGGGGGTGAACCCTGGTGTAAGTCCCAGAGTGTGAAAGCCTTAAAATTAGGAGCTCTGATATCTTATGGCAGGGGAATATCCCAGCTCAAGGAGAGAGAATTTGCCTCTTCTCTGTCTATTTCTTCTTTCGGGGACCTCAATGAATTGGATGAGGCCCACCCACATTGGTGAGGGTTGATCTGTTTTATTTAGTCTCCTGATTCCAATGCTAATATTTTCCTGAACACCTTCACAAACACATCCAGAAATAATGTTTTCCCAGCTATCTGGGCATCCTTTAGCCCAGTCAAGTTGACACATAAAGTTAACTATCACAGGAACAGAGGGGAGGGAGCAAGTAACTACACCTGGGGGAGGTCCCAGAGGAGGGGATATTTGGGTCTTAATCAGAAGAAGAGGGGTGATAGAGAAGTGGGTAACAAGCAAGATGGTTCTCGGTGGGTGCCACCTGTTACCCACCAGGGCCTGGGATGAATTCCACAATGTCACATGGTAAGAGTGAATCGGGGCTTTATTAGGGGAAGGGAAAGCTGACTAAGGGTCAGCAGGACGAGGTGCCACAGGTCTCCCATTCTCCCTTATGTCCATGGAGGGGTGTGCTGGGGCCATGATATTCTGCCTGACATCCATCCCGAGTCTGTTCCAGAGGCGAGTCCTCCCTCTCTCTTGCTCTTCCTCCTTACAGGTCAAGTGTGTGAGTCACCTCATCAGTGAAGGGACATGCAAGCTGCTTGGGTGTGTGCTGTTTTTAGGAATTGTCTATAAGGTTAGCTGTCCCATACTTGGGGGAATTTGTGGCCCATGAGAGGTTGGAATCCCTCTTGTCTCTTGGGAAGCTGAATTTGGATGCCCCTGGCCCCAGCTAGCTCATGATTTAGGCAACCCCGAGTGAGCGCTCAGAAGTATTTTCAGGGGATCCTGACCCTTGCATTGCAGTGGGAAAGGGTGTGTGGGCTGAGAGGTGAGCTTGTGCAAAGACAGAGCTGTGCCACTGGATGGGAGGCAGAAGAACCCCCTGACTGGAGACTCTGGCCTGGGCTCATTTGAAAACAAGAAGGAAATTTTATGCCTGATCAGGAATGAGTAACTTGGTGATGGTGGCCTCAGGGATCCCCACTCTGTGCTGCCTCAGAGAGAGGCCTGGGCCTGGAGGCTGTGGATGGGTGTCAGCATGAGTCTGTGGCTTCAACCTGATCTCCACTTCCTGCAGTTCCTGATGGTGAGTAAGCCCCCCTCAAGCTAGGTCCCTGGAGTGGAGTTGGGGAAGAAGGTGCAGGATGCCAAGATTGATATGACACCAGGGCCAAGTCAGCAGGCAGGGTCTGGTCTACACACTCTCCTAGAGAGTGCAAGACAGGGACATCCCCAGGCAGGCTGGCCTGTGTAAGTAACTTGCAAGATATATTTCCCTGTTTGCTTATTGAAAAGAAAAATTAAGACCCCCCCCTCTCCTGCACCTCCCAATAGAGCAGACAGAACTTTGACTTTGGGTCAGGTATAATTCATTCTTGTCTAGTACTTTCACTATTGGCTGGCTCTGCCAACCTCTCTTCACCTCAGTGTCCTCATCTGTAAAGTGGGGTTATAATAGCCCCTGCCTCATGGGATAGTCAGGAAGGAGAAATGAGAGCATGCACTTGCAGGGACCTAGTGCATGGCAGGTACTTAATAATGTTTAACAAAAATGAAGCATTGCTTGGTGAGGTGGGAGGTGGAGAAACAAGAGCAGGGAAGGGTACGGAATGCTAGGCAGAAAGGAACAGGTACCACATTGAATGCAAGCATTTATTGAACACCTACTATATGCTCTATCTGGTGGGGAGATACATAAAGGAGAATCAGATGCCATATTTTTTTCTTGATTCCTGGATAGGATGGTCTCGGTTTGTCCTTTAAACCAGGAAGCAAGCTGTGGATGTGCGGAGATGGGGACCTGGGACGGGTTTCTGGGAAGGAGGCCCTTGAAAACGGGCTCCAAGAGTTGGAAAATGGATGCTATAGTCAGGAGTCATCAGAGAAGAAAGACATCCTGAGAGAGGAGCCTAAGGATGGGTGGAGGGCAGGGAAGGCATTGAGCGCAGGGCTGAGCAGGGTGAGTCTTTAAAGCCTTCTCTGTCTCTCCCTGGGACAATCGATCCCTGGCTGGTCCACCTGCTTCCCCTGTTCTCACCTGTGGTTCCTTCTTCACACAGCAGCTGGAGAAATCCTAAAACATGCAGATCTGATTCGGTCACCCCTCCCACTGCATACACACAGTTGAAACCATCCCGATTTGATCTGGCCTTGACTGCCAGTCTACCCACGCTTCCCCTCCCACCACTCCTGCATGCTTCTCCATACCCCAGGTGTACTTGCCTTTTTGCTCTTACTGGAAAACAACAAACTTTTTTTTTTTTTTTTTTTTTGCCTCCAGACATTTCTTCCTGCTGTTTTTTTCTGCCTGGAATGCTCTCTCTCCCATCTTCAAACAGTTCGCTCTTACCCTGCAGATACCTGCTCAGGGATGGCACTGTCAGAGGTGACCACAGTAGATGAAGGACTACATCACCTTCTTCATAGCTCTGATCATGCTCATTATATGATCTACTGTTGTTTACTTGTTTACTGTCTGTCTCCCCCACTAGACAACAAGCTGCATGAGGATGACTACAGGGACTCTGTACCCCCAGTGCCACACACAGCACTTGATAAATATTTATCAGTTGCATGAATGAAAGGCACAGGGTGGAGTGGAAGGGAGAGAATGAGTGGTAATTAATGTTTCTTGAGCTCCCCAGGGCCTGGAGTCTCATGTTCATAATCTTATTTAATTTTCCCAGCATGCCTGTGAGGGAGGTATTATTAATATTATGCTTTCCTTATAGATGAGGGAGCTGAGACTCAGAGAGGGTGAGCAGGGCGCCCCAGGTCACACAGCCAGCAAGTGGCAGAAGGGACTGTGAATTCAGTTTTGTCTGACTCTGCAGGCCAGGCTTGTTCCTTCCTGCAGTGCTGCCGGATGCTCTGTGTGTGCAGGGAGCACTGAGCCAGTCAGAGCGGCGGAGGCCCTGGCACATGTGCATGTCTGCAGTAGAGGGCAGTGGTGAGGATGCAATCCCAGCTATCGTGGGCTATTTTATTTTATTTTATTTATTTATTTTTTTGAGACAGAGTCTTGCTCTATCGCCTAGGCTGGAGTACAGTGGCGCAATCTCGGCTCACTGCAAGCTCCGCCTCCCGGGTTCATGCCATTCTCCTGCCTCAGCCTCCTGAGTAGCTGGGACTACAGGCGCCCGCCACCATGCCCGGCTAATTTTTTTTTATTTTTAGTAGAGATGGGGTTTCACCGTGTTAGCCAGGATGGTCACGATCTCCTGACCTCGTGATCTGCCTGCCTCAGCCTCCCAAAGTGCTGGGATTACAGGCGTGAGCCACTGCGCCCAGCCTATCATGGGCTCTTTTAAATTCCTCCCTATTTACACATATCCTTCCATGTATTGTAACTGATACATGTAAGCACATGTGCACACACACACGCTTCTACACACAACATGTGTTCACATACACAGTTTCACAAGACAGGTACACTGCTTTACCACTCACAAACACAACATCAGGTGGAAGGGACACCCAGACCTTTACACAGATTCTTCCAGAAGGGCACTGATACCCTAGTGGAGGGAGGGGGTGGCAGCGGGACCCATGGAGCCTCCATCCAGGATGGGAGGGTGGGCATGCAGCCACGTACTAAAGAGCTGTATGCATGAGAACCGTGTGTGCAAAATGTATATGTGTGTGTGTGTGGGGGGGGGTACACATGTATGTAGTGGACGTGGACGTCTGTTTCTGTAGCTGTTGATGTGTGTGTGCACAGGTGTGAATTCTGCATGCCAGGACTTGGGCAGTTGTGAGCATCTTGCTTAGCCTGGGTTCCAGCTCCCAGCTCTCCAGCCCCAAGGGTGGGTCAGGCTTTGACCTTGAACCTCCCCCATCCCTAGTCACTGTCCTTCTGAGCTGGCAGAGTTTAGGGACGACGCCCCTCCTGACTACACTTCAGGCTCTGTGTGGAGTGGCTTTCCTGGGAACAAAAGCCGGTCTACTCACTCCCCGATGACCCAGGATATGAGTCTGCACTTGACAACCATGCCTGGTAACAGCCAGGGCTCAACAAGGCCGACAGCTGCACAGAGCCTGCCAGGCTGTGTGGGTCCTTCAGGGAGGCGGGGGCCTGGTGCTCTGTGCTCAGCAAGACAGGTCTATGCCTCTGCCTGAACTTCAGGCTTCTTTGAACACCCAGGTCTTCTCTTTTGGTGGAGCTGCCACCACTTCGACAACGTGCTGGCTTGGAGCCCTCACTGTCTGTCTGTGCTTTCTCAGGGAGGAGGAAGGTTAGGAGACACACCCTCAGACCCGAGCGCAGCATCCCTTCCTGCGGGTACAGTCTTTGAAGGACATGGGATTCCCACAAATTCTACCAAGAGTCACCACTGAGTTGAGCCGGAGAGGTTTTCCGCCTCAGTCTCTGCACTCAGTCCTTCAGGTGCTCTGGGGAGGAGCCTCAGAAGCTTCCAGTGCTGGGGGCTAAGTGGAGCAGGCAGGGGTCAGCTGCCTGGGTTTTGCTTGGAGAGAAGCCCTCAAAAAGGTCCAGATTGAGCTCAGAGTCCAGAGGGAATGTGGGAGGAAGGACACCCCTGGTCTTGGGTGTGGAGCAGAACTGAGGTCAGGGCGTCGGTGAGGCCGATTGCTGAGAAGGTGGAGGAAGAGGCCACTTCCCACAAGGAAGAAATCAAGAACTGCAGCCAAGGGGCAAATGGAGGTCTTGCTGGCCTGAGAAGAGGGTGGGACGATGGGTGTGGTGGTGCCCAGCCATGCAAGGTCCCTTCAAATGCTGGAGACCCCGAGACTCTCAACAACTCCTCTCAGAGCAGCCCCTTTCCTTGGTTACCAAGGCCGGCCAGTCTCCACTGTGCATCCCTTGAACCACTGTCCCACTAGGACCCTCAGTCTCTACACGCTCCAGCCCTGGGTCAGTCCTGCAACTCAGCTCTGGGCCTGCCACCTGGACTATGAATCCTGCTGCCACTGCGAACTCACATCTCTAACCTACGCCCAGCACCCCTTAACTATCTTTCTATCGGCCACCTGGTCAGCTTCCTGTCCTAATCCTAAGAGTGGCCATTCCAAGGCACAAATCCCTGGTTCCATCACAGGATGACTACCCTGGTACCTCACTGAGAACAGGCAGACCATCAGAATGGACTTCCACATCCTCCTCCTACCTGTGGTTACCTGCTTCTGCAGCCACTCCTCCTCCCCTCACTCCTGGAGGAAGAGGTGGGGTCTCTCCCACAGTCCCCAGTTCCCAGAGCCCAGGACCCCTTTCTTCCATCTGTCTTCTTTGTGATATGCCCCTTCTCTCCCCTCTACCCTCCCATTTTATTTTTCTTCTCCACTGACTTCACTCCTTGAATTTAAAACAGGTTCAAAATAGAAGGTAGAAGCTTTTTGGGCCCTGAACTCCTCTCTGGCTGCCGCCCTGTTCTTTGCCATTTAAAGCTAAGTTCCTCAAATAGTCCATACTCAGTCTCTGGTTCTTCCACTTAGCTCCCATGGGGACCTGGGGGGTCGGATGCCGCTGACGGAGCCTTTGTTGTGAAGCTGTGCGTGGCTTCTTGGTGTCTCACTCTGGGTCATGCCCTCGTTGCCTTCCGCTATCCCTATCTGGTCTCTCTGTTCCTGTCTGCCTCTTGCCTGTGTCTCTGTCACTTTTCCGTCTCTCTGTTTCTTTTTCTGTCCTCTTGCATCTCCCTGGCTTGCGGTCTCACTCTCTATCTGCCGTTGTGTCTCTTTTTCTATCTGCCCATCTCTCTTACTGCCTGTTCTTTTCTTTGAGTCCCTGATTTTCTCTGCTCTGTCTTTCTTTCTACCTGGCTGTCTCTGTGGGTCCTGTCTCTGTGTCCCTATTCCCTCCCCTGCCCGTCTCTCTCCCCATCTATGTCTCTCTCTCTCCCCTATGTCTCTCTCTCTCCCCGAGTCTCTCCTTGCCTCCGTTTCCTTCCTCCTGGCCACAAGGACAGCCTGCCTTGCTAGCTGTGATGCCCCTGACAGCGAGAATCAGTGTTCTTTCCCACTCCACTCCCTCCTGCAGTGTCTCCCAGCCCTCCCCATCTCCCTCGTCTGGGTGTCTAACTGCTGCTACAAGGGAGCGAGGGCACAGGACTCTTAGAAATCCCAAAGGGTGTAGATTTTGAAGCAAAATGGGAGCACAGCACCTTTTGTGTCCCACACATAATACTTGGGGGATGGGCAGTGGCTGCAGGCTGGGCCCCCCATGAAATGCTTCAGCTGTGCCACCTCCCATAACCGTGGCCTTAGAGGATCACAGAGCCTGTGCTCATGGGCAAGGATCCTTGGGTTCTGCCTAGCCCCATTACAGGGAGGTAGTTTAGTTCAGGTCTCAACCAGCAGCAGGAGGTATGTGCTAGGTGGGCTCAGCCAGAGTCCAGGGCTGTGGGGAAGAGCTCGGCTTTATTTTCTAGGGAATGGATTGGGAGCTGCCGGAAGTGCCTTAGGTTGAGCTCCCCGGAGGCAGACCTGAGACAAGGATTAAGTGTAAGTAGTTTAAATTGGAGGTGGTCCAAGAAATACCAGTTGAGGAATGGTAAGGGAGAGTCATCAGTAAAGGGTTTGTCTCCAACCCAGCTACTGCTGTGGGCAACTGGAGTGGGTCTGGATGAGGGCATGGGTGGAACGGACTCTTGGCCTTCCCATGCCCTGCAGTGATGTCTGTTGGATTTTCTTTGGAGCTGAAGAAGTGAGGCTGGGGCTTCACAACCCTCTCCCTTCTGAATATCACTAGGATGTCAGGTCATGGATGGTGTCACTGAACAGACCCCCACTGGGTCCTGGAGATCTCCCCCTCAAAAGCCCTCCCGGGGCCTGAACTGGAGCAGCATGTCTGGCTCTTCTGGGGCCTGGCATGATGGCCTCACCTAAAGAAATTCCTTCCAGAAGACAGTGGGGCTGGGGGAGAGTCCACCTCTGTGTGGATCTGTGGAGCACCTCCAGTTAGTGTAATTACATTCTTCCTGCTGACAGTTCCCACCATGGTCTCAATTGGATGTGACATTCTTATTAAATAACTTCAGTAACTAGTAATAATAACACAGTCCTTACTTCCTGACCTAAATTGCTTGATGCTATTTTGGTGAGCAACCACGGTGCTGCAGGGCTTCTGCAGAACGGCCTGCCAAATTGCTGCCAACACACACACACACACACACACACACACACACACACACACACACAGCCAAGGTTGATGGGAAGTGTGCTTGCACCATCTGTGCATGGCCTACCTGTGTGTGCCCTGGAGCACATGTGAGCGCCATACCTGCCGTCCAAATGAAGGAGCCCCATATGCCTGATGGCAGGGCAAGTTTCCCTGGCCAAGGGCTAACCTTCCCAGCCTGGTTGTTGCACAAAATGGAGATTTGACTTCCAAAGTACCTCTTATGCCATGTCCTTCCCTCTCTACCTGCCTCAGCTTCTGTGCATTTATATCTGTCTTCCCCTGTCTCTGAAGTTTCCTTCCCTCCCTTTTCCACTTGTGAAATTTTATTCATCTTTTAAGACCCAATGCAGATGTTACCTCTGCCAGGAAGCCATCCCTGATTCCACTATAGAGGGATTTGTCACTCCCTGAGTTGGCCTTCTTTATTTGGTCTGGCCTGGCTCTATTCTAATTACGTTAGCTGGATATATGATGGTCAAGGGCAGGGACTGGGTCATAATCATTTCTGATGATTGACACACTCATTCCCATTGTAAGACTCCCTGAGTGTTTACTGAATCGAAGTCATGGAAGTAGACATAGATTTATGGGGAGGGGGCATTGATGGAAACTGAGATTTTCTGGTGGTGGGTTTCTCCACAGAGATGAAATGCTTGCAATGCCCCTAGTTGGTCTTTGTTTTTATTTTCCATCTTTACAAAAAAATGTGAGATGTTCACTCTTGCAGAACAAATAGAACTGTGACTTTTGTTTCACAATTTATGTGGCTGATTTTGTCTGCTTTTGACAGTTCTGTTGTGTTCCTGACAGTTACAATTTGGTTTCTCTCTGGGACCTTGGAATGATAAGTTGGGATGCCAACCTCGCATTGATCCACTGGGGGAGCACAGACCCCTTCTTGTTTCTCCCCATGCTGTGCTTATGAATGGGAAGTTCTGAGCAAGCCAATGAGAAGACAAATGGGGAGAAAACAAGGCAACATGAAAGTGTGCAAGTGTGCACCAGGAGGCAGGGTGTCACCTGGATCATCTGACCCAGGTGACTAGCCGATGGCATGAGCAGTGGACCCTTGGGTTTCTCCAGACCCTATCCCCATATCTGTCCAGTCTCCCAGAAGACAAGTGTAAATGGACTCCTCTGCACTCCTATGCCCTTCCCTTTCTCCTAGTCCACCCACCAGCCTGTGGCATGTCCCCCAAATTTTATGTGAGTTCCAAGCAGACATAAATTCAAAATGGTTGAATTTTCTCTGGATCCTCAGCTCACAGAACAAGCCTCACTGGCAGGAAGCATCAATATATGTGTGCTGAGTGCATGATGGATGGATGAATGAATGAATGAATGAATGGATAAATGGTGCCATCTTCTAAAGCTTATAATTTCCTTCCTTGGCCTAAGCATGGAATTTCTGTTTTGGATTTGAATCCCAGGACCATGACTTACTAGCTGAGTGATTTTGGAAGATTATTTTGCCTTTGAGGAACTGGATTCCATCTTCAAAACCAACAGCAGAATCCAAGCCTGCCTGGGTTATTGTCAATGTCAAGCACATAAGGGACTGTACAGTGTAGTGGTTAAACCCATGGGTTCTGGACCTAAGCTGCCTGTGTTCACAACCTTACTCTACTACTTCCTAGTTGTATGACCTTGGACAACTTACTTGGTCTCTTACTGTTTAGGGAAAAGCTCTCTTAAGCCATGTTGTTGTTTTTTTTTCCTGCTCTCACACAGCCACCACCAACACAACAACAATCATCAATACAGAGGAAGACTTCTGTGACCAAAAGTGTGGGTTTTTTTTCTCCACACATTAAGCAGTGGACACCAGCCAGGCATCCTCCAATTCAACTCCTACCCTATCTACCTGATGATAGAGTCACATCCCATGGGTTGGGGGCTCAGTTCCCGAGACTCCCCCCCGCTTCAGACACCAGTCACATGTCCAAACCTCCAGAACTTCTGACCAATTGGCTTCAAGTTGGGGTTCCCACAACCCCCCCCCTTTAAGTTTGATTAATTGGCTGGAGTAGCTCACAGAAGTCAGGGAAACACATACGTTTACCAGTTTGTTATAAAGGATATACAAAGGATACAGATGAACGTTAGATGAAGAGGTGTGTAGGGCAAGGTGTAGGGGGAGGGGCTTGGAGCTTCCATGCCCTCCCTGGGCACACAAACCTCCAGGAATCTCCACGTGTTCCGCTCTCTGGAAGCTCTCTGGACCCCGTCCTCTTGGGTTTTTAGGGAAGCTTCATTACGTAGGCATGATTAATTAAGCCATTGGCCATTGGTGATCAACTTAACCTTCAGCCCCTGTCCCTTTCCCGGAGGTTCAGGAGTGGAGCTGTTAAGTCCCAACCCTCTAATCCTGCCTTATTCTTTCCAGTGATCAGCCCCACTTTGAACCTATCACACAAAAGAAAGACAGCACTTGGGAGATCCCAAGGATTTTAGGAGTTAGGAACTACAGGAACTACAGACAAAAATAGCACCACTTAACCTCAGGCTGCTCATTACATATGGGGATGACCTTAGCACCTACCTGCCAGGACTCTTGGGAGAATTTCATGAGGCAAAGCACTTAAAGCAGGGCCTTCACCTAGCAAGTGCCCAGGACATATATGACAGGGTGTCTTGCCCGAGTTGCCATTGAGATGGGATTAGGAAGGCATTTGGGGATCAGGCTATCCTCCCTCTAGTGGGCCTCTCTGTCCCCTGGTAAGATGCCCTTCACCTCTCAAAGAACTTTCAGGATGACTGGCCCCAGCCCTGATTTGCATGGGTGTAGGAATTTCATGAGAAAGAACTTGAATCCTGAGCACAGATGGGGTATGGAAATAGGTGGACCTGTGTAATAGGTGGGAGGAGGCTCTATGAAAATTAAAACTCTGGGGGAGATAAAGTAACACCAGAGAGGAAATAGGTAGACCTTTATAATGGGTGGGAGGAGGTTCTATGAAAATTAAAACACTGAGGGAGATAAATTAGCACCAGAGAGGAAATTCACCCACTTTGCATGAGGAAGAGGATTAGTGGAGTGGGCTGGACAGGGAGGGCCCTGCTGCTTGAGGGTAAGAAAAGACAGAGGTTCTGGATACAGCAGGAGGCTACTCTTGGACGCAGCCCATCCCATTTTGTCCCCTGCAGATCCCGGACCTCGGTGCCTGGAGGAGAGGGTAGCTTGGTAAAGATGAAAAAGGTGCCCCAAAGGCTCAGCTGTGGGTCTCCCTTCTCCTGCACGGTTTCTCAGCCTTGGGCATTTTGGGCTGGACACTGTTCTGGAGCACTGTCCTGTGCATCATGGGAAGTTTAGCAGCCTCTTCAGAATCCACCCACCAGCTGCCAGTAGCGGCCCCCTACTCTGAGTTGTGATAATTAAAAATGTCTCCAGACGTTGCCAGATATCCCCGGGAACAAAATCGCCCCCAAATTTAGAACCGTTGTTCTGCTAGACTGGAAGAGGATATTTTCCTACCAGCTGGAAAGAGAGATGAAAAGTGGAAGTCAGGAGGTAGAAAAAAAAAAAAAAACCAGAAAAATTCCTTCCAGCTGCCTGAGAGTGTTAACTAACCCTATTGTATATCCAAGATCAAGGCGTGCCTGTGTTCACCTATGGCTCTCAGCAGACGCTCAGCAGCAATAGTGAAGTCTCAGCAGTCCTGAGGTTGTGGAGAAAGGGGACAACAGCTGGAAAGAAGGCCTACAGGGTCCAAAACAATGGCTTCCATTAGAGTTAGCGACCTTGGAAGAGCCCCTGGAGTGCTGGTTCTCAACCTCGGCCATACCATAGCCAGGGTCCCACTCCCAGAGGGCTAATTTTAATTAATTTAATTTAATTGGGACACTGTGATTTTACAAAGCTTCCCAGGTGCCACATGGTTGAGAACCAGCCACTATAAGCAAGAATTTATATCAGTATCACCTGGAAGCTTATTAGAAATGCAGGTTTTCAAGCCCCACCCAGACCTACTAAATGCCAAGGTGATTTGTATGCACATTAAAGTTTGAGAAGCACTGACCCACTGACCTAGGATATAAAAAGTGGGAACAATGAAGACTTTTTATTCTAACAGGTAGAGTCTCTTGATTCAGTAACAGCTACACCAAACTGGCAAGACCTAGTGGTCATAGCCTCCATCTTTTGCTTAAGCAGAAGAGACCCGGGACAGGGACTGTATAGTAGATGGATCTTCCTCATCCTTCGTACTTCTCAAGCTGATCTGGCTGCCCCCACAAGCCCAATGAAAAGACATCTGTCCTTCCTAGTCTGTTACATGTCTTCCTCCCTCTCCTCTTTTCTATCTTCCCCAAGTAGATGGAAGAACATAGGAGAAAACCCCAGACTTCAGCTGCCCTTTGGCTCTCCTAACCTCCACATTCGCTCATTCATTCAACAACTATTCATTGTGCACCTCATGTAGGCACACACTCTTCTTGATTCTGAGGATTCAGTAATACACAAGAAAGAAAGAAATTCCTGTCTTCTGGGAGTCTGCATGTCTGGTTATTCAAAGAAAATAAACAAATACGTTAGTAAATATGTAATATGTTGGGTGGTAAGAGCTCCTAAAAAAAATAAAGCAGAGAATGGGTGGTTGGAAATGCCTCGCTGGGCATATGGCAGGAGGGGGACCATGTTTTATTTTCTTCTAATGGAAAGATATGAAACTAAAGTTACCAGGCCAGGTGTGGTGCCTCACGCCTGTAATCCCAGCACTTTGGGAGGCTGAGGTGGGCAGATCGCCTGAGATCAGGAGTTTGAAACCAGCCTGGCCAACATGGTGAAACACCGTCTCTTCTAAAAATACAAAAATTAGCCGGGCATGGTGGCAGGCACCTGTAATCCCAGCTACTTGGGAGGCTGAGGCAGGAGAATCGCTTGAACCTGGGAGGCGGAGAGTGCAGTGAGCCGAGATTGCGCCATTGTACTCCAGCCTGGGCAACAAGAGCAAAACTCAATCTCAAAAAAAGAAATTACAGTTACCAATTAATTGTTGTCCTACTATACACCTCATATTGCTCTGTATAAATCTTACACAAACTCCCATGCCCCTCGTTTCTTCACTGTAGTAAGGAACACATAATATAAAATTTACTGTCTTAACCACTAACTATACAGCACAGTAGTGTTAACTATATGTGCCTTATTGTGCACATAGAACTCTAGAACTTTTTCATTCTGCAAAACTGCAACAACGCTACACCCATTGAGCAACAACTCTCCTTTCCCCCAGCCCATGACAATCACCATCTTAATTTCTGTTTCTGAGAGTCTATTTTAAATATCTCATATAAATGGAATCATGCAGTAATATCTTTTTGTGACTTATTTATAGGTTTAATGACTTATTTATTGTTGGTTTATTGCACTTCATATAATGTCTTCAAGGTTCATTCATGTTGTAGCATATGAAAAGATTTCCTTCCTTTTTTAAAGGTGGAGTAATATTCAATTGTATGTATGTACCACATACTCTTTATCCATTCATCCATGTAGGTACATTTAGGTTGTTTCTACCTCTTGTCCATTGTGAATAATTGCTGCAATGAACATTGGTATACAAATATCTCTTAGAGATCCTGTTTTCAATTTCTTTTGGATATAGACCCAGAAATAGGTTGTTGAATCAGATGGTAATTCTATTTTTATATTTTTGAGGATCTTCCATGCTGTTTTTTATAGCAGCTGTACCATTTTACACTCCCACCAACAATGCACAAGGATTCCAGTTTCTGCACATCCTCACCAACACTTGCCATTTTCTGTTTTGTGGATGGTGGCTATTGTAACAGGTGTGAGGTGATATCTCATGGTGGCTTAAATTTCATTTCCCTAATGGTTAGTAATGTTGAACATAATTTCATATGTTTGTCAGCCATTTGTCTATCTTCTTTGGGGAAATGTCTATTAAAGTCCTTTGCTCATTTTAAAATCAGATTATTCATTCAGTTATTGTTGAGTTAGAGGAGTTCTCTGTATATTCTGTATAGCCACTCACCAGATAATATGGTTTGCAAATATTTTCTCCCATTTCTTAGGTTGCCTTTCCATTCTGTTGACTATTTCCTTTGCTGCACAGAAGTTCTTAAGTTTGATGTAGTTTCGTTTGTCTATTTTTGCTTTTGTTGCCTGTGCTTGTGTTGTCATATCCAAGAAATCTTTGCCAAATCCAATGTCATAAAGCTTTCCTTTTATGTTTTCTTCTAGGAATTTTATAGTTTCAGGTCTTGCTTTTAGATCTTATTCCATTTTGAGTTAATTTTTATATATGGTATATGGTAAGGGTCCAACTTTATTCTTCTGCATGTAGATATCCAGTTTTCCCAACAACATTTGTTAAAGAGGCCATTCTTTCCCCATTTTGTAGGTTTGACACCCTTGTCAAAGACCATTTGACAATATATTTATTTCTGAGGTTTCTATTCTGTTTCACTGGTCTATTTGTCTTTCTTTAGTCCAATGCTATACTGTTTTGATTACTGTAGCTTTGCAATGTGTTTTGAAATTAGGAAGTGTGGGGCCTTCAGCTTTGTTTTTCTTTCTCAGATTTGTTTTGGCTATTTGGGGTCCTTTAAGATTCCATATAAATATTAGAATGGCTTTTTCTATTTCTGCAAAATGTGCCATTGGGGTTTTGATAGGGATTGCATCGAACCTGAAGATCACTTTGGGAAAATATGAGCATTTTAACAACATTAAGTCTTCCAACTCATGGACATGGAATGTCTTTCCATTTATTTGTGTTTTCTTTAATATCTGTAAGCAATGTTCTATAGTTTTCAGTTCACAAGTCTTTTGCCTCCTCAGTAAAGCGTATTTCTAAGTATTTTATTCCTTTTGATGCCATTGTAAATGAAAGACAAGATGAGGAGAAAGATAAAAAACAAAACAAATCTCCTTTTTAGATTGTTCATTGTTCATGTATAGAAATGCAACTTATTTTTGTGTGTTGATTTTATATCCAGCAACTTTGCTGAAATTGTTTATTAGTTCTAACAGTTTTGTATGTACGTGTGGAATCCTTAGGGTTTTCCACATACAAGATCAGGTTGTCTGCAAACAGAAATAATGTTAGTTTGGATGACTTTTGTTTCTTTCCCTTGTCCTCTGGCAAGGACTTCCAGTATTATACCGAATAGACTGGTGAGAGAGAGCATGCATACCTTGTTCCTGATCTTAGAGGGAAAGCTTTCAGTTTTTCACCATTCAGCATAATGTTAGCTATGGGCCTTTTATATATGGTCTTTACTATATTGAGGTAATTTCTTTCTATTCCTAGTTTGTTGAGTGTTTCTTCTTTTTTATTTTGAGACAGAGTCTCACTCTGTCGACTGGGCTAAAGTGCAATGGCATGATCTTGGCTCACTGCAACCTTCGCCTCCTGGGTTCAAGTGATTCTCTTGCCTCAGCCTCCCAAGTAGCTGGGATTACAGGTGCCTGCCACCATGCCCAGCTAATTTATTTTTATTTTTAGTAGAGATGGGGTTTCACCAAGTTGATTAGGCTGGTCTTGAACTCCTGACCTCAGGTGATCCACCTGCCTCAGCTTCCCAAAGTGCTGGAATTTCAGGCATGAGCCACCACCACGCCTGGCTGAGTGTTTTTTCTTTTAATCATGAAAGGGTGCTGAATTTTTCAAATGCTTTTTCTGCATTGAGATGATCATGTGGTTAACATGGGATATTATATTGATGGATTTTCATATGCTGAACAAAATTTTTGCATTTCAAACATAAATTCCATTTGGTCTTGCTGTACAATCCTTTTAATATATTGTTGAATTTCATTTGCTAGTATTTTGTTGAGGATTTTTGCACCTGTATTCATCAGGTATATTGGTCTGTAGTTTTTGTTTGTTTGTTTTCTTTTTTTTTTGTAGTATCTTTGATTTTGGTATTAGGGTAATGCTAGGCTCATAAAATTATTTTGGAAGTGTTCTGTCCTCTTCAATTTTGGGGGAAAGTTTAAAAAGCATTGATGTTAGTTCTCCTTTAAATGTTTAGTAGAATTATCCAGTGAATCCATGTGGTCCTGGGCTTTTCTTTGTAGATAGGTTTTTTATTACTGATTCAATCTCCTCACTAGCTCTAATTCTGTTTAGAGTTTTTATTTCTTCATGATTCAGTCTTGGTAGGTTATATGTTTCTAGAAATGTATCAATTTCTTCTAGGTTATCCAATTTGTTGGCATACAATTGTTCATTGTAGTCTTTTATAATCCTTTTTACTTATGTGTCATCAATTGTAGGTCTTGTCTTTCATTTCTGATTTTTATTTGAGCTTCTCTATTTTTCTAAGCTAGTCTAACTAAGAAAAAAATCAACTCTTAATTTTGTTTATTTTTCCCCATTTTAAAAATTATTTATTTCCTTTGTTTTTGCTCTAATCTTTATGATTTTGTTCCTTTTGATAACTCTAGGTTTAGTTTGTTCTTTCTCTAGTTCTTTTACATGTAAAGTTAGGTTATTGATTTGAGATCATTCTTTTTTTTAATGCATGTGCAATGTGCTGCTGTAAACTTCTGTCTTAGTAACACTTGCTGCATCCTGTAAGTTTTTGGCATGCTTTATCTTTATTTTCATTCGTCTCAAGATATTTTCTAATTCCCCTGTGATTTTTTCTTTGACCCATTGGTTCTTCAAGAGTATGGTGTTTAATTTTCATATATTTATGAATTTCCAGTTTTCCTTTTGCTGCTGCTTTTTAGTTCTATTCCTTTATAGTTGGAAAATGTAACTGGTATGATTTTAATCTTCTTGAATTTGTTAAGACTTATTTTATGGCCTAGCATGTGATCTGTCTTGAAGAATGTTTCATACGCACTTGAGAAGAATGTATATTCTGTTGTTGGGTAGGGTATTCTAGATATGTCTATTTGGTCCAATTGGTCTATAGTCTTGTTCAGGTTTTCTGTTTCCTTACTGATTTTCTGTTTGATTAATTATCCATTATTGAAAGTGGGGTATGGAAATCTCTCTTCCTTATCATGTTACTGTCTATTTTTCTCTTTAATTCTGTCAATGTTTGCTTCATATATCTGGGTGCTCTTCTGTTAGGTACATATATGTTTATAATTGTTATATCTTCCTTGTTGAATTGACCCTTTTTTCATTATACAATGTCTTCTTTGTCTCTTGTGACAGTTTTTGATTTAATGTATATTTTTTCTAATATAATTATATAATCACCTTGCTGTCTTTGGTTACCATTTGCATGAAAAATCTTTTTCTATTCTATCACTTTTAGCCTATTGCATGGAATATCTTTGTCCGTTCTTTTACTTTTCATTTATGTATGTCCTTATGTCTAAAACGAGTCTCTTGTAGACAGCATATAGTTAGATCTTGTTTTTATAAGTCAGTTTAACTACTTTATGTCTTTTGATTGCTGAGTTTAATCCATTTACATCGAAAGTAATTACTGATAGAGGACTTACTATTACCATTTTCTTATTGTTTTCTGTGTGCCTTATAGTTACTTTGTTCCTTTTTTCCTCTCTTGCTACATTCCTTTGTGTTTTGTTGATTGTTTTTGTAGTGACATTCTTTGATTTCTTATATTCTTTGGTGCATCTTCTATAGTTATTTGCTTTGTGGCTACAATGGGGATTACATAAAATATTTTATAATTATAATAATATGTCTTAGACTGATAATAAGCCTCAGTTGCATATAAAAACTTCACGCTATTACACCTTCTTTCTCCCTACACACTTTGTATTAGCAATATCACGAATTTCACCTTTTACAATTTTGTATTCATTATACTTATATTTTTATACTTTCATCTTTTAAGTTTTATACTAGAATTAAAATGATTTAGGCATCACTATTATAGTATTACAAGATTCTATTTGTCTATATATTTATTTTTACTAGAGAGTTATATATTTTTGTATGCTTTCATGTTGCTGTCTGGTGTGTCCTTTAATTATAATTTTCATAAGGCAGATCTAATGGCGATGAACTCCCTCACCTTGTTTACCTGGGAAGGTCTTTATTTCTCCTTCATTTTGAAGGACAATCTTGCTAGATAAAGGATTCTTGGTTGGCATGGTTTCTTTTTCCTTTCAGTACTTTGAATATATCACCTCTTTGGCCTCTGGGCTTGTAATGTTTATGCTGAGAAATCTGCTGATAATCTTATGAGAACTCTTTTGTAGGTGATGAGTCATGTTTCCTTGCTGCTTTCAAGATTCTTTCCTTCCTTGTCTTTAACTTTTTCTTGTCTCAATATTGACTTCTTTGGGGTCATTGTAGTTGGAGTCTTTTAAGCTTCTTTACTTTGGATTTTGATTTTCTTCTTTAGATTTAGGAAGTTTT
Organism: Homo sapiens; assembly: GCF_000001405.40. Classification (NCBI taxonomy): domain Eukaryota; kingdom Metazoa; phylum Chordata; class Mammalia; order Primates; family Hominidae; genus Homo; species Homo sapiens. The sequence continues at coordinate 34,115,202 of NC_000001.11, read as the reverse complement.
CAGCCGTTATTTTTTTCAAATAAGCTTTCTGTTCCTTTTTTTCTCTTTTCTCCTTCTAAGACTTTCATAACACACATATTGGTCTATTTTATGGGGTCCTCTAAGTTCCTTAGGCTTTATTCACTTTTGTTCATTCTTTTTTCTATTTGTTCCTCTGACTTAATAATTTCAAATGACCTGTTTTTGAGTTCACTGATTCTTTTTTCTGCTTAAGTCTGTTATTGAACCCCTCCAGTAAAATTTTAAATTCAGTTATTATAGTCTTCAGCTCTAGAATTTCTGTTTGATCTTGTATTATAGTTTCTAACTTTTTGTTGATATTGTCATTTTGTTCATGCATCATTTTCCTGATTTTATTTAGTTTGTCTATTTGTGTCCTCTTGTAGCACATTGAGCTTCTTAAAGACAATGATTTTGAATTCTTTGTCAAATAATTAATAGATCTCCATTTCTTTAGAATTGGTTTCTGAAGATTTATTATGTACACCACCCTTCCTTTTTTTTTGAGACAGGGTCTCATCCTGTTTCCCAGGCTGGAATGGAGTGGTGTGATAATAGCTCATTGTAACCTCAACTTCTGGGCCTAAGTGATCCTCCTGCTTCAGCCTCCTGAGTAGCTAGGACTATAGGTGTACCACTATGCCCAGCTAATTAAAAAAAATTGTTTTTAGAGATGGGGGTCTTGCTATCTTGCCCAGGTTGGTCTGGAACACCTGGCCTCAAATTATCCTTCTGCTTCGGCCTCCCAAAGCACTGGGATGACAGGTATGAACCACTGTGCTCAGCCTATTTTCTTCCTTTAGTTGAGCCATGTTGCCTTGTTTTTCGTTTTTTTTTTTTAAGTGTGCTTTGTTATTTTTTTAGTGATTTCTGCATTTGAAAAACAACAACAACAACAACAACAACAAAGGAGTTCTCCCAGTCTTTACAGAGTAGTTTTACACAAGGGAAAGTCTTCAGCAGCTAGAGGTTCTGGGGGCTTTCCTTGGGATATATATTCTCTGAGCTTGCATGTGTACTTTCTTAATTAAAGAGGTTTACTGGGTCTTGTTTGTTTTTCCTTCAAGGGTTTGTAATTTCTTGCTCCCTCTGGTGTCTGATTATGGTACTCAGGTTCTCTGGTGTTGCAAAAAGCCAGTGAACTGTCTTTTGTTCTCCATGGCCCCCAGGCATTGAAAGTATGCTGGTTCCCCATCAGCACTCTGGTTTCTGTCAGGTGAGACAGAAACCGGTCCCTCTGCAGCCCACTGAAAAGTGGGAACACTGAATGTATGCTATGCTCTTCTCTTTCCTTTCCAAGGGGGAAGCTGCAAGTTGAACTTTTTCCTTCAGTCTCACTGAACTGTGACAGTTGGGAGAAGGGTTTTTATGGTTGACATGAAACAATTTTTCTTATGCATTTCAATATGGTGGCTTTTCACTTTGAGCTTGCCTGGGGTACTGTAACTTCTTAACTGGTTTCTAGAGTTCTCATAAAGGCTTTTTTGGACTGTGTATTGTTGTTAAGTCAGTGTTTCTGTGGGGCAGAATGTCTGGGGCTTCCTATTCTGCCATCTAGCTGATGTCACTCCCAAGCCCCTGGCACCTCCTCCAGGCACCTTTCCCCCACTGCCCCTCAGCAGAAGCCACAGGACTGTAAGGGCCATGAGGGGGCGCCAGGGATTTACAATTATAAAGGTCTTGTTGGGCCATAATAAAGTCTCTCCCAGCTAACAAGTGACCATGGGGCATGTGATGGTCTTGCTTTGTTCACCCATGTGCGTCTTGCATATTATTCATGCTATGGATGAACATGTGCTCCTAGCCATTTCAAGGTTAGACATGTTTTGAGAGGATGTTGCATCTGTGACAACTGTCAGGAGTCACAGGTCCTGGGTCGCTGCTCTGCCACCCATGTGTGACACCTCTGGCTCTCTCAACTCATGCGTTTTAAGACCCACACTTTCTCTTGGAGGGCATGGGGAGATAAATACCTCTTGATCCTAAGAATTCAGTTGGGAAGTGTCACAAGGAGGGTATGAGGAAGCTCAGAGACACAACCATTTCCAAACCCAAGTTAAGAAGTCTGAGCCATGAGTGACTCAGCCAGGAGTAGAGCTTAGCTCACAATGGTGGGGTTGAAGCTGGGTCCTACCTTCCCATCCATGTCCTTCTTTTTCTCCTTTCTCCCGTCCAAGTACTAACAAGGCCTGAACCTGCTTAGCTTCCGAGATCAGACAAGATCAGGCACGTTCAGGGTGGTATGGCCGTAGATCTCTTTTTCTCCTTTCTATAAATTCCTTGCTTTCCTATATTACACACCCACACACCAGCTGCCCCTCAGCCATGAGCATTGTCAGGGAAGGGTCAGACTGTCTTTTAGGAGGCCCTAGTAAAAATCCATTGAATTGGCTTGAATCCTTTTCTTTCTATATCCCCATGCTACTCCCAAGCCTGTGAATTTCTTGCCAGAAATCTCTAGCATTGGACTAACTAGATTCTAGAGGCCTATATAGATTTTACTCTTTATAGATTATCTTATTGGAAGGCACATTCATTCATTCATTCAACATATACTTTTGATTTTTCTCAAGGCTGCCCATATGACCCAGAAATTCATGCCCCAGTCTCTGGCATGGTGACAAAGCATAGTATGCCCACAGGAGAAGAAGGCTAGTATTGGAAGTATTTCTGGAGGCTTTGAAGGGTCTCCAGGACATTCATTCACATAACTCTGCAGAGCAGTCCACTGGGAAACCCTTTGAGTTACCTCATGGCTGGAGTGCCTATAGATAGAGCTGTCTGCTGCAGTGTGGAGGCGGTTGGACAGCAGGTAGTTATATAGGCTGGGGCTGCAGCTGACAAGACTGGGGAAGCCCAGGGTGAGCAAAGGCCATTAAGGGCAGAACTGGGCATCTGGGGAAATGGCCATGGCAATGTCTTCTAAACAGAAGTCTGAGGTCACTGGGCTGGGTTCTGAACCCAGTGTCTCCACATGCCCAGCCTGATCATGTTTTTCACCTTGGTTTGCATGTGTATGGGCAAGGGGCAACAATAAGCTTGTTAGGGTTTCCTTTTATAGAGACTGTAAGAGGAAGTACATTTCTCTACTACTCCCTGACACAATTTTTAGATTATCTGTCCACCCACTCAGATATATTTTTCCCTCAGTTCATTCAAACTGCGAGAGAGAAAGAGAGAGAAAGAGAGAGAGAGAGAGAGAGAGAGAGAGAGAGAGAGAATTTGAAAGAATTTATTGAAATAAGGTTCCTTTCAGCCAAGACTGCCACCTCTGTCCTTCCTCTGGGGGCAGGGAGACAGAGACAGGGCTGTAATGGAGTCGTGTCTAGTTGAGAAAAGCTTCTTAGCTCTGGTCAGCTCTTTTAGGCCTTCATGCTGTGTCTGGCATATGACCAGCCCAAATCTTTTTCTCTCTCCCTCCCTTCCTGTTTCATACCAGTGAGGTGGTAGAGCCTATATTTTAAGATCTCAGTCTCAGGAGTCAGAGAATCCTGTGTTTGAACCCCAGCTTTGCCAGATGTTATTGTATGTGTGAGCTTGGGCAAGCTACTTACCCTGATCCCCATTTGTTAAATGGGATGAAGAATAATACCTGCTTCTTTGGGATATTGGAAGGTTTAACAGAAATAACGCAAGGACCAAAGTCATGATTGTGTGGGGCACACACAGTCAGTGCCTGATAAATGATGGCTGAAATTCCTTCAACTTCCTGCTTACTGACACATGCATCCTGTGGCAGCCCTGTGCTGGATCCTCAATGATATAGTGGTAAAAAAGGCAGACCATGCTCTGTGTCCCCAAGGAACTCAGTCTGGTGGGGAGATGGTTATGGAAGTCATGGGCAAGTGGCATTCAGGATCCTTCCTTCCCAGATTTTCATTGTGGGCTGGGTTTCTGGGTCTGTGTGCTACCAGACAGAGCCACACCAACTGGTTTGGTTTCCTAGGCCTTTAGGGAGTTGGGTCCATATGAATTGTACTTTTGTAAAAGCACTGGATTGTAGTTTGTTCATTCATTCAACCAATATTAACTGAGTGCTGACTATGTGCCAGTTACTGTTCTAGGCACTTGGGACGCATCAGTGAGTAAAACAAAGGCCTTTCTCTTGTGAAGTAAATATTCTAGCAGGAGGAAATAAACAATAAACAGTAAGTACAATATATAAGTAAATTACATAGGGTGCTACAGAGTGATACATGCTATTGAAATAAGAAAACATAGAGCAGGTAAGGGAGATTGGAGGTGCCAGCGATGGAAGTAGGGGGTTAGTTAATATTTTATTTCATTTTATTTTATTTTTTAACTTTTATTTTAGATTCAGGGGTACATGTGCAAGTTTGTTATATAGTCAACCCATGTCATGGGGGTTTGTTGTACAGATTATTTTGTCACCTAGATATTAAGCCTAGTACCTAATAGTTATTTTTTGGATCCTCTCCCTCCTCCCGTTCTCCACCCTCAGGTAGTCCCTCGTGTATGTTGCTCGCCTCTTTGTGTCCATGTGTTTGCCTCTTTGTGTCCATGTGTTCTTATCACTTAGCTCCCACTTATAAGTAAGAATATGTGGTATTTGGTTTTCTATTCCTGTGTTGGTTTGCTAAGGATAATGACTTCTAGCTTAAGATGGAGATCTTAATATATATGCTTCATTCATGTTCCTGCAAGAGACATGATCTTGGTTTTTTTTTTATGGCTGGATAGCATTCCATGGTGTATATGTACCATATTTTCTTTATCCAGCCTACTATCGATGGACATTTAGGTTGATTCCATGTTTTTGCTCTTGTGAATAGTGCTTCAATGAACATAAAAACGTGTGTCTTTATGGTAGAATGATTTATGTTCCTTTGTGTATATACCCAGTAATGGGATTGCTGGGTTGAATGATAGTTCTGTTTCTAGGTTTTTGAGGAATCACCAAACTGCTTTCTACAATGGTTGAACTAATTTACACTCTCACCAACAGTGTATAAGCATTCTCTTTTCTCCACCACCTTGCCAGCATCTGTTATTTTTTTACTTTTTAATAGTAGCCATTCTGGGTGCTGTAAGATGGTATCTCATTGTGATTTTGATTTGCATTTCTCTAATGATCAATGATATTGAGCTTTTTTTATATGCTTGTTAGTCTCATATATGTCTTTTTTTTTTTTTTTTTTTTTGAGACAGAGTCTCGTTCTGTCACCCAGGCTGGAGTGCAGTGGCGCCATCTCGGTTCACTGCAACCTCCGCCTCCTGGGTTCACCCGATTCTCCTGCCTCAGCCTCCCGAGTAGCTGGGATTACAGGCGCACACCACCACGCCCGGCTAATTTTTTGTGTATTTTTAGTAGAGACGGGGTTTCACTATGTTGGCCAGACTGGTCTTGAACTCCTGACCTCGTGATCCGCCCGCCTTGGCCTCCCAAAGTGCTGAGATTACAGGCATGAGCCACCGTGCCTGGCTCATATATGTCTTCTTTTGGAAAGTGTCTGTTCATGTCCTTTGCCCACTTTTTAATGGAGTTGTTTATTTTTTTCTTGTAAATTTGTTTAAGTTCCTTACAGATGCTGAATATTAGACCTTTGTCAGATGCATAGTTTGCAGATATTTTCTCCCCTTCTTTAGGTTGTCTGTTTACTCTGTTGATAGTTTCTTTTGCTGTGCAGAAGCTCTAAAAGACTTAAATGTAAAACCAAAAACTGTAAAAACTCTGGGGGACAACGTAGGCAATACCATTCTGGATTGGCAAAAGTTTCATGATGAAGATGCCAAATGTCCATTGAATGATGAGCCCCTGCTGGCATCTAGACTGGTCTGAGCTGAGCCAGGGCCATACTGACCCCATCACTAATTTGCTTGAGCAGAGGGAGCTGATTTGAGCTCTCCCTTTTGATAGGAACAACTTTCAAATCACCATCAGTGCTCATACAATTCAAACGTGTAGTTGGGGGCATCAAAACACAAAACCCTTTCCTTTATATGTAAAATGAGCAACACGTCTGCTGAAGATTGGGAAAGCAAAGTGAAATTGCAGATGACCTTTGAATGCCTTAATTTAAAGAATGATCTGGATTGATCTTGCCCTGGATCTGCTGCCACTGTCTTCATGAGTGAACCTTCTGGATTCCCAGTAGATGTCCAGTCTGAAGCTGTCAGAGGAATGAGGGGGTTGGGCTGCTATGGAGAAACAAGAGGATGCATCCAACAGCTGGTGACCACATGTCATGCCCTCCTTGATGCTGGCCCTCATGCTTTCTGATTTCAAGTCTTACCACCCCTCATCTCTAGAGAGTTAGCCTCCCACCTGTCCTCCTCTGTGTCATTGGCTACTGAAGAATAAGTGCCAGGAACATCTCGGGAGTACACCTTGCAAGGATTGCCCTCCCTATCCCAGGACTCCTGTGTCAAATCACCTCTACTGTGGTTCCGTCTGGCCCAAGGCAGGAAGACAGAGTCTCGGGCACTCAGGATTCTGAATGGAGCTGCAGTGCTCTCTCTTCTACCTTCACCCCTTTCCCTCTTCAGCCTCTTTCCCTCTTTCTATCCCTTCATTCCTTTATCTCACCAATTCTCTTTGTTACTTTCTTATCATTGTAGTTCCTTTTTCTTCTGGTGCAGAAATTATGGGAGAGGTTGGACAGGCATCCCCATTGGCTTAGGAGCAGAAGAAACAGCCTCCCCTGAGGACATTTACGGTTCCGGACCATGGACAGGGCTACTCTTGCTCCAGTCAGGCACCAACAACTCACTTGGGCTAGCTGCATCAGAGCATCTCTGTGAATGTGGTCTTGAGAACCTCATTCCATAGATAGAGGGGCAGGGGCCATAAGTGACTAAGGGACTTGACCATACCCCTTGCTAGCAAGTGGCAAGGCAGAGTTAAGAACCCAGGCTTTCTGATTCCATGGCACTATGTTAGGGTTTTGGGTTTTTTTTTCTCTCTCTCTCATTAGGGTTTTGTTTTCTTTTTCTCTCTCTCATTTTTAAAATTAATTTTCAAATATGTCTCACATAAGGGCACAGGGCTTGAAGTTGCCTATTTTCTTTAGGGATGAGGCCAGTTCCACCAGATAAAACAGGAGCCATGTGTTTTTAATGGATAAAGAAACAAATGAAAAGAAAAAAGAAAGACACCGTTGACAAGCAGACAAATTAATCCATTTACTTGACAAATATTAATGGAGTGTCTATGAAATGCCAAGCCTTGTGTTGGGATTTAACAGTGAGTCAGGCGTGGTCCTGCCCTCATGAGATTCTCATGGTGAGAGAAACAGCAGCATAGGCTTGGTTTCACATATTTTGACAATTCACTCCTATTTCCCGAGTTATTATGATTCTTTTTCTTCTGGGAAGTTCAATGTGCTCAGGCGTCCCCATGTGGTCCCCTTTCTGCCACTGTGCTGAACCTCACCATAGTGGACTCATTCCCCAAATGTCAGGCAATGGGACAGAAGCCTAGGAGTTCTAACTGACATGACTGACACTTGAGGAAAGGGCTACCTAAGGTGAAGTTCTTTGCTGTATGAGAGTGCTGTAGAAAGGAGTTTAGCTTACTACATTGGCCATCCTTCATCCATCCACCCACCCACCTATCCATCCATCATCTATGATAGAGTAGTGGTTAAGAAGACAGGATGTGGCACCAGATTGCCTGGGGTTGATTCCTATTTCCATTTTTATCAGCTGTCTGACCTTGGGCAGATTACTTAACCTTCCTAGACCTCAGTTTCCTTACCTATGAAATGGGGAGAGTAATAGTACCTATCTCATATGGTTGTGAGGATGGAATGAATTATTATATGTACAGTGCGTAGGACAGTACTTGGCACAGAAAAAATGTTTAATAATATATTATTATTATTATACCGTAAGCTCCATGAGGGCAGGAAGCACTCACTGGGACACAGTGGGTGCTTAATACTATTTTCAAAATAAGTAAATGAATGAATCAAGCATTTGCTAAGCCCTCAACTTTCATGAGTCTGTTCCTGTGCTTAGCCATTGTCCCGTGGACCAAAGCCATAGCTCAGGCATCTTCTCAGCTGGGGAGAACTCAATGGTAGTTCCTTGTTTTCACTCTGAAAGACCCAGACAGGAGTAGAATCAGCCTGGCAGAGGCCCCTGGCCCCAGAGATACCTGGCCCTTTCTCTTGCTGCTGATCCAGGGCTGTGGCATAATAAGAATCAGTAAAGCAGAGATGCTTCTGCTAGTCCAGGATTCCCTGTCAAAATAATAAACAACCCTTGACTAGTGTTGGCTTAGGATGATGGAAAATGAACTGCATCTGTATCACCATGCAGGGAAAATCATGTTTGGTCCGCAATGGTGGCTTCTGTGTTAAACATGTCCAGGAGAATCAGAAAGCCTGGAGTTAGAATTAGGAAGCTGAGTGGCATGGGATTATTCCCACGAAGCAATTGAATATGGTACAGGGACAGGCTTGCTGCTTCACCCCACCTGCCATGCATTGTTTTGTGCCTTTGTTGCATGCATCCCCAGCTTGAGAGGAAAAAGGAGACCCGTTTTGTATCCAGGTCCCTGAGGCACAGCAACTGTGCTAAGCTCTTTTCAATAAATCCCAGGCTCTGACCCCTGGTGCTGGGTGCAGAGTGGAACCAGAACTATAGCTTTGAGAGTATGTCCTGAGATGATGTGTGTGAAATATTTGCAGCCTGGCAGAGGGAAGGGTGGTAGGGTTGAGAGCCTGGGTTTTGCTTTTGTACAGATCTGGGTTTGAATCTCAGCTTTTCCATTGCTACTTGTTTGACCTTGAACATGTTTTAAACCTTGAAGAGCCTTAGTTTCTTTACCTGTAATATGATGAGGGTGGGGCTGTAACAGCCATTTCAAAAGGGTCATTGCAAATGTTAGAGAGATAATGTTAGTGAACCACAGAAATGTTGGCCCCTTCTCAGACTTGCATGAAAGCACCAGTCCTTCTAGGTTTGTCTGTGCTCCTTTCTGTTCCCCTAAGATTGAACAGCATGGTTTCCCTGAACCACTTGTCACGTGGAGATGGCTAGTAAGATGGGCCATGTCTGTCTCCTACAATCCACTGTGAACTCCTTGAGGGCATGGACCATATTATATGCAATCTGCCCCTCCCATCTCCCCCAACTCCCTACTGCCCATTAACACCCCCACCTATAAACCCTGGAACTAAGCCATCCATTCCCCAGATTTGCTGACTGAAAGACTGAATTTGTCTTGGACCTCTGGGGTTCTTGATAGAATCCATGGGGTCCCTAACTTGGATGAGGACAATTGCATTATTTTCACTAATCTCCTACTGAAACAGCATTTCTACCAATCATGAAGATAGGCAACAAACACGGAAGTGGTATTAGCAGTACCTGTGAATTTGTCACTGGTAAGATCACAGATATTTCCATAGAACATTACAGTTGTTACAATTATCTTGAAGTAGCATTTATGCTTCAAACTACAATATGTATCAGGCCCACTGCTAGATCTTATTAATAATGCATTAATAAAGGAGCACTTATTAGTGTATGATCGATTTTCAGTATATTTTAAAAACTATATTTCAATCTAGCTGATTTCCTTTGCAATTCTATGTATTTTGTTTTACATATTTTAAGACACCATTTGAGGTGGTGTCACGAGGCTCCAAGGAGGGCATGGCACGACAAAGATGGAGGACTTCAGGTCATGGAGGTCCAGGGATAGGCTTTTTTGGCCTGCTAATCCCCTGAAATGAATGAAAACGGCAGAAGGTTAGCTTCCTATGTATGTGATTCTAGAAAAAGTATTTCTGACTTTCATTAGGAACTCCAATATGGCTAAGAATTAGACCAGTCGTTCTCAACTAGAGGTGATTTTCCCCCTAGGGGACATTTGGCAATATCTGGAGAAATTTTGGTTGTCACATTGGGAGGTGCTACTGGCATTCAGTGGGTAGAGGTCAGGGACGCTGCTAAACATCCTATATGTACAGGACAGCCTCCCACAGTGAAGAATTATCCCACCCAAAATGTTGATAGTGTTGAGGTTGAGAAACCCTGGATTAGACTACTGCACATTCACAGAAATCTCTCCGATTGTTAAGATCTGTAGTAAAAAAAAATAGTGCACATCTTCATTAAAAACATCTGTGATAATTGTGTCACCCAGCACTTAATGCACGAAATAGGGAGATGGGGGTAGCGGAGAGCGAAGAGTAACTGCCTGCAGACTAGAGGAGGCTCCTTAGAGGAGATGAACTGAGCCTGGGACCGTGAGTTAGATTTGCTAGGTTGAGAAGGTTGCAGTGGAAGGGCGTATGAGGCAAAGGGCCAAGCACTGCAGGTGACAAATTAGTGGTGTGACTGAGGCACATGCTGTGCAGGGGAGAGGGGCTAAAATGAGGCTCAGTGCCAGCATCCCTAATGACCTAGTTCTTGGTCCTTTCCTAAAGGATCATTGTAGAGAGCCAAAGATACTGTTTGACCCCTGCCTCTCTCATCAGCGGACAAGGTGCCCCTGCCAGAAGGCATGCATAGTGATGGGCCAGAGGCTGATTGTAGACTTGAGGTGTCCAGCTGGTGCTCCGTGTGGCAGGTGAGACACCTTCAGCGGGCGTGATGATTTATCCAGCATCTGCAGCTCCCCGCTGTGTTTCCTCTTAGGGCAGTTTCATTAATTGCGTGGCTTCAACAAATCCATATCCCCAGTCCAGATTGCACTCCCAAACACCAGTCTACAGCCCTAACTGCCTTCTGGCCATCTCCGTCTGGATGTCCCACTGGCATCTCCAACTAAATTTGTCCAAAATTGACCTTATCAGTCAATAAATATTTGCAGAATTGAATTGAATTTTCCTGCCAAACTTCTCAAGAGAGTTATCTCCTTAAAATTATCATTATTTGTAGACAACATGATTGTGTACCTAAAACACCCAAGGGAACCAACTGAGAAATTTTTAGAATTAATAAGTGTTCAGAAACCTGGCTGGATGTGAGATGAATGTATAAAAATCAATAGGTTTTCTGTATATCATAAAAACCAGTTAGAAAAAAATAATGAGAAAAATGACATTCACTAGTGCGGCAAAAAGTGCATAAAATGTCTGTGAATAACCTTAACAAGATGTGACTGGGACTTAAAGAAAAGCATCTAATCTTTACTGAAAGATTAGGTGGTGTTTGCTGTGCCAGGTTCTGTACTGAACATTTAGCAACTCAGCAGATATCACATTAATCTGTACAACCATCCTAGAAGTGGGTGTTAATTTTAAAGATGTCAAAACTAAGGCTTAAAGAGTTTAAATAAGTTGCCCACACACAATATTAAGTGGCAAATCTGAAATTTGAACCCAAAGCTTTTGTTTCCAAAACCTATGCTTTTAACCTTTCCACTAAGCCACTTCCAAAATAAACCATAAATACACAGATAAATGAAGTTGGTGAGTATTTTCTGAATATTAGATTAGTGCAAAAGTAATTGTGTGTGTGTGTGTTTGCCATCATTGTTAACGGCAATAACCGGAATTACCTTTGCACCAACCTAATACAAAAGATTAATTCATTTCACTCACTCATTCATTTAAAAATGTGTACTGAGTGTCTACTATGGGCAAGTACTGGGCTAGGTGATGGAAATAAAATTGAAGAAAAGCTCAAGGAGGGTCGGACGCAGTGGCTCACACCTGTAATCCCAGCACTTTGGGAGGCCGAGGTGGGCGAATCGCAAGGTCAGATCAAGACCATCCTGGCTAACACGGTGAAACCCCGTCTCTACTAAAAACGTGAAAAATTAGCTGGGCGTGGTGGCGGGTGCCGGTAGTCCCAGCTACTCAGGAGGCTGAGGCAGGAGAATGGCGTGAACCCGGGAGGCGGAGATAGCAGTGAGCCGAGATCGCACCACTGCACTCCAGCCTGGTTGACAGAGCGAGAATCTGGCTCAGAAAGAAAAAAAAAAAAAAAAAAAAAGCTCAAGGAGTTTGCTGGTAGAGACAGCCACATAAACATATCATTATATCACCATTGATGAAGGCAATGACATTCATCATGAATGATAAACAAGGAGTGGACGAATACTTGATGGTGTCTTGAGGGTTCCCAGAAGGCTTTCTGGAGAAGGTAATGAGTTTGAAAATGCCTGGAGTTAGCCGAGTGAAGGAACAATCCAAGCACAGAATGCTAGGTGGGCAATTAATATTCATTTATTCATTCATTCAACCAACAACTATTCTGTGAGCATCTATTATGTACCAGGTTCAGGTCTGCGAGCTAGAGATAGAGCAGAGAAAAAAATGGTGCCCCACTCTCATGGAGATTGTATTTTACTGGGGAGGGTGCATCAGAAAATTAACAAGAGGAAAATATATGGCAGAGGTGCTAAGTGCTATCAACAAATAAAGCAGGCACCAGGAACACCTGGCTTGAGAAGCAGGTCTGAATTGTACTTAGGGTAGTCTCCAAGGAGGTTATATTTGACTAGACACCGGAAATAAGTAAGGGTCCCATGGCTACTGGGGAAACATTTTCTGGGCTGAAGTCTTGGCAAATGCAAAGGTCCAGCATGGCCGGATTACAGGGATATGGCCGGATTACAGGGATATGGTTGGATTACAGGGATATGGCCGGATTACAGGGATATGGTTGGATCACAGGGATATGGCCGGATTACAGGGATATGGCTGGATCACAGGGATATGGTTGGATCACAGGGATGAGGGGACAAGAGATAGGAGAAGAGGTGGACAGGCATCTGGGTACCCATTCATTTAAAGCTTTGAGGACTATGGTGAGGACTTTGGCTTTTATGTTGAGTGAGATGAGAAGCCAACCAATCTTTAGTTGAGAGAAGTCTTTCTCAGTGTGAACAAGGGAAAAATATTACCAAGAAAAAAGAGATAAATGTGACTGCCTATAGAAAGTGAACATTTTGGCCAGGTGCGGTGGCTCACGCCTGTAATCCCAGCACTTTGGGAGGCCGAGGCGGGTGGATCATGAGGTCAGGAAATCGAGACCATCTTGGCTAACACAGTGAAACCCCGTCTCTACTAAAAGTAAAAAAAATTAGCCGGGCGTGGTGGCGGGCACCTGTAGTCCCAGCTAATCGGGAGGCTGAGGCAGGAGAATGGCATTAACCTGGGAAGCGGAGCTTGCAGTGAGCTGAGATGGGGCCACTGCACTCCAGTCTGGGTGACAGAGCAAGACTCTGTCTCAAAAAAAAAAAAGTGAACATTTTAATCTACATGGGAAATCTAAACAAAACAAAAAGCACACAACCAGGTAGAAAACAATATTTGCAACAAATATGACAAAAGATTAAAATTCTGACTCTATAAAGAGTTAGTACAAATTAACAAGAAAAATAGTAAGACCTAATAGAAGATTTAAGTATATAACATTTAGAAACTTCAGTATGTCAAACATGATAAAATTAAAAGGCCAAACAACTACAAAACACATATATAGCACATGCGATGCATAAAGGATTAATATATTACACATATATAAAATAGATAAGTAGGTAAGAAATGAGGGAAAAAAATACCACAATGAAAAATGAGCTGAGGATTTGATCAGCTAGTTCCAAAAAGAAGAAATTAAAATTATTAGAAAAAGTGAAAAAGATGTTGAATCTGAGTCATAAAACATCACTAAGTAAAATGAGATCACATTTTTTGCACCTAATAAGCAGGCAAAAAGTTTCCAAATAAGACAATACACAAGGTTGGCAAAGGTGCTGTGAGATAGGTATTCCTAGACATAACTATTGAGAGTTTAATGGGTGCACATTTCCTAGAAAGGATATTGTTAACCCAGAGCCAAAGCCTCAGAAATGTTCATACCATTTGACCCAGTCATCTGCTATTTGGAAGTCTGTCCTGGGGAAATCATCCAAATCATCCAAAACAAATGAATGAGCAATGACTTGAGGAGTCTAGTTCTCTGAGATTGTTCTGGAGCCTGATGGGGGTAGCTGCATTGACCAGAAACTCAAAGCATGGGTGAAAGAAGGCAGACCATCCTGGCTAGAGAGAAATGCAAGGTGCCGTCAAAATGGAGGTCAGTAGCAGCATTCCCATCTACAGGGCAGAACATCAGTCACTAGAAGTGAAGAACGGGTAGACTTTTTCTTGAAAGAAATTCAACGTTTCATGGGCATGAAAGGACAAAGCCATTCTGGCATGAGCTCCCATTCCATTCACATTTCAATCTGGAGTGGCTGCTCTGGGTTATAACTTCTTCAACTTACTAACATACATTGGTTTCAGGGAGGTTTCCAAATGAGTCAGGCTTCTAACCCTTTCTAGCCATCCCTGAGAGAGGTCAGCCAGCCTAATGTGGACAGTACCTTACCCGACCCCACCTGAAACCAAAGCTGGAGGCAGTTACTGTATAGGGGAACATTTATTCTGGGACTCTGGCCGTGGAAAGGCATTTTCCACTGCATTGACCAGCATCCTATCACCAGATCTAACTAAGGGTCCAGGTCTTATTTACAATGGAACAAAAAATCCAGAAGCAATTTAAATGTTTGACAATAGGAGAATGGCTAACTAAATTCTAGTATAACCATACACTGAAACGTTGTGCATCCATTTAAAATGCTGTTTATGAACAGATTCAGTATCTTAGGGAATGCTCACGTTATAATGTTTACTGAATTGTTACAAAAGAAAACCGAGAAATGACCTGAATGGCCATCAACAGGGGAGTGGTTGAATAAATTGAGATACATCCATGGCATGGAATATTACACATTCATATAAAAAATAAGTTAGATCTGTATCTACTGACCTGGAACGTGTCCCCGGTGTATTGTTAAGTGAGAAAGCAAGTTGCAGAAAAATGAGCTAAACTACAGTTTTATTTTTTAAATGAAATAATCAAAATTCTCCCAGAATGTGTCTGTGTGGTTTGCATGAGAGAGAAGAAGGTGAGGGAGGGACACATACCTGGCTGTTAACTTCGGTAATTTTGGATTGGGTGGGGAGGAGGGAGACTGCATATATATTTTTTTATACTTGCATTGCGTATGTGCATATCTATGCATATTACAAGTCCACATTGCCTTTTTAAATTGAAGATTGAAGAATAACTTACAGAAAAAGTAGCACACAAAATTATACATATGGTGTTATCTCACCAGTGTGAAATATGCATGGAAAAAAATCTCAGAAAAATGAAAATATTAACAGCAGTTGCCTCTGGAAGGAAGAGATTATAATCAGTTTTCTCTTTTTAAATCTTGCCTGTATTTTTCAGTTTCTACAATGTAGAAGTTATTGTTTAGAATACAATGGCCTTCCACCTTCTCATCAGCCAATCTTGCCTATTACAATCTGCCCTCTTTCCACCTTGCCATCCTCCCACCTGCCTTTGCTGAAATTGATCTATCCATTCAGCAAATACTTATTGAATTCTAGGCACTAGGGATGCAGCAGGGACCAGGTCAAGGCTCCAGCTCTCAGCATTGCTTCCAGAGGGACTATTTAGACACCAGACAGAGTGACCTCATTCAAGACCCTCATCTTAGTCTTTCTGTGCTGTTCACCACATTGAGTCAACCTCTCCCACATGGAACTGCCCTCTGGATCCTCTCCGACTATTCTACCTGTTCCCTGCTCTGTCACCTTTTCTGTCCCCTTACATGGGAGATGTTCCCAGAGGCTCTGTTCTGAACTCCTTCACTTCTTTCTCTATAGCAGAAGATGCCATTCACACCCAGATTCTTAATCAGAATCTCCTGTCCTTGGCAGGTCTGAGCCAAGGCAGAGGTCTGGGATGCTGGAGATGGTGGTGAATGTTGATATTTCATTGGTTGTCCACAACACGAATCGGGGAGGCCCTTAAGATGTGGCCCCTGTGGCATCTATACTTCAGAACCACTCTGTGTACCCCTCTAGCATGGTATTGTCTAATGACATATTTTGATTTACTTGTTTCTAGTCTATGATCCAGGTCCCCATGGCTTATCACAGGGTCTATCCTAGAGGAATGAATGAATGAAGGAAGGAATTAATGGCATGATGCAGTGACATTACCAGGCAGGTTTTAGGGACAGGAGCAAAGTAAATCTGGTACCTGTACCAGTGAGGGAAAGTTCAAGGAAGTGTACTCAGGGCTTCTCTGAAAGTTGTGGAGTTAGAGGCTTTATTTCATTATCACTGTGGTTGGCTATTTTTCTGGCTTCTGGGCCATTTATGTCTTCTTTTGTGAACTAATTTGTTCAGATCCTGTCCAATTATTACTAATAGTACTTTTCCCCCTAAGTATTAGTAATAGTTCTTTCTATATTCACCATATTACTTTTCTCCTAACATTTTTGTATGCTTTCTGATATTCTGTTGTTGACATATGCATACTTTTAATATCAATCTTGTAGTATCCTCCACAGCTATTATGCTAAAAAATCACGGTCAGATAATTACCTAGGTTTTCTTCTCATTATTTTATGACTTTATTTTTTTACCATGTAACTCTTTGCTCCATCTGGAAGTTATTTTTGTATATGGTGCGATTCGAGGAGATAACTTAATTCTTTTCCCAAACAGTTTATTAGTTGATCCAGCAAAAGTCTTTTTCTTTTCTCAATTTTTTTTAATATTGCCTGATACATATTTCCATTTTTATGTGCATTAAAGATATTCATGCAATACCATTTCATGTCCTACCTGTTTACTCCTGGACCACCCCCACACTATTTTCATAAGTGTCATTTATGATGCTGTTTAGTATCTTGTGAAATGAGACTGCTAAATTTACTATCTTCTCTAAACAATGCATTGTGACAATCTATTTTTCTTTTTTTTTCTTTTTATTTATTTATTTATTTATTTATTTTTTTATTATTATACTTTAAGTTTTAGGGTACATGTGCACATTGTGCAGGTTAGTTACATACGTATACATGTGCCATGCTGGTGTGCTGCACCCACTAACTCGTCATCTAGCATTAGGTATATCTCCCAATGCTATCCCTCCCCCCTCCCCCCACCCCACAACAGTCCCCAGAATGTGATGTTCCCCTTCCTGTGTCCATGTGATCTCATTGTTCAATTCCCACCTATGAGTGAGAATATGCGGTGTTTGGTTTTTTGTTCTTGTGATAGTTTACTGAGAATGATGATTTCCAATTTCATCCATGTCCCTACAAAGGACATGAACTCATCATTTTTTATGGCTGCATAGTATTCCATGGTGTATATGTGCCACATTTTCTTAATCCAGTCTATCATTGTTGGACATTTGGGTTGGTTCCAAGTCTTTGCTATTGTGAATAATGCCACAATAAACATACGTGTGCATGCGTCTTTATAGCAGCATGATTTATAGTCCTTTGGGTATATACCCAGTAATGGGATGGCTGGGTCAAATGGTATTTCTAGTTCTAGATCCCTGAGGAATCGCCACACTGACTTCCACAATGGTTGAACTAGTTTACAGTCCCACCAACAGTGTAAAAGTGTTCCTATTTCTCCACATCCTCTCCAGCACCTGTTGTTTCCTGACTTTTTAATGATTGCCATTCTAACTGGTGTGAGATGGTATCTCATTGTGGTTTTGATTTGCATTTCTCTGATGGCCAGTGATGGTGAGCATTTTTTCATGTGTTTTTTGGCTGCATAAATGTCTTCTTTTGAGAAGTGTCTGTTCATGTCCTTCGCCCACTTTTTGATGGGGTTGTTTGTTTTTTTCTTGTCAATTTGTTTGAGTTCATTGTAGATTCTGGATATTAGCCCTTTGTCAGATGAGTAGGTTGCGAAAATTTTCTCCCATTTTGTAGGTTGCCTGTTCACTCTGATGGTAGTTTCTTTTGCTGTGCAGAAGCTCTTTAGTTTAATTAGATCCCATTTGTCAATTTTGTCTTTTGTTGCCATTGCTTTTGGTGTTTTAGACATGAAGTCCTTGCCCATGCCTATGTCCTGAATGGTAATGCCTAGGTTTTCTTCTAGGGTTTTTATGGTTTTAGGTCTAACGTTTAAGTCTTTAATCCATCTTGAATTGATTTTTGTATAAGGTGTAAAGAAGGGATCCACTTTCAGCTTTCTACATATGGCTAGCCAGTTTTCCCAGCACCATTTATTAAATAGGGAATCCTTTCCCCATTGCTTGTTTTTCTCAGGTTTGTCAAAGATCAGATAGTTGTAGATATGCGGCGTTATTTCTGAGGGCTCTGTTCTGTTCCATTGATCTATATCTCTGTTTTGGTACCAGTACCATGCTGTTTTGGTTACTGTAGCCTTGTGGTATAGTTTGAAGTCAGGTAGTGTGATGCCTCCAGCTTTGTTCTTTTGGCTTAGGATTGACTTGGCGATGCGGGCTCTTTTTTGGTTTCATATGAACTTTAAAGTAGTTTTTTCCAATTCTGTGAAGAAAGGCATTGGTAGCTTGATGGGGATGGCATTGAATCTGTAAATTACCTTGGGCAGTATGGCCATTTTCACGATATTGATTCTTCCTACCCATGAGCATGGAATGTTCTTCCATTTGTTTGTATCCTCTTTTATTTCCTTGAGCAGTGGTTTGTAGTTCTCCTTGAAGAGGTCCTTCACATCCCTTGTAAGTTGGATTCCTAGGTATTTTATTCTCTTTGAAGCAATTGTGAATGGGAGTTCACTCATGATTTGGCTCTCTGTTTGTCTGTTGTTGGTGTATAGGAATGCTTGTGATTTTTGCACATTGATTTTGTATCCTGAGACTTTGCTGAAGTTGCTTATCAGCTTAAGGAGATTTTGGGCTGAGACAATGGGGTTTTCTAGATATACAATCATGTCGTCTGCAAAGAGGGACAATTTGACTTCCTCTTTTCCTAATTGAATACCCTTTATTTCCTTCTCCTGCCTAATTGCCCTGGCCAGAGCTTCCAACGCTATGTTGAATAGGAGTGGTGAGAGAGGGCATCCCTGTCTTGTGCCAGTTTTCAAAGGGAATGCTTCCAGTTTTTGCCCATTCAGTATGATATTGGCTGTGGGTTTGTCATAGATAGCTCTTATTATTTTGAAATATGTCCCATCAATACCTAATTTATTGAAAGTTTTTAGCATGAAGGGTTGTTGAATTTTGTCAAAGGCCTTTTCTGCATCTATTGAGATAGTCATGTGGTTTTTGTCTTTGGCTCTGTTTATATGCTGGATTACATTTATTGATTTGCGTATATTGAACCAGCCTTGCATCCCAGGGATGAAGCCCACTTGATCATGGTGGATAATCTTTTTGATGTGCTGCTGGATTCGGTTTGCCAGTATTTTATTGAGGATTTTTGCATCAATGTTCATCAAGGATATTGGTCTAAAAGTCTCTTTTTTGGTTGTGTCTCTGCCCAGCTTTGGTATCAGAATGATGCTGGCCTCATAAAATGAGTTAGGGAGGATTCCTTCTTTTTCTATTGATTGGAATAGTTTCAGAAGGAATGGTACCAGTTCCTCCTTGTACCTCTGGTAGAATTCGGCTGTGAATCCATCTGGTCCTGGACTCTTTTTGGTTGGTAAGCTATTGATTATTGCCACAATTTCAGCTCCTGTTATTGGTCTATTCAGAGATTCAACTTCTTCCTGGTTTAGTCTTGGGAGAGTGTATGTGTCCAGGAATTTATCCATTTCTTCTAGATTTTCTAGTTTATTTGCGTAGAGGTGTTTGTAGTATTCTCTGATGGTAGTTTGCATTTCTGTGGGATCAGTGGTGATATCCCCTTTATCATTTTTTATTGCGTCTATTTGACTCTTCTCTCTTTTTTTCTTTATTAGTCTTGCTAGCGGTCTATCTATTTTGTTGATCCTTTCAAAAAACCAGCTCCTGGATTCATTAATTTTTTGAAGGGTTTTTTGTGTCTCTATTTCCTTCAGTTCTGCTCTGATTTCAGTTATTTCTTGCTTTCTGCTAGCTTTTGAATGTGTTTGCTCTTGCTTTTCTAGTTCTTTTAATTGTGATGTTAGGGTGTCAATTTTGGATCTTTCCTGCTTTCTCTTGTGGGCATTTAGTGCTATAAATTTCCCTCTACACACTGCTTTGAATGCGTCCCAGAGATTCTGGTATGTTGTGTCTTTGTTCTCGTTGGTTTCAAAGAACATCTTTATTTCTGCCTTCATTTCGTTATGTACCCAGTAGTCATTCAGGAGCAGGTTGTTCAGTTTCCATGTAGTTGAGCGGTTTTGAGTGAGATTCTTAATCCTGAGTTCTAGTTTGATTGCACTGTGGTCTGAGAGATAGTTTGTTATAATTTCTGTTCTTTTACATTTGCTGAGGAGAGCTTTACTTCCAACTATGTGGTCAATTTTGGAATAGGTGTGGTGTGGTGCTGAAAAAAATGTATATTCTGTTGATTTGGGGTGGAGAGTTCTGTAGATGTCTATTAGGTCCGCTTGCTGCAGAGCTGAGTTCAATTCCTGGGTATCCTTGTTGACTTTCTGTCTCGTTGATCTGTCTAATGTTGACAGTGGGGTGTTAAAGTCTCCCATTATTAATGTGTGGGAGTCTAAGTCTCCTTGTAGGCCACTCAGGACTTGCTTTATGAATCTGGGTGCTCCTGTATTGGGTGCATATATGTTTAGGATAGTTAGCTCTTCTTGTTGAATTGATCCCTTTACCATCATGTAATGGCCTTCTTTGTCTCTTTTGATCTTTGTTGGTTTAAAGTCTGTTTTATCAGAGACTAGGATTGCAACCCCTGCCTTTTTTTGTTTTCCATTTTCTTGGTAGATCTTCCTCCATCCTTTTATTTTGAGCCTATGTGTGTCTCTGCACATGAGATGGGTTTCCTGAATACAGCACACTGATGGGTCTTGACTCTTTATCCAATTTGCCAGTCTGTGTCTTTTAATTGGAGCATTTAGTCCATTTACATTTAAAGTTAATAGTGTTATGTGTGAATTTGATCCTGTCATGATGATGTTAGCTGGTTATTTTGCTCGTTAGTTGATGCAGTTTCTTCCTAGTCTCGATGGTCGTTACATTTTGGCATGATTTTGCAGTGGCTGCTACCGGTTGTTCCTTTCCATGTTTAGCACTTCCTTCAGGAGCTCTTTTAGGGCAGGCCTGGTGGTGACAAAATCTCTCAGCATTTGCTTGTCTGTAAAGTATTTTATTTCTCCTTCACTTATGAAGCTTAGTTTGGCTGGATATGAAATTCTGGGTTGAAAATTCTTTCCTTTAAGAATGTTGAATATTGGCCCCCACTCTCTTCTGGCTTGTAGGGTTTCTGCCGAGAGATCTGCTGTTAGTCTGATGGACTTCCCTTTGAGGGTAACCTGACCTTTCTCTCTGGCTGCCCTTAACATTTTTTCCTTCATTTCAACTTTGGTGAATCTGACAATTATGTGTCTTGGAGTTGCTCTTCTCGAGGAGTATCTTTGTGGCGTTCTCTGTATTTCCTGAATCTGAACGTTGGCCTGCCTTGCTAGATTGGGGAAATTCTCCGGGATAATATCCTGCAGAGTGTTTTCCAACTTGGTTCCATTCTCCCCATCACTTTCAGATACACCAATCGGACGTAGATTTGGTCTTTTCACATAGTCCCATATTTCTTGAAGGCTTTGCTCATTTCTTTTTATTCTTTTTTCTCTAAACTTCCCTTCTCACTTCATTTCATTCATTTCATCTTCCATTGCTGATACCCTTTCTTCCAGTTGATCGCATCGGCTCCTGAGGCTTCTGCATTCTTCATGTAGTTCTCGAGCCTTGGTTTTCAGCTCCATCAGCTCCTTTAAGCACTTCTCTGTATTGGTTATTCTAGTTATACATTCTTCTAAATTTTTTTCAAAGTTTTCAACTCCTTTGCCTTTGGTTTGAATGTCCTCCTGTAGCTCAGAGTAATTTGATCGTCTGAAGCCTTCTTCTCTCAGCTCGTCAAAGTCATTCTCCGTCCAGCTTTGTTCCGTTGCTGGTGAGGAGCTGCGTTCCTTTGGAGGAGGAGAGGCGCTCTGCTTTTTAGAGTTTCCAGTTTTTCTGTTCTGTTTTTTCCCCATCTTTGTGGTTTTATCTACTTTTGGTCTTTGATGATGGCGATGTACAGATGGGTTTTTGTTGTGAATGTCCTTTCTGTTTGTTAGTTTTCCTTCTAACAGACAGGATCCTCAGCTGCAGGTCTGTTGGAGTACCCTGCAGTGTGAGGTGTCAGTGTGCCCCTGCTGGGGGGTGCCTCCCAGTTAGGCTGCTCGGGGGTCAGGGGTCAGGGACCCACTTGAGGAGGCAGTCTGCCAGTTCTCAGATCTCCAGCTGCGTACTGGGAGAACCACTGCTCTCTTCAAAGCTGTCAGACAGGGACATTTAAGTCTGCAGAGGTTACTGCTGTCTTTTTGTTTGTCTGTGCCCTGCCCCCAGAGGTGGAGCCTACAGAGGCAGGCAGGCCTCCTTGAGCTGTGGTGGGCTCCACCCAGTTCGAGCTTTCCGGCTGCTTTGTTTACCTAAGCAAGCCTGGGCAATGGTGGGCGCCCCTCCCCCAGCCTCGCTGCTGCCTTGCAGTTTGATCTCAGACTGCTGTGCTAGCAATCAGCGAGACTCCGTGGGGTAGGACCCTCCGAGCCAGGTGCGGGATATAATCTCGTGGTGCGCCGTTTTTTAAGCCCGTCGGAAAAGCGCAGTATTCGGGTGGGAGTGACCCGATTCTCCAGGTGCCGTCCGTCACCCCTTTCTTTGATTAGGAAAGGGAACTCCCTGCCCCCTTGCACGTCCCGAGTGAGGCAATGCCTCGCCCTGCTTCGGCTCGTGCACGGTGCGCGCACCCACTGACCTGCGCCCACTGTCTGGCTCTCCCTAGTGAGATGAACCTGGTACCTCAGATGGAAATGCAGAAATCACCCCTCTTCTGCCTCGCTCACGCTGGGAGCTGTGGACGGGAGCTGTTCCTATTCGGCCATCTTGGCTCCTCCCCCCGACAATCTATTTTTCCAGTTAAACTTAGGTATCATTTTACCAAACTTAAAACGGGTCATTGGGCTTTTCATCCGAATTGCATTAAACTTATAAATTAACTTTTCTGTAACTTGTCAAGAGGTTAATATCATAAATTAACCTTTCTGTATCCACTCAAGATTATGCTATGTCTCTCCAGTTATTCAAATTTTTTATCCCTCTGTAAAAGTCATTTTCATATCGTGCCTGCACACTTCTTGTTAAGTTTATATGTACTATATGCATTTTGTAGTTACCATAAACAAGATCTTTTTTCTTTATATTTTTATCTGTCATTGACATATAGGAATGTTACTGATTTTTGTATATTATTTTGCATTTGGCTAGTTTATTAAAATTTCATATTATCTATAATAGCTTTATAATGAATTCTCCTGGGTTTTCTAGGTATATTAATGTATCATCTACAAACCATAATTTTGCTTCCTCTTTTCTCATTTCTTTTTCTTGTGTCACATGGGTTAACTCTTCCAATAAGCCGTGAAATCCCAGAGGTGATGGTGGCACCTCTGTCTTGTTCCCAATCTTAATCAGGTGTTTCACCTTAAGTACAATGTAGAGTATTGTTCTAAAATTGAAGCTTTATCATAGTAAGGAAATATTCTTTTTCCTAGTTTTGAATGCTTATTTTAATCAGGGTTACATGCCTAATTTTATGAAATGCCTGTTTAGGATTTATTCAGAAGACCTTAACATTTTTTTTTCTCATTTAATGGGATACTTCGTGTTAAGAGATTTCTTAATATTAAAGTCCTTTAGAGATTAACTGTCCTTTGTCAGTTAATCCCTAAAATGGGCTTTAAAAAAATTAGTGTCGAGTCAATTTATCAGCATCATGGTGAAGAAAATGGATTCGAAGTGGAATACTTATGTTTGAATCCCACCTTTGTGTAACAGTGACTTGGGCCCCATTACTTAATTTCTTTCTGCCTTAGTTCTTCGTCTGTAAAATGGAGATGATAGTAATAGTATCTACCGTATAGGGCTGTTGTGAGGATTAGACAAATCAATATAGGTAAAGTTTTTAGGAGAGTGTCTAGCCAAACACTAAGTAAATACAAACAAAATATTAAATTATTGAGAATTTACCATGTACCTAATACTGAGCTTGGGACATGGATTCAAAGATGGGCAAACTCACATGTGGTGTCTGCTCTCATGAAGCATTCAGCCTGGTGAGAAGACAGATACTTGTGAAACAATCACTTGGAAGCATGGAGATTTACTTTTATAATAAGTACCACCAAGGAGAAGTTACGGTGTCATGACACTGTGTAGTAGTGGGCTTGACCTGACCAAGGAAGGACACTAGGCTGAGATCTGAAAGATGGGTATGCTAAGAGTGTTGTAGGCAGAGAGAACCGCGCAAAGGTCCTGTGGCTCTGCAGTGCAAGAGTGTGGCAGATACAAAGGACAGAAACAGGCAGGATTTGGCTGGAAAGCTGGTGGATATGAAGCTGGGAGGTCACTAAGGGCCAGGCCATGTGGAAAGCCTTGTATACTTTAATTTTCCTTATTGAAGAGCAAGGAGGAGCCATTGAATGTTTGGGGCATTTGGGAGGTTGGCATGACCTCACCACCTTCTGCGTGCAGTGTGAAGAACAGATTGGCAAGGACCAGAGCAAATGTGGCTGACCAGTTAGGAGTTAATACGGCAGTTTAGGAATGAGCTTGGTGTAGGGTGGGGACAGACGGAGATAGAGATAGAGTGGTAGATTAGCCATGGGGTTGTGAAGAAGAGGAAGCTTCTAGGTGAGCCTTACTTAGATAAAGAGATGGAGGCATGATTCCATTCACTGAGTTGGGGGGTAGGCAACAGAAGAGGAGAGAGTGGGTGGGGGGACATCGAGAGCATCCCAAAGGGGTGATGGGCCTGGCCCACAGAGGGATGGCTGGCCTGGATCATGACGTTGTGAGTAACCAATGCACAAGTGGGAAGTCCCCCAAATCGGAGAGAGGAGCAGAGGCCTTGGCACGGAGACTGAAAGGAGGCAGAGAAAGAGCAGGAGCAGGAAAGGAGTATGGTATTGTGGGAGGAAGCTCAGGGCATTGCTGCTCAAAGTGTGGTCCCACAGAGGGCATCATCACATCACCAGGGAGCATGGTGGGAAGGCAGTCCCTCCAGCTCCACCCCGGTGTCGATCTGAATCTCCATTTGAGACAGATTCCCCAGGTGATGCGTGTGCACAGTGAGGTCTGAGATGCTCTGGCCCGGAGGAGTGTTTCTGAAAGGAGGGTGAGCAAGAGCAGTCAGAGGCACTGAGCAGTAAATTAACAAGAAAACGGAAAAATAGCCACTGAGCCCATGGGTAGTAGATCTGTTTGGGTGGATCAATGGGACCAGAAGGCAGAATTGACAGGGTTGGAGAGTGAGTGGGAAGTAAGGAAATGGAGACAGAAAGTATAGACAGATTGTGTTTTCTATAAATTTAGCTGTGAAGGAGAGAGAGACAAGGCTGGAGGGAGACGAGGAGTGGGGTAGGGAATTTTTTTCTTAACGATAGAGTCTTGAGCACATTTAAAATGAGAAGATACTAGTGGAGAGGAAATGACTGAACACACGTTAGAAAGAAACAGGAACGTATACTGTTCTTGAAGAGTAGGGAAGAGTCGAGACTCTTGGCAAGAGTCCATTTAGATGGAGGAAGAGGTAGCTCCTCTGTAGCAGGAATGAAGACAGCATGGGATAGGCTAGAAGGGTTTGGAATTGGGAAGACAAGGGAATCCTTAGGAATGGCTTTTATTTTCTATGGAGAGTGAGGGAGAGGAATTAGCTGAGAGCCAGGAGGTTGCAGACAATGGAGAAGGTTTGAAATTGTGGTTCTGACATTCCATGTTGTAGAGGGGAAGTCTGAGTTCAGCCTGGTATTGGTGGCTGTGTAGTTCAGATTCTCAAAGCCTTAATTTTCTACTGCATAGAGTTGTTGTAAGCCTTGATTAAATGATACACAATGTATCACCTGGTCAGTACACAGCGCACAGCAAGCCGACAATCAACGTTAGTCACCCTTTGTACCTCCCTCGGTGCCAAGTACAGGGCTGGCTCATGGGAAGCACTTGGAAAAGTGGGTTCATGATTTGCTAACACATTGCTCCTGACTCTCTAGAAGCTTCTAGGAGTTATTCTGGCTATTCTGAACTGCTCCATTTCTCTTTCCCAGGCCAGAACTGCACGTTCCAACTGCACGGTCCCAATGGGACAGTTGAGAGCCCAGGGTTCCCATATGGCTACCCCAATTACGCCAACTGCACGTGGACCATCACCGCGGAAGAGCAGCACAGAATCCAGCTTGTGTTCCAGTCCTTTGCCCTGGAAGAGGACTTTGATGTCCTGTCGGTGTTTGATGGTCCACCCCAGCCAGAGAATCTGCGTACGAGGTACCATGCTGCCCACCTTCCCTGTAGCAAACAGCTGGGCTATGAGCCAAGCTCACTAGGAGGAAGATCTTTCTCGAGTGAAAAGTTTATGGTCATCAACAAAGACCACTGTTTTCATGATGTCCTCCCTCAACCCCTCTGGTTTTCCAATTCATGTCTCTTGCTTAGAGGTTTCCGGTTGGGAGGATTGATGAGTAGGACATTTGGGAAGACTAGAGAGAAAACACAAGAGGGTTCTAGACAAATTCAGCTCTTTCTTTTGAAACTGATTTTTCATGCACAGGGTGTATTATTTGTACACACAGAAATATAAGTTGGAACCAACAGATATGGGTGTTGAAGGCTGATAGTGATGCAGTGAATATGTCTTGCGTCACAGTATTTGAAACCATCAATACTTTTCTGGACTTTGCTTTGCATTTCCAAGGCCTTGGTTGTGGATGTAGACTCTGGAATTTGGGGGAGTTCTCACCCTCTTAACCCCCATCCCTGTGATGGAAGAGATCCCCATGGAGAGAGTAAGATGGCTTCCTGTACCCCTGAGCTGACTCCCAAGGGGAAGAGCTTACAGGAGGGAGATGGGAGGAAGGCTTCCAACCTCTGCAGAAAGGGCAGACTTTTCTGGGGCAAAGGTGAAGACCCCAGGGTCAAAACTCTCTAGGTGACCCGGAGGCCAGCCAGGGTCTGTCACAAGCCTTGTCCAGGTCAGGTCAGCGTGGCTTCCCGGCTCTACAGGAAGCCAAAGGGTTAATGGCTTACAAGCCAAGCCCTGGGGAGCCGGAGGTGCTAATTGCTTCTAATGACATGATGCACTAATGAGTGGTTCCCAGCCAAATGCTTAACCTCAAAGCTTTGTTTAAGATGCATCTCAGCCCTTGGCCTCCAAGCTCCTGCAGCAGGGTCACACACACATTTACTGCACAGTCTTCAGCCCTCTTCTCTTTCCCCTCTGGGCAGAAGTGAGTCTGGGAAGCCTGCAGCAGAGGCGGGGGGGCATCTGGGGCCCCCTGCACCCCTTCTGCAGCTTCTCCCAGAAAAGACTGGGCTAATCATCTTCCCTTGAGGTTCAGCAGGGTTCTGTGAAACATTGGTAAAGGGCTAGAGTCCTCTTCAATCATTCATTCCACAAATATTTCATGGGTACCTATTATGTCTTGACACTGGCCTAGATGCTGGGGAATAGCAGTGAGAAAAACAAAGCCACCGCCTTCATGGAGGTTACATGCTAATGGGGAGGCAGGCATGGAAATATCTAACATGTCTGGTCCTATGAAGACAAAGCACACAGGGTAAGAAAGTGATGGCAGGAGTGCTGGCTTTATTATTATTATTATTATTATTATTATTATTATTATTATTATTATACTTTAAGTTCTGGGATACTTGTGCAGAACATGCAGGTTTGTTACATAGGTATACATGTGCCGTGGTGGTTTTCTGCACTCATCAACCCATCATCTACATTACGTATTTCTCCTAATATCCCTCCCCTAGCCCCCAACCCCCTGACAGGCCCCGGTGTGTGATGTTCCCCTCCCTTTGTCCATGTGTTCTCATTGTTCAACTCCCACTTATGAGTGAGAACATGCAGTGTTTGGTTTTCTGTTCCTGTGTTAGTTTGCTGAGGATGATGGTTTCCAGCTTCATCCATGTCCCTGCAAAGGACATTAACTCATCCTTTTTTATGGCTGTGATTGCTGGTTTTTATAGGGTGGTCAGGGATGGTCTTTCCCAGGGGAAAGAGAGCTATGAGCAGAGAGCTGAATCATGGAATATCATGTATGGTGTGGTATCCCATGTAGGTATCTAGGGAAAGCTTCTAGGCTAAGGGCACAGGAAATGTAAAGGGTACAGGGCCACCGTTTGGAGGATGGTCTTGCTGTGGCAGAGCCCACTTTGGCCAAGCCAGTCATGTTGACTAGGAAGACCTGCAGTTTTGGAATCCTCATTCTAGATCATCCCAGGTGTTGTTTTTATGCTCTGCTAGTTTGAATTCCTCTCACAAGCAAAGGAGGGTATGCAGGAGGTCAGTGGTTAGAGGCTAGAGCAGAGCCAGTGGGTAGGAGTTCTGGAAGGGAAAAAGTGAGGCTGGGAGGTGGCAGAAGGTGGTAGATCCTGCAGGGCCTCATAGGCCATGCAGGGACTTTGGCCTTGATCCTGAGGCACAGGAAACCCTTGGAGGGTTCTGAGCAGAAAAGGGACCTGCTGTGACAGGCCTTTGCCATCGTGGGGAAAATGGAGTGAAAGGGGTGAGGCTGGAGGCTGCTGTTCAGGGCAGAGAAGAAGGAGGCTTGGGTCTCCTGGAAGTGGGGACATGATGAGAAGTGGCCAGCTCTGTGCTGTATTCCAAACACAGAGTGGACAGGATTTGTTGTTGCATTGGGTGTGGGCTATGGGAGAAAGGAGATGAGGATGATTCCAGTCTCCTTGGCCTTAATGATTATGGAAAGAAGTAGCTGTTTCCTGAGATGGGGACAGCAACAGGAGGAGCTGGAAGTTAAGATTCAGTTTGGCCCTATAAAATTTTAGATGTCTATTAGATATCCAGGTGGAGAAGGCACTTAACGTGCACTTGAATATGTGGTTTTTGAGTTCAAGGCCGTCAGGGCTAGAGATACAAAATTGGGAGACTAGGACTGGATGGTGCCTAAAACGTAAGACTGGATGTGGTCACAAGGGAGCCAGTCTTCTCCATCAGATTTTGAGCTCATGTGACACCATCTATGGGGCACCTGTGTAGACTTTTGATGAATGTTGAATGCATGTTTGAAAGATAGAAAGTCAGGTCAAACCAATGGGGCACTGATTGAGGTATGGACAGCTAGAGGCAAATTCTCCAATTCTGCCTGCTGGAGTTATTTAAGCTTGTCCTGCTCTTAAGGCAGAGTCCCCACATGTGTGGTCGAGTCTTTGTTTTCTGACACTTGGTTTTCTTTCTTTCTTTTTTTTTTTTTTTCCAGGAAACTTAAGATTTCATTTGCATAAGCCACAGTAATTAAGAAATTCAATTTGGTTTTGAAATGGAGATTGACATACAGAAACACAACCCCATACACACATTCTCACACAGTCTGTGGGAAGTGTTTCCAGAGCAGTCTTGTTTGTGGTATTTGTTGTGTGGTCCTAGTGGGGAAGAAGTAAAGAGTCTTTGTTCACCTCAGACAAATTTATAAACTAACTGACCAAGAGATGGACTTTGTTTACAAGTCTGTTTATAAATAAAATGACGTTCTAATTTTTATTAAATAATAGGCAGTTAAGCAGCAGTAAAAATAAGTATACCAGAATTAAACAAAGAAAGGGGTTCATATCTCACTTTCAAATGGTCAGCTCTTTTCCCCCTAAACCTCAAAAAATCTTCTGTCTCCTCTCACCATCTTGTTTTAGAATTGACTACCAACTATTGCAGGAAATTGAACTGTTTTTGACCTACATTTGTGATGAGTCTGCCATAATGTAATTCTGATTGTGCTGTCAAAGAAAACCACATATTCCCCCCACCAAAAGAAAATAATTATGTATAATGCAAACGTGATTATCATTGTTAGTGTGGAAGGGTACAATTTATTTATTTATTATTATTATTATTATTATTATTGTACTTTTAAGTTTTAGGGTACATGTGCACAACGTGCAGGTTTGTTACATATGTATGCATGTGCCATGTTGGTGTGCTGCACCCATTAACTCGTCATTTAGCATTAGGTATATCTCCCAATGCTATCCCTCCCCCCTAACCCCACCCCACAACAGTCCCTGGTGTGTGATGGTCCCCTTCCTGTGTCCAAGTGTTGTCATTGTTCAATTCCCACCTATGAGTGAGAACATGCGGTGTTTGGTTTTTTGTCCTTGTGATAGTTTGCTGAGAATGATGGTTTCCAGCTTCATCCATGTCCCTACAAAGGACATGAACTCATCATTTTTTATGGCTACATAGTATTCCATGGTGTATTTGTGCCACATTTTCTTAATCCAGTCTATCATTGTTGGACATTTGGGTTGGTTCCAAGTCTTTGCTATTATGAATAGTGCTGCAATAAACATATGTGTACATGTGTCTTTACAGCAGCATGATTTATAATCCTTTGGGCATATACCCAGTAACGGGATGGCTGGGTCAAATGGTATTTCTAGTTCTAGATCCCTGAGGAATCGCCACACTGACTTCCACAATGGTTGAACTAGTTTACAGTCCCACCAACAGTGTAAAAGTGTTCCTATTTCTCCACATCCTCTCCAGCACCTGTTGTTTCCTGACTTTTTAATGATCGCCATTCTAACTGGTGTGAGATGGTATCTCATTGTGGTTTTGATTTGCATTTCTCTGATGGCCAGTGATGGTGAGCATTTTTTCATGTGTCTTTTGGCTGCATAAATGTCTTCTTTTGAGAAGTGTCTGTTCATGTCCTTCGCCCACTTTTTGATGGGGTTGTTTGTTTTTTTCTTGTCAATTTGTTTGAGTTCATCGTAGATTCTGGATATTAGCCCTTTGTCAGATGAGTAGGTTGCAAAATTTTTCTCCCATTCTGTAGGTTGCTGTTCACTCTGATGGTGGTTTCTTTTGCTGTGCAGAAGCTCTTTAGTTTAATTAGATCCCATTTGTCAATTTTGGCTTTTGTTACCATTGCTTTTGGTGTTAGACACTTGGGTTTTCTGACTCTGAGAGGAAGTATGGAAGACTCAGCAGAGACTGGTCTGGCCTGTGTTCTAGCATGGAAGGGTGGGAGTTTCCATGACCTGGAGAAGTGGTTCTGGCAGGGAAGGCTTCCTCTTGTCCTTAGGATGCAGAAGAATCAGATGTGTCCCCAGCCACGGCACAGCATTCCTGGCCAACCAGCCATGAGGATGAGGCTCTGGGGTTGAACCTTCATTGGGTTTTCCCTGCTTGTGCTCCTGATCTCTGTCATCTTTATGATCTGCTTATTCTAATTCATTTCACACGGGCTTAGCAAAGGGGAAGGGCTAGAAGGAGACCACTGCCTTTTTTTTTTTGATTGATGATGACAACAATAGCCACAGCAACAGCTAATATTTATTGAGTCTTTAATGTGTATCAGGCATTGTTCTACATGCTTTACTAGTGAGGCTGGAGAGCAGTGGTGCAATCTCAGCTCACTGCAATCTCTGTCTCCTGGACTCAAGCACTTCCCCCACTTCAGCCCCAAAAGTAGCTGGGACTACAGGCATGAGCCCCCACGCCTGGCTAATTTTTGCACTCTTTCTGTAGAGACAGGGTTTCACCATGTTGCCCAGGCCGGTCTCAAACTCCTGAGCTTAAGTGATCCACTTTGCCTCCATCTCCCAAAGTGCTAGGATTACAGATATGAGCCTCCATGCCCGGTCTACTAGTGTGTCATTTAAGTCTTAAAACAGTTTATGGTTAAGTGTTACTATTAAGCCTATTTTAATGAAACTGTAGCAAACTTAGTTATGTCACTTGCCCAAGCTCAGATCATTTTTAAGTAGGGCCAGAACTTTATCCCAGGGATAAATAATATTTCAGTGGACTGAGAAGTTGAATTAGGAAAAATGAACCTAATTTTGATTTTGAGAAATCTATTGAATGTTCCACTCATAATTAATTTACAACAATGAACAAAATAAGGGAAAAAATCATCACTTAAAACACAGATATATAGGGTTGAACAGAGAGTGACAAAGAGCGAGAGCTAGAAGATTCTTTGGGGGCCCCTCTTTCCTACATCTCAGCCTCTCTGGTTCTATCAGATGAGTCCTAGCAGCATTTTCCATGCTGCACTTTTTTGTGTGTGTGATCTAACCACACATTCTTCATCAAATACCACCTCACTTCTCTGCTCCCTTTGCCAGACAATTCTCCAAAGAGCTGCCTATGTTTTCTATCTCTGCTTCCTTGATTTCTTTTTTTTTTTTTTTAATTTTTTTAGTATTTATTGATCATTCTTGGGTGTTTCTCGGAGAGGGGGATTTGGCAGGGTCATAGGACAATAGTGGAGAGAAGGTCAGCAGATAAACATGTGAACAAAGGTCTCTGGTTTTCCTAGGCAGAGGACCCTGCGGCCTTCCGCAGTGTTTGTGTCCCTGGGTACTTGAGATTAGGGAGTGGTGGTGACTCTTAACGAGCATGCTGCCTTCAAGCATCTGTTTAACAAAGCACATCTTGCACCGCCCTTAATCCATTTAACCCTGAGTGGACACAGCACATGTTTCAGAGAGCACGGGGTTGGGGGTAAGGTTATAGATTAACAGCATCCCAAGGCAGAAGAATTTTTCTTAGTACAGAACAAAATGGAGTCTCCTATGTCTACTTCTTTATACACAGACACACTAACAATCTGATCTCTCTTTTCCCCACATTTCCCCCTTTTCTATTTGACAAAACCGCCATCGTCATCATGGCCCGTTCTCAATGAGCTGTTGGGTACACCTCCCAGACGGGGTGGTGGACGGGCAGAGGGGCCCCCCCACCCCCCAGACGTGGCGGCCAGGCAGAGGTGCCCCCCACCTCCCAGACAGGGTGGCTGCCGGGCGTGGGCGCCCCTCACCTCTCAGATGGGGCGGCTGCCAGGCGGGGGCGCCCCCCACCTCCCAGACGGGGCGGCTGCTGGGCGGGGTCGCCCCCCACCTCCCAGACGGGGCGGCTGCTGGGCGGAGGGGCTCCTCACTTCCCAGACGGGGCGGCCGGGCAGAGGGGCTCCTCACTTCTCAGACGGGGCAGCCGGGCAGAGGCGCTCCTCAGTTCCCAGACGGGGTCGCGGCCGGGCAGAGGCGCTCCTCACTTCCCAGACGGGGTGGCGGCCGGGTAGAGACGCTCCTCACCTCCCAGACGGGGCGGCCGGGCAGAGGTGCTCCTCACATCCCAGACGGGGCGGCCGGGCAGAGGCGCTCCCCACATCCCAGATGATGGGCGGCCAGGCAGAAACGCTCCTCACTTCCTAGACGGGATGACGGCCGGGAAGAGGCGCTCCTCACTTCCCAGACTGGGCGGCTGGGCAGAGGGGCTCCTCACATCCCAGACGATGGGCGGCCAGTTAGAGACGCTCCTCACTTCCTAGACGGGGTGGCGGCCGGGAAGAGACGCTCCTCACTTCCCAGACTGGGCGGCTGGGCAGAGGGGCTCCTCACATCCCAGACGATGGGCAGCCAGTTAGAGACGCTCCTCACTTCCTAGACGGGGTGGCGGCCATGCAGAGGCGGCAATGTCAGCACTTTGGGAGGCCAAGGCAGGCGGCTGGGAGGTGGAGGTTGTAGCGAGCTGAGATCAGGCCACTGCACTCCAGCCTGGGCAACATTGAGCACTGAGTGAGCGAGGCACCTCGGGAGGCCGAGGCGGGCAGATCACTCGAGGTCAGGAGCTGGAGACCAGCCCGGCCAACACGGCGAAACCCCGTCTCCACCAAAAAATACAAAAACCAGTCAGGCGTGGCGGCGCGCGCCTGCGATCCCAGGCACTCGGCAGGCCGAGGCAGGAGAATCAGGCAGGGAGGTTGCAGTGAGCCGAGATCACGGCAGTACAATCCAGCCTCGGCAACAGAGAGAGACCATGGAAAGCGGGAGACGAAGAAGAGGGAGCGGGAGGGGGAGGGGGAGGGGGAAGGAGAGGGACGACCACTGCCTTTTATTGACCTGGAACCAGAGGAGCTCACACCTCGGAGGATGATAGGAGGGGAAATGACCTTAGAGGACAGTCCAAGTAACATTGGAAGATGCTGTCCTTGATACTGGAATGGTGCTACTCTGGGGGTGTGGAGAGGCAGCAGCAAGCATGCTTGGTGGGGACCCTTGGGTCTTTGTGAATTTTTTTTTAATGTTCTTGCATGATTTTTAATCTACTGAGATTTCCTTCTTATTCATGAATCATTTTTGTGTGTGTGTTAGTCCAGGGAATCACCAATAAAATCACCCATTTTATTGAGAGTGTCAAGTCTATTATCCTAAGGTTGTACACTGTTTTCCCACTCAACCTTTCTTTCTCCATGGTGTCTGGGTCACATCCCTTTCTCACATCTGCTCCTGTGCATTTCTTTCTTTCTTTCTTTCTTTCTTTCTTTCTTTCTTTCTTTCTTTCTTTCTTTCCACTCAGTTAGTCTTGCCAGAAGTTTGCCTATTTTATTGGTCTTTTTAAAGTTCCAATGCTAGGGTGATCCATTTTATTCTCTTTTATCTAAATTATTGATTTCTGCTTTTATCTTTATCTATTCTTTTCTCTCACTTTCCTTAGGCTAATATTGTTCTTTTGCCAATTTTGTAAATTAAATTAGTTTTATTATTTCTTGTTTGATAATAAAAACATTAAGAGACATTTTCCCCTAAGTATAGCTTTGACCACATTCCATAAATTTTTATGGCTAGTTGTTATTTTAGAAAGAGTTTCTAATTGCAATTTTGTTCTTTCTTTGACTCTAGGGTTTTCCCCTTAAATTTTGAAGTAATATTTGTTTATACTTTAGAAATTATTATCTAGCTTTATTTCATTATGATTAGATTATGATTTCTACTTTGGAGAATTTGTTGACTTGTTTCCCTCTGTATAAGATCATTTTTTGTCAGTATTCTATGAAGAAAGATATTCTGTGTATGAAAGGTGAAAAAATTATGTTATTAATATCATTCAGTTTTTCTAATTTCATATCTATTGCCTAACTGATATTTGCGGATAGGCAATATATTGCTCTCACATTCTTACTATAGTTTATATCAGTTCCTCCTTTTATTCCTAAGTTTTTATTTTATATACTGTGATCCTATACTCTTCAGCACATTCATATTTTCAAACATTAGATCTTCAGAGTGAATTTTGTATATGTATATATATATTTCCAATATGAAAATTGTAGTTATTCCCTATTCTCTCCTTTTTTTTTTTTTTTGCTTTACATTCTACTTTGTACCAATATTACACTCTTTTTTTCTTTCAGATATGCATTGATTGGGTCCATTTTTGCCAATTTCTCTATTTTTAATATATCTATATTATTGTTTTAGGAATAGTTCTTAGCACAATATACACAGTAGTTAAATTTTTAAAAAATCCTGGCTAAGAGTCACTATCCTTTAACAGGAAAATTTAGTTCACTCATATTTTTTGGTAACAACTGATATGTTTGCTCTTCTATTATACTTAATGCTTTCTATTACTTTTAAGCGTCCTTACTGTTACTTCCTTTTATCTGTCTTCTAGTGCAAGTTGTCTTTGTTTTTTCTGTGATTTTTATTCTATTAGTGCTTAAAGTTGCTTCTTTAGAACATGTTTTAAGCTGTATTTTTCTGTCAACATCCTGCCTAGCTAGCTTTTGTCTTAGGTAGGTCTTACTGACTCTATCTTGTAGAATTTTCTTCGTGTTTGTAGCATGTAGGTATCTATCTGTATTCCTTGGTTTCCAAAGTTAATGTAGATATTCCATCTCTTTATATACTTTAGATCATTTTCATGAGAATTTAGGGGGTCAGGCAAGGCAGAGTTTAACATGTTATCGTTCCTCTTCATCTTGACATGGAAATTTTTTAAATAAAAGTTTTATTCTTTTTGATGCTATTGTGAATGGGTTTTTTAAAAAATTTGTTTTTGGACTAGCCATTGTTAGTATATAGAAATACAATTGATTTTTGTAAATTGATCTTGTATCTTGTGACCTTGCTGAATTTGTTAGTTCAGTTCGTTTATATCTGTGAATAAAAGTTTTAATTCTTCCTTTCCAATCGGGATACCCCTTATTTCTTTTTTTCCCTGATTGTGCTGTCTAGAACCTCCAGTATAATATTGAATAGAAATGGTCAGAGTGGCTAGCCTTGACTTATTCCTGATGTTAGGGGAAAAACATTTCGTCTTTTAGCATTAAGTATGATGTTATCTGTAGGTTTTTTGTGGATACCCTTCTAATAAAAATTTTTAAGCAGAGGATTTTGGCATGATTTGGTGGCAGTGTGGAAAATGCACTGGGGTGGAGGGCAGACTGGCGACCGTGGGGCAAGGAAAGAGACAGCAGTAGTCTGGACTAAAGCAATGAAGGGTAAAGATGGCATGGATGTGTATGATGCTATGGGAAAGAGTTATCCCCAGAGTTAGTAGTGGATGTATAGGGACAGTGGACTGGGAGTAAGAAAAAGAAAGGAATGGAGGATGACTCCGCAGTGTCTGCCTTGGAAACAGAAAACAAACCAAATCAGTCTGCAGTGAATTTCAGTCTCCAGTGAAATGTGTTCTTGGGGCCTACCAGGATATTTGCTGCACTGACATTTTTCTTCACTTGTCTGGTAGATAGAGCAGGTAGGTCACCTCCTGTCTCAGTGTTTTCCTGTGAGACAGAAGGGTGCAGTGGGGACAGACCTAGATTTATACCTAGCTAGGCTCTACATTTATTAATGCTATGACCTCATACAAGGTTTGGTTTCTC
Source organism: Homo sapiens (assembly GCF_000001405.40). Classification (NCBI taxonomy): domain Eukaryota; kingdom Metazoa; phylum Chordata; class Mammalia; order Primates; family Hominidae; genus Homo; species Homo sapiens. The sequence continues at coordinate 34,078,603 of NC_000001.11, read as the reverse complement.
TGAGCCTCATCTATAAAATGGAGGTGACATTTACCCGCCTTACAGGGTTGTTGTATGTGAGCCACCAGCTATAGATGCTTACGTGGTCCGGAAACATTGTTTACGTCCTTTCCTGCCCTTCTGTTCTTAGGACTCAGTAACTCAGACCTTTCCAGAGAGTTCTAGTGCCTGTGATGACACTTCATCTGTGGCCAACTCATCAGACATTTTAGACTGGGAATTTCAGGTGTGGTAGAAAGACACTGAAGGAGTCACTGAGCTCAGGAACAGTCATTAATTGTGCATGTATGTATCATGTGTATGTATGTAATGTGTACGTATCATGGCATTACTGATCCCATGATAGCCTCCTCTCCTCTCCCTTCCCACACAGACAGTGGGGCCAGACCACCAAGAGGCCTGCAGCAGATTTTTCTCTGCCTGCATCACCTGGGGGATTTCCATGTTTATTGTCTAAAACTTAATGAGCTGGGCACAGTGGCATCCACCTGTAGTCCCAGCTACTACTCGGGAGGCTGAGGCAAGAGGATTGTTTGAACCTGGGAATTCAAGACTAGCACGGGCAACACAGTAAAACCTAGTCTCTGAAAAATAAAAATAAAAAAAAATTTCATGAGTACAAGTTTTGCAATTACTGCTTTCACTACATTTTAAAAAATTATTTTATTTTAGATTCGGAGGTTACATGTGCTGGTTCTTTACATGGATACATTGCACAATGGAGGGGTTTGGGCTTCTAGTTGTATCCATCACCCAAATAGTGAGCACTGTACACAATAGGCAGTTTTTCAACCCTCACTGCCTCCCAAACTCCTCCCTTTTGGAGTCTCCTCACAGCATTTTTTTTTTTTTTTTTTTTTTTTTTTTGAGATGGAGTCTTGCTGTGTGGCCCAGGCTGGAGTGCAGTGGCACAATCTCAGCTCACTGCAAGCTCCGCCTCCCGGGTTCACACCATTCTCTTGCCTCAGCCTCCCGAGTAGCTGGGACTACAGGCGCCCGCCACCACGCCCAACTAATTTTTTGTATTTTTTAATAGAGACGGGGTTTCACTGTGTTAGCCAGGATGGTCTCGATCTCTTGACCTCATGATTCGCCCGCCTCGGCCTCCCAAAGTGTCCTCACTGCTTTTTTTTTTTTTTTTTTTTTTGAGACGGAGTTCCGCTCTTTAGCCCAGGCCGGATTGCAGTGGCACAATCTTGGCTCAGTGCAAGCTCCGCCTCCCAGGTTCACGCCATTCTCCTGCCTCAGCCTCCCGAGTAGCTGGGACTACAGGCGCCCGCCACCGCGCCCGGCTAATTTTTTGTATTTTTAGTAGAGACGGGGATTCACCGTGTTAGCCAAGATGGTCTCGATCTCCTGACCTTGTGATCCACCCTCCTCGGCCTCCCAAAGTGCTGGGATTACAGGCGTGACCTCACTGCATTTTTAAGGCATCTCTCTTCTCTTCTCTCCAACACTCTGGTCTTCTTTCTTTATGGATGCGTTCCAACAAAAGGCTGAAACGTTACCTCCCTACCCCAATCCTAGCCCCCTTTAACCTCACCTTTCTCCAGCTGCTTGCTCCTGGATTGTGTTGTGAGAAATGAACTTTCCTCCTATTAGATTCTAAGCTCCTTAAGGCTGGGAGTCATGGGAGTCAAGCCTTCTATATATATATATATATATATATATATATTTTTTTTTTTTTTTTTTTTGCTTTGCTGTAACAGAGCCATACAGTGGAATATACACCAGTCTTGCCAGTAGATGACATGAGTTTGCTCTCCAGCTCCTCCCTAGCTGCATAGCATTGGCAAGTCACTTTCACTGATATCCACAGTATGCTAATTGATAAACGGGGTGTATCAAGATCTACCTTATAGGTTAGTTGATCAAGATTAAATTAAAACAGTATGTAAACTGCTTTAATTATGATGAGATAGAAACAAAAGGAATACTCCTACATTTATAGGAAAAATTAGAAAGCACTATTTAGCAAAAAGACAAAATAATTTGTGAATCATGAGGTAGAGCAGTGGTTCTCAACTGAAGGCAGTTTTGTCCCCCAGGGGACATTTGGCCACATCTGGAGAAATTTGTGGTTGTCCCAACTGCAAGTGGAGAGGTGCTGATGACATCTACTAGGTTGAGGCCAGGGATTCTGCTAAACATCATCCCACAATGCACAGCACAGCTGTCTACAGTAAATAATTATCTGTCCCCAAATGCCAGTAAAGCTGAGGTTGAAAAACCGTGAGGTGGATTGATTTGAGAGGTTCATACCTTTAGCATAAGACATACCTGGGTTTTACTCCTCTTTCTATGTCTGTGAACTTGGGCAAGTGAGTCAACCCATTCAAGCCTCAGTTTCCTTCTCAGCAAAATGGGAACTTCTCACTGATGCTATGTACTGGCAGCTTCACCTGGCATCATTGATGAGAAGGTGCCAATAGACACACTGCGCACAGCTTGTTCTATATGCAGATGCTATTCATCTCCCAATGACTCCCTTTCTCTACCAGGAGTTCATAGCCATCTCCTTGAAAGCATCTCACATTTCATCTGGAGCTATTCACAAGCAACCACATCCCAGGGTGCCAGAAGGCAGCGTCTGGCTGCTTCAAATTAAATTTACAATAGAAGCTGATCAGATTCTTCTCATAATGGATCAGGGTGGGGAACGGGAGTAGGAGCTGGTCCTGAAGGCCGGGAGCCTGTAGGAGTTTGGAAATTAGCAAGAAAAGAACAAAGAGCCTTCCAGATAATGCAGTGTCAGCCCTGCCTGGATGAATTACTGAAACAATCCCCACGTCTCTGCTTTTGCACAATTAGATGGCCTCTCCGTGCTGGCAGACATCCTATTGCATTGCAGTTTAATGTGGAATGAAGTTTTCTAATGGGACACGAGCAAACATAATCTATGAAGACGCTGCTAATAAACTGCATCCCGTATATTGGAGGGTTTATAGGGTGCTGGTGATGACTGCACCAGTTAAGCACAGCTAAGCATCTCTTAATTTAGACATTTGGGCTCAAGTTATGGGAAACACTACAACTCGTTCCCTCAATTATTGGAAATACACATTCTGTCATCAGCCTAAGGTGCAATGTAGTTTTAGTCATTTGGAGCTAGTTGCAGATTTCACTCAACTGGCGTCAGACACCTGTTTTGGAAGTTGTAAAAATCCACAAATTTGCCAGATTTACTGTCTTCTTATGAATATGTATCACAGCAGAGGCCCCCAAAGGACCTGTTTTTTGGATTCCTTAAAAGGTGTGCCTTGCACATCAATAGGGACGTCCTTGAAGGGTCTGCTCTCCAGAATGCCTCTGGGAATGTGCTCTTGTGGGCAGAAGGAGGCTGGGAGGACCCATGGGGATGAGGGAAAAGTCTTTGTTCAGGATTGAAACAGAGAGGGGACACTGGAAAGGAGAACAAAGGAATGAGGACACTGAACGGCTATTATGTTCCAGCCACCATGCTGGACACTTGTGTTCATGCTCTCATGGTAATTTATTCTACATTTATTGAATGCCTAACAGGAATGCCAGGTATCAGAGACACAACAGTTAACAAGACAGCTTCTGCCTTCAAGGAACTTAACGATATCTTTAGGGAGACAGTTAAATAATCAGGGTATAAGTGCTATGACTGGGGAACCTGACCTCGCCTTGGGGGAGATCTTTGTGGATGCTCATCTGGAGGCTTGGGATGAACCCCCTCCATCTGCCCCTTGCTTAGTTGTCCCTTACTCATTCCTCAAGTAACTCAGTTGTCCCTTCCTTGCCCAGGACACCCTTTCCTCACAACCTGGTCAAACCCTCCTGTGATACCTGCTCAGATTACCATGCATTCACCCTTTGTGGTTTTACACACGCGTGTGTGTGTGTGTGTGTGTCTTCTTCATTTATGCCCATCTACCCCACAAGGCTGTAAACTCCTTGATGACAAGAACTCTTTCTCTTTTACTTTTCATTGTAGCTCTCCAGGGCCTAACAGAGAGTCTGGCTTATAGCAGATGCTAAACAAATACTTATGGAGTGAATGAATCAATGCTCTCTGGAGGAAGAGATCCCTAATAGAGTGTGGAAGGAGGGATGAGAGTGTTTCGAGCCAAGAAATAGTATGTGCATAGGTCTAGGCAAAAGTGAGAGAAAGGTGAGGTGCAGAATGACAATGGGTAGGTTCATTTTGGCTGGTGTATAGTGGGAAGGTGGAGCAGTGGCCCGGGCCAGCTCCACCAGGGACCCTGTATGCCCTGCTGAGGAGCTCGATACATTTCTAAGAAAGATGGTTCACAATGAAAGGTTTTAAATAGACATTGTTCACATTATCTAATAATTCAACAACACCTTTAGGAGGTGGGTAGTATTAATTCTCTTTGCAGAAGTTAAGCAAGCATGTAAGGCCCCTAAGCTGCCAAATAGCTGATATAGTTTGGCTCTGTATCCCTGCCCAAATCTCGTGTTGGATTGTAATCTCCAATGTGGGAGGTGGGGCCTGGTGGGTAGTAATTGGATCATAGGGCGGATTTCTCATGAATGGTTATCACCATCCTCTTGGTGCTGTCCTGACGTTAGTGAGTGAGTTCTCATGAGATCTGGTTATTTAAGTGTGGGGCACCTGCCCCATCTCTGTTGCTCCTGCTTTTGCCATGTGATGTGCTTATTCCCCCTTTGCCTTATGCCGTGATTGTAAGTTTCCTGAGGCCTCCCCAGGAGCCAGGCAAATGCCAGCATCATGCTTCCTGTGCAGCCAGTGGGACTGTGAGCCAATTAAACCTCTTTCCTTTATAAATTGTCCCATCTCAGGTATTTCTTTACAGCAATGCAAGAATGGACTAACATAGTGGCTAAAGAGGGGTGGGCCAGGGGTCTCCTAGAGCCAGAAACAAGGCTTTCCCCCACTATACCAAAATGCCTTTTCATTGCTTTGGATTTATTTGCATTCATTCATTCAATTTCCTTTTAAAAATCCATTCCTTTTTCCTTTTTAAGCAGTTTCTCTAAAATAGTAAATGTAATAGGTATTTTCTGCTTTAAGAAGGTCAGCAGTGTATAGAGTGAGAAAAATGCAGCTGCCTCCTTTCCCAGGCCCTTGTCCCAGCCTCACTCCCTAGAGGTAACCGCTGTTAACAGTTTGGTGTGTGTCCAATTTCTTTTTAAATAAGGATTCATTAAACTGCCCATGAGGCTTATTGGGACATCCATCAGACCTTTAAAAATTGTTCTGATGAATTAAGTGTAAACTAATTAGAAACATGGATTCAATTACCCTTGAAACACACAAGGGTTTAATAATTAATAGGAAGTGGGTTTGAGGCCAAAGGCATTATGGATTTTATCAAACCCCTAACATCAGAAAAGTAAATATGTTTGATTCACCCTAAATGCTGGCAAATTTGCCATCCGGAGGCAAACCTGTTGGTAGGAGCTGTGTAGTTAATCAGGAAAGTTAGCTGTGGTTAATAAGGAGGCAGAGGAAGAGGGGTGCAGAAGACAAAACCCGCTGATCATTGCTGGGCAGGGCTTCTTGGGACAGGGAAGTGGCCTGTTTTGTGGGGTTACTGCAGTCTGCTTCCTTCACAATCCAAAGCAGGCTTTGGAGTGGGAGGCTGGATACCTGGGACCCTGGTATCTGCTTGATATCCAAGTTCACACAGGTCAGCACCACCTGACCAGCACCGAAGGGGGTTATGGAAGGGGAGGAGTGGGGTCTGCCAGGGATGAGGCTCTGGAAACCAACTGCAGTGACCCCATGGGGCAGCCATGTGCTCCATCCCTAATGCCAAAGGGAGGGTCTGGGCAGACGTGGTGGGGGAGGGGTTGGCAGCAGGTGATACACAAAGCCAGGTGGGCAGCAGTGTCGGGGTCCTGAGCAATCTCTCCACTCACAGTAGGACCCTGTGGTTCAAGGTCAAAATCAATATTTGTGGCAAAGCCTCACCTTGCTCATTCACCAAGTCTGCTGTTTAATAGCAGCCAAAATTTAACACCCCCTGGAGCCAGAGTCTCAGTCCAAAAGGCTGTGCTGCCTGCATCACTTCTCACAATTGGTCCTGCCTGCAGTATCATGAGATATTGGTCAAAGACGCAACATTCCCCTAGAGCAGACTTGGCCACCTCTAGATCCTCATCGGCCCCTCTCTTCCAAGTGGCTGCTGACAGCACTGTTGCTGAGATAGGAAGTTTCCCCCTTCTATATCCTCAGCTCTTACTCCCTGAACTTCTGGGGCCACAGAATTTGCTCTTCAAGGGACCCTGGTGTCTGCAGGGTGGAGGCAGGTTTGGACTTGTCATTCTAGTCTTCCCTCTGTTTCTTTTTCAGCAGACACGGTACCCAAATAAACACTTCCCAAGTATTGAGTCCCTCATTCTCTTGGAATTAAAGTAAATCTAAAACTAAATCAATTCTCGACTTTTAAGTGACAAAAGAGCCAAATTATTGTACCCTTAAGTGGGTCTACTGCCACAACTACCCATAAACAGTGAGGCCAGCCTTTTGCTACTGCATCAATTTCTACTCTGTCACAAGATGTGGTGCCAAGAGCCAGACCAGGGGCATGGAGAGCTGGGTTCTGTCCCAGCTTGGCCACTGGTTTGCTTGTGATCTTCACTAAGTCCTATTCCTTCTCAGGGCCATCTGCGTTTTCCTGACTTACAATATGAGGATTTAAATCTAGAGGAACTCCAAAGCTTCTTCCAGCTCTGAAATTGTGTGATTGAATGATGCTGGAGATGCATATAGAAGGACTATAAAATATCCCTGAGCTTCTGGGATTCTTTCTACTCTACGTAGGTACTGCTCTTGGCTGTTTCAGCAATTCCAGCAGTTGTCTTTGGCGAACAGTTTATTTTCCAATGGCACGTTAAGCAGTGTGGCAGAGAAGGCTAATTGCCCACCATCAATCTTGCTCCTTTTCCACAGTGTAGGTGTTAGTGGGAAGCAGCTGCCTAGCTAGGGACAATATTTTCCTAGGCCCCCTTGCATCTAGATGGAGCCATATGACTTAGTGGAAGGTAGATGGAAATGATGTGTGCCTCTTCCAGGTCTGGGCAGAAAGCCTCCTCTGCAATCCTCTCTTTCTATCTTTCCCTGGGACAGGAGATGAGAGAAGCCTAGATGCCTGGATGACTGCATGGAGCAGAACCCACCTCCTCCCCTATCTGCTGCTGATTGATTGAATTTTACATAAGTGAGAAATAAACTTTTATGTAAACTTAGACCTCACGTATTACTGCACCAGTTGCCCCAGGAGCTGCAGCTGACTGGGTTTGCCTAGATGACATGGTAAAGACACTGTAGACAGTATAGACTACTAGCCTGGCTGTTGAATTCATGGAAGCAGTTTCTGACCACGTGATGCCCCTAGCATCTTGCAGACTGGCAATGCAGCATCTTCAATCCTGCCTGGAGGAGCAGATGTTTTCACGAAGTTTATAGTGGCTAGCTCCTCTGCACCTGGCAGTCTTTCACTGTGCCAGTTCAGTCTCTCGCATCATCACTGCCACCTTTGTCCTTCCATAAGCAATGGCTGCCTTATTAAGTCTCATAAGGAAGGAAGCGTGAACAATTGACTCCACCTTCCAATTTGATTATTTTAACCCAAAGGGCTCTTAACTAGGGATCTAGGGGCTTTTGTGATGCCCTGGCAAGCTGGTAGAGCTGCATACAACTTCTCCCTCCTCCAAAGTTCCACAGCTACATATCAAAGACAAGGCAAATCTTAAACTTACGTAAACCCTACAAAGTAAAGAGGAACGGGGACGCATCTTGGCTCTGATAGTTTAGCTGGATTTCAGTTATAAGAGGAATTCCTCACCATCCAGAGATAAAGAAATCTGGACAATAAAGAAGCTTTCTAGTTCTGCAAGAAGCCTTGCAGTAGTGGATATTTTCAAACCTGCCTTGGTCTGCAAGGGTGGGGGTGGGGGAATGCAGACACAAAGAGTTCTTGCAGACAGAGGCAGATTTGTATCCACTACCGCAAAGCTCCACCCATGTAAGTGCCCAGTGTTACTCCTCTCAATTCCGTTTGATTGTTGTGGCTTCTCAGGCGCATTATGTTATTGACTTCTCCCAACAATCCAATTGAAGTGTCATATTCATCCCATTTTGCAGAGGAGAAAGCTGAGCTTCAGAATGGCTCATAAGCCCTATGCTAAGAAGGTGTGGCTGAGTTCTTAGCATTTTCTCCCTGCTCTGAGCCAGTGCCCTCCAGCCACAGGAGCCTGTGGAGGGCGGGAGAAAGGCCTTGGGCAACAGTCAGCCAGAAAAAGGACCCATCTACCCTAAAGGACAGAGATAGATGAGAGGAAACCTACCAGAGACGGGATTCTACAGTCCTGTCTCCTTCCATGTTTGGAATTTGCCTGCACTTAGGCAAGAAGTAAAGGAAGAGGGAATGGCTGTCTTTTCTCCACTGCACTCTTCCTCCAGTGTAAGTTAGGTGAAGGCCTCAAAGTGGCAAATTATTTGTAGAACCCCAAAGGAGTGGGCTTCTTCTATTTTGGAGTATGTAGAAGAGTAAAGATTTTCTTTAATTAGATAGTGCCGGATAGATTTAATTAAAGCTTCAAACCTGCAATTTTCTTTGTTTGATTGATCAGTTGGTGCTGATTGCCTGGAGTAATTATGAAGGGGGAGGTGGAGTTTTCAAAGTCTGATGGTGATAAGAAGCAGACTGAGTCAACCCGTGGATACTTGGTTGTCAGAGTCATTCTGAAAAGATTTAAATTGCACAAATGTTTGTTGGCTGGTCAAATGAAAAATAAGGTATCTAAATCACACTTTTGTCTAAATCATGCTCCTGGTGGATGTGCTTCTGCAGAAAAGGTCCCCTTTCCCCTCCTTTCTCCAAATCTAATCACACCTCTGAGACCAGGCAGTATTCTGTTATTTTTGTCTTTCTTTTATGAAATAATTGAAGCACATTGTTGGGAGTGTCTCATAATGGCCTTCTAAAATTTCTAGAGCTTACTGGAGGGTCAGGAGAGAAAGAGCATCTTATAGTCTCCATGTGAATTTAGGGAATTCAGAAAGAGCTTTAAAGTCAGGCACTCCTGGGGTTGAATCCTGCCTTTACCATTTACTACCTCTTTGACTTTGGACAAGTACCCTTGAACTGCTTTTTCCTCATCAGCAATGCAAAAGAGTTGTGAAGATTCTTTGAGCTGATGTATGCAAGCCAAGCACCCACGGTTAGCCTGTGATGGGTTCTTACTGGATTTCTGTCTCTTTCCCTTCCTGTGCTCTGTTGCTTTGCTGAGGTCACCACCATAAAAGTTCCATGAACTCACGGGACCAGAGCTGTCTTGTTCACCACTGCAGACAGAGACCTCAGCACACTGCTTTGTACATGGGGGGTCTCAGCAAATTCTTGCCCAATGAATGAATAAATAGTTGAATACCCTGTATATTTAGGCCTCCCTAAAAGTAGATGACACCAGTACAGAGTAAAAGAAGGGGTTCCAAAGAGTTGCCACATTTATGAGGCCCTGGGGGGTGCAAGATGAACAATGTCATGCAGGCTGCCATGTGAAAGCATTGGTGGAGAAACTGTTCTCTTTTTCCTCTGAACTGGTCAAACCATCTTTATTAGTCCATTTTTCATGCTGCTGATAAAGACATACCTAAGACTGGGCAATTTACAAAAGAAAGAGGTTTAATGGACTTACAGTTCCACATGGCTGAGGAGGCCTCACAATAATGGCAGACGGCAAGGAGGAGCAAGTCACATCTTACATGGATGGCAGCAGGCAAAGAGCAAGCTTGTGCAAGGGAACTCCCCTTTTAACTATCAGATCTCACAAGACTCATTCACTATTATGAGAACAGCAGGGGAAAGACCTGCCCCCATGATTCAATTACCTCCCACTGGGTTCCTACCCCAACACGTGGGAATTCAAGATGAGATTTTGGTGGGGACACAGCCAAACCATTACCAACATCTTGGGGAACTGAGTTCAGTTCTCAGTTACACACTGGAATGGGAAGCTAATGATTGTCAAGACTGCTGCAGCATAAAAAATGTTTAAGTTAAAAAATAACAAAACAGGCTACAGAATTATCTGTTTATTATGTACATTACCATGTAAGCATGTATACACAGGTGAATAAGACTAGAAGGAAATATAGCAACATGCTAATAATAACATGGGTATGAGGATGGCTTGATTATGAATAATTTTTTAATCTTTTGTATTGAAAAGTTTTTTGCAACATAGTTACATTGTTTTTATAATAAGAATGCATGTTTTGATTAATGTAAGATTAAATGTAAAAGAAAAGAGAAAAGTTTAAGTATATCCCTTGCTACCCATACCCAAAGAGGGACATTGACAAACTCAAGTGGGACCACGGGAGAATGACCAGGATGAGGAAGGACTTTATGTTGCAAGATGGATCTTGAGGACTTCAGGCTGTTCACTTGAAGGAAGGAGACTCTTAGGGGAAATGACGACTGTTGTCAAAAGCTGACATAAGATGGTGGCACTCAGGCTGTGAAATGTACATTCCAGGGAAACAAACTTCAAGTCATTTCTAACACTTGTGTCTGTCTAGAACTGAGGGTCCCTGTCTCAGGAAGCACCAGTGCAGAAGTTGGGGCTTCTAGGGAAGCACCTCTCTGGGCTACAGACATGCCATCTGCACAGTGGGGCTGTAGCTCTCTGTCAGTCATTCTTTACCTGGGGATGTGCCTCCCCAATCCTGACTTCCTGGAGTCATGGAGAGTGGTTCTTGCATCACATATTGTAAGTGGGAGCCAGAAGGGAGGTACGTGTGCAGTTTGAAAAAGCATCTTCAGAGTGACCTTTACTTTGACTTGTTTTTATTCATTTTATTTTGAATTTTAAACCACATTGAAGAAGGAGGCAGTCATTTTATGTGAATCTTCATAGGGGGTCCCTGATTTTAAAAGGTTGACAAACTGCTCTGGAAAGGGGCTTCTCAAACTTTCACACACATGCAAATCAGCTGGGAATTTGTGAATGTGCACAATCAGATTCAGTCTGAGATGCATTTCCAAGGAGCTCACAGGTGATGCTGGTGCTACTGGCTCATGGACTAGTCAGGATAATCCCTGAGGCTCTTCCTGGCAGCCCCTGGGGCTCCTGGCTCCCTAGAATGGCAGAATATTGGTTTCTTATGTACAAGCCGTTGGCCCATCCTTTGTAGAGTTTGTTGAATGGAGAGTAACCATGTAAGAATGCACCCCCCACCTAATCCAGGCAGCACATAAGAACTGCCTTCAGTAGCAATAGAACTAAGCATTCCTTGCTCAGATTTACATCTTTTGTACATGTTTAAATCTGTGCCCATGTCTGTTTATCATTTGCAAATAATGCTCTGTTGTCTTAATCCTACTTTTATGGCTAATGATGTGTGTTTCATTCTCAAGTGTAGAACTGGAGTAAATATATATTTCTCAATAGTTTTCCCTCTAATCACTACCCAGAGCTGTGAGTCATTGGGATAACTCATGTATGAGGGAGCTTGTATCTGGAGTCCATCCCTCAATGCGAGCCTTCTCTGGCTGCCTGTTACAGCCCTGGTGCGGGCATTCATCCTCGCCTGTGCCTTCCCTGCAGGCTGAGGGAGGCACCACAACTTTCTCCATGAATCTGCGAGGGCATGACAGGCTTGCCAATACCATCGATCCTGTCCCCTTCCAAGCAGAATTGCTTCACTATCATTTCCAGGAATTTGTGATGTTTCTAATTTGATGATTGAGTGTCGCTCTCCACCATTCCTGCTCAGCTGCAGATAGTGCTGTCTGTCCTGCAGACCCCAAGCCCATCCTGACTGTGGAGAAGCCCCATCTTTCCCAGAGAGCGGCACAGGACTGAGCATTCTAGGACCAGGACACTCAGATGCCTACTGTGCTGCAGTGTACCCAACCCCCTGGCTGGTCCACATCCTGCTGCGTCCAAGCCCGCCAGACCCCTGCCTCCCTAGGCTAGGGCAAGACTCCACCTGCCTCTCTTGAGCCCACTTGTCTCTGCAGCTGGACTCAGACCCTGACTTCTAACTCCACGTCAGAGCCAGCCCCCAGGGCCTTAGCAGCTCCCAAGACTTGCAGCTCGAGCTTCATGGCATCCCCCCTCTACTAGGCTGGTTTCTGAGCCCCAAACTTTGATTATTTCCCCTCTTCCTTTCTCTGCCCATTATTTCTGCTGACTTTGTTGGTGTTTCAAGATGCAAAGGATCAGGGAACGCTGAGGGAGAGGAAATTCCGAGGGAAAGGAAATTCCAAGGCAGAGAGGGGGATGCAGGAGGGAATGAGCAACGAGTAGGGTGGGATGAATCAACTGCAGGCTTTGGAACAGCGCTTCCTGATCATAAAAATTAGCACTTATACAGTATTTGTATATGCAGTGTATATATTAGTATGTGTGCTGTGTGTATGTGTCTGCATAAAAAACACTCGTACATATAACACATCCTTGCACCCAGCACTCTTCTCAGCTTGAAATGCTACATCTCACTGAGTGTTCTCAGCAGCCCTATGGGGAATGTATTATCATTAGCCCCATATTACAAATAGCAACTGAACTGAAGGAAGGGAGGGAGGAAGTGTCTTCCTACGGTCACACAGCTGGCTGATCCAGGTGGTCAGACTTCAGAGTTGACCATTATGTCTTGACCATTCTGTAATACTGTCTCAAGTTCCTAATTGGGCAGGGTGGAGATATGGATCCCTCTGAACTTCTGATGACAGCCAGGGACTCTCTCCCATAATATACACACATTGAACTAAAATTTTGCATTTAATTTCTATGGGTGGACTCACAAACTACTTGAAACTCATCTTTGAGCCCCAGGGTAACAACTCATGATTTAGAGGTTGTGCATATAGATGGCAATAATGATAATAGGAATTTAAACTATTTTTGAGCATTTACTGTGTCCTGGGTACAGTGCTAAAGGCTTTCCATGAATTACCTTGCTTACAACATTTCCATAACATTTCCATTCACCCGCATTGCACAGATAAGAAAATTGAGGTTTATAGAGGTCAAGTCATTGTCTCAAGCTCAAGCAGCTAGTAAGCACCAGAGATGAACTAAAACCCAGCTCTGCTGGTTCCAAAGTCAGTGCTCTGTGCACTGTGCAGCCGGCCCTGCTTAGGGCTGGTGGTACCCTTGTAGACATAGGCCTGAGGGAGAGAAGGGGCAGTTTTGGGGATGGTTTAGAATGTGTGCTTCTGGACTGTTTTACTGCCTGAACCTTTGGAGATTTGGACCCCAGCCCATGCCTGATGGAGTCTGCAGTTTGGCATAATGAATTCTGTGCATACCCAACAATTCGGCCCTATCTTTGAGAGCAAAAAGGCAGAGTGGGGCGAAGAAGGAAAGTGTTGGTGCACCCAAAGGCAGAGCTGGACATGGGAGAGAAGAAGAAGTCTGTTTCAAGCTGTCTGTAAGACACTCTCAGAGTTAAGAGACCATCATGAGGTGGGGTTGGGGGAGGGGAGCAAAGGAAGGCCTAGGGGAAAGAAGAGCTTTCAGGAAGCCTCCTTGATATGGTTTGGCTCTGTGTCTCCACCCAAATTTCATCTTGAATTATACTCCCATAATTCCCACATATTGTGGGAGAAACCTGGTGGGAGGTAATTTGAATCATAGGGGTGGTTTCCCTTATATCATTCTTGTTGTAGTGAATAAGTCTCACGAGATCTGATGGTTTTATCCGAGTTTTCCGCTTTTGCATCTTCCTCATTTTTCTCTTGTTGCCACCATGTAAGAAGTGCCTTTCGCCTCCTGCCATGACTCTGAGGCCTCCCCCGCCATGTGGAACTGTAAGTCCAATTAAACCTCTTTTTCTTCCCAGTCTCGGGTATGTCTTTATCAGCAGCATGAAAATGGACTAATACAGTAAACTGGTACCAGTAGAGTGAAGTGTTGCTGAAAAGATACCCGAAAATGTGGAAGCAACTTTGGAACAGTAAGAGGTTGAAATAATTTGGAGGGCTCAGAAGAAGACAAGAAAATCTGTGAAAGTTTGAAACTTTGGAACCTCCTAGAGGTTTGTTGAACGGCTTTGAAATGCTGACAGTGATATGAACAGTAGGGTCCAGACTGAGATGGTCTCGGATGGAGAGGAGGAACTTGTTGGAAACTGGAGCAGAGGTGACTCTTGTTATGTTTTAGTAAAGAGACTGGTGACATTTTGCCCCCGCCCTAGAGACTTGTGGAACTTTGAACTTGAGAGAGATGATTTAGGGTATCTGGCAGAAGAAATTTCCAAGCAGCAAAGCATTCAAGAGGTGACTTGAGTGCTGTTAAAAACATTCCATTTCAAAAGGGAAACAGAGTATAAAAGTTCAGAAAATTTGCAGCCTGATGATGCAGTAGAAAAGAAAAACCCATTTTTTGAGGAGAAATTCAAACTGGCTGCAAAAATTTGCATAAGTAACAAGGAACCAAATGTTAATCCCAAAGACAATGGAAAAATGTCTCTAGGCCATGTCAGAGACCTTCACAGCGGCACCTCCCATTACAGCCCCAGAGGCCCGGGAGGAATACGTGGTTTTGTGGGCTGGGCCCAGGATCCCCATGCTGTGTGCAGCCTAGGGACTTGGTGCCCTGTGTCCCAGCCACTCCAGCCATGGCTGAAAGGGGCCAACATAGGGCTCATGCTGTGGCTTCAGAGGGTGGAAGCCCCAAGCCTTGGCAGCTTCCATGTGGTGTTGAGTCTGCTGGTGTGCAGAAGTCAAGAATTGAGGTTTGGTAACCTCATTTCAGATGTATCCAAATGCCTGGATGCCCAGGCAAAAGTTTGCTGTACGGGCGGGGCCCTCATGGAGAACCTCTGCTAGGGCAGTGCAGAAGGGAAATGTGGGATCGGAGCACCCATCGGAGCTCCATCTAGTGGAGCTGTGAGAAGAGGGCCACCATCTTCCAGACCCCAGAATGGTAGATCCACCAACAGCTTGCAGTGTGTGCCTGGAAAAGCAGCACTCAATGCCAGCCCATGAAAGCAGCCCAGAGTGGGGCTATACCCTGCAAAGCCACAGGCCGGAGCTGCCCAAGACTATGGGAATCTACCTCTTGCATCAGCATGACCTGGATGTGAGACATGGAGTCAAAGGAGATGATTTTGGAGCTTTAAAATTTGACTGCCCCATCTGGATTTCGGACTTGCATGGGCCCTGTAACCCTTTTGTTTTGGCCAATTTCTCCCATTTGGAATGGCTGTATTTACCCAATACCTGTACCGCCATGTAGCTAGGAAATAACTAGCTTGCTTTTTGATTTTACAGGCTCATAGGCAGAAAGGACTTGCCTTGTCTCAGATGAGACTTTGGACTGTGGACTTTCGTGTTAATGCTGAACTGAGTTAAGACTTTGGGGGACTGTTGGGAAGGCATGATTGGTTTTGAAATACGAGGACATGAGATTTGGAGGGGCCAGGGTTGGAATGATATGGTTTGGCTGTGTCCCCACCCCAATCTCAACTTGAATTGTACTCCCATAATTCCTACATGCTGTGGGAAGGATCAGGTGGGAGGTAATTTGAATCACGGGGGCGGTTTCCCCCATACTGTTCTTGTGGTAGTGAATAAGTCTCATGAGATCTGATGGTTTTATCGGGGTTTCCGCTTTTGCATCTTCCTCACTTTTATCTTGTTGCCGCCATGTAAGAAGTGCCTTTCACCTCCCACCATGATTCTGAGGCCTCCCTAGACATGTGGAACTGTAAGTCCAATTAAACCTCTTTTTCTTCCCAGTCTCGGGTATGTCTTTATCAGCAGTGTGAAAACGGACTAATACACTCCTCTTGCCCATAAGGGTTTGGCCATAGGTTTCTATAGCCAGTTCTGTTGCTTTGCTTCTCCAGGGACTGTCAGTTGTGGCATCAGAGAGCAGAGTCTCAAACACCAGCAGAAGCAAGGGTGTGGCTGGAGGCCTTTCAGCAGAACAGGCCAAAGAAGAGCCAGGTTCAGCCACAGATGTTGGAGGCTCCCCCTGGCCATCCTGTCCTCCCTTGCCTGGCTGTCCCACCCTCGGGATGGACCCTCACCTTGGGATCTCTTGCTCATGGTCTTGCCCCCGGAGCCCCTCCCTCTGCCCTCTTCACCACCTTCCCTGTCCTCCATGTCCTTCCTGTACCCCCTGTCTTCACTGCCAGCTCGAATGCATGTCCTGAAACATGGCCACAGCGGGACTTCCTGGCTTGTCTGTTTTAAGGCATCCACATTAAAGTGACTGTCAGAAGGTATAAGCTACTCTTTTGCTACCAGTCGTGTGTACCATGGACACCCCTGATGGATGTCAATGACATGTGTTACTTGGTAATAAAAATAGTTGAAGGCTTAAGGGTTTATTTTTAGGCTGGGTCCAAATGCTACCTCAGAATGCCTCTGCAGAGTCTCAGAGGGCCTGGTGGGTGCTTGTCTGGTTTTGCTTTGAGCTATTGCCAGCACCTGGGTCCCAGCAAGGTCAAGGGCTGTGGTAAAATGTGCTCTTGCTGATTTTATATTCACCAAGTTCATAAAGAACTTAAGAGTCCAAAGAGCCACATGTATCCTGCTGGACTCCCCATCAGAGGGGAAGCCAGCACACTCATGACATTGGGGTCTTAGCCCATCCTGATGACCTGATCTGGGGATCCCATACACAGATCCCATACACAGATATGGAGAGGCTTGAAGCAATTACCCTAGCTGAGCTGACCCAACCATTGCCTCATTTGGAAAAGGAAGATAATGCTTTCAACCTCTAGGGCCATGTGCATAGACGGCAATAATGGTGTCAGGTTATAAGGCCTCCAGGAGGTTTTGTAGGATCCAGCACGGAAGCCTGTGCCTTTGTGTGTGATGATGGGGATGCATTGCAGTCACGATGAGCTATGGTGCCCAGCAATCTCTTTCACTCATCTGAGTAATAATATTGATAATATTAATGGCTACTATTATTGAGCACTTACTATGTACCAGGCACTGCTCTAAGCACTTTGCATATATTAACCCTTTTAAGTCTTACAAGAACTCTGTGAAATAGGTGTTGCCATTCTGCAGATGAGGAGCTGAGGCTCAGGGAGATTGAGTAACTCATAAGTGGTGGTGCTGGGATTTGAGCCCATGAGTCAGGTAGTTGAGCCCCTGAGCCCCACTCAGAACACAGATAGCAGAGAAGCAGTGAGTGGTGGCCCTGGGTGCTAGAGAGGAGCCAGGGGCATGGTCTTCCATGGTGAGGCAGCCTTGGTGCCCTGTGTCCCAGCCGCTCCAGCCGTTGCGAAACGGGGCCAATCCAAAGTCTGGATCAGCCAAGGATGGACAGCCATCAGAGCACAGTCTGCCTTGTGGTCAGAGTGAGATGTGGCACACAAGGGCCTGGCACAGAGCCTGGCACACTGTCCAGCCTGCTTCTCACCATGGCACCCTCGATATTCAGGACTATGGAGTTTCTTTGTTGTAAGGAGAGGTCCTCCACCTTGTAGGATATTTAGCAGCAACCGTGGCCTGCCAGTAGCCCCCCTCTCCCCATTGCAGAGAAGAAAAATGTTCTCAGACATTGGCCAATGTCCCAGGCAGGGTTGGGGTGGAGCAAGCTTGCTGCAGGGGTTGGGAAGTGCGAGCTTCCCTTTGTGCCAAAGACTCTTCCACGGCTACGGATTATGGTCTCTTATGCAATAGCTGTCTCCAGTCGTGACAGAAAGCCAACTTTTCTGACCCAGGGGATACAG
This sequence comes from Homo sapiens, assembly GCF_000001405.40. Classification (NCBI taxonomy): domain Eukaryota; kingdom Metazoa; phylum Chordata; class Mammalia; order Primates; family Hominidae; genus Homo; species Homo sapiens. The sequence continues at coordinate 34,060,932 of NC_000001.11, read as the reverse complement.
GTGGGTGGGGCCTTTGTGCATCTCAACCACCAGGCAGAAGCATGGCTAGGGGAGGAACAGGGACCACGAAGATGAGGCCTGGCTGAGAGGGGACTGGACAGTGACTGCTTTCCAAGCCTTCACAGCCTTTTTATCCTTTTCCATTAAAGGGATTCATGACATTTTGGTTACTCCATTTCTGCAAAGAATCAATTGAAAAGATCAAAAATATGGCATCTGGAGAATTTAAAATTAGATTCTTACAAAATACAAAGTAGAAGAGAGAAGAAAAAAAAAAAAAAGGAAACAGGGAACCCCATGACTTGCACAAATCCTGCATTTGTTGCCTGGGAGCTGAGCAATCCTGGCTCTAGATGAGAAGGAATTCCAGGATGCCTGGGGGCGAGGTACGCTGGGGAGGGCAAGGCAGCCTCAGAGCTCCCCCCAGGCTGCCGCAGTTGCCTGTCCTCCCCCAGGGGCCCTGCATCCTCCGCCTCCCGGTCTTTCTCCTTCCCATCCTTTGATATATATGTTTTCAGTATATAAATACATTCTAATTATAGAAAACTTGGAAAATGAAGACTGTCATAAAGAAGAATTTTTAAAAGTCAGCTGTCATGTTGGCACCCAGAAAGAACCACTGATAACACACCCTCACACACTTATGCATTGATTTTACCCAAACTGAATCCTACTGTCTGTTCCTTAGCTGCCTGCAGTCATGTTTCAGAGCCTCCTTTGCCTGCAGATCCTCTTCTTAGGATGTTCATTCCCCTGACCCAGGGGACTGTTCTTGGCTGGTCCTCCTTTTCCTCTGTGGCATCCACTCCTGTTGACCTTTCCCATTCCTGGCCCTCATCCTCAGCTCCTGGCACCCTGTGCCTTCCTGGCATTCTTCTTTCCCTCTCTTCTAGAGGTCACAAATGTGATGAAATCCAAGGAGCCAATCGCAGCCATGGCTGTGGCTTCTGTCAGGCCAGAGGTGACCCTATGATGACCTGATGGTCCAGCAGGGTGGGGGTGAAAGGGACATTTGAATGAACACAGATGAGATGGGACCAGCCAGGCAAGAGTCCAAGGGAGTGGTGGTTGACAGGGATTCAGCCCAGAGGGATCTGGGCAGGGGAATTAGGAAAGCAAGAGTTACCCACCAGGATCCAGGGTGTGCTACAGTACTGACAATGTCGACTTTTACTGCTTGTGTTCATTCGTTCATTCATTCATTCATTCATTCACGTATTCATTCCCCACATAGTTACTGAGCACCTGTTAGGGGCCAGCCACTGAGGGAGACCATATAATATGTTAATTATACTGGGCCATGTGGTCACTCTGCAGGGTTGAACAGGCATCGCAAAAACAGTGGGGGAACAAAATACACAGATTCCCATCTCTCCCAAACTTAGCCTCTAGTAAGGGAGATTAGTAAATAAACTAGGAAACAGACAGAATGATTACAGATTTGATAAGCTTCTGAAGGAAAGAAATAGGGTGCTAGAATTGACATGGCCTGGGGAACCTACTTGGGTGGCTTGAGTATTCAGGAAGGACCCAGTTAGAATGAGGGGGCTGAGGGAAGAGGGTGTCAGATGGAGGCACATCTAGCAAAAAGCTGTGAGCCAGGAAGGTGGTGGCCTTTTGAGGCACAGAAGAAGGGCCCATGGGTCTCGCTCCACCCCTCTCAGCCCTTGGGGTGTAGCTTTTGCTGGTCACTGGAAGCACCTTGACTTCTGATGATACTGATAGCTCCATCCTTTTGCATGTGTAGCAGTGACCTTAGGGTCATAATGTCACCAAATACTTGAGCTGTGACTTGGGGAACCCTTGAGCCTAGCAGGACCTTGGGGATATTATTGTCATTGCTCACTTACTTGTGTCCTGCCATGACCCCTCATGCTTCTGTCCTATGAGACATAGCAAGTGGCCCAGTCTCTAGATTTGCAAATGGGGACCAGGGCTGGGTTTCTTTGCCTAGGACATTCACTGACCGCCACCTAAGAAGCAGCAGGTCCTAAAGTTTGGTTTAGACAAGGGCCCCACCCAAGGTTCAAGGCTAGTTGAGATCTAAAAATATAGCATCCATGGCTTCCAGCTTGTAAAACGGCTTCATGTCTGGCAGGTGGTAGAGCAATCATGTAATTCAGGGCTGGGGTGTGGGGAGCAGGGTCCAGGCTTCTGGGGACCAGGGCTGACCAGCCCTAATAAAGTAGGGCGAACAGTGCTGAAGGCCAGGTGTGCGGTTTCAACCAGGGTGGGCAGCCCAGTGGGCACTCAGACCCTCAGAGCTGACACTCACTCCAAACCCAGATCCCCAGACAACAGGCATAGGTGGTGATTCCAGCTCTAAACCCTGCCTTCTCCCTGTCTCGTCTGCCTTGGTAGATATAGACTTCCTCTGCTACTGTGGGCCCTTCACATATTCCATTCTGATGCCACAGCCTTGCACGCTGTAGCTCAACAACTTCCCTCTCCTTGGGGTAGGTCTTGGTTTATTTATCTTCATAAATTTTGTTTGATAGCTATAGGAATGTAGAGGATTTGTTTTTATATCATCATCATCATCATCATCATTTCAAGCCCTTGCTCTAGGTCAGGCATCATGCTAAGTGCCTTCCCTATAGCACCCCATTGAATCATCACAAAGATCATCTGGGGTAGGTACTGTCATCTCCATTTTGCAGGTGTGGAAACAAGGATGAGAGAGGGGAAGTGACCTGCCCGGGGTGACACAGCAAGTAAATGGCAGAGCTGGAGTCTGAAGTGCACCCGTGCTCTACCCAGCTCCTATGTGATGCAGGAGCCTGGGACCCTGTTTCTCCCAGCTCACAAGCCATCCTTGGCAAATGGAGTTGTCACTCCCACTACAGCTGTGCTCATCCTGTCCCAACTAGGTGACTATGACTGGCTTTCCCTCGTCCCACGCCCCTACTCCCAGGCTAGTTCTCTCTGCTTTCAGGCCAGGAGAAGCCAAGCCTGCCAGAAACAGCTCTGGCCAGTGTCACTGCCAGCCCAGAGCGTGCCTCACCTCCTCACCCCAACCCCCAGCTTGCCTGCCAGTGCTCAGATGTGTGGTGCTATAAAAAGCCAAGTAGTAATATGCAAATTGCCCTGATTATTTATGGCCAAGTTAGTAAATAAGCCAGAGAGACAAGGTGGGTAGTTGTTTTTATGATCTCTGCAGTCCTTGCAGGAAAATCTACAGTAGGCAGAGTCTGGGTGGGCAGAGCTGGAGCCCATGGTTTAACAAACACAGCCTAATTATCAGGCACTGGGGACAAACAAGCGAGGGGGCTTGTGGAAGGGAGTAACGGGAAGCGGTGGCCAAGAGGCGGAGGCAAGGGGCTGGAGGACTGAGTCTGGCAGCTGGACCCTCTCTGCCCACCTCTCTCTGGCTCAGCCTTTGAGCTGCCTGCCGGGAGGGGGCGGGGACTGAGACACCAATCAGTGTAAGGTGCTGTAGTGTTGCTAGGAGGGGAGGGGTCCTGACAGTTTGCCAGGGCATCGCCTCCACCAGGAGCCTCCCACTCTAAAGCTGCAGGAAACAGCATAGAAACAGCGAGAGGCTCAGGGCTTAGGGGTCTAGGAGAAGGGAAAAGGGAAGCTTCCTGCCAGCCATCAGCCTATGCTGAGGTTGGCGTGGCATCCTGGGTGGGCACCTGAATTAGTTTTCAGCGCTGTTGCATATCTGTGATTCCAGCCCTTGGAAGGTTGTGGTCAGGATGGAATCAAGCAGAGAGACCAGGGCAGAGGCTGTGGTGCTCAAGGGACTTGAGGAGATCAAGACTCCAAGCAGCCACAGGGCACAGTCAGCAGTGCTGCTAGGCTTTCGCTCCCACTCTCTGCTCAGGTGTCACTGGGAGTGGAGGGGAGACGCAGCAGATCCAGTAGATGCCACATCCATAGTTCATTGGTTGGAGCTAATGACCCCAGGAGCAACCAGCAACCCAAAAGGAGGGAGTTAGTGTATTGATACCCCAGCCTCTTCTTCCTGTAATAGGATGACTCTGAGTTGCGTATTCTATGCTCACTCCCAGTGTTCCCCAATGGGATTTAGCTCAATTGACTCCCAGTGGCACCTTATATGACCAGGTCCCCTTTCTCAGCTGCCTTCTCTTTTCTGTTTCATATCCCCTCCCCTCACTGTGCTCTTAGGGTCAACTCCCAAATAAGCTCACTTGTAGCCAAATCCTTAACACAGGTCTTGTTTTAGTGGAAATCCAACCCAGGTGATATAGCTAAACAGGTGCTGAACATTTTGATAGAAATAATTGTAATAGCTATGAGCACTTATTCTGTGCTAAGTACCATTCAAAACATTTTGCCTGTATTAAGTTATTGAAACCTCTCAACACTCTGTAAGGTAGATACCATTGTTAACCGTACATTTGATGAAGGGGAAAATGGAGCACAGACATGTTAAAGAACTTACCCAAGGTCACACAGCTGAGCCAGGATGCAAAACAAAGCACTACTAGCTTTAGAGACTATTTTCCTAATTATTATACTAAATTGCAGGCCTTTCAGATATTCCCCAAAGACCTCTTCATTCCAGGCCTTATGCTTAGCATTGGGATCCAGAGATGAAGCAGACATAGGCCCTGACCTTGGAGAACTCAGTCTTGAGGCAGAAACATGAAGGAAATAGACAAGCCAGTGCAGCATAGAGGGATGTGTCCAGAGCTGGGAGAGATTAGAGGCAGAGCACCAGGAATCAGGGAAGGTGTTCCTGAGGAGATATCACTTGAACACAAGTCTTAAAGAAGAAATGGGAGTTGGGAGATAGCAGGGGATAAATGGAGTAGGAAGAATAGTCCAGGCAGGGGAACAGTGGTGTAAAGGAGCTGAAGCGAGTGTACCACGGTGATATTCAGGGAATTGCATGCCATTCTATATGGCTGGTGTGGTATTGTGAAATATACATTTGGTCTTTGTCTCTTGTCCTGACATACGGCTGCTGAAATCCTTGGAATCTCCAAAGTGATACACATCTTATGAATGCTAATGGGTTGACTGTTGGCTTGCCATCCCTAAATATCTTCAAGACCGGGGTTGGTTACTGGGAAGACCAAGCCATGATTAAAGAGTTGGGATTTTCAGTGTCAACCCGCAAACTCTGGAGGAGAGAGGGGCTGAAGGTTGAGTTGATCACCACTGGCCTATGATTTAATTAATCATGCCTATGTAATGAAGATTCTATAAAAACTCAGAAAGACTGGGCTCAAGGAGCTTCCAGATAGCAGAACACATGGAGGTTCCTGGAGACTGATATGCTCAAAGAGGATGTGGAAACTCCATGCCTCTTCCTCCATACCTTGGCCTCTCCATCTCTTCATCTGGTGTTCATTGGTATCCTTTGTAATATTCTTTATAATAAACCAGTAAATGTAAGTATTTCCCTGAGTCCTATGAGCCACATTAGCAAATTAATCAAATCTGGGGGAGGGGGTCCTGGGAATCTTGCTTTACAGCCAGTTGGTCAGAAGTAAAGGTAAAACAACCAGGGTCTTGTGATTGGCATCTGCGGTGGGAGGCAGTCTTGTGAGACTGAGCCCTCAACCTACGGGACCTGATGCTAACTTCAGGTAGATAATCAGAGTTGAATTGCACTGGAGGACATCCAGCCTGCATCCACTGCAGAAATGATTGCTTGTTTGGTTTGTGGGGAACCCCATCCCACCTCCATTTGGTTACAGAAGTATTCTGTGTTGATTGTCGTAGAGTGAGAGCAGAGGAAAAACAGTTTGTTTTTCTACAGCTGAAAAGTTGGGAGTAGACTGGCTATTTGCTTGTTTATTGTTATTGTTGTTTGGGGAGAGAGTGGATGACTGCTGGGAGAAGCAGCAGAGGCCAGATTACAAAGGGTCTTGTCACCATGCCAGGGGGAGGCAGAGCTACCCAGGGGCTCCAACTATGTTTACAGTGTTTTATTTCCTGTGTGGGTGTTGTATATACAGGTGCTTATTATATTATTCTTCATCCTTGTGTCTCTAAAAGATTCTTATTTTTGAAAATGACTTAGAAAAAATAAAAGCATTTAGGAGGTAAACAAACCCAAAGAATAGACTGGAATCATCACCTCTCCTTACAGAGACGTAGTTCTGGGAAGGTGCCCTAAAGTCTCAAGCTTTTTTCACACCAGCTCACACGATAAGAGACAATCACCAGCTCCAATAATGTTTGACAGTGGCCTGGTTGGAAACCACTTTTTTTTAAAGAGACAGAGTCTCGCTCTGTCGCCCAGCCTAGAGTGCAGTGGCGCGATCTCGGCTCACTGCAAGCTCCGCCTCCCGGGTTCACGCCATTCTCCTTCCTCAGCCTCCCGAGTAGCTGGGACTATAGGCACCTGCCACCACGCCCGGCTAATTATTATTATTATTTTTTATTTTTTGGTATTTTAGTAGAGACAGGATTTCACCGTGTTAGCCAGGATGGTCTCGATCTCCTGACCTCGTGATCTGCCCACCTCGGCCTCCCAAAGTTCAGGGATTACAGGCATGAGCCACCGCACCTGGCCAGAAACCACTTTTATAGTTTGGATCTCAGACCCAAGGACAAAAGTTCACTCATGCCTGTCTTTAGTGCAAGTTCTCTAGATTAAGCCTGAAGAAACTTTTTGGATTCTGGTCTTAATTATTATCTAGGACATTCCTGCTGGCTTCGTACTAGTCATAAATTGATCAGTATGCCATCTCTGTTCCCAGAGAAGATATTAAAAATTACAGGGCAAATGCAATGTAGTATCCTGGATTGGATCTCGGAAGAGAAGAAGGACATTTGTGGAAAAACAGGCAAAATCCAGATAAAGTCTACAGCTTAGTTAATAGTAAAATACCTATGTTATCTCTTAGTCTTGACAAATGCGCCATGGTTATGTAAGCTGTTGACATTTAGGAATAGTTGGATAAAGAGTATATAGGAACTTTCTGTGCCATTTTTGCAGCTTTTATATAAATCTGAAATTATTTCAAAATTGGGAGTCTATTTACAAATTCAGGTGGGCTGGGCAGGGCTAAGGATTTAGCTCTGCCGCAGGCTGCTAGAGCCCTATTCCCAGTTGACAACTGTGTACAGTTGTTGAGCCAGTAATCAATGGGTCTTATTGTGATAAAGTCTAGCTCATCTTTCCCTTTCTTGTGCATTTATAAGTGCCTTGTTGAAGCTAGTGCATTCCATATCTGTTGTATTTTCCTGCTTTCCCACCCAGTAACTCTTTTCAAAAGGAAATAAAGATGATAATAGTGCACTTTGCAGAGAAACTCAACTTGATCAAAAGATTTGCCGGAGGATGCCTGGAAATAGCATGTTTCTTACTACATTTTAAGAAATTCATCTACTAAAGTTGCATGTTCATATGCCTTTTCAGACTCTGAAGCAATGCGGACTTGTTTTCCTGAGGAAACAAAGGGAGAAAGAGGGATTCTAGGGTAGTAGAGCACCGCAATCATAATGGACCTGTATTGAAACTACACACACCATTACATATTAACCTTCCTTGGAGCTTTCTTGTGTCCACTTTGCTAGGAGGGACCCAAGAAGGTGGACTAAAGAAGAGCCAGTCACCCATGGAAGCATCCCATTCTGACTTCGAGATCTGGTGACCTTTCAGTCTTTCCCAGACAGGCTACACGGCAAACTGTCCTCCACTTACATCATTCTAATTGTCCCTGCTGATTAATGAGGTCACTTACGGTATCAATTATTATCCTATCAAGAGAATGAATATGAGACTGAAACAAATGCCCATGAACTTGCTTATTCTATTAAAAAATAAAGTAATGAGAGATGATTGATGGTGTGTGCCCCAAGAGAAGGCGTGGGAAGGGATGGACAGTAGAGAGAGGTAGAAATGAGCATGTTCTGATTAGGGGTTAAAAGAGGCTTTTGTTTAAAAGTAGTTCGCCATTGACCCTCTTCCTTCCAAAGCCACTTATTGAGAGAGCTGTCCAAACTCCTTGTCTCACATGCTTCCTTCCCATCACCAGCTTGCTCTTTGTCCCCCAGTTTCAGCCTTGCCACTGACACTGCTCTCGAGCAGGTCACCACCACTGTCCTCATTGCCAAATCCACGGACCCTCTTAGTCGTCTCTTACCAAGCCCCTCAAAAGCGCTTGCTGCCAATGACCTAATTCTTCTCGAAACACTTATACCACCAATTCCTCATTCATTCATTCAATCTCGTGTATATTTACTGAGCATCCACTGTGTACCAGGCACTGAGCCAGGGACTGAGCATACTAGAGTAAGCATGATGGACACAGTCCTTCTTGTTCTAAATGGAGTTTGCATTCAGATAGAGGAAGATAGGCAATTAACAAGTACACACATATAAATGAGCTGTGTTAGTCTGGGTTCTCCAGAGAAATAGAACCTATAGGATACTCAATAGATCCTATAGGATACTCTCTCTCCTCTTTCTCTTTCTTACACACACACACACACACACACACACACACACACAGTTGTCCCATAGGGGATTGATTTCTCGACCCCCCCCCCATGGATATAAAAATCTGCAGATGCTTAAGTCCCTTATTTAAAATGGTGTAGTAATTGCATATAACCTCCCATATCCTCCCATATCCCTTAAATCATCTCTAGATTACTGACAATACCTAACACAGTGCAAACACTATGTAGTAATTGTACTGCGTTGTTTTAAAATTTTTATTATTTTTATTAATATTATTTATTATTTAATATTTTCAATGCATGGTTGGTTGACTCTGCAGATGGGGAACGCTACTGTGTGTATGTGTGATGTGTGTGTGTGTGTGTGTGTGTGTGTATACATATGCTTTATTATAAGGAATTGGCTCACATGGTTGTGAAGACTGAGATCTGCAGTTGGCAAGCTGGAGACCCAGGAAAGCTGATAATGTAAGTTTCAGTCTGAGTTCCCATCAGAAGACGAGAGAAGACCAATACCCCCGGTTGAAGACAGTCAGAGAGAGTACCTTCTCCCTTACTCAGATTTTTGTTCTATTTAGGCCCTTAATGGATTGGATAACCCCCACCCCCATTAGTGAGGGCAGTCTACTGATTCAAATGTTAATCTCACCCAGAACCTCCCTCACAGACACACCCAGAATAATGTTTAACCAAATATCTGGGCATCCTGTGCCCTGTAAAGTTGGCACCTGATATTAACCATCACAAATCCACCCCTTGTCAACTCTGCACTATATACATCTTAAAACACACTTAACTGCCAAATAAAGACAATAACAAACTTACAATTTTGCCTAATATGACATGACTATCCTGCATTAACCCCTCACCAGAGGAGGAGACAAAATCTTGGAATGGTGTTTACTCTTCCTGATATCCTGCAACTTAAATACTATGGTGTAAAAGTAACAATACTTAAATACCATAACATAAAGTTATTATATCTTATGCTATATGAAAAAGGAAAAAGAAAACAAATACATATTACTTAATATATATGTATGTGTGTATATTTATATATTTATATTTACGTATATTTATATACACACATGAATAGATATATCCTTATATACACATGCAAACACTCATAACAAAATAAAGAGGGATACTCATAACAATGACAGTCTTTATTTCTGTAACTGGCTATGTGGTCACAGCTGGTATTTATAACTAACTCTTTCACTACCCATTCTGTATTCCCTTTGTCTTCAGCAAGCATCACAGCTGATCATGGTTCTTTACCACGTGGGGTGACCTAAACTTAAAGTGCCTGAGCCATTAATAGTCCTGCCTGGATTGAGTTGTTCTGGTTTTTCATTGATCTTAATCATAGGCCATGATAATACTAAGAGATAACCTAAGGGATCTTCTTTATTCCAGACATAATCTTCCTTACCTCCATTGTGTAGTAGCAGTCCCATTTCTGTTTGGTAGTGAGAATCAATCACCCTGGCTAGCATAGTTACTCTTTTCTTTGCCTGTTGATTCAGAGGTATGAGGAGTGCAAAGTGCCCGGGTAGCAGTCTTAACTTTCAGCACAGTAGGATCATTGTTGTGACACCTGGAACTAAGACCTCTGGGCTAGCATAGCATATGCTAGCCTCTGGACTTGCATAGCATATGCTAGCCTCTGGGCTAGCATAGCATTAATTTTCAGCTCAGTAGGATCATTGTTGTGACACCTGGTGGGAGCATTCCTCCCTTTGGAACTAAGACCTCTGGGCTAGCATAGCATAAGGTCATAGAACAGGAAGGAAACACTTTGTCAGTTGGTCACTAGAGGTAATAGTAAGTGGAGCTACTCCTATTTCCATCCCTTGATTTCTAGACTTGTGAATCCTGGCTATGGGAGAAAGAACACTATATATGCATGCTGATTCAGAGCATATACAGCCTTCTGGAGAACCTTGTCCCAGCGCTGCAAGGTATTGCCACCTAGCTGGCATTGTAATTGAGTCTTGAAAAGGCCATTTCATTGTTCTACCTAGCCAGCTGCTTCAGATTGGAGGGTTCACATGGTAGGACCAGTGAATCCCATGAGCATGAGCCCACTGCCACACTTCTTTGGCTATAAAGTGAGTTTATTGGTCAGAAGCAGCACATTGTGGAATACCATGACAGTGGATTAGGCACTATGTAAGTCCAAGGATGGTAGTTTTGGCAGAAGCACTGCATACAGGGAAAGCAAATCCATATCCAAAATAAGTGTCTGTTTCAGTAAGAACAAAACACTTCTCCTTCTACAATGGAAGCAGTCCAGTGTTATCTAACTGCCACCAGGGTAGTTGGCTTATCATGCCAGGGAAGGGTACCATTTTGGGAACCCCACTTCTGGTACCAAAATCTGTTTTGGTCTCTTTGGGCTGCCATCAGAAAATACTCGTAGACTGGGTGGCTTAAACAGTAGAAATTTATTTTCTAACTGTCCTGAAGGCTAAAATGCAAGATCAGGGTGCCAGAATGGCCTGATTCTGGTGAGAGGTTTCATCCTGGCTTGCAGATAGCTGCATTCTCACTGCATCTTCACATTGCAGACAGGGTCGGCAAGAGAGGCAGAGAAAGGGGTCTTTTCTTATAAGGGCACTAATCTCATGTTGGAAGTCCCATCCTTATGACCTCATCTAATCCTAACTACCTCCCGAAGATCCCACCTCCAAATACCAATTCAACATATAAACTTTGGGAGTTCACACTCAGTCCATTACCTAAGCCATCCAGGTAGTGGTAATTGTTATGAGAAAAATAAAGCAGAGCAACTGGCAGAGTATGACAAGGCGCAATCAATGGAACCTTTTTGGGAAGTGATACCTCACTTGTTTTCACATGTCAGTCCCTTAAAGCTTGCCACTGTCTTCAGGGTTTCATGTTTTCTTCTGTGGCACCTCACTCTATACACTTGGATTGGATCTTAGGGGTGAGCAAGTCCCTGTTTTACAGTATGTCACTAAAAGTGATTCAAAAGATGGCATCTGGGGTTGGGGGGCAAAACCCAGTTCCAAATTCCAGCTGACAGTTATCCTAAGGGTCCAGGCAGAAAAGCAGAATTCAGGGATAAGGCAGCAGTTCAGAATCCAGGGTCATCTACCGTAATATGAATGGTGCTCCTGAAAGATGTGCAACATAGTGGCCCTGAAAAATCCTAGAAGCTGCAGCAGAGTTAGAGGTTCACAACAGACACTGGGAAGTAAGGCCTGAGAAAGTCCCTGAACCACCTGCAAAAACTCTCCAGTGACCAAACTCTCTTACTGCCTCTGTGGCTCCTCCCTCTCTTGTCTACAGATGAGGCCCACAGGTAAAGCCTCTTTGCTATTAACTGCAAATATCGATGGTTTGGATGTAATTCAGGTTGACCCTCCACTGTTCACAACGTGTGACTTGGGCTTGGGTAATCACGTTTCACACTTCACAGCTGTGGGCTCAGCCTACCCTGCAGTCCCAGCCTGAGCAAAAACCCTGGAGCCCCTCTTACTGAGAAGGGTCTCTCCACATTTCCTTCTGGAGAAGGAACCATGGTTCTGGAGACCATGGTTCTGGAAGCTCCTGTTTCTCCTAGTTCCCTGGAGTATGGGAAACAGTGGGCATAGTGTCCTGGTGCCTGACCCTCCCTTCCAAGTGGGCCAACAAGCATTTCTGTCCAGTTCACAAAGACAGGGCCTGATATTCTCCCACTTCATGGCCAACACCTTCTGGTGGTGGCTATGCAGCAGCTGATAATAATATGTTTAGTATTAACCTGTGCACAGGTGCTGCCTGTAGCACACTGCAAAGCGCTGTCTTTAAATGGAGACCTAATCTTTCAAACCAGGTGCGGTGCTCAAAACCAGCTCTGGCGGCCAACAGGAAGGGCATTGTGGTACAGAGCAGGTAAGGAGAAGACCCCCATTCTTTCTGTCCATCTTCTCCATCCTCTTGCAGGCATGTTCAGCATCTTTTGCCTTCTTAGAATTCTCAGAGGCTCCACCTGCTCCTTCCCCAGGTTGGCCTGAGCAGCTGTCCGAGGGGGTAGGTGGGCACAAAGCCCTCAGGATGCAGAATCTGCTGACCATTCACTGATATTTTTATAATTGTTGTTTGTGTCTCTCTGGCACACAAGGAACAAATCCTAGCCTGGCACCATCTGAGGGCCTGGGTAAATCTCAGCTGTTCCATCAAACCTCCTGGGGTGGTCCAAACTTTAAGGGCTGCCTTGACAGAGAGCAGTTTCCATTCCTAAATGGGTGATGTCACTAAGCCTGATTTAGGGGAGGTAGATATGGAAGGCAGCACCTGTGCACGGGTTAATAACAAACATCATCATTATTATCAGCTGCTGCATAGCCACTGCCAGAAGGCATTGGCCACGAAGTGGGAGGCAGGCTTCTGGAACATGACGACCTCTCTTCCTCAAAGCTTCCTTCCCCATTTCCATCCTTGCCAACCTCCTGACACGTGGTGCTGGATACTTCAGTCTCTGTCATGGAAGACCAAGTTGGCTCAGGGGTTTTCAGGCTTCTGTGGAAGTAAATGAAGTCTGCATCTGCTAGAAGGCTGAGCAGCCTCCAGAAAAATCCCCTCTCTTGGGGAGACTGGTAATTAAGCAGTCATGGCAAACAAGTGGAGGAGGAACATCTGGTTGTATCCATTTGTTCTCCTGTCATTAGTTGGGGAACAATTTTATAAATTACACGTAAAGTGGGTTTTGTCTTTCCTCTGCTTGTGCCATCCTCTTTGAGATGACCTCCGTATCCTACCACAGCCCGCCATGCCCTTTGGATGATTGGCTAACAATTTATCTTTTTAGATCAGCTCAGGCTGGTGCATCAAGTTCCCTGGATGCATCCTTATCACTGCACTTACTATATTGCATTATAATTGTGTCTTCAGTAATTACCTCCTATGGTGTATCTGGTGCTGTTCTCAATACTGGGGTTAGATAAGTGAACTAAGTGGATAGAAATCCCTGCCCTCGTGGAATTCACACACTGGTGGGAAAAGGTAGACGTAATAAATAAGGAGTGATCAAATATATAGGAAGTCAGATTATGATAAGTGTTAGGAGAAAATGCAGGACAAGGGGAATCAGGAAATGGGACAGGAGGGGAGGAGGGTTGCAATTTTAAGTAGAATAGTTATCAAAGCCTCGGTGTAAAGGGTATGTGAACAAAGACCTGCAGAAGATGAAGGAACAAGCCATACACATCTGGGGGAAGAGATGAGGTAGCTGGAGGAAACTGAGAGAAGAGCAGGTGCAAAGGCCCTGAGGCAGAACTTGCCAGGTGTGTTTTAGGAACAGCAAGCGGCCGTTATGGTTAGAGTGAGTGAGCAGGGGGAGGTAGTTGGTGATAAGGAGGGTGGTGATGGAGTGGGAGCGGGTAGTGGCAGCAGAGGATTCCCTAGGGCCTTTAGACCATTATGAAGACTTTGGCTTTTATCCCAAATCGAGTGGGATGCTTTTGGAAGGGTTTCAAGCAGAGAAGTGACATGATCTGACTTAAGATGATCACAGAAGCTGCTGTGTTAAAGAGGATCTGTAGGTGGACTAGGAGGAAAGTAGGAAGACTGGTTAGGAGGTTACTGCAGTAATTGAGGCAAGAGATGGAGGTGTCCTGTTCCAGGATGGTAGTAATGAAGGTGATGAGAACTGGCTGGATTTCTAGATAAATTAATGTAAATGCCTCCGTTTGAGGGTAAATCCCTCGAGAGTGAGTCCACGTCTTAGGCATTTTTATCCTGAGAACCAAGCATAGTACATAGCGTTTAATAGGGCATACAATTAATATTTGTTGAATGAATGATTGATGAGAAAAATTTGTAATTGTTACCGGTGGGAATAAGCCAGCCTTAATCTCTTTTGTGAACCTATCAGATCATAGAGACAAATCATGGGTAACATCTATTTAGTTTCTCAACTGATGTCGTAAATAAAGCTATTCATGCATGTACTGAACCAAGAAGTGTGGGGTACGCTGGATCCAACTGTATTTGTCTATTATTCAGGACTTTCCAAAGCTTTTCATACAGTAATGCAAAGGTTCCCAAAGTTTCTTAGGTGCCATTAGTGTCTCAGTAATGTTTCCACGGTGCTCCATGGGTAAAAGAAATACCTATTAGCTCCACTTATTAAGTAGTTAGGTCCAAATAACTGAATAAGTATTTATACCCCAACAACTCTGTATCTGTTTGAAGATAATATAAATTGAAAGAAAAACATTTTTGTTTCATCCTTAAATAATTGTTAAATAACAATTGATTGCTAATGGTATGTGTTTCCTTGTTGGTCATTGCAAAGATTCTCAAACCTTGGACTCAGATTGGACACTACCACCTGCATATCCTGTTCCACACTGATTCACACATGGTCCCTAATTCCCATCACACCAACTACCAAAGCTTTGCAAAGATATGATGTCATCTAACGGAAGGTAGCTTTACACTGAAATTGTGAACCACCTTGAGCTAATAGTTTGTGTGTCCAGCAGATATTAAGTGCCACTATTTCCTTTGAAAGTTAAAAATAGTCCTTGGTTACCCTTGTAAACTCACTGCAATGCCCTGGGGCACCTTGGTGCACCGTTTGGGAACCATGGTGCATTTCCCAAAATTACTTATTTTTTTCAGGCAAACCTACTAACATCATATTGGATAGTATTCTGTGCAACATGATTTGGGAACCGTTGGGGTAGAGCACATCAAGAGGGCTCCCTGCTGCAGAAGGAGACGCTGCAGTCCAATGGGAAACACCCCTGAGTTTTGATGGAGCGAGTGTGCTTAGAGGATTTGCATTCTGAACGTAGTGCTTCTCCCCTATTTTTAGACCTCAGCAGGTGGGTCTGCTGTGACTCCAGATCTTGCTTCTAAAGAGAGTCCACATCCTAGAAAGTGTACTGTATATGGGGATTTGGAGGTCTAGCTTTGCTCCCATCCAGTCATACTTAAGACAGGTATCCCAGCCTCCAAAAATAAATGCACATGTGCAGCTGAAAGCAGAGGTTTGCAGAGCCAGTAGATGTTTTCTGGAGAGGCAGGGACATTCTAGACAAGATCCTTTGGACATAAGTTGGGTTTTTTCAGCAGATATCTAGCTAATGCAAGATTGCCCTCTTAAATGGGAGTTTATTACAAGGATCTCCAGATCTTGAGACAGCACAAGAATAATCTCTTTAGACTTCCTCTCATTCTGGGTTTCAGGGTGTTGAAGACTGAGAGTGTCAGTGGTCTCATAGCTAATGTAGCTACAGCCTCAGCTCCATGATCTACCTTCTCTGGGCATATCCTTTCCCAGAGAGATTTCCACAGAACCCCAGCCCACAAGATGCTTTAAGAATAAAGGAGTCTATGATGTATATATAGAAAGGCACAAAAAGCCTAGATTTTCCACATTTCCCAGTTTTAGAAGCTCTTGATGAAATGCAAAGGGGAATTACCAGTGAAAACCTGTGTTTGTAGGGGTGTGTGTGTGTGTGTGTGTGTGTGTGTGTGTGTGTGTGTATGGTGTGTGATTATGACTAATGTCCATCAATTACCTGCAAATTACTAGATGATGCCTGTAATGATAGTTCTGTTTTTAGCTTAATGGTTTATGTATCTAACTAGTGGCTGCTGTCTGGAGTAGGGCTGCTGGCAAATCAAAACACTATTTGCCAAGCCTGTCAGTGTGACAAACGTTGCTTACATTTACTCTTTTATTCCCAAGGTCAATTGGTATGTCTTTTTTCATATCACTGTTTGATGTGCTAACAGCCTTAAATGAGAACCATTCAATAAAGGCCCAATTTGCTATATTACTATTTATTCCTAGGTAATTCTATATTAGTTTGGCTCTTTAAGATTGCAAAGAAGAGACATGCATAGATCACCCTCGGAAGTGGAGGCTTATCACATGGTTCTCCAGATCTCGGGGCAGCACAGAACCACATCTCAGACCTTTGGTCACTCTGGGTTTCAGAACTTTCAAGATAGGGAGTGTCAGCAGCCTCATGGCTGACATAGCAACAGCCTCATGATTGTTGTAGCAACAGCCTCAGCTTCATAATAACCTGCATTCTCTGGGCCTATTGTTTCCCAGAGAGGGTTCCACAGAACCCCAGCCCACAGGATGCTTTAGGAATAAAAGGGGCTATAATATAATGGGTTTGGGATCTGTTACATAATCTATTCCAGCCTTGAAGGTTTACATTGACTTAGCTTGTTAAAAGTCCTCCTACGCATTTTATTTTTTAATTGTTTTCTGAAAAATCCCTGCTTTATTTAACCCAGCATTTCCCAATTCTGTTTAACCGGTGAACATTCTAGAAACATGCTTTGAAAAATAACCTAGTTTTGGTACTTTCCAGAAAAATCTGGTTGTATTAATTTGTCAGTCTCTGTGTTGGGGGGTCTGCATCACCACCCGCATGATTTATTAGGACTCATAGGATTCAGTATAAATTTGTACCCATGGCTATGATTTATTATAGTGAAAGGATACAGAGCAAAGTCAGCAAGGGGAAAAGGTGCATCCTGGGGCGATGGCTGGGAGAAGCCAGGCACAAGCTTCCAAGAGTTTTCTTCTGGCAAAGTCACACAGGTCGTGCTTCAAACCCCTGGCAACTAATTGTGACAACACATATGAAATATTGCCAACCAGGAAAGCTCAGCAGAGACTCATTGCCCAGGGTTTTCCCACAGAGATGATTACCTAGACCCCTCTTCCTGTCACATACCAAAATTCTAGGCTCCCAGGTGGAAAGCAGGTGTTCAGCATAAACCATAATGTTTGTACAAATTGTTTAGACCTCTCTTGAAAGTACTGGAAATGGAGGGAACCCTCCTGAAATCCCGGTTCCCAGATGCCAGACAGGGATTATACTTGTAAGCTGGCCTTTCAAAGGATAGCAGTCAGGCCTTTTCTGTCTGCTTTCTCATAGTGAAACCGTCATTTATTGACTCTATATTGCATCTAATATGTACTGTGCACTAGTGATATAGTGAAAAGGTTATAGATAGTCTTTGCCTCCAAGAGACTTACCATCAAGAAGGAAAGACAGATATATAACAATTCAGTAAGAAAATCGATTCATGATCATTGGGATGAATGTTACAAAGTAGAAGTACTCTATTCTCTGAGGACATTTATCAAGGATCCCTAAACTCTTTCCCAGAGGAACTGATGCTGAAAGTGAGCCCTGAAAAGCTAATGCAGGGTTGGGGGGAAGGTAAGGTGGAGGCCGCCTGGGTGGCAAAGGGATACATCTGGGCACAGAGTCCTAGGGACAGCATCTGCAAAGGCCCTGAGATGGGAAGAGATGTGGCACCTTCAAGGACAGTATAAGAAGCCAGCTTATGCCTGTAATCCCAGCACTTAGGGAGGCTGGGGCAGGTGGATCACGAGGTCAGGAGATTGAGACCATCCTGGCTAATACTGTGAAACCCTGTCTCTACTAAAAATACAAAAAAATTAGCTGGGCGTGGTGGCGGGCACCTGTAATCCCAGCACTTTGGGAGGCCAAGGCGGGCAGATCACGAGTTCAGAAGATCGAGACCATCCTGACTAACATGGTCAAACTCCATCTCTACTGAAAATACAAAAAAAAAATTAGCCAGGCATGGTGGTGGCCTGTAATCCTAGCTACTCGGGAGGCTGAGGAAGGAGAATGGTGTGAAACCCCGGAGGCAGAGCTTGGAGAGAGCCGAGATCACGCCACTGCACTCCAGCCTGGGCCACAGAGCGAGACTCCTTCTCAAAAAATAGAAGCCAGTGTGGGTAGAGGGGGAAAGACCAAAGGGGAGAGAGCCATGAGCTGAGGTAGAAAGAAAGGCAGGCCAGGTCTTGCAAGGCAAAGCCTCGGGCCACGTCACCCAGAGAGCCATCCATCTCTGTCATTCCTGATCATTATGTCCTTCTAGCTGATCCAGATCTCTTATTTCACTTGAGGCCTAGGGAACCAGTCCCAGCAACACTCACTCAGGGACGACTCAGGGCTCTGCCTCCATCCTCAGAAAGTTATGAAAAGTGGGGGTTTATCACATGGTTCTCCAGATTTTGGGGCAGCACAGAGACAATCTTAAAGAGCCCAACTAATATAGAATTATCCAGGAATAAATGGTAATATAGCAAATTGGGCTTTTATTGAATGGTTCTCATTTAAGGCTGTTAGCACATCAAACAGTGATATGAAAAATGACATGCCAATTTGACCTTGGGAATAAAAGAGTAAGTGTAAGCAACACTTGTCACACTGACAGTCTTGGCAGATAGTGTTTTGATTTGCCAGCCGCCCTACTCCAGACAGTTTCAGAAAGTTCCATGTGCCTGGAAGACATTTGGACAAAGCCTAATTCTTCCGTCTTTCCCTGTCTTCTATGTTTTTCTATCAAGCAGGAATCAAGACTTACATTTACTCCAGTAATGGGGTCAACCCAATGTACTAATAGACTCCATAATTCCAGGTTGGAGTTTGTTGAGATCAGAGTTTCATTATGGCCTTTCTCACTGGTTCTCTGACTGGCAAAAGCAAAGCCATGTCTCTGAGCTTGGCCCAAGATTCAACCAGGTATGTTCCTCCTCCTCTCTGAGGATCAGCATCTGAGACCTGTTGCCACTCAGTAAATATTTGAGGGATTAAAATTGGATTGAACTTGAGAGGTGGCACGCTCATACCTTTGGCAGATGTGAATGCCAGTGTTCTTCTCTGCGTGGAGCCCAAGTGTGTCTCTCTGGAGCCTCTGTCCTGTGGTCCTTTTTCTTTGCCAAGCATTTCATGAGGACATTGGTGTGTCAAGCATGGCCCTAGGGATGTGGAGACAGTTCTTATCCTTTGCCTTGCCAACTCTGTTGGACCCCAGACTATACGTGCCTACTGTCTTCAACTGTTCCTCACCCCACAGGGTGAGGGGTCTTTTAGGGTCTCCTTGCTGCAAGCCTGGCACGTCAAAGCCAAGAGACCCCAGCCTGAGGAAGTGAGTAGTTGGTCAGCTTGAGAGCCTTGAAGTTCTCAAACATGGGCACAAACTCCTGGAGTAAGAAAATGAGCTTTCATTTCCATGGGTAGGAATTTGCAGACACTTCACTTGGGTGGAAGAAATGTCATATTCCTGCATTAAAAACAATTTGACTTTGAGTCCCATGCATAAAGGGGAAGAATTTCACTTCAGCCACTGTTGGGATTCTCCCAAGCAAGGTCTTACATAGACCTGGCATTCCAGGAAGACCCTCAGGTCTCAGTCCACACTGGGCATTGTTGATGTGCTCAAGGCCTCAGTGACACCTGAAGGCAGGAAGCTCAGTTGTATCCGAGCCAAATTCTGGTGGGGGAGTTCAAGTCCTTCTGCTTAGAATGGGAGTCCTTTTGTGTACAGTCCAGCACTTCTGTCCCCTCTTCCTTATTTAAATAAATAAATAAATGGCCCATTTATTTATTTTTGAGACAGGGTCTCATTCTGTCACCCAGGCTGGAATGCAGTGACATGATCATAGCTCACTGCAGCCTCAAACTCCTGGGCTCAAGCAATCCTTCTGCCTCAGACTCCTGAGTAGCTGGGACTACAGGCATGCACCACCATGCACAACTATTCTTGAAAGTTTTTGGAAAAACAGGATCTCACTATATTGACCAGGGTGATCTCGAACTCCTGGCCTCAAGCGATACTCCTGCCTCGGCCTCTCAAAATGTTGGGATTACAGGCACAAGCTACTGCACACAGCCTAATAATACCCTCTTTAAAATAAAAGCTCCCACCCTTTTATTTTTCCTGGAATGATTAGGAAGAAGTGGAGGTGTTCGAAGCAGTCTGCTTTTTCCTTATATCTCGCCTCATTTCATGGGTGTGAAGGGGATTTGCCATGTCACTAAGTGTTACTTAGCCCAAGTCTGGATGTCTCTCCCTCCTGTTGTCTATACTGCCAGCATCAGAGTCACCTAAGACTCTGTGTGGCTGCTCCTCGAAACACCAAATAGTTGGCCATTCATTCATTTATCCATTCATTTAGAAATACACATGCAAGGTGAGCAACACAAACTCAGCCATGGCTCTTGGGGTGCTTTCATCTAGTCAGGGAGACCTTAATGAAAACTACTCACCCCAATAAACATCTAATTAGGAATTATGGTTAGTGCTAGTAAAGAAAAGAAAAGAAAAGGGATGTCAGTCAGGATAGGTCAGGTTATACTCTGTGTACTAATCATGGTTTTTTAATTGTCTGTATTTTCTGATACTTTGACATCTTGGGACTTTGTTGACCTAAAATAGCAAAGAGCTCTCCCGGAAGTATGCCTTTCATATGCAAACTGATGATCCCAATTGGGTAGAGCACAACTAAGTCTTTTATTATTTTTTTTTTAATTTAATTTTTTTTTTGAGTCAGGATCTCACTTTTTTGCCCAGGCTGGAGCACAGTGGTACGATCGTGGGTCACTGCAGCTTCGAACTCCTAGGCTCAAGTGATCCTCCCACTTCAGCCTCCTGAATAGCTGGGACCACTTAAGCCCCCTGAGTAGCTGGGACCACAAGTTTAGCTGAGTAACCACCACACTCAGACAAATTTTTGAAAACATTTTTATAGAGATGGGATTTCACCATGTTGCTCAGGCTGGTCTTGAACTCCTGAGCTCAAGTGATCCTCCCACCTTGGCCTCCCAAAGTGCTGGGATTACAGGTGTGAGCCACTATGCCTGGCCTCTACCTCTTTTATTGAGATCTCATTGTTTATCTACTATCCCCCTGCCCTAATTACCCAGGGCCATACATCAGACAGCTAAGGGTGGTCCACATACCCTGGTGCCCTCTGAAATTATTCAAACTAGGCAATCCTAAACCTGCTCAGCTGCTTACCTGATCTTGCCCATTCCTTCTTGGGAAAACCACAATAAAGGCTCTTGCCCACATTTACCCAGGCTCCTTCTGCCTTGTCACTGACGCTGGAGCTTCTGACATGCTTGTGGCCCTGCATGGCATAGTATGCCCCTTCCTCTAGGAAACTGTGTTATCTTTTCAGCGGCAGTGTCTTCTGATCTGTTGGCCTCACCATACCTGAATGGTAGTAACAAAACCTACAAGTGAAAACATGGTGGTAGCAAACAACCCTCAAATTGAAATGGCTTAACTCACCAAAAGTTTATTTCTTGCTCATGCTGCAGATTCAAAAGAGGTTTGCAGGGGCTCTTTGCTTAGGGGAGTTGCTCAGAGACCGTGGCTGCGGAGGCCAAGGATCACTGACCTTGGATAAGGGGAAGGGAATTCAGCAAAAGGTACACAGGCTGTTCAAGCCTCCCTCCTGGCAACAGTGACCTTCACTGCTACCCAAATCTCCCTGGCCAAGCTGGTGTCATGGCCAGGCCTGACCTCCACAGGGGTGGGAGGTGCTGTTCCACTCTGTGTCTAGAAGGAAAGCTGGAAATGCAAGGTGAACCATACCAGTGACTTCACTGGGACCTCTGAGCATGCAGAATAGGCTGGTCTGGGATGTCAGGAATGCACCTTTCTAGAAGTAACGTTGAGACACTCGTGATAAGATTTGAATGATGAGAAAGAGTTAATTAGACAAATCCCAAGGGTTAGAAAGTGTTCTAAATGGGAGACAGTGCGTGCAAAGACCCTGAAGATGGGGCATGGCAAATTGAAGGAACTGAAACCACAGGTGTACGAAGGAAGGGAGTGGGAGAAAAGCGGGGGAAGAGTATTTAATCACTGACATTATTTAGAACATGGATGCATGGTGATAAGAAGTGAACTTTTAAAGTCCATTTTATTATTGATTTCAAATTCCCTACAGGAAATTAATGCCCTTATTGCCTGCACTTTGGGCTGACCACTTCCTTTGCCCTTGGGATGGCCTTGACCAAAGAAGACTGGGGGGCTGGAGCCAGGCAGGAGACAGAGCAGAGAATCTGTCAGGGCCAAGCCATGCAGGATTTGTGAACCTCGTTAGGGATTCTGGCTTTAATCCTAAGAACAGTGGGAGGCTGTGGGTAGATTCTGAGCTGAGAAATGAGGAGTATATGGTGTCCTGGCCGTCCCATTTTCAAGACTCTGGGTTACTTTTGGCAGGAAGGCAAAAACAAAGAAAAGACAGTGGAGAAAATGAGAAGACAATAAGGCTGATGTAAAGCAGAAGATGAGTATTGTTTTACACGTTTGGCTATGCCACCTGTTTGCAAAATGCTGTTCTCTGTGCATTTTAGAGTCTGCAAGGAGGATAACTCATAGCAACAGGGGACTCTCACCTGCCTTGCCATCATTTTACTGCATTTCTCTGCTAAGTCTGGATTTCACTATTGAAGGATACCTCACTCCTTTCAATATGGTATTTAATCTTGTCAGATAAAAGATGGGAAAGTCTGAAAGTTTTATTTGCTCATTCTGTCATGCAACACCATAGCTCCTCCTAACTGCGGGGTCTTCAGCGTGTCTAAAATCGATCTCAAAGATAAGTGGGTGGGGGAGCGATGATTCAGGTATCCAGCTGGGGAGATTCAATTTCCCATCCCCTCCCCCAGCCTTAGCTAGCGCCTTTGAGGAATCCTCCCTGCTGGAATTTATCTACCAACCCTGGGAAAGAGCAGAGCAGTGGTAAATATCTGATTAGAGAAAATGCCTAGCAAGCTGCAATTCCATATATTGTAAGTGATAAAACTGTAATTGTTTGTTGACAGTGTACATTAGCTATTCACAGCTCGCATCAATATAGTACCGAGAAACTAGGGTCTAGGAATCTTTAATGGCAGTGCAAAAATATACTGGAACTAAGTTGGGGAATAAAATCAACAATTTCTGCTTAGTGAGAGGAATGCCATTCTCAGAGAGGACTTCATAGGAGAAGGCCTGGTGAGGTTTGAGCTTCCTCCATGAGGCTCTATGTAGTTGAAGGAAAGGATGGTCCCTAGGCTGAGTGTCTGGGAAGGGCACCCAAGGGCATAATTCTGGTAGACATGGGTGAGAGACAAGTTGCAGCTGCTGTGAATTGGGCCCACCTGGAGATGGAGACAACCAGCGCTTGCTAGGATGGGGTCTGGGGAACCAGATATAGGTCTGGCCTTGCTGGGGACAATTTACTATTTTAATCCATAGGGTACAATGGGATGATGTCAGTCTGTCACTGAAGATACGAATATTTCGGGGGAGGGAAAGGGCAACTGGTGCATGGGCAAGTCAACAGGAAGCCAAGGAATAGGCTAACGGGGGCCCTGTGGCCTGAGTTCTGGTACTGGTAGTCAGCAAGGCTGCAGTCAGTGCCGCCGGTGGGGGCGGGGAGGGTGCAATACAGGCTGGAGTGGATAGGAGGCGGCTGGAGTGAGGGGCCTGGAAAAGACAAAGCTCAAAGCCCAATCCAGGGAGACTGAGTGTAAGTCTGATCTAATGGAGGACTGGCGTACTGTCCAATAGCAATATAATATGAGCCATAGATATAATTTTTTAAAACTTATTAAATTTAATTTTTTATTGGTAGAGGGTGTTTTACTGGGGAAATTCACAGACAGAAGCATGGTCTTGGGTAGCCACAAGGCAGGTAGATCTCTGCAATGTTACTCCCCAGACCCAGGGCATATGTACCATAGGGAAAGGGTGTATGTGTCCAGCCAGACAATGAAAAGCAGCCTCTAGAACAGGCAAGGGTACTGTATGTGTCATAGCCTGTAACTTGTATGATAAACATCAAGATTGACATATTCTTATGCTAGGAACAGTAAATAAAATAGGAATCAGGAGGCATTCTCAAGACTGGAGCTAATCAGAAGTCAATATGGTAGATTTGTATTCATGAAACTTTTTATTTTGAAATAATAATAGATTCACAGGAGAGGTTCCATGTACCCTTCTCCCAGTTTCCTCCAATAGTTACATCTTATGTAACTATAGCACACTCTCAAAACCAGCACACTGCCACTGGTGCAATGTGTGTGTATACTTCTGTGTCATTTTATCACATGCAGATTCCCATAACCATCACTGCAATCAAGACACAGAATGATTCCATCACCCAAAGATCTCCTCATACTACCTCTTTGTGGTCATATCCATTTCCCTTCCTCTTACGATTCCTAATCTCTAGCAAGCACTAATCTGTTTTCCATCTCTTTAATTTTATCATCTCTAGAATGTTATATAAATTGAATCACATGGCATGTGATCTTTTGAGATTAGCTTTTTTTCCCTACTTGGCTTAATGACCTTGAGGTCCACCCAAATTGCTACATGTATTCATAGTCCATTCCTTTTTATTGCTGAGTAGTATTCTGTGGTATGGATGTACTCCAGTTTGTTTAGTCATTCACCTATTATTGTAGGACATTTTGGTTGTTTCCAGTTTGGGCTATTAGGAATAAAGCTGCTATGAACAATTATGCATAGGTTTTTGGGCCTAATGGATATAAGTTTCCACTTCTCTGGAGTAAATTGCTGAGTTGTATAGTTATGTGGTTTTTTTTTTCTTAAAGAAACTGCCAAACTATTTACCAGAGTGGCTGCATGTTTTTGCATTTCTACCAGCATTGTATGAGGAATCCAGTTTTCCTGTATCATCACCAGCATTGGGTATCGTGACTATAGTGTTTTATTTTAGCTGTTCCAATGGGTATGTAGTAATATTTCTTCATGTTCTTAATTTGTATTTCCTTAAAGGCTAGTGATGTTAAACATCTTTTCATGTGCTTATTTGCCATGCATATGTCTTATTTGGTGAAATGTCTCTTGCATGTCTTTTGCGGATTTTCTAACTGAGTTGTTGAATCCTTGCCTTTTTCTCAATCTTAAGGGAAAAGCATTCAGTCTTTCACCATGAAGTGTGATGTCAGCTACTGTTTTTTTTTTTTTGTAGATGTTCTTTATCAACTTCAGAAACTTACCCTCTATTTGTAGGTTTCTGAATTTTTTTTTTTCGTTTAACTACAAACGGGTGTTGAAATGTGTCAAATACTTTTTCTGCATTAGTTGATGTGGTCATGTGATTTTTCTACCTTTAACCTGTTAATATGGTAGATTACACTGATTGATTTTTCAAATGTTGAACCAGCCTTGCATCTTTAGACACAACCCCACTTGGTTATGGTGTAAAAATATTTTTATATATTGCTGAATTCTCCTTGCCAATATTTTGTTAAGGTTTTTGTGTTTGTATGCATGTGAAATATTGATCTTCATTTTTCTTTATTTGTATTGTCTTTGGCTTGGTACCAGAGTAATACTGGCCTCATAATATGAGTTTGGAAATGTTTGTTCTTCTTTTCTGGAAGAGATTAGAGTAGAATTGGTGTTAATTCTTCTTTATATGTTTGGTAGAATTCTCTAGTGAAATCATCTAGGCCTAGATATTTCTTTTTTGGGAGTTTTAAAATTACTAATTCAATCTCCTTAATAGTTATAGGGCTATTCAAGTGATCTGTTTCATATTGGGAAACTTACGGTAGTTTGTGCTTTTCAAGTTTGTGCCCATTTCATTTAATGTGTGAAATGCATGTGTGTAATTTGTAGTATTTCCTTATTATCATGTTGTTAAGTGCAGGATCTGTTTTCCTTAGCCCTTGCCAACTCTAGATAGGTGAAAAATGAGTCTTGGGGTTTCAGTTTTCACATTTTTATATTAATTAGGTGGATCATTAATTTGTATTGTATCTTTTGCTCTTTTCCTCCTGTTTACCGTTTTCTTACTGATTTGTAAGAACTTTTTCTAGGTTATAAATACGAATCCTCCTCCTGTCACATATTCGTAACCTTTCAGGTTGCACTTTTCTCATTATCTTTTACAGTTTTTTGTCACACATACATGCTTTTAATTTTCATGTAGTTATTAATCAATATTTTCCTTTAAGGCCTCTGGGGTTTTATGTTGTATCCATTAGCACTCAATTTCAAGAGATAGAAAACCAAGTCAAGCTAGTTTAAGAAAAAAAGAAAGTAAAGAAAGAATGTTAGCTTATGTAACTGGGCATTGAAGAGATAAATCTCGCTGCATGGATTAAGGATCTGAAAAATACATCATCAGGGTTCTGTTTCTCTTCTCTTGCCACTGCTCAGCTTTTATTTATATCTATCTGGCGATATCATTTTCTCTAAAGCAGATAGTCTCTGTGTGATGATAAAAAGGCTGCTGGGAGTCTCAAGCTTATATTGTAGTAGTTTAAGGTCCAAAAATAAAAGGCTTTCAGAGTCTGTATATTATATCCCATAGAAGGACTCGGAATGACTCTGCTTGGGTGGTATGGTCTCTTCCCTCTTCCCCATACCCTGAATCCGTCCATAAAAATGAGGGCTAGTATGTCGCGATTGATCATTTACCTAGCTCTGTGGCTAGTGGGTAGGTGGAGTACCATCAGAACTCCATGCCATGGACAGCTCCCATGGAAGACTGACAGGGCAAATAGGTGCAAAGAGAGTCCTCTGCGTGTCTTGCTTAGGAGGCCTTTCCCCAGCATAAGATGATTAAACAAAGTTTGTTTCCTTATAATATGTATGATTTCATTATTTTATGTATACATTTTTGATGAGAGAGAGTATATGAATATGGGGTGAGGTAGGGATCTTTTGCTGGATGTGTTTATATTTGAAGAGAAGATGCCCTTGAAACTTATTTGGTTGCCTGCTGCATAATTTGATAATTTTTTCTTTGCTTTTTCTTGAGTCTATTCTGAGTTAACATGAATCCCACAAGGTTAGGATGGTGGGAAGGGCAAGGGCTTCATCTAGCATAAGGGTTTTCACAGTGTCTGTTAACAAATATCTGGTTTAACTCATCTGAGCCCGATACTCATGCCCTTCAGTGGATATCCTGGGCATCAAGATATTGTATAGCAGTGGGAGGTATACAGCGGCACCCAGGAGAACCACGGATATTTCAAATTACCTAAAAATGGGGACAAAGTTAAACCTTGAAATTCCTCCTAGATTCCTACCTGGGTGTGGTAAGGCAGGCTGAGGCTTAGAGGGGGTTAAGGACAAAGGTGTGTAGGAGACTGGCCACCTCACTATGACCTGTGTGCACAATCAGGTCCCTGTGAGGGTCACCAGGCATGGATGCCCAGCAGTGGACAAGGTCTTTCCTAAATGTATTCCCAAGTGTTCAGTGGTATCTTTTTCCCTTAGAGGAATCTTTAAAAATGATTATCTTGTGCTAAAAGCATATTATTTCAGGTTCAACAATTCCTTTAGCTTCACACCTGTTTCCTTTTATTCAGTTAAATTCCAGAAAGAAAATTTAAACATTTTAATTTTAATAGCACGCACAGTTTGATCCCATTTGTATGAAATTATTTCATTGAATATGATTCCATCTATTGATCCCACCATCTCTTTGTATGTCAACTGTCAGGAATAATTATTTCTAGATTGTGTTGGTTTTTTATTTTTTGCTTTCTTTAAAAACTAATAGGCACTTATTTCTATAAAAGCAGTAGACATTCCTTTGAAAGAATAAAGTCTATGATAAGAAGCATGCTCATTCTTCTACTTAGAGTTGGCTCTATTTCCCTTACTATGTGAATAAATATTGTCTACTGGCAATTGTTAGTTGTAAACTCATGGGGAATTATACCCAGAGCCTCACAGGACCTCAGCCAGAAAGAGAGGAGACAGGAAAAGAAATCAGAAAAGGAGAAAAGAGGAAACACAAAGGAAGCAGGCAAGCCTCCAGGTTGGGGATTAGACCATGGCTTTGGCGGAGTCACTTCCTCATGTTTCTGGGGCAGAAGCCTGCTGGTTTTCATCACCTCTGCTGAGAATCACTTTGTCTTTGAACACCCTCTGTGTGCCTAGATCAGCACTGTGTATCCAGCAGGCACTCAATAAATGCTTCGTGGATGTGTAGTTTCCCAAGGGGGTCATTCTCCCTAATCCAATTCTTTGTCTTTCAGGCTCACAGGCTTTCAGCTGCCAGCCACCATTGTTAGTGCAGCCACCACCCTCTCTCTGCGCCTCATCAGCGACTATGCAGTCAGTGCCCAAGGCTTCCACGCCACCTATGAAGGTAAGTGCCTCCCTCATCGGCCACAGGAGCCGGAGATGTGATGTCCTAATAGCCACAAGCAGGACTGCATTGCTCACAGATGCAGGGAAGTGTTCTTCAGACCCAGAGCTTGCGCCTGTCCTGACAAGGCTGGTTACTAACCAGTAACTCAGTTACTTAAATTGTCCCTCTTGGTTCCCAGGAAACTGAGAATTGAAATCAAAGCTCATGTGCAGTAGTTTATCCTGAGGGCCTGGTAACATCTACTTCTCTGTCCCCTTTAACTGGGTTTTGTTGTGTTTTTATTTTTTTAATTCTGTTTTATATTGGGCTTCATTGTATAAGGTACCTCAGGTTGTTTTTGAAAATAAAAGACATATAAACCCTAAGTAAAAGAAATAAAATAAGCAACTGAAAACACCATACAATGACTGCCAAGAGTCAGTTTTATATCATTCAGAGAAGAACAATCGATTTTTCCTTAATAGCATGGATTAGGGGCTTTTGGTTTGTGCTATGCAAATAATTTGTACTTCTCTCAGTCTGTTTAAATATGGTGTTAGAATTCAAATTAACACTAATATCTTCAGATTATACACTATTATTATTATTAACTTTATTATGTTCAGAAGGTGGTACTTCTAGATCTCTGTCATTTCCCTGGGAAATTTACATCTCATTAATAGGTAATTATGCCACTCTTGGCTAAGACCTGCACTGTTATTTTGTGTTAAGATCATTAATAGGCATATTTTAAGACTGTTAATGATAATTAATAACAGTAATGACATAATACCCTAGTAAAGCACGCCAGATATCCAAAAGCTTTTTTTTTTTTTTTTTTTTTTTGCCTTTGCCTTTGTTTAAGAACTTAAAGAGTAAGCGATGCTTTCTTCAATGAAGAAGCTATAGCAATACAGAAACAGACACTCCCTGTCTTGGCCAGGGGTGTAATGCATAAAGAGGACAAGTTCTGCCTCCTTAGCAAAAAACCACCCCTGGTGGCAGGGGGTATAGGGGAGATGGTTTGATGCTTTAACCTGAGCAACTGGGGGCTCCTGGGAAGGCTTCAGTTATTTTTAACTAAAGGTTGCTGAGAAGGCTCCTGAGAAAGTTCCACCTGTCTTTTGCTGAGGGCTTCTGACATAACTCTATTTTACCTTAACTGAGGGCTCCTGACAAAGACTGACCTGTCCTTAAAGTGAGGATTCCTGAAATAGCCTAATTTCTTTTTAAAAAATGATCAGATCTCAGCCGGGTGTGGTGGCTAACACTTGTAATCCCAGCACTTTGGGAGGACGAGGCGAGTGAATCACTTGAGGCCAGGAGTTTGAGACCATCCTGGGCAACAGGACAAAATCCCGTCTCTACTGAAAATACAAAAATTAGCCGGGCATGGTGTTACACACCTGTAATCCCAGCTACTTGGGAGGCTGAGGCACAAAAACTGCTTGAACCTGGGAGATGGCACTGCACTCCAGCCTGGGTGACAGAATGAGACTCTGTCTCAAAAAAAAAAAAAAAAGTTCCTACCAATATCAAGCCTGTGATTTTTGTCATCCTATTTATTCCTTCAACCTGGCCCTGAATCCAAAGTAATTCTCTCCAAGTTTGAGCAACAAGCTCCTCACTAGGAGAAGCCTCTTCAGAAGCTTCCTAAAGTCTGTCTGGCCATTAGCTCCTTCCACAATAGGTTGGCCTTGGGGACATTGACTGCACTTGGGACCCGGGGCCAGGAAAAGGGAGACTGGGTCAGGGACACTAGAAGAGGTGCCAGCAAAGATGCTGGGAGTGACTGACACATGGGGGAACTGGCCGGGCCCTAGGCTCTCATGGTGCCCTCATTTCTCAGTCCTGGTCGATCTTTGAGGCCCTGGCTTCCCTGAGGCTTGAGGAAAAAGGTGTCCCTGCCCACACTGCCCTGTTAGGGGCACAAGCACTTCTCATTAAGCAGAGCAGATCTGAGGGCACATTCAGAGTCCCGTGAAAACAGACACTGTCACCTGGAAATCATGAGCAGGGTCTGTAGTTGGGCAACAGGAGGTCTGTAAACTCCATGACATTAGAGACAAAAATTCTGAGGGTGGGTATATCTTTTTCTAGGGAGAATATACAGCAGGCATTAGAGAACTCAGATCCCCCTGGCCAAATCTAGCCAGAAGGTTGTTTTTGTAAATAAAGTTTTATTGGAACACAGCCATGCCCATTCGTTGACATGTGTTTGGTGGCTGTCTTCATGCACTACAACTGCAGAGTTGAGCTATTGTGACAGAGACCCTATGCAAAGCCAATGAGATACTTACTTTTTGACCCTTTACAGAAAAAATTTACTTACCCCTGGTCTGCAGCTGTATTGTCCAATACAGTAGCCATCAGCCACATATGGCTATTTACATTTAAATTAACTAAAATTGAATAGAATTTAAAATTCAGTTTCTTAGTCACACTAGCCTTGTGTCAAATGTTCAGCAACCACATGTGGCTTGTCTGCCATGTAGAACAGCCCAGATACAGAATATTTCCATCATTGCAGAAAATTTTACTGGACAGAGCTGAGCTGGAGCTTTCATCGGATTCACAAAGAGGCCGGTGATTCAAAAGAGATTGCAAAACATTAGGGATAAATTAGAGGCCAGTGGATCCCTCCTCCCACCTGCCTGGCACAGGTGAGGCAGTCCAGGCATGAGAATGCTCAACATTCCACAGCAAGACTCACAGGGCAGAAGGAACAGCCTATTTCACCTCAGCCACATAATGATGTCAGGTGTCTAAGTCATTGGCACTAAGGAAATAAAGCCTTGTAGGCAAGGCCCCTGCAAAGGCTAGACCAATGCTAACAGATTGCTGTAGCCGAGCGAGTCTCTATGCAGTCACCTGTTGCAGGGTTTCTGCAAACTACGCAGGATGTGTGGCTGGCTGTTTTGTACTGCATGGTAAAGTGGGTCACAGGTGTCTGTGCTAACAAAGGAGTCAGACACCCATAAGCCAAGGCTGTGGCTATCACTGAAGCTCATTAATTTGATTTGGGACTGGGCTATGTGGCAATTCATGCATCTGGACAAATGTGAGTTGCACTTACTTTTGGAACACCCACAGTGGATGGACAAGGATGGAAGGTGGGAGGCATGAGTAGGGTCAGCCACAGCTGTGAGCATACCTACCTGATATATGCCCTGGGATGTCTATCGTTGAGCTTATTCAACAGGCAACTGAATCGGGTTGAACCTGTACCTGACTCACTGGGTGACCTTGGGCAGATTTTTAAGCTCTCTGAGCCTCATTGTGGGGTGGAGGAGGGGAGATTCACTAGTCAAAAGGAATTTATGAAGATTTGGCTCTCAGGGAAGGAGCTCAGCCCCCTTCCTCCATTGCAGAGTCCCCTTGGACATTTGTGCTGGGTGGCAAGCAGGGAGAATGACAGACAGGCTTCAAAGAAGAGGCCCCCACTTCCAGCCTAGGCTGCCCCCAGTCAGGATGGTTTCCTTATATTCGCTATTCATGATGTTGTTGTGTCCGTTTCAAAATGGCATCAGGGCCCTGCTCTTGGTAGCTCCTCTTGGCTGACATCCCCAAATGTCTGCTATCAAAGCGAGTTTGATCCTCCTCCACCCTCATCCAGAATGTGAAAAGTATAGATAAGGAACTGAACTGCTGCTAGGGATTTTGGAGAAAGGTGAAGTCAGGTGATGAGTGTCAGCCCACGGCTGCTGCCGCCGCAAGGAAAAGATCAAAAAGGCCGGTAGTCAAACCCTGAGATGACAGAAGGTGCTTGGTTTGTAATCCCCGGGGGCAAGAGCGTGGGCCGCAGCAGCTGGACGGGAGGGAAGGGGATCAACCTGTATTAAGCACCGACTGTATGCCAGGCACTTTACATACATTATCTCATTTAATCCCCCACCACAACCCTGTGGACAGACATTGCTATCCATCTTACAGAAGTACATGCTGAGCCTCAGGGAAGTTTTGTGTGCAGCTTAGGGCCTGATGGCCAGGAATTTTAACGTGGCTTTTCTGCAAAACTCTTTGAGTAAGGCAGAGGCTAGTGACTCCATTTCACAGGCAGGTAAACTGGAGATAAGCCAGAGGCAGGGGAGGATGTGGGAACTTCCAGGCTGGTGTGGGTCATCCATGGAGGCAACAAGAGATGTGTTCCTGAGCTTCTCAGCTAGGGTCACCAGATAAAATACAGGGCACTCAGTTAATCTGAATTTTAAATTATTCAAATTTTTGAAGTGGGAATAATGTTTAGTGTAAGTATACCCCAAATATACTTATTTTATTTTATTTATTTAGTTTTTTGAGATAGGGCCTCACTTTTTCCTCCAGGCTTCAGTCCAGTGGCACGATCTCAGCTCACTGCAGCCTCGACCTCCTGGGTTCAGCCTCCTGCCTCAGCCCCTGAAGTAGCTGGGACCGCAGACACGCGCCACCACAGCCGGCTAATTTCTTTGTATTTTTGGTAAAGATAGGGTTTCACCATGTTTCCCAGGCTGGTCTCGAATTCCAGAGCTGGAGCGATCTGCCTGCCTCGACCTCCCAAAGTGCTAGGATTACAAGCATGAGCCACCACACTGGGCCTGAAATTTAAATATAACTGAGCATCCTGCATTTTCAGTTGCTAGAACTGACAATCCCATTTTCAGCAAAGAGTCTGAAAATAGGCCCCAGGAGCCCTCGCCCCACTTACCTCCTCCTCCTCCTCCTGACTCCCATGTCTGCCCATGTCCTGCTCTGCCCATGTAGGGCTGTCTGCCCATGTAGGGCTGTCTGCCCAGGTCTAGCCTCAGTTCTGCCATTCCAATGAATATACATTTAGACATCTATCTGCTCACACACATATGCACACAGGTGTGGATCCGTGTGCACTTGGGATTATGCTATCTGTGCAATTCTGTAATCTGGTTAATGAAGCCAACGTTTTTCTGTGTTAATAAAAGTAGCCCTGATTTGTCTTTCTAATGAACATCACTGAGGAAGCCATTGTGGTTTGCATATACCATAGTTATCTAACCAGTCATCTTCTGTGGACATTTAGGTGAAGAACATCCTTGTACATACAATTTAAGCCCTCATCTAATTATCTTCTTAGAATAAATTCTTGGAAGTGCAATTGCTGGGTCAAAGAGTATGTAGATTTTCCATTTTATACATAATTCCATCGTGTCTTCAGAAAGGTTATACGAACGCACACTTCTACCAACAGTACACAAGCAGGCCTGAGCCCATTCCTCCCACCTTGCCAGTGTTACAAGTCAGTTTCATGGATTAAAATGGGTGGAAAATGACATCCCATTTGTTGCGATAATTGGCATCTCTTTGATTGTAGGTAAGGTGAAGCACCTGTCATCACTTACTGGCCATGTACTGATAATTGTATAAATCCTCTCTCTTGGTCTCTGCCTACTCTTCCATGGGGGTGTTAGAATTTTTCTTATCTTCTTTGTAAGTGCTTTTTGCATATTAAGGATATTAATGTAATGGGTTTCCTTTAGAGGTACAGCAGTTTTCATTTTTATGCCACTCATTTTACATTTTAATTTTTTAATTTTTCCTTTATGCTATCTATTTTTGGTGCCATGCTTGGAGAGGCTTCTTCTGTGTGAAGATTAGATAAATGTTCATTTAAAGGCTCACCTTATTCTTTTAGTTTTATTTTACTGTTTATTTTTAAATCCTCCTGGAACCCAGATGTGTTGATCTTGGTTTCTGTGTCTCCCTTTCTGTCTTTGGCTCTCTGATGCTTGCCATGTGTCACTCCGAGTTCATGGAAGCCTGCATCTTCCCCACTCTACCCCCAGTGTGTCTCTATCTGATGTTTCCAGTCTTCCTGCCATTTGGTCATTTTTTTCTCACCCTAGCCCCAGACTTCCCACCTTCCCCACACACAACTCCCAACTGTTGCATGAGATTGTTTCCGATTATTCCAGACTGATCGCCAGGTAAGCGAGCGTGATGGGCAGATCAGAAATGCCAATGAGGGAAGAGTCTCTGCAGGTTTTTAGTGCTTAATCCTGGTTGCACCTCTGCATTTTAGCAGCATGGATCTCGTGCACTCTGACACTTTTGTGAAGGAGAGCCCATCTCTGAGTGTCGGGTCTCAGTCTGTTAGATCTACTTAATACTCTAGCTCTCAAAACAGGTATTTCTTTGTTTAGCTAAGTCTAACTGTGATCTGGACATCTCACTATCAAACTATAGGCTTCCTTAAAAATCAGACCTGTTCTATTCCACTAATGATCTCTATGAAGAATCTTAGAAGGATGAGGTACCCTTATTTTCCCTTATTTTTTGTGGACTCCTTGGTAACCATAAGGGGAAAGGTGGCATAGTACAAGAATTAAGATCTCAGGTTCTGAATTCAGACACCTGGAATCAAATCCTATCTTGCCACTCACTTGCTGGTTGACCTTGGACAAGTTATGTCATTTCATTGAGCTCCAGCCTCTGTGCCTATAAAATCAGGATAAGAATAATACTTCTTAGAGCTGTTGTGAGGATTAAGGAAGAGAATGCACAAGTCACAAGATGTGCTCAGTATGGGACCTGGCAAATTGTCAGCGCTTGATAAATGTCAGCTAATTAATTAAGTCACTCTCATCCTAACCTTACTTGACTGGGATTATTTCAGGGGATGGAAGGAATATGTCAACTTCATAGTTCACAATCCCAGCCCCACCCCAGTACCCTGGCTCCAGAGTTTGCATAAAATCCTTAATCCAGCTGTTCGTGGTGTGTCTAGCTTTACAGCCAGACGGTGGCTTTTGGAGGGAAGAAGCAGAGTGTTCTTCATATTCATGAGCCTCTGGCACTGCTTGAGCCTGTGTCCATTGGATAGGGATGAAGTCTCAGGTTTTGTCACTTGGTGGATGGGAGCTAATGAGGCCAAACCAGGAACTTAGTCTGTTCATGGCCTCTTCTCTTTGTATCAGAGATGTTGGCTTTAGAGCTAAGGGTCCTAGTAAGAAGTCAAATAGGCCCTAGGCTTTTGAGGTCATGGATTTGAAAACTGTGACACACACACATACATGCATGTACACGTACTCACACAAATACAACTCTTCCATAAGATTCACAGGGAGTTTACAGATGCCCTGTGGCCACCCCGATCCCCTAGTTCACCTAAAAAAACAGCCCAGAGAGGTTGACCTCACACATTAAGTTGATGGTAGAGATTTCTTCGTTCATTGAGCTAATATTTACTGGGCACATATTGTGTGCAGTCCTTGACTTTCATCCAAGCTTCATTTTCATTGTCACGATTTGTGCTCTCTCCCTAGTCTATCTCCCCTCCCAAAGGGGAGCAGGGAGAAAGAAGACATGCTCCACTTAGTGTCACTTCTGGAAAAAAAAAGACAAAACCCTGGTATGCTTTTGCTACCAATGGAAGATCGGTAATATCATCTCTGTATAAGGACCACAGCGTGTTGCAACAGGGTAGACAGACTCATCTGTGAGGGATGGACAGATGGAGCCAGAGCTGCCCGTTTTGCTGTTCCAGGAGACGCAGGTTAGGAGCAAGCCTCAGAACACAGTGTGCTTCTGTGATGTTTGGAGGTGGGAGTAGGGTTGGAGGTGATCATGCCACTGTGCACGCAGATAAATTGGGGTCCAGAGATGGAATTGGAAGCAAGTACATGGGAGAAATGGGCCTTTCCTGGTTTTGTTTTTTCCTGTAATTAGACCTGCTGATTCTCTCTCTCGGCCTCAGCCTCTCAGACAATTTCCTCATTCCAAAAGAGTTCCCCAATTCTGGGACATGATGCAGACATCTCAAAATTGGGCTAATGGAAGCCATTTGATCACATATATATAGATAGACATACACTGAATATGCAATTTGCAGCATTTAAGCCACTCCAGGCCAGAACAGCAGAACAGCAGGCCAATGCCCTCCTCCAGGGAGGGAGGTGATAGATGTCCATTTCCTCCGCTCAGGAGGGATGGTGTGTGCTTCCTGAGTGAACCTGTTCCATTTCCGATGGCTCTGCCTTGGGAGTTGGAGAACATTCATTTTAATCAGTACTGTGGAGTAGCAAATTAATACATAGAGACGTGACATTTGAGACAAATTGGGCAGCACTTCTCAATAAGTGGAGAATCAGGATGATTTTCATATCACGTCCTCAATAATCCCACAAATAGTTCATCATGCATAGTAATATTTTACCCCTTTGGGGAAGAGTATTAACATAGCTTTAAGATGATATTATGCCAAACTCTAGTGCCATGACCGTCTTCCTGTCAGGGTGTCAGGAGAAACAGTGATGAGGAGGAAGGAGCATTCTCACGCAGCTGCCTGCTTGCAGATACAGTGTACCTCTGCTTCACTTCTCTGTCCCCATTCATTCATTCTTCATTCATTCAACAAATATTTACTGAACACCTGCTATATATCAGTCCCAAAGTAGGCTTTGAGGATACAAGAAAGAATAAGAAGTGGCCCCTACATTCAAGGAGCTCTGAAACCTAAAAATGTTGGGAGAGAAGTAAGGGCATAAGCCCAGGAGACAGGAGATGTGGATCCAAACCCTAGCTTTCCCTCAGGCTGGCTGTGAGACCTTGGGCAAGTCTCCCAACCTCCCTGAAATGATTTTTTTGCAAAACAGAAACTATAATGCCCACTTTAATAGGTTGTAATGAGGATTAAAGAGTCAGTGCGTGACAAGTGCCTGGCACAGAGATGCTATTCAAAAACAACCAATTCGTCTACCACGTGGAGAAAATTGCTCTCATGCCCGGTTAGGTTTCTGGAGATCAAGTTTGAGCTCTGCCATATCCCCAGTGTATGCCCTTAGATAAGGAACTACACCTCTCAGACTCCTCCTATGAAAAATGGGGTAATTTTCTCTCCATTTCAAGAGGACTGTGAGCATGAATGACAAGGTCTAGAAAGAATCTAGGGTGACATTTGGCACATAGTAGGCACTCAGTAAAAGGAAGCTAATATAACAAGGCATGGTGGGTTTTATGGGAGTGAAAAAAACCCAATTCTTTCCCCTGACAAAACCTTTGGTCAAATCTTGTGGCTCTCCGAGGGCAAGAACTATCACTTACTTTTTTGTTTTCTCTGCCACCATGATACCTTAGTCTAGGGCCTGCCACACAGTAGGAGTCCTGCAATGGTAGCTATTGCTTGCATCTCCTGACCTGGATCCCTACTAGTCTATATAAGGCTTTTGTACAACACAAAAGTGGCTACTCTGAGAAGACCCTGTCCTGTGAGCATATGGCTCAGTGGATAGCGTATAGGCTGGGTTCTAATCCTTATCACCCCTCTGCCTGGGCATACTTTCGCAGTACTCAACTTGAACAACTTGAAGGTTTTGGAGCTTTACTTCAGAACCGTCCTCTTGGGAGTCTGTGGTCATTCACTATCCAACAAAAGATTCAGAGATTCATTGGATGCTTGGGAGCAAAGATCTCAGAGAGCTTTCACTTGAAACCCTTTAATTGGGTTAAAGGGTTTAGCCCTTTAAATCCTTCGAGTGTGGTGGCTTACACCTGTAATCCTAGTACTTTGGGAGGCCAAGGCCAGAGGATCATTTGAGGACAGGAGTTTGAGACCAGCCTGGGTAACATAGCAAAACTCCATCTCTACAAAATATTAAAAAGAAAATTAGCTAGGCATGGTGGTATGTACCCGTAGCCCTACCTGTTCAGGAGGCTCAGGCAGGAGGATCACTAGAGCCCAGGGGGTTGAGGCTGGAGTGAGCTGTGATTGCGCCACTGCACTCCAGCCTGGGCAACAGAACAAGATTCTGTCTCAAACAAACAAACCAAACCAACAACAACAATGGAAATCCCCAACCATTTAATTGCTTCCAGGATGGAGTCCAGACTCCTTACCTGGCCATCAAAACCTCCGGCATGAGCCCTACCTCCATCCCCTTCCAGTTCTCAGATGCACCATACTCTGTCTTCCCACTTGTCTTTCAAACACACTGAGTCCCCTCTCCTGAACCACCTCACCACTACCACCCAACTCTTCTCTTCTGTTCTCTGCCTAAACTAAATCCAAGAGGCTGCCCCTGTGTACAACAGCCCTATTCTATTACCTCTTGGCTCCCTGCACTTCTCCTTCTATCATGTGCATCACTCGTGTATTTTCTGTTCCTTGTTTACCTTCTCTACTCTTGTGTGTGCTTCTGGACAGGAAGAACGCTCAATAGAGCACTGAAGTCAGAGCTCAGGGTCTAAAGGAAGACTTGACTCCCAACTCGTCCAGATAGTAGCCAGCATGTGACTTTGAGCAAGTCACTTAACCT
This sequence comes from Homo sapiens, assembly GCF_000001405.40. Lineage (NCBI taxonomy): Eukaryota > Metazoa > Chordata > Mammalia > Primates > Hominidae > Homo > Homo sapiens. The sequence continues at coordinate 34,022,349 of NC_000001.11, read as the reverse complement.
CCTCTGACCCCTTATCATAGGAGGACAATAAGAATAATAAACCCTACTCCATGGGATTGTTGTAGGGAAGAAATGGGGTAACACATCAAGTGCTCCTAATAATGCCTGGCATAGAATAAACACTCACTAAGTGGATGTGTAAGCTATTAGGATCACTCTTCACAGTTGTGCCTAGCCCAGGGTCAGACACATAGTAGGTGCTCAATAAATACCGATTAAACAAGTGAATGGATAAATGATCGTCTTGCCCCATGTGAAAGGCCCAGGCAAGAAAAGAGATTTAGGCTCAAGGTACCTGATACCATATTTCTTTGACTCTAAGATGCCCCCAGTCGTAAGATCCAGCTTTAGTTGATGTACCATTAAGAAAGAAAAAAATGCTGCCAATTAAAGTGTGACATGCCATTGACTATAAGACACATCCTAATTTCAGAGATATTAAAATATGGAAAAGCTTGCACCCTAGAACCGATGAAATATGGTAACTGCTTAATTGCTCCTAACCACCCCTTAGCCTCAGTTGAGGTGTACTTATCATTCCAACCTGTTCTCTGACCCAGAGCTCTCTGATGGTCAGGATTCCTCCTTTTCAGCATTCAGGTGGGGACTCTTTACCATGTGATCACCTGTTAATTTATTCTCTTGGCTCCAAGTCTCATTACTTCTCAATTTTCTGCATTGAACTCTATTTAACACTTATTAGCACAGGTCTTTAGCTGATAAACACCCTTTTCACGGGAAGCAGCAGGGTGCCCCAGGCTTGACCCTGCCTCCCATAACCGTGCTCAAGGCAGGGGGGCCCAGAGACCCCCAAACATGGCTAGCTCAGGACCACTGCCAGCCCACTCCCAGCCCCTCCCAGGATGGATCCCTTGGTACCGAAGAACCACTGGGTGGGGACCTGGATGTGATTTCTCCCGTGTGGATAGAAGGGGAGAGGGTTGTCCTTCAACTGCTGCTCTGGTAGGGACCGTAGCTGGACATGCATATCTGTCTCCTTCCTGTGCCCTTGGGTCAGGTGACCCTGTTGGAGCTTCCTCCACTGACCCCAGCCCTAGAGGTTTAGGGGATGCATGCCTTTCTGCCACCTCTTCCTTGGGGTGACTTATTTCCCAACCCATGAGCCCAGCATCAGTGGGGAGAGAACACTTCCAAACAGAAGTGTCAAATTGAATATTTCAGTCCCACCTCTTGCCATTAATGAATAACTCAGGAGTGATTAACCACTGTTTTGGATTATTCTTTCTACCTTTTCCTTCATTAATGTGAATAACTGAGAGTTGAACCCACTGATATTTCATTTTAACAGCAGGAGAGAAAAGCACTTACCGCATTAGGTAGGAGATTCTGATTTGGAGATTTGGCGGTGGACAGATGGCATCCCTGTCCTTCCCCTGTGGATGCCGTTACATGATAGGAGTTGTTTCACAGTCCTTTATCCTCATACAAGCTGCAGGGTCCATAGCCCAGGGCCTCTGAGATGAAGACAACAAAGGAACTGGCACTTGTCGAGCACCTTCGACATGCTCAGCAATGCAGGGGTGGGGGCTTTATAGACAACAACCGACACATAACCACCTCGTGAGCAAGGCCTTAGGATCCCCATTTTACAGATAAGGAAGTTGAGGCCTAGAGAGGTGAGTTACCTTGCCTGAGGTGAACCAGGACCTAAAGGTCATGCACAATTTAAAAATCAGTCTGGTTCCAAAGCCCACACTCTCCACCGTGTTCCTGCTGAAAATAAGCCCTGCACAGTTCTCCAGGCCTGCCCCACTCGCCTACCCCTACCCCACAGCAGGAGAGGCCTGGGAGAGTCGGGTGGGCCAGCAGCATGACGCTGGGGCATCTCCTTGAGCCTGTGGTCCCCAGCCCTGGCCTTGCTCAGGGCGTTGTTGCTGCCTGAGACCCGTCTCATGGACAGTGGCTTTGCTTCCCAGCTCTGTCATCCTTCCTTCCAGCTCTCCGCTTCCTGTTATCCCTCAAGACCTTTATCCAGCTATATTTGCAGAGTAAACAGACTGGGCTTGGTAATGAATTACTTGACCAGGAGCTAATCTTGGGAAGTGGAGGGGACAGGGCAGGTGAAACACATTTGAGCCTCAGGGCCTCCATACATTCTGTTCCCCTTGCCTGTACCCAGTGGCCCCAAAGCCCTCTCCCTGGTTCCATTCAGCTCTGTGCTCATGTGTCTTCTTATTGAGAAGCCTTTTCTGACCACACTGTATATAACACAGCACCTGTTACCCATCACTCCCTAGCACCTCCTGACATATGCTATGACTGTTTATTTATTTGCTTATTGTCCTTCTCTGCAAGAATGTGAGCTTCCTGGGGTCAGGAGCTTTGTGTTGTTTTGCATTACTATTGTTCTGTGCTGATTCCTCAGCTCCTAGGACAGGTCCTGTCACATGTTAGGTACTCAGTAAATATTTGGTGAATGAATGGAATCAAAGACCAGAAGAAAGAGCAAAGGCATTTGAGCAACTGCAAGAAGGGCAGTTGTGGAGTATGAGGGCAGGGGTGTGGCCGGAGCTGAACTGGCTTGAGGGACAGGGAATAGCTCATGTAGGACCTAGGAGGCCACAGGAAGGAGTTCGGGCCTTACTCACAAGAAGGGGACCATCGCTGAAGGGTCTTAGGCAGGGAAGTGGCTCCGTGAGATTTATGCTTTAGAGACATTGGGGAGAGCAGGGGCAGACTGCGGGGAAGGAAACCAGTCACAGGAGGCAAAGCAGGGACCACTGTCGAGCATAGAATGTTTCTGAACCTTCACCAGCACTGAGGATGGTGCCAGGACAAGGGGAGACCAAGCCCAGGGCTCACTCCCTACATTGCCTTTATGGATGGACATTTACACTGCTGGAATAGAAGGAATGCCCTCTACGTGGAGCAGCTTAGCCTTCACAATTGCTTACACAGTTGTTTGTGATATTTCTGTCTGTTCTGCTGACATTCAGATGTGACTGTAACTGATTGAACAAGCTCACCTGAAGAGTCTTGCTGAATAGATGAATGTTCAAGTGCTGGGGTCTCCAGTTGTGAGTGATGTGGGTGGAGCCCTAGAGATCATACTGGGAAATTATGCAGAGGAGTCAGGGCAGGGAGACATAGCAAATGCATTGGGTGATGATGATCGTCAGGATGATAATGAAAGCTAGCATTGCTGGGGCTCTTACCAGGTGCCAGGCACTCTTCTAAGTGCCTTACATTTTAACATTTAATTCTCAAGCAGTCCTTTGAGGTAGGCCCTATTATTATCTCCATTTTACAGATGAGGCACTGAAAGTTAAGTAACTTGCTTGAGGTCACACAGCTAGTAAGAGGTAAAGTGTGGGTTTGAATCCAGACAGTTTGACTTCAGTCTACAAAAAGGAATAAAATAATTTCACATAGTTGCGACTATTGGATCCAAATTAAATATTCCACTATAATAGGGAGCAGTGTCAAGCTTTGTACTTTAAAAAATCTAACAAAAGGAAAAGATTAGTGATCAGACTATATTCAAATGTAAAAGTTCTGCACAATAAAAATCATGTAAAATGGGAAGAGAAACAACTGACTTGAATAATATTCTACCAAATGTGGCAACAAAGGGTTAACCTCTGCATTGTATAATGAACCCATACAAAGTGGTAAGAAAGGTATCAAGGAGTTCACACCAGAGGAAATAGAGTCAGCAAATAAATACATAGCAGCACTACCTGGTCCTGATAGTTATCAGTGTAATGTCAATTAAGACAATGAAATGGCACTTTATCCCTATTAAATTAGGCTGAAGAACTTCGGTGGGTATGATGCAGTGCTGGAGTGGTGGCAAAGACACAGACACACTCGCACATGGCTGGTGCTGATGTAAATTAGTCCTTTGGAAATCCAGCTTGACAGTATGTATCAAGAGTCATAAAATGCTCATGTCATTTGACCCAGTAATTCCCCTCCTGGGAATATATCCTAAGGAAATAATTCAACAGAAGAAGAAAGTTATATGCATGAAAGTGTTGATTTCAGCATTATTTATAATGATGAAAAATTGGAAACTGTAAAAATGTCCAACAGTAGGGGCATGGCCAGGCAAATTATGGTAGATCTACCTAATAGATTTATGCAGTCATTTAAAAGTATAATAGCATTATTTGGCAATACAGAAAGATGTTTATGATATTATTTTCTGTGAAAAAACCAGAATGCAAAATGGATTCTTCATATTTATTACAAACATGTAAAGTAGGTCTTATATGAACAGGGACTGGATGGAAATAAAAAAAGAAACAGTTGACGTGGGCAGGCAGTGAGATGTGGGTGAATTTTTTTTTAAGTTCCTCTTTATGGCTACTCAAGTGTTGTTTGTGTGATAAATAGCAAATGGGAGAAAAACCAAAATCAGAGTAAACTAACACTCAAACCAACATCAGTGAAGTCCTGGCTTGTGTGAAAGCTATGTGGAGGTGTCAGTTGGCTATGAACATAACATGAATCAAATGTCACATGGCTCTATTAATGGAAATATAGACTCTGGATCTTGGAGGGTGGATGCATTCAGAAGAAGGAAATTCATGTAATAAAGCATTGATCAGTAGCAAGGTGTTTTGTTTTGTTTTACGGAGATAAGGCCTTACTCTGTCACCCAGGCTGGAGTGCTATAGTGTGATCATGGCTCACTGTAGCCTTGACCTCCTGGGTTTAAGTAATCCTCCTGCCTCAGACTACTGAGTAGCTGGAACTACAGGTGTGCACCACTATACTCGGCTAAATTTCTGTAGAGATGGTATCTTGCTATGTTGCTCAGGCTGGTCTCAAACACCTGGGCTCAAATGATCCTTCCATCTCAGCCTCCCAAAATGCTGGGATTACAGGCATGAGCCACTGTGCCTGGCCACAAGATGTTTTTGAGGGTCATGGATTGTATCTCTAGCACAAGACCCAAAACTAAGTAGGTATTTGGGAGAAATTAATGAGACAAGTAACTATGAAACAAAGAATAGTTAAGGAGAAGATCTGGAAGTGACAAGAGAGTTTCTCTCACAGAAGACAAATAAGGATTCGTTCTGCATTGCTGCAGGGAGTAGAACAATGTCCAATGGAAAGATGTTAAAAGTAGGTGAATTTCAGCCAAGAATCAAGAAGTTGTTTTATATAGCTTTAATTACCCTAAATTGGAGTAGGCTGCCTTGTGATGTAATGAGTTCCTCATTTCTGGAGGTGATCAAGCAAGGCTTTGATTGATCAAGCTCTGCCAAGGATTCTGTTAACATACTTTCCAAACTGGCATATATACTGGATTTTATCAAAGTTGACATTCTATTGACTGTAAGATGTACCATTATTTTATGCACCACTAAGAAAGAAAACAGTGCCAGTTAAACGATCACGTACCCTTGGTTGTAATACTCATTCTAATTTCTGAATTGTTTATATGTGAAAAAAAACTGTGAAATACAATATAGCCCTGAGGGTTGCATGATGGGAGCACCAAAGCCTACAAGCTAAATGTGGCACGTTTTCTAATCTTATCGTAAAGCAAATATACATACAATCATTCTATCTGTCTATCTATCTATCTATATCAAATAGTAAACTAAATACATATATTTCAACCAAATATATATTTTAAAAATATGTTTCTTTATGCAGTCTATCACTGATGGGCATTTGGGTTGGTTCCAAGTCTTTGCTATTGTAAATAGTGCTGCAATAAACATACATGTCCATGTATCTTTATAGCAGAATGATTTATAATCCTTTGGGTATATACTCAGTAATGGGATTGCTGGGTCAAATGGTGTTTCTGGTTCTAGATCCTTGAGGAATCGCCACACTGTCTTCCACATATACACCATGGAATACTATGCAGCCGTGAAAAAGAATGAGTTCATGTCCTTAGCAGGGACATGGATGAAGCTGGAATCCATCATCCTCAGCAAACTAACAGAGGAACAGAAAACCAACACCGCATGTTCTCACTCATAAGTGGGAGTTGAACAGTGACAATACATGGACACAGGGAGGCAAACATCACACTCTAGGGCCTATTGGGGGTGGGGGGAAAGGGAAGGGAGAGCATTAGGACAAATACCTAATGCATGAGGGGCTTAAAACCTAGATGACGGGTTGATAGGTGCAGCAAACCACCATGGCACATGTATACCTGTGTAACAAACCTGCACATTCAGAACATGTATCCCAGAACTTAAAGTAAAATTTAAAAACGTATATGTTTCTCTATAAATAAAATGATAAACTATAAATCTTAACTAAATATATGTATATAAATAAAATATTCATGCACATAAACTAAATACACACATACACACACACACACACACACACACACACACAGAGCAAGGAGTCCAGTGTAAATGGGCATCTTTCAAAAGATAGAGGAGGAGATTTCAGAGATATCCTTCTGGTGGCTGGCCATACTTTCTTGAGCCCCATGTCCCAGGTGCATGCACCCACATTCTTTTCCTGCTGAAGATTTATTCGTGTGAGAAGCTTGGCTGAACTGCATAGGGGCTTGCTCTAGATGCTTTCTAAAATCCATGACAAATCTAGGAGTCGCTAATCCAATGGATCTATAATACTTTAAATCAGCAACTCCTTATCCACTCATTCCATTGACTTTGATTCCAAAGTGCTTTCTAATCCCTAGTATTGGTCTAGGCCCTGCCTCTCAGATGCCATGAACAATAAGACTGCAGGGATCCAGGCCTGTGGCCCTCCTGTTGTACCAGAGCTCCAGCATCTCTGGAACCCCTACAGCCCTTTGTGATCCAGGAATCTGCAGAGTGCCTGGGAAGGGATGGGTGCTTTACCCAGGCATTAGCTTTCCCCAGGCCCAAGTAAGCCTAGACCCAGTGCCATGGTGGCTCCTCATGCCTCTCACCTAGCTAGTCTCCCACCCACTTCTGGAGGCAGGGAAGAGAAAGGACACTGCTGGGACAATAGGATAAGCCTACACTTTGGAATCATAGAGTTCTTGGGTTAATCTACCACTCACTGTGGAATGCTCTGTAATATCTCTGAGGCTCAGTTTTCTCAACTGTAAAATAGGGGTATGAGCATAATGAGATAACAGCAGAGCTCACATACAGCCATGCCCAGTGAGGTCGAGTGTGCTTCCCCTCCAAGATCCCATTTTGCCCTGGGAAGGAAAAGAATTTTCAGCAGGAAAAGAATGTGGGTACATGCACCTGGGTTCTGGGGGCTCCAGCTAGTATGGTCATGGGACACTTCTCCTAAAGCTTCTGTGTCCGTCTCAAATGAGGGGTAAGATACAGGAGGACTTCCTTCTTTTCTTGAGAAATATGCCTGGAAGACTGTAGTTTTAGCAGCTCCACCCTTCATAAGCCAGGGAGAATACATATTTTCTTTCCTGTGCTGCACACCCAGCTGTCTTGGGGAAAAGCACAGACCCTGCTTAGAGGCACACATGGACTGGTTGGCTTCTGGCTGAGGCTTCTTGGTACAGAGAGTATCTTTGTTTCTCATTGTCCAACCAAGAACAAACAGGAGGAAATGTCCTCAAACACTATAAAGGTTATGCAAACCTAGGTGTTTTGTTGTTGCTGTTGTTCATCTACCCATCCATCCATTCATATGCCTTGAATACCTCTTCTGAACAAGGCCTGGAAAAACCCACATGGGTAGCACCAGCCCTTGCCCTTGGGCAATCATGGTCTAGTGGAGGAGACAGATAAAAAATCAGACAACTGTGACAACTGCTGGAGAGCTGAGCGCTTAGGGCACAGTGGTCGCTTGCCTAGGCTCCAGGAAAAGATCACACTAGAGCGACTGTGGATTCCACACCATGGCCTACTGGGGAATTCCCAGGCTCTGAGCCAGCAGCACTTCTGACCTCTCAAGGTGAGAGTTCCCCTGGCATATCTGGAGAACAGAGATGCAACCAGTGCTCCTGGAGCAGAGTGAGGGAGACGAGTGGTAGGAAGAGATAAAGTTGGAGACAAGGGACCAGGTCACACACAGCCTTTACATTATGGGAAGAACTTGGCTTCTACTGAGTTTATCAGGACCCATGGGCAGGTTCTGAGCAGAAGCTGACCTGGTCTGACCTAGCTTTAACCAGCTGCTGTGCTGAGAATATGCTGAAGGAGTGCAGAGTGGGAACAGGGAGACTGGCCCGGAGTCTAATGCAGCAATGCAGGTGAGAAGCCAGGGGGCGCTCTGGGTGAGAGCCGCAACGGTGAAGGCGGAGAGAAGTGGGCATCTTCCAGACAGTTTGAAGGTGGAGCTAATAGAACTGGCTGGCAGATTAGAAGTGGGTGCTGGAGAGGAGCCAAGGTTAGCTCCCAGGGTTTGGGGGGATCAACGGGCAGTATGGAGCTGCCCTTAACTGAGGTGGCAAAGCCCATAGGAAGAGCAGGTTTGGGGTGCGGAGATCAGGAGCTCAGTTCAGACTGTTAGGTGTGAGAAGCCTGCCAGGAATATGGGAGGAACTGGTGGGTAGGCAGCTGGATGGAGAGAACCTATCTGCCCATGTAAGTTGGAGCATCCTTAGCGTGTAGATTGTATTGAAAGCCATGAGGTCAGATGAGATGACCTCGCAAGGGAGCAGAGACAGAAAAGAGGGATTCTCTTTACTCCCCAAGGCTGCCTTTGCCTGTGGTATTCAGAGAGTGCCCTTTGCCCCTTTTTTTCCCCAGGTGTGGACCTGGAAAACAGTTATGTCTGTTTCTGGTTCTTGCAGCAGTTGTAGTGTCAGCTCCTTCCAGAGGTCTAAGAAGGGGCAGATCAGGCTGTAGAGAGCTGGGAACCAAGAACAGTACCGCCCCTGGCAAAGGAGACCTAGCCCCTGCCCCGAAGGGCTTCCCAGCTCCCTACTTATCTCCCTGAAGCAGGTGCCCAGCTCCCAGCAGGAGCTCAGCACATGTTGGCTGAGTGGAGGGATTTGGGGTCTCAGGAGAGCTGGTGGGTTCTACCCCGCGGTCCTGAGAGAAGCAAGAAGGACTGTGTTGTCAAGAGGATGCCCCTCTGAGGGAGAGAGGCAGGTCGTGTGTGTGCATGGGTGCCAGGGAGCAGATGGCAGCGCAGACAAAGGCTCGCCCATGGCACAGAGCACAGAAGCTCATCTCTGCCTGGCAGGCACCTATTGCCCAGGGAACGATGGATTGAAAACTCCATAATGGCACGATGATGACTGATAATACTTGAAAGGAAACTGCAACGTCTGCTTTCAAAGCAGCCCTCCCCGGAAGGCTGAACTGCCCTCAGCTCCCATCTCAGTGCCTTTGTCGATGGCCATAACGCTCAGCCAGCTTGCTAGCGTTCACACCTAGAGAACAATTAATCAATCTGTGGCTTGGGCTTAGTGTTGGGCTTCTTCCTAAAGGCTAATCGTTGGTTCACAAAAAGGAAGCTTTGCTGGCCCATTGCAGATGGGAACCCCAGGAAAACAAAATGCAGACAAGCCTGGAGAGGCAAATGTATCCCCTTTGTGCCCAGGCCCTGGCAGCTATGTTGAAGGAAGCTGTATGGGACTTGGTTATATTTCACTGGCTTTGTTTATGTGACTGTGTGTGTTTGAAGGATAATCTTTTATTCATTCAACATATATTTATTGTGTACTTACTACTGTGTGCCAGGCATAATTTGAAATTCTAGGCTCAGAGCAGTGAATAAAACAGATAAAAATTCTCTGTCCTTATGGAGCTTACATTCTAGTATATGGAGCAGATAATAGACAAGCTACATGATGAAATCCTGTCTTTAATAAAATTACAAACATTAGCCGGGCGTGGTGGTGCATGCCTGTAGTCACAGCTACTCAGGAGGTTGAGGCAGGAGAATCACTTGAACCTGGGAGGCAGAGGTCGCAGCGAGCCAAGATCACGCCATTGTACTCCAGCCTGGGTGACAAAGCAAGACTCTCAAAAAAGAAAAAAAAAATAGACAAGTTAAAAGAGAAAATTGTGTAGTATGTACATGTTGATGTGCAAAGCAAATTAAGAAACAGAGGAGGATAAGACGGATCTGGGGTGGAGGGATGACCATTTTAGATGGGCAGTTTGGGAAGACCTTGAGAAGGTGGTATTTGTGTGAAGAGGTGAAAGAGGTGAAGGACTGAAGCCTGGGAGAAGAGTGTCCCGGCAGCGGGAAGAGCAAGGGCAAGGCTCTGAGGTGGGCCTGATCTGCTGGAGGAGCAAGGAGTCCTGGGTGGCTCGTGGGGATGGGTGGGGAGAGAGGCATAGATGGTGGAATCGGAGAGGCTGTGGGGCCACAAGACAGTTCCTGATAGACTTAAAACTGGAAGAAAACTGTGAACCATTCAGCCCAAATTCCCAGTTTTTCAGATGAGGAAACGGCTTCTAGCCACTCAAAGCGATGTTTATAGTCTCACTGTCAGTAGCAGACCTGGTTCTATCACTCAGGTGCCTTGATGTCCAAATTACTCCTTTTCATTTAACTCATCTCGTCACTCAGAACGTGCTTATGGGTTACCAGAGGCTGGGAAGGGTTGTGAGTGGGGAGGGAGGAGGGGAGGATGATTAATGGGTTGAAAAAATCATTATCATGAATAAGACCTACTATTTGATACCCCAACAGGGTAACTATAGTCAATAATCATTTAATTTATGCTTTAAAATAACTGAAACAGTATAATTGGATTGTTTGTAACACAAAGGATACATGCCTGAGGGGATGGATACCCCATTCTTCATGATGTGATTATCACCCATTGCATGCCTGTATCAAAACATCTCATGTACCCCATGAATATATACACCTATGTACTCAACAAAAATTAAAAATTAAAAAAAAGAATACACTTATAGGCTTTTCACTCACTATTGGACATGAGCTATAAACAAAACTGGTGGAGAGGCCCCGGGAACTAGGGTGGGGAAAGAATGGACTCTCTTAGGCACGTGCTCATAGCCTCTCTTCGTTTCTGTTTCCCATCTTGATGGAAACACTGCAACGTTTACCTCACCTCAGAGCAAATGGAAATGGGACTCCTTTGCCAGTTTACCAAACTGATTTCCGGACTTTTGTCAGTTTTGATAGCAGTCCACCCCAACCCACCTTTATATGTAGAAGTTATTAGAAAGAGTTATTAGACTGGGGCTCAGCCTCTGGTGGGAAAAAGAAGGGAAGCATGTAGTAATCTGATCAGGAATTACTAGCACAGTGCCAGGCAGTGGGGATTCACTCATGAGCACAGGCAGCCTCTCCCTGAGACCTCCTGGAGCCCCCAGCCCAGCTTGGGGCTAGACCAGTAGTCAAAACACAGTGACCAAGGCTGTGAAGGGGTTGACACGGGACCATGGGAGTGAAATGGAAGGGCATCCAAGCCAGACTTAAGGTGAATGGGTTAGGGAAGGCCTCCTAGAGGAAGTAAAGACCTAAAGGATGAAAAGAAGGTGGCTAGGCCTTCCCAAGGCAGAAGGAAGCTCAAAAACAAATCACTGGCCAGGCGCGGTGGCTCATGCCTCTAATCCCAGCACTCTGGGAGGCCGAGGCGGGCAGATCACGAGGTCAGGAGATCGAGACCATCCTTCACCGAGGCTAACACGGTGAAACCTCGTCTCTACTAAAAATACAAAAAATTAGCCTAGCGTGGTGGCAGGCGCCTGTAGTCCCAGCTACTCAGGAGGCTGAGGCAGGAGAATGGCGTGAACCTGGGAGGCGGAGCTTGCAGTGAGCCGAGATCGTGCCACTGCACTCCAACCTGGGTTACAGAGCGAGACTCCGTCACAAAAAAAAAGAAAAAAAAGAAAAAAAAAATCAAGAGAGTCAGTGTGGCAGGCCCTGCTGACGATCAACCTGGATTCGGGTCCAGCTCCATTGGTTACACCCTTTGTGACCTCGGGCCAGTCACTGAACCTCTCTAAGCCTCAGCTTCCATGTTTATAAAATGAGACTAACAATAGAACTTACCTTACAGAGTTACTGTTAAAAGGACATAACAGGAGAATGCAGGTAAACTATGTGGCACATTTTAAATGCTCGTAGATGATGGATTATCCTTATAATCCAGTATGGTAGAGGGTTGTGGATGATAACTCCCTTACAGGCCCTGCTTCCTGGAGGTGGCACCACTGTGGCTGAGTCTTACAGGAAGAGGGTCAGTGAACTAAGGGAAGGATGAAGAAGTGGAGAGGAAGGGATTCCAGACAGAAAGAGGAAAGACTGAGCAAAGACTGGAGGCCAAGGCCCACATAGAGTGGTGGAAAGCTGCATGTGATTCAGTCTCTGGGAATAGTATCAGAAGGCAAGGAAGGCTCTACAGCAGACAGACCTGTATGAATATTAAGGATCTGAACATTGTCCTGTAGACAATGGAGAGCCACTGAAGGGCTCTTAGAAGCAAGGAGGTGACACAATTAGACATTTCAAAAGATCACTCTGGCTGCTGAAGGGAGAATGGATTGCAAGGATGCAAGACTGGAGGCTGGGAGCCCACTTAGGAAAACATTGCCTTGGTCCAGATAAGAGATGATGAGACGTGAGCTAGGATAATGGCCATGGGAATGGGATGTAGGGGAGAGACTAGGGTTGAGTCACATAGGAGTGAAATCAGCAGGAGTTAATATTTTATTAAATGTGGGGGAGTGGGGGTAGGAGGAAGCAATAAGGCAAAGGAATGTGCAGAATGTCCAAGAAGTCAGCAGTTTTTGGAAAGAAACTCCTGATGGATTTAGGAGTTAAGCGCTACTATATGCTAGTTAACCCTCCAGGAGGGTGTGAGATCACTCAGGGAGAGGCAGTTTCAGTGGGGAGGGCAGTGGTTAGCGAGGGAGTCTTGGGAGAGACCCAGGGCAGGCAGAGGAAGAGGCTTACATGGAGGGACCATCACTGAGGTCCCAGGAGAGCTGGGAGTAGATTGAGCAGATATTGGGGTCAGAGGCTCCAGGAGTGGTGTCAGCAGGGTAAAGGCCCAGAAAGATCAGGGCGGCACAGTGTCTCCTGGCTTCAGCTCTCAGATGCTACCCTGGAGTATGCAGAGTTCACTGTGGAAGGCCCTTCCACCTTCCCCCACCCCCGACCCTCAATTCAGGGGGCTGAGGCAAGAATTGGAGGTGAGCAAGTAGAGAAGGGTGTCTGGTCACCTCTTATAGGACATTAAAATGATAAGGGGAGACGTGGGGCCAGCTGGGGTTCTGGGTTTGTTTGGCTTTGTTTTTCTCATAGGAGAGACAAGGGTGAGTTTAAAAACCAATGGAGCTTGCTGGAAAAAAGAGAAAAGGATCACTAAGTCCTGAGAGAGAAAGGGTCCTGAGAAGGAGGAAGAGCCCCTTATTCTCTGCAGCTGGCTCCAAGTGGTTAAGGATGGGTGAGTTTGTGTGGTATGTTGTGTGTTGTGTTGTGTGTGTGTCAGAGGGTGGATGGGGTAGGCAAAGTGGATGGGGTAGGCAAAGAAAGCTGGGGAGCTCACACCAAAATATCCTCAATTTCTTCCATAACAGGCTGAGGTGAGAAGGGTTGTGAAGATGTCAAATCAACATTCATTCATTCATTCAGCAAATAGTTATGGTGCACCCACTGTATGCAAAGCACTTGAGAGGCACTGGGAATATAGTCATGAACAACACACACCCTGTCCTCATGGAACTTACAGCCTAGTAGGGGAAGAGATGTTAAACAAGCAACCACACAGATAAATACAAAGCTATTAATGAATAAATGAATATCGTAAGACTTCACTTATATTCCTACAAAGCTCCAACTTTATTAGAAGCTGCCCATCTGTGTGTTTAGGTGAGAAAGAGTTTTTGAACGTGAACCTATTGTTCTCCTTAGTTCTGTTGAACAGAACAGCATCATGATAGAGCCCTGAGGCAGAAAACTAGAGACCACCTTCAGATGGGCGCAAGTCTACTGACTTAACCTACATCTTTTTATTAGTACTCAGACCTAGCAGTTCTTTGTATTGACTCACAGAAGCTTCTGCCCATCCACAGTACTTTGTATGAGAAGAAACAACATGGTACAACTAAAAGAGTTGGGATTTGGGGTTGGAAAACCCGATGTTAAAGTCCCAGCCATGCTGCTCACTAGGGGGACAAGATGAATGAGACATTTAACCTTTCAGGACCTTCATTTCTTCCTGCATTAAAATAGGCTGAATCCTGACACCTGCTCTGCCTTCTTCACAGGGTACTTTGGAAGGTGAAATGAAGGAACCTGTGGGGAGATGGGTGGTAAACGTAAAGTATGGAGCACGTCTGTGGTTTTATTTTTCACCTGTGCCCACTTGGAGTTGGAGCCAGTGACAGATGAGTGCAGAGAATTGACAGCAAATTTCAGAATTCTGATTTGGTTTTGCGCACTCCATAAAGCATAATTATTTGTTGGTTTAAGTGAGATCTCCAGGCTTTTTCAAATAGTCAAACAATTTATACTCAAACTGCATTTTGACAGCCAGCCTTGGATATGCTCATCTTTTTTCAAGACCACATGTCTTGCTTTTACAGATTGTGTTACATGTTCATGGAAGAAAATGGGAGACATTCACAAGAGCACAAAGAAGAAAATTAAAATCAACTATTATCACACCCCCTAGATATAACCACAATTAATATGTAATTTATTCTTCCAGGCATATATGTGCATATTAGTGCATAAAATTCGAAATATATATATTTATGCTATTTATATTGCTATAATTATTCAGCCAATCCCCTGTGTTTAAATTTAGATTGTTTCTACTCTTCCCCTTTGACAGATAATGCTGTCGTGAAACATTCCTATACATAAATCATTGGGATGCATCTGATTATTTCCTTAGAATAAATCTATAAGGGCATGGCCATTTCAAAGAGTTTTGGTATGTGGCTTCAAATTGCTTTCCAGGGAGATTTATGTTCTTATCAGTAATGCATACCCATTTCTTCACTCCCTCCCCAACACTGAATATTAACAATTTTAAACCAATTAGTTTAAAATTGGATGGGTAAAAGGTGGTTCAACAACAGGGGTCAGAGGAGGCCAATCTTGAGGGATTGCCCATATCCCAACAGCTGTAGGACTCTTAGCAGAACTCCTGTTTCTCAGAAGCTTGTTGTTCCATGGCCAGGGTCTGGCCTGCTTCCCATCCACAGAGGACCGAGTAAGTGCTCCTTGTATGCTTTCCCCAGAGTGGGCACTTCCATGAGGCTGAGGTCACTTCCATGAGGCTGAGGTCAGGCGTGATGCTCAGGGGTGTCTGAGTCCTGGAGACAGAGAGGGAGCTTCAGGTCGAGGCGGGCCAGTCCTCTGCTTATCATCTTGGATGCAATTCTGGACTTCGACTTAAATAAAGGTCCTTTTTTAGGTTCCACCAGAAGTGGGCACCAGGATGCTCTGGTCATTCACAGGGCATGCCTCTTTCCAGACTAGATGCAGAATCTCCAGAGGCAGTGAGCTAGCATTCTGCCCCGGGAGAGAACATTTTTTATGGCTAGATGGGAGCGTGTCACAGTTTCCATGCCTGAGAGAGTCTGGCAGTGGAATCCCTGGGGGACACTCACCTTCCTCACCAGCACTTGCATACTCCTTGGGGGCCTTTACTGTCTTGGACCTGGGGAACCTTGGGGTAGTTACGACTCCACACTGGACATGGCTGGTGGCTTATAGGGGATGAGAAGGCAGAGAGCATGAACTTCCTGAGCCTAGTACCCAAGAATGAACTGTGGCTCATTTGCTTATTCATCCCACCTTGCATTGTGCTAGTTATTAGATGGAAAAAAAATGAAGATAAACAGGACCAAGTCTTTTGGTGACTTGTAGGAGCTCACAAGTAAGACAGACAAACCTGTCAACCAGCAATTGCAAAACAATGAAGTGTTTGATAAGCCCTAGAATAATTTCTTTCTGAGGCTCTGGAAACCCAGGCTACTCACCTATCTTTATCTGTTATTTATACTCTAGAGAAGTTCCTCTGGAAACAGTGTGGAGGTGAACGGTGGTGAGAGGGTCAGGTAATGAGATCTGGGGTGGGATGGGGTGGAATAGGAGCAGTTGATCTATTGGCGGCTCTAGGTTGAAGCTCCTGGAATAATAGAAGCAGGTGTAGGTGGGGTCTTGGGGACACAGAATTCTCCAGGTGCAACGTACAGCATCCCCATCCTCTAGGCAAGATATTAATCTCTGAGTTAAGGACTAAGGGACCCTGATGAGGTCTGGGAGGACTGTCTCAAAGGTTCTCTAGACTGAGGCACCTTGGCTTTGTATTTGGCTGGGATTCAGGATGGAGTGAGTGATGAACCAAGATGGGCTGGAGTTCTAAGAGGGCCAAGTATATACTGATAGAAGGATATGGTAGTGAGGGCAAATGGACTTTGTCTTGTATTGCCAATATCAGTCAATTGGTTGTGGTTGACAAAAACCATGTGTTCAGACCACATCTAGATTCACTGAGAAGAGGGCAGAGATCAATTAGTGATGTCTGCATGGGGGTGGATGAGCAAAATAGTGGCACATGTGCTATTTGTGTCATTTCTGACCTCAGGCATCACAGAGCATATTGCTGGATGGCAGAGAGGATAGCATCATAACAGTGTGCATGATTGATGCTTATACCTGGGAAGCAGGCTGCATAGGCTCTGCTAGAATACAAATCTGAGGTATCAGAGGAGTAGGAGCCATCCATGGAAGAAAGACTCTTGAGCTCAGCAGTGTCCCAAACCTTGGTGACCAGAATCTGACAAGGTTCCAGTGCTAGGAGACCTATAGCATGAGTCAAGGAAACTGAGGCAGAAACTCAGTCATAGACACTATACCAAACCGGTGAGTGCAAGGAAGGTTCAAGCTTGATGGGCTCCTCTTGACTCATAATATTGGGCCTGTGGCCACATGGCTAATTTGGACTCCACCTTCTAATGATGTCCTTGCCCTAGTCAGGACCACATTCAAGGCCTGGGCGTGGTAGAGCCTGCAGTAGCCATATGGGTTACACCTAATCATAAATAAATCACAGATTGGTTCTACAAAGGGGAAGTGGAGGATTCCTGGCAAGTGAGATATTAGGAGCATTTAAAAGTTCTCTTTTCTCTCCCCACCTAATCCTCTCCCATAGCCTAAGCACTGTCTGTATTTTCACTATCACAGATGCACCCATAAAATGCCTAAGCCAGAAATGAGCACATGACCCGTCATTGCCCAGGAAGTAGGTCTTTCACTCTCCCTCTGCCTCTTGGCCAAGGCAGAGAGGGTCTCCCTAGCTGAATGTGCTTGGGTTTGGGAGCTCTTCCTATTACTCTGGGAAGATTTCTCTCTCTCGTATCTAATTAGCTTTCTTATTGAGAGGTCACTTTCTTTAAATGGGAACTCTGTTCATGGGTTTCCCATGTCAGCATGAAGAGCCACTGATGGAAAGTGGTGGGGGATTCTACAGCTGCTGAGCCATCCATGCCCATTGTCTTCAGGGGTAATTGTCGAATGACCCCCAGGTCAGGGCTCAGCCCAGCCCAGAAAGGATTGAGAAGAGGTAATTGCTGAGGAAGAAGGAGAGCGAGTGAGGATTGGCAAGTCCAGAGCCAGATGGGGAACACTCTCAGAACAACATCAAGCTCCTACATGTAGGAGAGAGTTGGAAATAATAGATTAGGTGGAATTAAGATGCTATTTGACCAGGCCATAGGAATACTTGGACCCTACCTCAGGCCATCTCGTTCTAAAAAGCCCCCTAGGGAGATTTCATATATTCTCAATTGCAAGATGTACTCCCTCCCCTCCTACACCCTAACCAATAGTTTAACCTTTTGGAAATCAAAACAAATCTTACTATCAACAAATGCAGTTTATGCTGTGTTTTTCTTTCTCTCTTTTTCCCAAAAAGCCCTAATTAAATTGACGACACATGTTATTATTGATGGCGTGCTTGAATCAAGAAAATATAGTATATGTACAAAGAATGGCGCTGGCAAAAAACAAAAACAAACAAACAAAAAAAAACCTTGATTACTAGGTAAAGCTGTGGCTCCAAATGCTCTAGCAAGCTGGCTAGATGCCAATGAGAATGTCTTTAGCCTACTTCCATGATTTTTCTGTATGAGAGAAGGCCTACTCAAATAAATTTTAACACGAAAGGGAATCTATTGGCTTAAGTTCCAGGGAAATCCAAAGGGTGGCGGGTGTGGCCTCAGGAACAGCTGGATCCAGTGTCACTGGGACCTCATTCATCTCTCAGTCCTGTTTTTTCTCTTTTATGTGGCAACAAGATGGCTTCTGGGAGCTTTGGATTCACATGATCCTAGAGAAAGAGAGAGATTATATTTCCCCAGACATCTGCAGATCTAAAGTCATGGAAGAAGTGTTTTTGGCTGTACTCAGGTTGTGTGCCACACCTCAAGAGAAATCCCAGCGGACTAAGGGATGGGGTGTCATATTGGCTGGTCTCCTGGGGCTAGAGGGCAGGTAGGCATTGTGATTTGATTGAGAGTCTGCACAGAGCCACATGGGATGGGGGCAGGGCAGTTCTCCAATGGGAAGAGAAATGCTGGACAAATAAAAGCAACAGCTGTCCACTCTTGGATCAGCCTGAAAGGCCTCGGACCAAGACTTCTTCCATCTAAAGCTCAATCTGAGACTTGACTTTTACCACTTCTGTTTGAGGAAAGGCCAGTCTAGACTAGACCATTGGAATGACAGAGGACAAGGAGAGGAAGAGGCAGGGTGTGGTGCCTGGATGGTGCAGTAGAGTCCCTCCAGGGTGTTGGCCTCTGGACATGTCCCCACCAAGGGGATATGAGAAGAAGCAAAACAGCCAGAGAGGCTTAGAGCAACCTAATCCATGCCAGCAAAGAAGGAAGAAGCCAGAGAGAGACTGCATCCTCCTGTGAAGATAATGCATGGGAATGCTTAGCCCATTGCCTGGCACCCAGCGTCCAATCAATAAATGGTAGCTATTATTATTACCCATTAGGGATCATCCCTCAGCGCCTGCAGTCTGGGCATGATGGATGCAGGCTGTGCTTGTGTAATGGGGATTATTTATTAGTCACCTTGTAAAAAGCAATGACAGAAAGGCGCAAAACTATGTTACCACAGAGGGATCTTATCTCATGGAAATCAAAAGCTTCTCTGTTTTTCCACTAAGAAACAAGAGCACTTGTTCTCAGAGATTAATCCAATTCCACTGTAAAGACCTCAAGGGGAAGGAGGAGATGTAATTCAAACAGATTTCAGCACTGCTTTTGGGATAATACTCCTCCAGCTCCTAAGTACCTGGGACTTGGGCATGGATGGGAGGGAGGGAGGGGAATGGGAGTTGGAGAAGGAAGGAGGGAGTTGGTGTGAAGAGGCAGGAGAGTACCCTTGGAGCTCGCTTAGACCTTGCCTGGCCTTCTCTACTGGTTCAGGGCAAAGCCCCAGAGGTACTGTTTATGCAAATAGGTTGCTATCCAATGAGGGAGCCTGACCCACTTTGACCACTCCCTGCAGCTGCACCTGCTTTCGGCTTCCTCTCCTGGCCCACTGCAGATCCAGGGCTCATTTTACAAAACTTGGGCCCATTACCCATTGCCATTTAATTACAAATACTGTTTGCAAACCACTTTAAATTTTTTTTTTAATTTATCTTTTCCATTAACAGATGTAGCAAGAGTATATTTATGTGGCAATGCTTATACAACAATTCAGAGTGGCCACTAAATCCCCATGTGTGGGCTTAGGCCTTTTGTTAATTATTTGTTTCACAACAACTCTGCCTGAAAACAATCAGCAATGGCTCCCCAAAGAACATGGGAAAATTTAAAATTTATGTGGTTAATAGGAGGCAGCATACAAATCACTTCTAATTAGCATGCAACGAGACTTTGTGGCCACCCTGAATATTAACATTGATTAAGCACTTAAGTCGCCCCAACCCCTCATAATAATTTTTTTGCATATACCCCACAACTATCCTCAGAGGTAGCTGTTATTAACTATTATGTGCCCATTTTACAGGTGAGAAACTGAGGCACCAGGAGAGTAATAGTCTGGGGGAGTGTTGAACCCAGAACTTCAGAACTAGGCCCTGCCATTGTCACAAGACAAGGCCTCCTGGTAGAAGCCACCTAGTCAGCTTGTAAACAGGAATTATGATTTAATTTTTTAAAATGACCCATGTCTATTTTAAGCATTCAAGCAATACAGTAAGAATATAAATATGAGATATTTTATAATCACTACTCACAATTCAACATTCCAGAAGTAGAGCATTGTTAAGGTTTTCAGGGCATCACCCTTGACATCTAGCTATCTAGAGGGATAACAAACTAATGCTAATGCTGGAAAGACAGATTTTTCAAGAAAACAAAGTGAGCTTGCTACATACCCACCATTTTATTTTTACTTTTCAAAATTTTACTTAAATTCGACAGATGGAAAAAAAAACAAAGGTTGAAGGAATCATTAAACTTCAGATCATTAGACATTAGCTCCTCAAATATACCTCTGAAGCTAAGACCAAGTTCAAACAGCATGTTAAGAAGTTGCAGTCATTATTATCCTTTTTATTATTATTATTTTTGCAGCATTTATTAACCACCCCTGCATTGAAGAGGAGGAGGTTAGCGCATGTATATTTGTTCTTATTTCCATAAACTCCCTTTCCTGGTTTAAATTCTTTTTAATTTGGCAAGATCTATAACATTTATATTCCATTCTGTACAATCCTCAGGGTTGTGTAATCTTAGTTCCATATTTAATAGGATTTAACACTCACCACCAATTTTCTTGCCATACATTTTACATTCCAAGTGTTGTATTTTGATTGATTTCTTCATTTGCCAGAGTCCACTGTCAGATACTTCTTACAAGAAAGGTTCATGGGTGTTGTATTCCCTGAATTCATGCTCGTGAATGTCCACCTGTTGTCTAAATATGTAAATGACAACTTCAATGAGTATACACCTCTTAAGCTGCAGTTCTCCTCGGAGCTCGAATGGCTTGATTGGAGGCCAACCAGACTTATTTCTCTCTTGTTTAGCTTGGTGTTTCTGCCTAGATGTCCATATGATTCATTCTTTTCCCTTGAAATGTAGTATCTTCACCAGAATACATCTTTAAGGTGATTGCTATATATAAAATTTTTGGAGACCTCATGTGCTCTTTTGATCTTGAAATTCAACTTTCACTATTTCAGGGATGTTTTTGTCGATTATATCTTTGTATGTTTTTCTCTATGGATATGTTGAATTTCTTTTGTCAATATTCCCTATCTGTGATCTTCCATATAATCATGTTTATATATTTGATCTTTTCCATGTATTTATTTAATTTTCCCAAGTTTGCTTGCCAAGTTCATGAGTTGAGTTTTCAGATATGTTTAATTCATTCCTCCTTCTCCTTTTCCTCCTCTTTTCTCTCCCTCCTCTTCCTCCTCCTCCTCTCCCTCCTCTTTTTCCTCCTCCCCTTCTTCCTCCTTCCCCTTTCTCCTTCTCCCCTCCTTCCTCCTCCTCTTTCTACTCCCTTTCCTCCTCCACCTCCCCTTCTACCTCCTCTCTCTTCTCTTCCTGTTTTAGCTGTTTTCAGTGTGGTACTTCTTTTTCTTTCCCAGCTCATCTTTCATGGTTTTCGCTTATCTTACAATTTTTCTTTTAGGTCCTTGAAACTTTTCTTTGAATTCCTTTTTAAAAACTCTGCAATTTCTTTGAGATTAGACAACAGTGGTTTTCTGAATTCATCTTGCTTCCTTTGACAATTCCCTCTGAGGTCTATGTGTTCCATAGCCTTTTACTTTATTCATTTCTTCCTTTCTTATTTTGTTTGTTTATTTTGTAATTTCTATGACACTTCTCTGGCTAGTTCCCTACTAATTATCTCTCCCTTTTTTTGAGTTGGACCAAATATTTGCCAAAGAATAGTGTGCAGAACTCTGGGGCCTGGGAAAGGGGATTATGAACCGAGCGGTTCTGCATTGCCGGTATGGTTTTGTGGTCCATTTGTCCTCTCACCAGATCCGGCATTTCTCTTTGCTCTGTGCCAAAGCTGCTGCGTGTGGTGGTTTGGGGATGGATGTCTCATTTGTCCACTGCCTTACTCTGCAGCCTCTCTAGGACAGAGACAGGGCCGTCCATCATTCGGGTGAAAAGGCACATGGTCTCTCCTTCAGTCTCCTCACATTCCTTCCTGCTTGAAATGCTGAAGAGGTTTCCGCGGGACACTCCCATGGCTGGTCCACATTCCCACATCTTGTCACTTTCATCAAAAAGTTTATTGAAGTCCTTTTGAGGACTGAGATACTTTGTTTTAAGAAAATTTCGCTGAAGGTCTGAGGATTACTGTGTAGACTGTCAACACTTCTTGTTTAGATTCACGTTTCTCAGTATTTGGCAAATATGCCTAATGGTTTGTGGTCAAGACCCATTTCCTTGTTTCCCTAAAGATACAGTTTCTACTCCTCTGTATTTTTGTTCTTGTTGTCAGTGGATTTCAAGAGAGATTAAAAAATGTAAATACCTTCACTGGACATCTTTAAAAAGAAATCTCCCTTTTCAGTGTTGTTTAATAGTTATACAGAATTCCACTATGCAAATATAGTAACATTTACTAAAATTCTCTCTTGAAGGACATTAATGCTATTTCCTTTTCTTCTTCTTTTTTTTGAGTATAAACAAGGCTATGATGAATATCTTGGAGTGTATGTCCAGTTATCCTCATCATATTTTAAAGAACTGGGGAAAAGCCTTAGAGAGGTTCAAGGATTTGCCCAGGGCCAAGAATCTAGTTTCTGGTTAGGCATGGCAGCTTATGTATCTGTAATCCTAGCACTTTGAATGACTGTGGCAAGAGGATCACTTGGGCCCAGGAGTTTGAGACCAGACTGGGCAATATAATGAGACCCTGTCTACCAAAAAAAAAAATTAGCTGGGTGAGGTGGTGCATGCATGCGGTCCCAACTACTCAGGAGGCTGAGGCAAGAGGATCCCTTGAGCCCAGGAGTTAAAGGCTGCAGTAAGTGAGCTATGATCTCGCTACTGCACTTCAGCCTGGATGACAGAATGAGACCCTATCTCAAAAAAATAGCAAAATAAAAAAAAATTTTTAAAAAGTATCTAGTTACCATACACCTGGATGCAAGCTCAACCTTGAGACATCCGTTTCAAAGCTGTCCAGCCTGCCACAGCCCTGCCTCTTTGTTCATCTCAGGGAAGACCCTTCCCACTGCCCGTCCTCTCCAATTTTATTGCCTCCTCCTCTGGCATTGCAGTCTTGTAGATTTAGCCCCTATTCTCAAAGGGATTAACTGTAAGAGGATTTCTATGCAGCTTTTCTCCTGGATTCACACAAAAGGACTTAGATAAGTCTTGGCTTATGGGGCCTTAATGGGCTGTTAGGGGAAAGTGGAACATCTGGGGCCACTCAAACCAGAAGGAGGCATCAGAGAGGCTGGCCATACCTGGGGAGGACCTTCCAAAGCCTCTTCTTCAATGTCCTTATTAAGGACAGAATCCGGGAGCCTGGGCTGTTTATGCAACCCAGATATTTAGACTTCCTAAGTTGAGGATCAACTCTCTGGGGGCATCCACACATCAACTACAAATAATTAAGTATCTAACAGGTAGCCAGAGCCAGCTTCATAGATATCTGACCTATGCAGTCATACAGGGCCCTGCTCAGGGAAGAACCCTGAGCTTGGTTTAATGCTCTTCTGTTGACCTCTTGAAATTAATAATCATATTTTAACCAGGGGCCCTGCCTTTTCATTGTGTACTAGATGCTGATTACGTAGCTGGTCCTCCATGTACCAGACACAACACCAGGCTCTTTCACCTGTGCCAGCTGAGGCTGCCACAGGGAGAAGCAGAGAACTGGATCTGAGGGCTGCCAGGCTAGGAGTCTACAGATCTGCAGGCTGCAGTCTGAGCAGCGTTGCGTGAGAAAAGCAGCAAAGTTAACGAAGCTGGGCAGACAGAAGGACACCTGGACAAGGTGACTGTCCTCTGGGCCTATAGCCACAACTGGTCCTACTACAGACTGGTCATTTTGCATGTACGTGAGCTGGAGATCTTAGTCTGTTTTCTGTTGTTTATAACAGAGTACCTGAAACTGGGAAATTTATTTAAAAAGGAATGGAGGCTGAGTTATGGAGGCTGAGAAATCCAAGGACTAGGGGCCACATCTGATGAGGGCTTTTTTGCTGGTGGGGACTCTGCAGAGTCCAGAGGAGATGCAGGGCACCATCCAGCACAGAGCAAGAGACCTGAGCATTCTAATGTGCTAGCTGAGGTCTCTCTTAATTTTCTTATAAAGCCACCAGTTCCTTTCCCATGCTTGCCTATTAATCCATTAACCCATTAGCCCATTAATCCGTGAATGGATTAATCCATTCATGAGGACAGAGCCTCATGACCTAATCGCCTTTTGAAGGCCACACCTCTCAATACTGCCACATTGGGGATTAAATTTCAACATGAATTGTAAAGGCAACAAATATTCAAAATCATAACAGGGTCCTTGGTCTGCACCTCAGGGGCAGAGGAGATGCCCATCCTATCTTGCTGGACTGCACCCTGATGACAGAGGCTTCGAGAAAAGAAGGCATTCCTTAGATTGCCACTACATTTTTCTCCCATCACTAGTCACATTACTGAAGCAAAGGAGCCCAGTTCCAGTAAATATGCAGACAGATCCTCGCATTTCATCCTAGCTAACTGTGGTGGGAAGATGGCCTCCTTCTTTCTCCCCTCCAACTCTCTCTTTCTCTCTTTTCTTTCTTCTGTTTTATTAGCTGCACACAAAAAAAAGATTTTTATTACTCAAATGAGCTCTCAGCACGTTTGTTAATATACTCCTAATGGGTTTTAAGACCTAAAAGCAACAGCATGGGTCACCGTTTGCCTGCTCAGCAAGAATTTGCCTGGTGGGAGGGTGGGACTGAGAGAGGGGAGGAAGACAGGGAACAGGAGCTACCTCTGTTGGCCAGGCCCACCATGCAAATGAGCTGGGATGCGGTCCCAACATATTAAATGGATCAGAGCAGCTTCTCATTCACATGTGCAAATTAGATTAATCAGACCAGATGCAGAAAGAGGAGAATAATAATGCCGTTACTAAGGACACGCAGGCACCCGCAGGGACCCGCAGGAGACATACCTGGACTGAGAATCATATTTGGACACCGAGTCATGACCTGGCTTCTCTCACTGAGCCATTCCACTGGGGCCAAATCTGCCACATGATCCCAGCCTCTGCAGCTCTCCAAGTCCTTCCTGTTGGGCCCAGCCTGCCCAGGCAGCTTCCAAGGCATCGATGAGCAGGGAAACCGACTCTCGTTTCTTCATAGCCCCTTTGGTGCCTAGGTCTGAGCCCTGCAGAGAGGCTGGGTGTCAGAGTGATTCAGTGTGGCCTGAGGGTTGAGAACACAAAACCCAGTATGTGATGAACTGACATGGTCCTTACCCATTGTATGACCTTGAGAAAGTGACTTGAACTTCAGTTTCTGCATGTGCAGAATAATTCTCTCAAAGGATTATTCTGCAGGTTAAATGAGATAATATGTGCAAAGAACTGTGCCAGATGCAATAAATATTATCTATTATTGTCTTTCTTCTTCCGGTCCCTTTTTTCTCCTTTCTGCTTACCTTCCTGCCTTTCTCTCTGCTTTCCCCTCTCCCTCCCTCCCCTTCCTCTTCCTCCCGCCCTTTTCTCCTTCCTTTCCTCCCTTCCTTCCTTTTTCTTTTCTGCTTCGTAGAATCGGTTCCAGTTTTCTATAAGTTGATTCATAGAACTGATTCCATGATTTATCTAATTTGATCTTCCAGGAGAGGCACACAAGTCCAGAGATGGTGGTGTCCTTTGGATGCCCCAGCTGCCTGCCTAGAGGGGTGGCCCCTTGAGTGAGCAACCCTTTCCTTCCAGTCCATGCAAGCTCCTGGGTCTCCTTCCTCAGGGCTTGGCTCAGTCCTCTTGTCTGCCCAGCTCTCAGTAGCTTCAGGATGAGTAGGACTTGCTGCCAAGACATTCTGTTTGTTCCCTGCGTGTTGTGCCCTGACAGCTGATATATGCAGAATCCACACACCTGTGCCAAGGCTGGTAGGCAAAGAGGTTTTCGTGGAAAAGCCAGGGCGGAGGGATTCAAAGCTTGACCGAGTATGGCTTGTCATCATCCTCTGACACTTTTTCATCCCTCTCCGAGTTTTATTTTGGTGGACACTGTGTGTCCAGGATTGGGGCAGAAGGAAAGTGTGGCAGATCCAGCCAGAGGGCATGGTGATTGCATATTGCTCTGATTACCAGTGAGGTTGCGCATCTTTTCATGTTTATTGGCCATTTATATTTCCTTTGCTGTGAATTTTCTGTCCATATCCTTTGCCCATTTTCATAGGTCATTTGAATTTCTTTTCCTTTTTTCAGTAATTTGCAGGAGGTCTGAATAATATTAGGACATTTGTTCTTTGTTTGTTGTGTCTATTGTGCAAATTTTCTTTTAGTTGGCTGCTTGTCCCTACCTTGTCAATTGTATTTCCCACAAAGTGACCTCAGCGAGGGGTGCATCAGCACCAGGGTGTGCACATCAGTAAAGATAGTTGGAGTCACACCTGGGAATAATATCCATCAGGTGCATATCAACAGAAAAATCTAGATGAACCACTGCTCCCGGTTACTGAATATGAACACAACTGGACTTTGGAATTTTAAAAGTGTTGCTTTTCCTATTCGCGATAAGTCCATTTCTTTCCTGGGTGAAAAGAGAGCAGAGATATGGTAAACTCTCATAGCTCTGCTGTAGCTGGAAGCTGAATTTGAACAAACTCATGAGGGGGTGGTTCAGAAGTGGGGACTGGTGAGATAGCTGCCATGTTTTTCTGTCTCCTGAGAGCTGAGCAGGATCTCAGACCTTTGGAGGAATCGAAGTTTTGCACAAGCCCTGGGTCTTGACCCAGAGGCCGGTTGCAGAGACCATATCCCAGAAGCAGGAGGCCAGACTGGCTTTTGATCCTAGATTGCTGGGCTGGTAACAAGTGGAGTCCAAAAAGACAAGGTCCGATGTCCCAGAGCTTAGCCCTGAAGCCACTAGGCCCTGTTGAATCATCTACTTGGCAGCCTCTGATGGTGACAGTGTCGTAGTCCTGCAGCTGAGGGCTTAACTTGGGTGAGTCCAACTTTGGTAAAGCCAAAGACCCCACGTGCATATACAACTGGGACTTGTCATTTTGTGAGAAGCGAAGACAGCAGAGTCGTCCAAGTGTGGACTTCGTTGGAGTCTTGCTGGATCCACTTGTGGATAATTTACACTCTTGGAGAACCTTTCTTCTCTTTCTCTTCATCACTGGAAACATTTGCAAAGAACCCATTGGGTTCAGGACTGATGAGAGCTCATGGAAAACACTTCTTTTTTTTTTTTTTCTTTTCTTTTTTTTGAGACGGAGTCTTGCTCTGTCGCCAGGCTGGAGTGCGGTGGGGCGATCTTGGCTCACTGCAACATCTGACTTCCTGGTTCAAGCGATTCTTCTGCCTCAGTCTCCTGAGTAGCTGAGATTACAGACATGCACCACCACACCCAGCTAATTTTTGTATTTTTAGTAGAGATGGGGTTTCACTGTGTTGGCCAGGCTGGTATCGATCTCCTGACCTCGTGATCCACCCAACTCGGCCTCCCAAAGTGCTGGGATTACAGACATGAGCCACCGTGCCCGGTGGAAATACTGCTTAGCTACGTAAACCAACTGATCTATGAATGAGGCCAATGAGATTAGATTCCTGGGCCCATCAGTGTTTGAGAAGTAGAAGTGGGTTTAGGGAAGTGGTTCTAGGGTGAAGGGCATTTTAACTAAGAACTAACTAAATTCCTTTTTTTTAAGATGAATATTTATGGAATATCTACCATGTGCTGGGTACTGAGTTGGGCTCTGGAAATATAATGAAAAACAAAAATAAGTACAATCCTTCCTTTCATGGATCTTAAAGGAGAGAGTAGGAGACAGACATTAATCAAGGAGCCCCTAAACATATGTAAAAGACAACTGTGAAAACGGCCATCCATGGTGCTGTGAGCGTGGGATTGGGAGAGCTGGCCTAGTGGGAGGCAGTGGTCACTCAGCTAGCTCTGGAGGAAGAGGGGACTCATCAGGGGGAAGACAGGCCTTCCCAGCTCAATGAAATTTGCCTGCCTGTCACTCATTCTCCCTTCTTCCTCTCGCTCACCTACCCCACTCCCATAACCCAAAGCATACCCCGCTGGATCCAATGGATTATTATGTCCTATTTATTCTACCTCTGAAAAATCCCTCAAATTTAACCACCCTTTTCAGATCTCCCTACTGGCTCTGCCTCAATTATCTTTTTATCTCTCCCCTAGATTCCTTTAAGGGTATCCTCACTGTTATATTGCCCTCCAGTGTCTCCCTTCACTAATTCACACATCCTGGAGTCAAACAATTGTCTCCACCCATGGGCAAAAGCCTTCTTAACAGAACGTGACCTTTTTCATTTAACCCATTCACATTTAGAGGTGGTTATAAGCTAGACACATTGGACTTACTAGAAAGAAAGGGCTAGATTTATTGGAAGGGGTAGCCTTTGAGCCGTACAAAGAAGAATGGATATGGAGATAAGGTGCGGGCAGGGGAGGCCACTGCAAACAAGCAAAAGAGTGGTGGTAAATATTTCCAAGGGGGTCTAGGAGAGTGAGTTTTGAGAGAAAGCAACTGGGTGGGGCAGCCAGGAGGGGGACTTCCAAGGAAGTGTTTCCTTAATGTGATAGGAATAGATAGAAACTAGATAGTATAGAGTTATGAATTATGAGAGACATAGGCAAAGGAATGCATTTCTCTTTCAATATTATTGGTCATGAGAGCAAAGCAAGATGGTGGCTGGAGGTAGAAGTAGCAAAGGAAAAAAGAAGTGACGAGAGAGAGAGGGAGAGGCTGGCTGAGGGTGTAGAAGTGTGGACTTGCTGATAGAGAAGGGCCCAGGAGACACAGAGTGGGCAGAGGCGGCTGAGATGGGGTCGAGAACACAAGTCCGAGGACTCCCAAAGAGAGAAGCCCTTCTTGAGAGAAAAGGCAAGTGGAAATCAGTGGCATTAGTGGAATGAGATGGACAGAAGCAAGGTGAGGGAGGGAGCCAGTGTGACCTGTTGTGGTTCTGTAAACCAAGTTTTTAAATAATAAAAATAAATGTTAATAGTATATTTTGCTATAAAATTTTCAGACAATGCAAACTACAAACTGAGGGTCCCCCTTCACCAGCCCTCTCCTGCCTTCCCCTCTCAGAGGTTTATAGGGTTCATGGATTGATGCGTAACCTTCCAGGTTCTTTTCTATACATTCACAGCACTGTAAATGTATCTAGATAGAGATATATACATAGACACAGACATATACATATATAGAGACACATACATGTGCACACAATACACATATACATATGCAGACACAGTCATACTTTTTTACATAAGTGGGACAATACAAGATGTACTATTCTGAAACTTGCTTTTTTTCATGTCATATGTCTTTAGAGCTCTTTCTCTATTCATATTCATTCTTCCTGGTGGATCTATGGATCTCTGTGCCATGAGTTATCTAACTTTTTTTTTTTTTTTTTTGAGATGGAGTCTCACTCTGTCGCCCAGGCTGGAGTGCAGTGGCACGATCACGGCTCACTGCAAGCTCTGCCTCCCGGGTTCACACCATTCTCCTGCCTCAGCCTCCTGAGCAGCCAGAACCACAGGCGCCCACCACCACGCCCGGCTAATTTTTTTTTTTATTTTTATTTTTAGTAGAGACAGGGTTTCACCATGCTAGCCAGGATGGTCTCGATCTCCTGACCTCGTGATCTGCCCACCTCAGCCTCCCAAAGTGCTGGGATTACAGGCGTGAGCCACCACACCCGGCCGAGTTATCTAACATTTTATTGATGGACATTGAAGTTGCTTCCAGTGATCTCTGTTAAAAAAGCCATGCTAGGGCTGGGTGCAGTGACTCACGCCTGTAATCCCAACACTTTGGGAGGCTGAGGTGCTGAAGTGGGTGCATTGCTTGAGCCCAGGAGTTCAAGAACAGCCTGGGCAACATGGCAAAACCTCATCTCTACTAAAAATACAAAGAAGTAGAAGGGCATGGTGAGCCTGGTGAACATGGTGGCGCACGCCTATAGTCCCAGCTACCCAGGAGGCTGAGGTGGGAGGTCGAGGCTTCAGTGAGCCGTACTGTCATGAGTACCATCATCAATGCACTTTTATGAGCTTATATACGAATGTCTGTCAGATGGAAAGTGAGGAGTGGAATTTTTGCATCAAAGACTATGTGGGCTGTAATTTTGTTATTGTGAGACTGTCTTCTCCAAAGCTTGTTTACACTCCCACTAACCACCTGGGTTGATTCCCCTACCCTCTCCCAACATTAGATTTTATCAGGCTTTTTCATTTCTGCCAATCTGATTGTCAAATAATGCTATCTCATTGTTTTGATTTGCATTTTCCTGATTAGCAACACGGTGCCTCTTTTCATATACTTATCCTCCATTTGTGTTTGTGATTTTTTTTTCAAGTGGATTACCTGTTCATATCTCCTGCCCATTTTTTTTCTGTTGGGTATTTGCTTTTTTTTTATTGACTTGGACCACTTAATATATTCTTGGTATCACTGTGTTGTCCATTATATATGTTATGGCTGTCTTTTCCTACTCTGTAATTTGTATTTTAAGTTTGTTTTGAGGCCTATTTTATTGAGTCAGAGACAGATAGCTTAAATGACTTGCCCAAGGTCCCTCTGCCTAGAGCTGTTTTCTGACTCCCCGTGGTGTTTCACCAGATCCAGTATTCCTCTGCAGAACAGCAAGACCGTGTCTTCCTTTGGCTCCCTTTCAGGGGGATTTTTTAATTGCATGCACTCCTGGAGTAAGCTGACTTTGATCCTGTTGCAAAGCTGGCTGAGGCAGGGAAACCTATGACTATGGCTGTTGCTGGGTTCTACTCCACCTGTTCCATTTCTCTTCTCAATTTCGATGGAAGAATTTCCAAGATTTTCTAGCCCACACTTTCAAGTTCATGTAGGATGTACAGCGGTAAACTAAAAGGTTTCAGTGTTCTCTGGAACCCTAAAGATTCAAGGACTGTGTATCAGGAGCCACCTGGAATCAGGTTGCCAGATGTTCCAATTGGAAGTACAGGACACAGCCATGGGAGGTGGCTGATGCCTGTAATCCCAGCACTTTGGGAGGCTGAGGCAGGAGGATTGCTTGAGGCCAGGAGTTCCATGCCAGCTGGGAAAACATAGCAAGACCCTGTCTCTACAAAAAATGAAAAATATCAACCAGACATGGTGGGGAGTGCCTGTAGTCCTAGCTACTTGGGAGGATCGCTTAAGCCCAGGAGTTCTAGGCTGCAGTGATCTAAGATTATGCCTCTGTACTCCAGTCTGGGCAACAGACAGAGGCCCTGTCTCTAAAAAAGAGGAAAAAAAAAAAAACCCAAAACACCCAGTTAAGTTTGATTTTCACATAAATAACAAACACTATTTTACCATAAATATGTCCCATACGATATTCTATTATAAGTATGACCCATGCAATATTTACTTACACTAAAACATTATTCATTTTTATCCAAAATCAGATTTAGCTGGGATTGTATATTTTATCTGGCAACCCTAATCTGGAGGAGACAGGAAAGGGTAGGAGGTAACTGGGTGAGCTCAGTAGGCTCACCCCTGGCCTCAACCTAAGGCTGGCACTGTTTAAATGTCTTAGATTTTTAGATTTAAGAATGTAAGGTACGAAGAGATCAAGTGACTTGGCAGAGCTGAAGTTTGGATCAAGATAGGTCTGATAGAAGAGCCCATTGTTTTTCCCAAGTCCCTTGAGTTTGGGGTGACTGATTCTCCTCTTCATAGCCTCTCCCCAGGGTGTGGAAGAGACAGCCCCAGAGCAGCAAAGAGTGTGAGGAGATAGGCCTATCAGAACCGGGCTTTCCACGTGCAGAAAGTGTGGGGTGAGGGGAGAGTAATGTGTTTCGTGCAACACTCTCATCACCTTAAATGGGGTGAATCCTCATTAATTCCAATTAAATAACTGTTTAATTGGTTCTAACTCCATTTCCAGGAGTGAGCTCACAGCCCATGAATAGATCTTTGGACTTCTGACTACTACATATCTTACATTACTACTACATCCTATCACTTTTTTTGATACCTAGTCTAAATTTTTTTTTGAAATGGAATTTCACTCTTGTCGTCCAGGCTGGAGTGCAGTGGCACGATCTCAGCTCACTGCAACATCCGCCTCCCAGGTTCAGGTGATTCTCCTGCCTCAGCCTCCTGAGTAGTTGAGATTACAGGCGCAGGCCACCATGCCAGGCTAATTTTTTGTATTTGTAGTAGAGATGGGGTTTCGCCATGTTGGCCAGGCTGGTCTCGAATGCCGGACCTCAGGTGATCTGCCAGCCTCAGCCTCCCAAAGTCTTTTTTAAATCACTCTTATTGATATGTAATTAATATACAATAAAATACACCATTTTGGAGTGTACAGTTTGGTGCGTTTTCACAAGTTCATGCATCCATCTAGCTACCACCACAATCAAGACATAAACATCTCCATCGCCCCCAAAAGTTTCTTTGTGCCGGTTCTTAGTCATTCTCCTCCCATCCCTGACCGCAGGTAACTGATCTGCTTTCTGTCACGTCAGATTAGATTTGTCTTTCCTAGAGTTTCACATAGCAAAATCGTACAGTGTAATCATACAATATATACTCTTGTGTCTGACTTTTTTCAGTATAACAGTGATGAGATTAGTTCATGTGTTGTCATGTGTATCAGGAGTTCATTCATTTTTTTTACTGCTGAAAACTATTCAGTTTTATTAATATACCATAATTTCTTTATCCATCCAAATATCCTTTTGGTGAAAGTTTGGGTCATTGGTTTGGGGTCATTATAAGTAAACCTGCTGTGAATGAACATTGAAATATAAGTCTTTGTGTGATTATATGTTTCATTTCCTCTGGGTAAATTCTTAGGAATGAAATTACTAGGTTGTGTGGTAAGTGTATGTTTACATAAAATACTGCTCAACTGTTTTCCAAAGTAGTTATACCATTTTGCATTCCCATCAGCCATGTATGGTGGACATGCCCTTGCTGAAACTTGGTATCTTTATTCTTTTACATTGTAACCATTCTAATGGGTATGTGGTGGTATCTCATTGTGGTTTTAATTTTCATTTCCCTGATGGCTAATGAGGATAAACATTTTTTCACCTGTTTATTGACCATTTGGAAATCATCTATTCAAGTTTCTGCCCATTTTTAAATTGAATTATTTGTCTTATTAGTGAGTTATAAGATTACATATATATGTGTGTTTTATTTCTATATAATTCATATATATTAATATACTATAATTTGTTTATGCATCCATATATATATATATATATATATATATATATATATATATATATATATATATATATATGGAGAGAGAGAGAGATTTTTACCTGTCCCAAAGCCATGAAGGTTTTCTCTTGTTTTCTTCTGGAAGTGTTATAGTTCTAGCTTGTATATACACTCAGTTGTATGATTCCTTTTGTGTTAATATTTGTGTATGGGGTGAAGTGAGAGTTGAGGTTCATTTTTTCCCTGTGTGAATATTCAGTTGTTCTAGCATCATTGGTTGAAAAGGCTATTAGCAGATCGTATTTTGAATAAGATGCCGATACAACATGATTGATTCCCTATCAGCATCCCCTCCTTGTCTTAGTATTTTTTTTTTCCATCAACAAGTATTTGTTGAGTTTCTGTGACATGTCAGGTGTTGTTTTAATTGCTGGGCATCAGTCCTGAATAAAGTGGAACAAGTCCCTGCTCTCATGGAGACCGTGGCTTAGCCACAGGAGACAACAACTTAACCCAAAATAATAATAGTAGACCTGGCCCTAGAAAGATAACTAAAATAGGGTTAGGAAACAGAGAGTGGCAGGACATTCCAGAATGAAACAGAGAGGGCAACATTTCTAAGAAGACAGCGTTTGAGCAGAGACCTGCAGGGTGGGGGATGTGAGGGCCTGGCTCTCTGCAGATGGGCTGTTAAGGGGACAGACTGATTGCCAGAGCCTCCCATTCCCAGCCCAGCTTCTCAGACACTCCCTTAGGGGTCTACAGTTGTGACAAGGGCCCTCTGCAGAGCTCATGTGCCATCACATGTCACTCGGGTCTCCTCCATGTCCTGGCTACTCCAGCCACTGCTCACAAAGCTGCATCTGACAGCAGGGAGTGACTTTCGCAGATTTCACTCCTTCATTCATTTCTTTAATTAAAAGGTATGTATTAAGCCCAGTAAGTGTGCTTGGCACTGCGCTAGACTCTGGGGAGACAGAGATGAACAAATGAATGGACCTGAGTTACGGCTTCAGCAGGAGCCAGCTCAAGAAAAGTCTTAAATGCACTTGGTACATGAAGTGTTTGCTCTGCAGACAGGAGAGCTCCATGAATGGCTAAAGCTACTGGATTTGGGGGAGTGAGGAATGGGAGACAAGGAGAGTTTATCCTAGGAGACTGTTGCAATAGGTCGGGTGAGATATGATGCAGGTGTGAATTAAAGCAGTGGAGATGTGGGGGCTGGGAGAAAGAATGTTGGATGATCCAGGTTTCTAACTTGAACACAGGGGCATGGTGGTGCTACTGATTTTAGGGGACACAGGAGGAAGAGCAGGTCTGGAATAGGTGAGTGCATGGGTAAAGTGATGAAGAGTCTGTTTGGAGGCACGGCAAGGGTGAGGTGCTCCTGGTAGAAATGTCTAGGACTTAATTTCACTTGAAGGTCTGAAGCTCATGAAGGAGATCTGGGTGGGAGGTCAAGCCTTGCAATTTATCCACAGAGGAATTATAATTGACAGCAGAGATGGAAGAGATGCTCCTGGGAGGTATCTAAACAAATACTTGCTCTGTGTCAGACTTTTGCCTGGCGTGCTACTAAATGTTTAATATACTGGTTAGGACATTGAGTTCTGATGCCCAACTCCCTGGGTTAAAACTTTAGCAGTAGCACTTGCGAGCAGGGTGACCTTGGGCAAGTCAACTCAACTCTATATTCCTCTGCTAAATGTTGATAGTAATAAATTTACCTTCTGGGGTATTATGCGGATTAAATTATCTGGTATGTGTATAGCACATAGAATAGTGTAATACCATGTGATTGGTAAATGTTAGTTGATCCTAATATCCTTTAACATACCTATAGCATAGGGGGTATCATTACTTGTTTTATAGATAAGGGAATTGTCCAAGGTTATGGAATTAGGTAGTGGAAGAACAAGGACTTGAATGCAGGCCTGTGTGTCTCCAGAGTCTACCATTCAAGGCTGTCTTCTACTGGGGGATAAAGGTCTGTGCATTCATTGGCTACTTGATGAACTTAGCCCCTCTGGGCAGAGGGGTTCCAATGCCTGGCTAAGCCCCCATCCCTGCTGTGCCATCGGCCATGGCTAGTATCTTCTACCTGCAACCTGGAGCCAGCAGACCCTGCAGCCCCTCCTGCAAGCCTTACACACACACACGAGAAGGATGCTGCCTTTCTCACCTCCTCCAGATGCTTGCACCTACTGTGCCACATTGCAATCAGGGGCTGCATGTCCGTGCCTTGGTCCCAGAACAGAGGAGGAAAGGAGCCCTGGAGTCCATGCTGACAGAGGTCTGTTTACCTTCATGCCCAGTGCCCTGAGTTACGCTCCAGGTGTCCCATTTGGAGAAGAGAAGCTAGTCAGGAGCCCTGTCTGAGAGACTGTGGCAGCTTGGGGTTGAAGCCAGGAGAGCAGACTTGGAAGGACTTTAAGCTATTAGCAAATACAGCACAGACAGAGGCCAGAAGTTCTGAGAGGAACTGGGATTAGGGAACAGTCTGAGTCATGGCCTGGCAGGGAAGCATGAAGGCAGCCAGCTCTGGGGAGGGCACTGAGAACAAGCAGGCCCAGGCTGGATGCCTGGCTCTACCTACTCGCTCTGTCACAAGATTTCATGCTTCTCTGAGCCTCAGTTTCTTCAGCTGTAAAATGGGCATGGCAAGGATACATCCCTTCTAGGGGCAATGTGAGGACTCCTTGCTATGCCAAGGATGTTACGTGTTAGCTTCCCTTCCCTTCCCCTGCCTACCCAAGGAGGGAGGATTTCCTGCAGAAGGCAAGCTTTCAGCAGCGCTGGAGAGGTACAGAAAGACATGGATTGAGAGAGTAGAGGTAGGAGGGTGTTGCTGCAAGGGCCTGAGCCTTGTATCCCCAGAAGCCGGAGCTGAGTGGAAAGCTTCAAGGTGAAGGGATTATTGGGCATAAATATGTAAAGAGGAAAGGAACTGGCTGCTGTCATTCTAGTAATCCTGGCTGCTGCCAGCTCTGCGGCAGGCATTGGGCTGGACTGGGGTGGTGCCAAGGTGAATGAGGTGCCACCTCTGCCCTCAAGGAGCTCCCTGGGTTGGGGCAGTCAGACTTATTAATGGAGCATCTCCATCCAGGGTGCTAACTGATGCTCAGGGGTTGGACAAGGGAAACAGCTCAGAGCAGAGAGTGACTGCTCCTTCCACCAGAACATGAGTCGCTGTGCCCTGGCAGCCTGCGAGTGGACTGAGGCCCCATGCATTCCTCTAAGGGTGGGGCGATCAAAGAGATTCCAGGCCTCCGCTCTATAGACTGGAGGCTTGAAAGGGAGCACAGGTTTGTACCAGCAGGACTAAGCTTGGCAGTGCACCAAGGACCTTGACCTCCAGCCAGGGAAAACAAAGGCACAAGATCTACTGGGGAGCAGGGACTTTCACATACATTATCCTACTTAACCTCCTTAAAGTATTGAGTGTCCCTTTTTTATCCAAAGCCAAGAGAGGTTAAACAACTTACCTAGAGACACACAGTGAGCAAGTGGCAGCACCAGGATTCACACTCGGGTACGTTTCGACTCCACTGGCTTGATCTTTCCTACAAGCACCCTCCAAGCCAGCCCCATGCCTTCCCAACAGATGGACCACTTCCACCTCTCTGCCAAGCCCTGCAGACGTGGCTACGTCCTGCCTTCCTCCAGAGGAGCCTGGGCAGCCTCAGGGCCTGGCCCACCGCAGTCCCTCCTGTCCTCCCCAGCTGCCAAACCACTAATTAGTGTGCCTGGCATTGTTCCTCACAGTTTCCCTCTCACTCTCGCCTCCCCTAGAAAGCCTAGCTCCCAGCTAAATTTAGCTGTGACTACTTCCCAGGGAGGGGTGGGGTGGATGGGGAAGGAAGGCTAAGTCCTGAGTTTTGAGTCTCCATAGTGAAAGGGAGACAGCCCAGGGCTCCATCCCTCCAGGACAGCTTCCCCTCCATCGACCTGCTGGTGAAGCCTTGAAGCTGTGGCATTGCGTTACTGCACACACTTGGCTTGAATATGATGGATTCTGAGGTCCATGTACGATAGCAATGGGAACCGTTAACGCCACACGTCTGCCTTCATCAAAGCTGCCTTGTTTTCTTTGAGAGGTTTTATAATAAGCAATCATTACCCATTTGTGCAATACTTTTATATTAACATCACCTCTTTTATACACTGGGGTTCTGGGGTTCTGTGTGAGATTTCCTTCCTTCCTTCCTGCCTGCCTGCCTGCCTGCCTGCCTTCCTTCCTTCCTTCCTTCCTTCCTCCTTCCCTCCTTCCCTCCCTCCCTTCTCCCTTTCCCTTTCCTTTCCTTTTTCTTTTGACAGGGTCTCACTCTGTCACCCAAGCTTGAATGCAGTGGAAAAATCTCAGCTCACTGCAGCCTTCAACTTCTGGACCCAAGGGATCCTCTCACCTCAACCTCCCGAGTAGTTGGGACTAAAGATGCATGCCACCGTATCTGGGTAATGTTTTTACTTTTTGTAAAGACAGAGTCTCGCTATGTTGCCCAGGCTGGTCTGGAACTCCTGCAATCCTTCTTCCTCCACCTCCCAAAGCGCAGGCGTGAGCCACTGCACCCAGACCAAGATTTCTTTTGGGAGGGATTTGTTTTCTTAAAAAGCAAGTTTGGAAACCAGAGCTTCACACTTGAGTGTCTTGCTGCTTTGAGTGTGATCTGAGAAGCAGCTGCATGGGCACCCCCTGAGAGCTTGTTAGAAATGCAGAACTCAGCCCCCACCCCACACCGAGTGAAATAGAACCTGTTGCACTTTCAAGATCCACAAGTGATCTCTACACTGTTGAAGAAGCACTGCCTTAGTCTAAATCAGGATCACTGAGGAGCTTGTCAAAATGCAGATTCCCTGGCTTCCTCCATGAGATTCTGACTCAGGAGTAAGGGAAGGCCCAAGCTATGTCCATTTTGTCCTTTTTTTTTTTTGGTGGGGGGAGACAGAGTCTCGCTCTGTCACCCAGGCTGGAGTGCAGTGGCGCGATCTCGGCTCCCTGCAAGCTCCGCCTCCAGGGTTCACGCCATTCTCCTGCCTCAGCCTCCCGAGTAGCTGGGACTACAGGCATGCGCCACCACGCCTAGCTAATTTTTTGTATTTTTAGTAGAGACAGGGTTTCACCATGTTGGTCAGGCTGGTCTTTAACTCCTGACCTTAGGTGATCCACCTGCCTTGGCCTCCCTTGGTGCTGGGATTCCAGGCATGAGCCACTGCACCCGGCCTATGTCCATTTTTCATAACACCCCTGGTTATGGTGCAAGTCTTTCGTCTGCCCTGAGATGTTAATGTTCACTCTCGGCTAACAGCTTCAGGGAGGCAGGCTGCCCAATACATGCACAGAAACAAGCTTCCTCAAAACGTCTTTCTCTCCTTTACAGAGATCCTGTCCTCTGATGTCCCTGACCTCAGAGGTAGTAGGATGGGTGATGGGCTGGGGAGAAAGCATGCCTGTGACCTGCAGCTTCACAAGTTCTCACTTTAGCCTTGACCACCGAGACATCCTTCTGCTACAGGGAGAGATAGACTAAGACAGCAGACGTTCTGTGAGAACCAGGTCTGTCCCCAAGAAGAGGAAGTCTTGCAGATTACAGACCAGATCTGCAAATATTCCTGCAGACTCTTTGAAATTACTTTCTACATAACCAGTCTCCAAGGATTTGATGTCAGTTCTTTCCTCCCTTCTTGCCCGCTAGAACTTCCCACAGGGAAAAATGTTCCCAAGTAGAGAGATGCCCCAAGATAGGTGGCAAGGAGGGGAGAGGCAGGTGATTAGACCTGCTGCATTGCCCACATCCTTGAGCATGAGGCCATAAATAAGTTCTTGGCATCTGCTAAGTGCTCAAAAAATAATCATCGGATATTTTTTTAAAAAGCCATCTCCCACCTGGATTGTTGCACTGCCTTCTAAGCAGCTCCCTGCCTCCAGTCTCCCTCTGCAGAGGGCCCTTGTCATAACTGTAGACCCCTAAGGGAGTGTCTGAGAAGCTGGGCTGGCAATGGGAGGCTCTGGCAATCAGGCTCTTCCTGTAACAGCCCATCTGTAGACAGCTGGGTCCCCACTCCCCTGATCCTGCAGGTCTCTGCTCACACCCTGCCTTCTTAGAAGTGTTGCCCTCCTCATCTCACTCCCCTTTAATTCATCCTTCTTGGGCTCCTAGCCCTGCCATCCCTTGTTCTGAGTCCCTCAAGACTCCCTTGGACTCCTAGGGTCTGGTCCAAATGTCTTGGATGTACAAAGCCTTCACGAGCTGGGTTCTGCCTACCCCTTCACCCACATCTTTGCCAGCCCTCCCTGTGCCCTGTGCTCCACCAAGGCCACAGTAGATCCAGCGCCTTGAGGGTGCCATGCCCTTGCGGTCATCTCTGCCTGTGCACCTGCTGCTCCCTCTGCCAGGGATATCCTTTCCTCCACCAACTGGCAGGTCTCCTATAACCTATTCCAGGAGTCTCTTCACAGGTCCGTCATTCATTCAGTCATTCAACATGAATTGAGTGAGTTCCTACCATGTGCCACATACTAAGCTAGAGTCTGGGGACGTACAGTGCCTGTGATAGATTCATCAACTCATTTAAAATACTCCCAGTCCAAGAAGCTTCAGGATAACCTCTCTCCTCCCTTCCACAGTTTGCTAATGAGGAAACTGAAGCACGGTGTGGTTAAATGGCTTTCTCAAGGACAAACTACTAGAAGGTAGAGGGTCAGGACTGGAGCACAGAGTCTGGCTTCAGAGCCCAGGGCTTGGGCACTGTGGCACTGTGCCACTGTGCAGCCCCTTTGCAAAGGTCTGTTTCTCAATGTCTCCTGTGATCTTGCTCCTCCTTCCTCCCGCCCTGGTTCTCCTCTGTTGCTCCCAGCTCAGAGGATGGAACGTCTGTTCATCCAGTAGCCCCCCAAGAAAACTGGTAGTCATTTTGGCCACTGATCTCTCCATCACCCACTTCTGTTTGCCTTCTGAATGTTTCTGACATCTGTCCACTTTCCACTTTTCTTCACCGTCCTGTCACCCACTAGCCTGAGGTTCCATCTTGTCTCACCTGGACAGCTATGGTAGCTCTAAATTGCCTTCTCTGCCTTCACCCATGCCCTCGGCACAAATCAGCAGACTTACAGCCACTCTGATCAGGGCACCCAGTGTGACTTCCACAGGCCTCCCATACTGCCCTCTCTGCCCTTTCTCAGCCCTCCCTCTGAAGCATCTGCACAGGGGACCCCTTCCACCTGGGGGTGCTTCTTATCCTGCAGCCCCATCCCAGCAGAACCTCACTGTGCCCATTCCTCAGCTCTCAGCTCCAGACTCATTGTCCCAGGGGTTCTCCTCTGATGGCCTGTCCAGCCCAAATGCCTTTGCTTCCCTCATGGGCCAGTCTGGCTCTATGATTACATACTTGGCAGTGTCATTGCTGTATGAGCACCTGTCTCCTTCATGAGACTGAAAGCTCCAGGAGAGTGGCAACATATCTAGTTCTGGTCTCTACTGTATACTCAGTGCGTGGCCCAGGGCCAGATATAGAGTAGGACGGAAATACGTGATGAACAAATGAAGGGGTTGTTATGACGATCAAATGAGAAAGTATAGGTAAAAGTACTCAAAACAGCCCCTAGCACAAGTCAGATACTCAATTATAAGCTACTAGTAATGAGTCTTGTTGTTAGAACCAATCTTGAGCAAGCCTTACCTGATGCCCAAAGGGGGATGAAAATTGCAAATAACGAGGATGGCAACTGCACACAGCTGGAAGGGACTATACAGAGCTGAGGGTGGAAGCTGCAAACAGCTGAGAAAGTGCTTATGAACAGCTGGGGCTGTGACTGCACACTCCTGAGGATAAGGCCTGCAAATAAGTGGGAAGTGAGTGCAAATAGCTGGAATGTTGAACTGCAAACAACCGGGAGTAAGGACTGCAAAACAACCAGAGCAGAGGCTGCATCTGGGGAGCAGAAGAGCTTCGGAGCACTCACATCACCCACTGCCTCTGCAATACTGGGTCCCTGCACTTTCTCCTCTCTCCCAACAGAAGTGTGCCCAAGAGACCCCAGGGGTATCTCTCACGGGCCCACA
This sequence comes from Homo sapiens, assembly GCF_000001405.40. Classification (NCBI taxonomy): domain Eukaryota; kingdom Metazoa; phylum Chordata; class Mammalia; order Primates; family Hominidae; genus Homo; species Homo sapiens. Next base: position 33,981,032 of record NC_000001.11, on the reverse strand, counting down.
AATAAGACTGGTTCGCCTGGTCTATTCTGAAGTAACTTTTCCCTCCCCTCCCATGCTCCACCATGTTACTTTCTCTCAGTTCTTCAGATAGGCTTGTATCCTCCCACTACCTGACCTTTGCACATGCCAGGCCCTCCTTCTGGAAGTTCCCCACCCCATCCTTCAGATCTGAGTTCCAATACCACTTTATCAGAGAGACAAGATCAGATTATCCTTCTCCATTTTCCTTCGTTTCATCATCTTCAGTGAGAACAATGATTAGCATTTGCATATACTTGTTGGGCTTTCTGATGACTGCCTACCACCCCTACTAGACTCTAATCTTCTAGAGAGCAGGGACTTAGCACCTAGTCCACGGTCTGACACGTAGTAGGTGCTCATAAATATGAGATGGATGGAAGGATGAATGGAGGAACTGGAGCAATGGTTGAGTGGACAGAGAGTTCCTCAAAGGCACAAGCGAAGAAAATAAAACAACTGTCTTAATTGAGTGCTTACTGTGTACCTGGCCCTGGAACAAGTCATCCCTTTCTTGTTAGTGCTTGGGATGTATATGAATGAATCATTCTTTGTCTCTCCAGGGAGTCAGAAGATCTTGATTCTTTCCTTCATTCAGCCAGTGTTTCACTGTGAGACCTGACCTACTAGGAAACCTGTTAGGAAAAGACAAAATATTCCTGCCAGTGCTTTGCACTGACAGCTACCCTTCCTGCAACCTACCTCAGATAACAGCAAGGAAGGAGCCAGTGGTCCTGAGGCTCCAGTTTACCCATTTATGAGAGAGGGATTTGGGTTCTAAGATGATCCCTAAGGACCATGCCAGGTGGGATAGTCTGAGTCTGTGAAACTTCTCAGGAGGTTCCTTATATCTTTATTTTGTAACTGGCCAGGTTCCAGAGTCCCAGCCCCAGATAAGAGTTGAGGGTTCTGGCCACTGGTGCCCACTGCCTTGGCCAGGAAAGGGTCCACAGTGAAGGCTCTCCCCTGGTTCCAGGACACTTGTTCTATCTACCAAGTTGCCTACAAGAATCTCAGATCTCTAAAGCGGGCACAGAACCCAGACTTACACAGACACAGAAACCCACTAAAACCCCCAAAAATAACAATAGTCAATCTTTATAAAGCACTGGCTAGATGCCTGGCATTGCTCTAAACTGAAGCTCAGAGAGGTTAAAGAACTTGCCCAAGGTCACACAGCTAGTAAGTCAGAGCTGGGCTTTGGACCCAGGCAGATGGGCTCTGGGGTCCCTGCTCTTAACCCCTGCATCATAGTCTGAGACATCCAGTCACACTCACCACCAGACACACAGGCTCACAAAAGTACACACACACACATAAAACACACACAAGCTTTTCCAGTGAAGGCAACAAAATGGCTGCTGTCTCCCTTCTCTTTCCTTTCTTGTAGTGATTTAGGCTCTGTGGGCTAAGAACTCTGCACAAAGCCAGAAAGGGTCTCTTGTTACCAGTCTGTTTCTCAAATGGATTGGCATTCACAGTCGCTCTGCCAGCCAGTCTGGACAAGAGGCTTGGGAAGCACTGAGCCTGTAGTGCCCTTGGATACTGGTACCCACAGTAGGAGGAAGGGGCAGGGCTATTTCTCAGCAGGTTGACGACGCTTTGGATGGTAGCCGAAATGCCTCCTTCATCTCTGTCCCATTAATTCAAAGATGCCATAGGAAACCTGCTAGGAAAACACAAAATAGGCTTGTCTGGCTCTCTGCACTGACAACCACCCCTACTCCACCCTGCTTCAGACACAAGGAGGAAGGGAACCTGGGCAGCTGTGACGGGGCCAGGTCCTACTGGGCACAGCCACCCTGGGCATCTCACTGGCAGGGGATCTGGCATGGGGTGGGCAAGGAGAACCTCAGAAAGACAGAGAAGGGCAAAGTAAACCAGCAGGTGAGACAGGAGCATGTCAGATGGGCACACAAAGCAACAGAAACGTGGAGTTCAAGTCCAGGAGCTTCCAGAAAGGTATATGTACCTGCAATGATGGGAGGGTGGAGATGGCTGTGGTTGATCCTGACTCTGATTCTTATTGACTATGTGATGTGGCTTTGGGCAAGTTACTTAACTCTCTGTGCGTCAGTTTCCTCTTCTGTAAAATAGAGATGGCAATAGTACTCACTTCTTGGAGTTGTTAAGAGGATTTAGTGAGATAATTTTGCAAAGAGCTTAGTATGATGCCTGGAATATCATAGACATGCAATAAATGTTAGCTCTCATTCCTGGAAACAATGAGGAGGATGAAGATGCAGCGGGGTCAGGAGAGACAGAAGGGTCTGTGCCAGGGCTAGGTGGCTCGTAAGCATCCTTGCATCATCCCAGCCACTCTGAGTTTCTAGGGTTCTTAGGTACGGTGTCCTCTCCTGGCCTTTGCATCTGCTGTTCTCTCCACCTAGAGCACTCTTCCCTCTCTTCTCTGGATTAACTCTTGCGTATCCTTCAGGTGTCAAACTTAGACCTCTCTCTGCCCGGGAAGCCCTTCCTGACCCTGACCCTGCAGGTCTGGCTGAAAAGCCTCCTCTCAGAGCTCCCACGGCTGTCTATACAGCTCATCATGATCTTTCTCGCCCTGGAGTGGGTTGCGGGTCTACCTGTCTGCCCTCTGTGATGTGTCATGCTCAGCACCGAATCCCCAGAGATTCACAGAGCCTGGAACACGGTGCTAAATAATAAGTTGGGAATGAATGAAATAACGACTTGTATGTTGAATAATAGAATATTGTCCCATTACACCCAGCTGCTTCTCAAAGACAAAATTTGAAGCACCAGACATAATGAGATGCTCAATGTGGTGGGGCCAAGAGTACAGGCTCTGGAGTCAGACTTCCTGTGTTGTAATCTCATCTCCTTCCCCAGTACCTGCATGACCTTGGGAAAATTGCTTAACCTTTTTCTTCCTCAAGTTCCTCATCCATATAATGGGAATAATAAAGTCTCCACCTTGCTGAGTTGCTGCAAGGATAAACAACACACTTAAAGATTTTAGACAGGGCTGGCCCAGATGAGCTCTCAGCAAGCCTTAGTCCTCCTTAGAGGTGTGCTCCACCTCACACCTGCCCTTCCCACATTGTGAATCGTGTCAGCCCCGACCGGGACCCCTGCCCGCTTCTGTTGACTCTTTCAGTAGTTTATAGAAGCTGTTGCGATTTTTTTCTAATTTAATGTTTATATCCTTTTATGTCCTGACCAAAAAACAAATGACCCAAGAGGAAGGCTGGGGAGAGGGGACATCTGAGTTGAGGCTTCCAGTCCCACCACTGTAGATTCTGTTTCTTGGGCTCTTATTCCACAGGGTCAGCATGTGGAAGGGTTGGGTCAGGGAAGGGCATCTCAGGCAGAGGCAGCAGCAGGAGCAGGAGCTGGCAAGAGCACAGCTCAGTGCTCCTGCTGCAGTAAAGGATGGGGAGGTGCAGTGAGGGGTTGGCAGGGGATTGGTCATGGGGTGTCCTGAGGGTCCCTGGAAGTTGCTTGGAATCTAGGCTGCAGGCAACAGAGCACCACTGAGGGCTTTGAGCAGGTGAGACCTAAGAGAGAGTGCCCTGATGGAAGGATGGACAGAGATTTGCTGGGTAATAGGGAGGGTGTCTGAACATTCATGGGGTTGAATCTCCTGCTCCCACAGGGTCCTGTTCTGCCCTGATGGAGGGATGGACTGAGGAGAGTTTGCTGGGTAATAGGGAGGGTATCTGAACATTCATGAGGTTGAATCTCCTGTTCCCACAGGGTCCTATTCTTGCCCACTCACCTCCCTCACCACCAACATTCACTGGGCCTGTTTGCCCATCTGCCCACTCCCCACCCAGCCCTGCTGCCAGGCTGGGAGTTCTATGGGAAGGTAGTCATTCCCGGCCAGCTGTTTACCTCCAGCACCCTGGACAGGATCTGGCTCAGAGTAGGTGGAATTGTTTCCCTCCATCCTTTCTTGCTAACTTCCTACCCCTCTCCTCCTAACTTGAACTTTCTTACCTGCTTTTGTCCCTCTCTGCCTCTTTGCTTGAATAACAGCCTGTGCTGTGAATTAATTTCTGTCCTCTGTTTCCCCTACACCCTCCCCCATATCCCATAAACTGCCACTTCTTTTCTGGAAAAGCTCTGAACTCCACGACACTTGAAGAACCTAAAGGGAAGGGGTAAAGAACCAATACCAGTCAAACAGCTTTCATATGCCAAGAACTATGCTGGGAACTCTATATGGATTCCTTCATTTAACTTTTCAAACAGCCCAAAGAGGAATGTATTAGTGTCCTACCTTATAAATGAGGGTCAGAGCAGTTCAGAGTTGCCCAGTGTCACATTGTGGCAGAGCCAGAGGCCTCATCAAAAGAATGGTTCTCTGATGGTGGAATCTCAGGCATTTTGAGGGGGCAGCGGGAAAGATTTGGAATAAGGAGACTCCTGGACCACTCGCATCATGCCCTGGTGGTGTTGCCTCCATTGCTTCTGCCTTGGGTCAGGGATTCCTGATCCACAGCCCTGCTCTGAGCTGGAGTAGATTCCGTGAACCTCCCTGGGTCAGATGGTGCTCCAGGAAGGCAGAGAGGGCATCCCACATCCTGCTGAGATAGTGCTGCAATGGTGGGTTGGAGCCAGCGGAGAAATGAAGCCAGAGGCCAGATCCCCGGGGCTAAAGTTACACCCTAGGCTGGGAATCCCCAGGTGGGTTCTGAGATTTTGTTTCCTTATCCCCAACCACCCCCTTTTGGATCCATCAGCCTTTGTTTAAACCCATTTTACCAAGTCCTCAATCATCTGCTGCCCCTGATCCTGTGCATGACTCTGGCCCTGGTCACAGCCCTTGGGCAAGACAGATGAGCTCCCCTTCTGTGTCTCACCATGGCAATGGAGACCTGCAGCCATCCACATCCTGAGCTAGCTCTGAAAGTCAAACCAGCACATTCTACTCAGGTGAGACAGCAACCCGGGTCCCTTGGCTCAGCATCGAAGGGTTGGGAATGATCAGCAAGTTGCTGTTGAGAATAGAGAAATGAAATATGTGAGGATATAACTTTTAACTTAAAATGCGGTGCCCCCTGCATTTGGATGTCAGGAGGGATCTTGAGTGACGTTTGTGGAGCTGCTGGGGTGAGCATGTGAGGTCAAATATACTCATTAGCCATGCTTAGAGGCAATGGTGGAGGGAGCGAGGAATACACTGGTTCCACCTGCTGGGTTTCTCCCTATCAAGAGGGAAGCAGAGCTCAGATTCAGTTCGACATCCCCAAAGCAGGCCCACAGCCATGCACACAGAGAGCATCCGCACAGGCCACTGGAGCGTCAGTGGAGTCCAACCAGGCTGCACCAGCTTCCAGATGCCCTTCACCTGCTACAGAGGGGAGGCCCTCCCCTCCCCCCTGGTGGTTCCTTTCGATGGCACCTGTGTAGCATCATCTCTGCTTGGAATAAACCAGGTTTTGGCTGTCAGGAATCTTATTACAGAAGGAATCTGGGTGGATGGCCAGACTTTGTGTGAGATTCCCTAATCGGTGGACTTGGGACATTTATGCACTTGTGTGTGTGTGTGTGTGTGTGTGTGTACACTTGGGAGAGGGAGGATCTGTGGATCTACTGAATGTCTTCTAAAAGGGATCTATTCATTTATTTAAATAATACCGTGTATTATGTCCCTGATACTGTTCCAGGCACTGGGGATATAGCAGTGAAGAAAAGTCTGTTTGTACTCTAACCCAGGAGACAGAAAATAAATACATGACTCTAAAACTGTCAGGAGCCCTTGTGATTACAGTAAGTGGACTCCAGTCTAAGTGAGGGGTACCCCTGGATCCACTGCACCTTGCAGAGGAGGTCTGAGTGTAGGCTGGATGCCCTCAGAAGCCAGGCCCTCTGGTGCTGGGCATGTACCCTGGAGAGTGACACACTGATTCTTCCCAGCCTTCCTTCCTACACCTAGCCTGGGGCCAGCCTCCTGAAGGAAAGGGTGGGAGCTTGCCCAGCCAGGGGCAGTCTGAGCAGAGCTTTGTGCAGTGGAAAGTGCCTGGCTTCAGAGTGTTGTGAGGTGAACTGGGTGGAGGCATTAAGCATCTGGCATCATGGCTGACTCAGGGTGGCTGTTCCGTCCATAGAGTACCCTCTTCATTTGCCTTATTAGGGACACTCAAAGATGAAAAGTGTGCAGTCATCTGAGTTTGCTCTTGTAGAAGGGGCCAGGAAGCTCCAGTCCTAAGAAGGTCATTCCTTGGAGATACTCCTTCCGTTCTGTGGGACTTGGAGGCTTTAATGTGCAATGTAGGAATTGGATCCTGAGATGGGCCTTATCTGACTTTCAAGCTCATGCTCAAACACTTGCCAGTATTCTCCTGCAGTGTGCTTTGTGTCGAGCCCTGTGCTGAGATGAGTAACTCTCAGCCTCTGACTTTGGGACACTCACAGTTCCATGCAAGCAAAGCACCTCTGCCACTGACTAGCCCTGGGACATCAAGCAGGTTACTTAAATTTCTCTAGGTCTCTGTTTGTTTCCTCATCTGTAAAATGGGGATCGTTGGAGTGCCTTCTGGGACTTTTGCAATATATAAAGCACTTAACACAGCATTCAGTAAAACTTGCTCCTTGGGGACAGACAGCCTGACTGGCTCATGTCTGTGTCCCTAGTGCTTGGCCCTATGCCTGGCTCAGAGGAGCATTTCCAGAAGAAAGGCAGAATGAGCACGCAGTGGGAGGAATCTCCTCTGTATGCTGCTGGGTTATCAGTTTCTGGAACCATGTGAGATTTGTGCGAGCCCATGTGACCAACAGACAGTTCTTCAGGCTGCTATAAAGCAGTCTCCAACACCTGTCCCTGTGAGCCGCTGCATTGTGTATTTGAGCCTTTGATATACCGGGGATGTTTGCCAAGGGAGAGAAATGTTATTGGACATTTTTCGTGGCTGTAAGGATTACTTCTTGATGAAAACACACACAAAGAAAGACTTACAAGCTGCCCTTAAGGTAGGCAAATGAATGATGTGTGTTTACAGCATCCAGGCCATTGCTCAGGGCTGTCAGCTCTGCAGACTCCTTGCAGGGGCTGCAGCAGAAGAAGGGAAGTGGCCAGCACATCCATGTGGCTGAGCAGAGGGCAGTTCTGCTCAGACTGCAGCAGCCCATTATTCTGATTCATCCGTTGATTCTTCCTACCCCTCTCAGTGTGTTGACGTCTTTCCTATAAAGACTGAGGCTTTTACCTGAGCTCTGCCCTGGTCACTCCCCATTCCCCAAACTAGAAGGCACCTTCTCCTCAGTGCATCTGCCTAGAGAGCCTGTCCCTGCTCAGGCACCCTGGGGGCTCTTCCTTCTCGTGTAGGAGTCCTGTCTCCCCAGCCAGCTCTTACGTGCTAAAGGGCAGGGTGCATGGCCATTCCTCTTAGGCTCCTTCTACCCTCAAGTGCATTTTCCTGCACTAACAGGCAGGCAAGAAAGAGAAGAGAAGAATCATCTCACCAGGTGCACTTCACCTTCTCAATGCAGTTATCACACCCAGCTACCTTGTACCCTGACCTGGGAGTCCCCTGGGGCAGGAAGCTTTTCTGATTCAACCCAGGACCCCCTCAGGGTCTGCAAAGCCTGGGGCAGTGCATGGGGTCAATGAATATCTGAATGAATGAGTGAATAATGGAACCCAGCTTTAGCTTCTATGCTGACCCTTCTCCCATTCCATTTCAGACCCCATCTCCTGTGCAGGAAGCCCCTTGGCCTCCCTAGTGGGTAGCAATGTCCCCTCTCAGCTGTCTGCACTGCCTCCTCCTCCGAGTCTGCTTACTGGCATTGAGTGTTCTTCCTGCTGTCAACACAGCTTGGGGACATGCCAGCGTGCTGGGCAATAGGCCCAGCACATCCTAAGGCAGATAGTGTGGGCAGGGGAGGATCCTAGCAGGGCTGGATTCTGGCACGGCCAGGCCTGGGATCTGGTTGAGGAGAGGGTTAAAGAAAGACAGGGCCTGGGTCTGGAGGGGTGGCTGGGAGCTGAGTCTTGGGGTCAGAGGCTGAGGCCTACTTGCAACTGGGCAACCTTGGATGGATGGCTTACCCTCTCTGAACCTCAGCCGTCTCTCAGTCTGCAAGGGAGAAGCCTGAATGGAGACTCATAGTCTTTTAGCTGTGAAGGCTCATCCTGCTGCTTCGGGTCCTGTGCAGAGCCTTGGAGAAACATCAGTAGATGAGTCAGTTGCGCTCGTGCAGGTCGTGGTCTGTGTGTTGGTTTCCTATGGCCTTTGTAACAAATCTCTACAAGCATGATGGTTTAAGACAGCACAGATTTATTCTATTACAGTTCCGGAGGCCAGAAGTCCACAATCAGACTCACTGAGCTACAGTCAAGGTGTTGGCAGGGCCGATTCCTTCTGGAGGCTCTAGGGGAGAATATGTTTCCTTCCTTTTCCCAGCTTCGGAGAAGCCACCTCCTTGGATTATGGCCCCGTCCTCCCGTCACTCTGATCTCCTACTTCCACGGTCACAGCTCCTATTACTGACTCCAATCCTCCTGCCCCCCTCTTATAAGGACACTTGTGATTACATTGGACACATCAGGATAATCCAGGATGACCTCCCCACCTCATCCTTAACTTAATGACATCTGTAGTCTCTTTTGCCATGTAAAGCAGCATATTTCCATGTTCTGGAAATCAGGGCATGGACATCTTTGGGTGGGGGTGAGGAGTATTATTAAGCCTGCCACAGTGTGGTTGAATCTAAAACTATGAATCAATTAATCATCAAATAAATGAATTACTATGAACTCTAATGGCACCAGCCACAAAGCAGCACTGTGCTGTCAAAGTATCACAGGGACCTGGCTTAGCCTCGAGGACAGCAAGGGCTGGGCCACATTCCCCTTTTTCTTTTCTCTGTTCTCTCAAGCCCTGTTCATCCCACTGCCCCCTCTGCTGTCCAGAAGTCCCCAGGGAGTCCGTTTCTGCAGTTTCCCACCACCTACTCCCGCGGTCCCTGCCCCAGCCTGGAACATCCTTAAGGGGTGGCTGTCGTGAATGTTAGCAATGCTTTCACCTCCTACGCAGCAGTCCTTTGAGGACTAGCTTCCCTAGGGAGTACCAGTGATGGAAATATCAATATTATAAGTATTTGTCTCCTGGGCTGGAAGAAGTATCGAGCTGTGATTTAGTCAGTTGTGCTGCCTCTCTCTAACCACCCAAATTCTCCTTTGCCTCTTTGGAAGACTTACAGGAATAGATCTCGTCAACTCTCCATGGCTCCCAGGGCACTCTGAGGAACCAAGCTGGGAGGGTGAAGTCAGGTAGAATTTGGGTTCCTTGGAGGCACCCCCTCTCACCCACCTCCCAAAACAGGCACCCGCCCAACCTGCCGAAGGCACTTGAACCAATCCCACATGACCCTCCCAAGCTTGCAGAGAAGGCAAAGAAGTAATCAGCTGCTTGCCACTGGGCTCCACGGGGAAAACCCAGCTCTGTCCTTTCACGAGGATGTGACTCCAAGAGCTGCTCGGAAGCTGCTGGCTCTGCTCTCACCCACGCACAGCACAGAAAAGACATTGGAATGTGCCTGGCTTTGCACAAAAGCTGAAGCAACCAGGATCAGGGGAAAGACCTGAGCCAGGCACGATGTTTCCCGAGGCCCTGCAGATCTCCCAGCCTGTGAGCAGTGTCAGGGCTGGACCCAGTGGCTGCCCCACCATAAGGCCGGAGGAAGATTGGTCGCGGGCATGCATTTCCATGAAGCCGCCACACTGGCTCACCCATGCACATGAGACACTTTTGCCGGCCTCAGGGAGTCTAGAGGTCACAGCTAATGTGGCCCAGGTGGGGCCTCAAGGGAGGACAAAGGCTGGTGTTCATCTGCAGCATGTTAATCGTGAGTCCTGCTCTCTGGGAAGGTGTCCTTGGCCGTGCCAGAAGCGTTGAAGGAGATCCTGTTAACTGCTAGTGACTTCCCACCAGTCCCGGCAGACACCGCAAGGGCTGCCATAATGATAATGATAATGGTTCTAGTAATGATCATTGCTCTCATTTGCTGAGTGTTTATGTTGTGCCAGGCACTGTGCTAAGCTGTTTATATGCATTACCCCAATTAATCCTCCCAGCAACCTGATTGTTATCATCCTGATTTTACTGATGAGGAAACTGAGGCAGAGGGAATTAAGCAACAATGCACATGGTTGGTTGAGGAGAGAGGCAGCATGGGTTACGGTAAACAGAGCACACATTCAGGGGTTACACAGAATTGGATTCAAATCCAGAGTTTGCCACTTACCAGTTAAGTGACCTGGAAAATCACCTGCCTGCTCTGAGGCTCAGGGAAGCAGGAGGGAGCAAGTGGACACATATGGACATAGGGGCCCCTCCCCAGGGGCCCAGCCCTGTCCCTGCACGCACCTGGACTCAGGTAGGCCCTGAAGGCTGGGGATGAGCCTCAGAGGAAGCCATCTCCCTTCTGGGGAAGGCCCGGGCTGGGAAGGAGAGCTGCCCTGTTGAGTGGGCATCTGATCTTTCCTGCCAGGAAGGGTGGGGGGCAGGAATGTGCCAGGAGAGCACCTGTAGTATCATCTGCTCCTGGGTGCCCAGGCCTGAGCTCAGGCTTGGGTGCCATTGGATGTCACTTTGAGATCCCACAAGCTGGCCTCACTTTACGGGAGCAGAGACAATGGGCAAGATCTGGAATGAGGGTGGGATTAGCGATTGCGGACACAGGGATTCCTGAGGGAGGGAGAAAAAGAGGGAGGGGATTGAGTCTTGGGCACCATCACCACATGGGGCCTGCTATTGCCTAGAGGTCTGGTGTGTAAGAGCTGAAACTGTTCCACCTTTCTTCACCATCTGAAGCATACACACTCACTCACTCATTCATTCATTCATTCATTCATCTAAGGAGCCAGCCAGCACAGTGGCTTTGGAGTCAGATGGGACTGCCTTTGAATTTCTGCCTTTTCTTTTCTTTTTTTTTTTTTTTGAGATGGAGTTTTACTCTTGTTGCCCAGGCTGGAGTGCAATGGCGTGATCTCGGCTTACTGCAACCTCCGCCTCCCAGGTTCAAGCAATTGTCCTGCCTCAGCCTCCCAAGTAGCTGGGATTACAGGCATGCACCACCACGCCCGGTTGAATCTTTTTTTAGTAGAGGTGGGGTTTCTCCATGTTGAGGCTGATCTCAAACTCCTGACCTCAGGTGATCCGCCCACCTGGCCTCCCAAAGTGCTGAGATTACAGGCGTGAGCCACCACGCCCGGCTGAATTTCTGCCTTTTCATGGATTCTTAGTGTGATCTGAGGAAAGCCACTTACAATCTGAAGCATACACACTCACTCACTCATTCATTCATTCATCTAAGGAGCCAGCCAGCACAGTGGCTAAGAGCACAGGCTTTGCAGTCAGATGGGACTGACTGAATTTCTGCCTTTTCATTAATTCTTAGTGTGATCTCAGGAAAGTCACTTAACTCTCAAAACCTTAACTTTCACATGTGTAAAATGGAAATAATAATACCTAATTCACAAGGCTGCAGGTAGGGTCCAATGAGATAGTATTATAAATCACTTAGCATAGTGCATGGCATCTGTAACTACGCAATAAATAATTTCAAAATCTCTATATCTATCTATCTGTCTATCTATCCATCCATCCATCGCACTGTCTAGTAGAAATGTGATCTAAACCTCAAATGTGAGCCATGTGTATAATTTTAAATTTCTAGTAGCCATGTTAAAAGACTGAAAAAGAAACAGGTGAATCAAATCCAGTAGTATACTTTAACCCCATCTGTTCAATATATTACTATTTAAAAATGTAACCAATGTAAAATGCAATATTTTACATTGTTCCTTTCACACTGTCTTTGAAATTGGTTGTGTATGTTATGCTTAAAGCACATTTCAATTCAGAGCAGCTGCCTTGAACAGTGTGGCCATTCCCCAGGATTTGGTCCTTGTTTTGTTCTTCTCTGACCATGTTCTTTCTCCTATGATCTCACTGACTCCCACCGTTTCAATGATCACCTCTAAGTGAACAACGCTGGGAGTGACTTACAGGACCTACTCCTGGGAGCTAGAGAACAGACAGGATGTGTCCAGAACATGCCAAGGGGGACATGTGACTGACAAGGTTGAAGGCTAGCAGAGGCCTGAAAAAGTAGCATCAAGGTGGTAAAGTCCCAGAACAAGCTGGGTGTATGAGTTTCCTATTGTTCCCAATAAATTATCAAAATTACCAACGATCACAGTTATAGTTAATCACAGTTATAAAATTGTCACCAACTCAGTAGCCTAAAATAACACATGTACATTCTCAGTTTCTGTGGGTCAGGATTCTGGGTATGGCCTTGTGGGTCCTCAGTGCAGGGTTTCAAAAGGCTGCTGTCAAGTGATGGTGGGGCTGCATTTTCATCTGGAGGAGGAGTTCAATTCCAAGCTCATTCAGGTGTCTGACAGGTGGATGTCAGGTGGAGGCCACTCTGAGGTTCTAGAGGCAGCCCTTTCATCCCAGAGGCCAACTTCAATTCCTTGCCACATGGCATCTCCAACATGGACCCTTCCTTGATCAAGCCTGCAAGCAGATCTTATCTCTAATCTGCTAAGACAGAGTCTTACACAATGTAGCATAATCATAGGGGTGACATCCCATCCCCTTTTTCATGTTCTGTTGGTGAGAGGCAAATCACAGGCCTCACTCATACCAAAGGGGATGGGAATACAAGAAGCCATGAACACCAGATGCTAGAGGATTGTTGGGAGTCACCTTGGGGGCCATCTGCCACCTGGAATTTGTAAAAAACTCTAAAGATGGACAGCAAGAGGTTAGCGGGCTTAAGACTCACCCCAGCTCCCATGTGAGTTCTAAGTTAAGGAAGCATGAGATGCAAAGATAACTCACCTAACATGACTCAAAGAACCAGCTTGATTCATTTCTAGACAGGCTCCCCGAAGTGTGGGACTATGACAGGGCCAGGCTGGAAAATGGGTCGGGCTTCTCATCTTCCTCCTAAAGAGGAGACCACTAGGCTCATGGGGCAAGGCTGACCAGTGATAGTTAGCCAGGGGTTGAAAATAGTCGCGGAGATGGGCAGCTTCCATGCTTTAGCATCTAAGAATACTCCTGCAGTGATGGGATCTCATCTGTGGTTTCTGACCGCCTTGCAGAAAACCATGTAAGGAAGACATGGCATCCTTCTGACTCTCTGTTACCCTAGAGGATGGGGCTCTTCAGACAAGCCCTCCTTCCTTCATCTCAAGGTTTATCCTGCCCCGTGGAGGTTCTTCTTCACAGACTGGAGGTCAGAAAGTGCAAATAAAACTGAAGCAAAGAATGTGATCTGGGCTCTTCTCAGAGACCCATTGCCCCGAGTGAGGCCCCCCAAACCTATTGGCCCTACTCTCATCGGGAAGGCCCCGTGAGGCATTCCCTCCCAGATGGAAGCCCTGACTTCCTGGTTACAAAGAGTTAATGTATTGTTTTTCATGATACCTCTAGAACACCTGTTGGGTGACCATCATGGACGTTTGGCTGGGATTTGATGTGGGGAGTGCAGAGGGGGACGTGGATCACTACGGAGATAAAGAAATCAATAGAGATACCTTTATGGTGTAGGGAAAGAGGGTGTGCACACTTGTGCCTGGGTTCACCTGTGGGTGCAGGTGTGCTGGGCGATTAAACAGGAGTGTACATGCATTTGTTCACGCTGGGGTGTGGATGTCTACCTGTGTGTGTAGAGCCTTGAAATTCAAGCCAGGCATATCCTGAGAACCTGACATTCCCAGATCCTCAAATATCTTTATAGACTACCCCCCACCCCCCGCTTTAAAAAAAAAAGTCTGTGAAGTGTGTACTTAAGAAAAAGTGTTTTGGTGACCTCTTCAGACCTTTAATGATTCCATAAATATGAGATCAAAGCCATTTATAAAATATTAAAATCAATTCTCCACTAAAATATACTCTCCTCTACCTCACCCCACATCATTATGACCAACACATTCGCATGGAGTTTAACTAAAGCTTCTAAGACTAAATAGAATCGTGATGAATAATAATACCACGCCCCTATTAACTTCTCCTGTGGCAAGGGAAAACGTTTGCGAAATGTTTAAACCTTTTCTCGTACTTAAAGGTCAGCTCAGCAGCCACAGGACTGCCTCCACCACCTGGTGCTTTATGGAAATGTTGACGTGGCTCCCAGCTGTTGTCTAGGCGCATTTCCACAGAGAGTCATGGGTTTCCTGGGCATATACTCACAACACTCTCAACCGCCTTTTTAGCTGTCACAAAAGTATTCATTCCCACTCAATAAGCAATTTTTGCCCTGGCTGAAGCACTTGCTGAAATGATTTCATAAATCATCTTTTTCTTGTTTTCAAACACTTGCAAATCAGAGCCACCATCAAACTCAACATCCACTCCTTAATTCACCCGCAGCTTCTATTTTCTTGCTAAAAACCATTACTTCCTTAGACTCCCTCGCTTACTTTTCAGTTTCATCACCACCCTGGGCAGTTGGCTCTATTTTGGGAAATGATTTTTCACAATAAAATGAAGATTCTTATCACTTTACAGGAGTTGCCACATAAGCCCCAACAACAAACCCCCTAGAACCCAAGATCCTGAGAAGGTCAACAAGGTTTCTTCACTAGCTGAGTGTCTCCCTCACATGCCAGCCTCCTGGCACATGTGATTCCCATTTAAGCCTCAGCATAATTGGGAATTACGTCCTGGATCAAAGATCTACTTTATGTAGACCAGGCCTTCAAGGATTTGCAACCATCAGGGCAGAAAATTTTCATGGTTGCTTCTAGGGATGGGCAGGTGAGATCAAGGTTGGCCTAGAATTGCAGTCAAGAAGGCTTCACTGCTGGTGGGCTGGCAGAATCTGGAGTCAAGACCAGAGGCTCAAGGCTGGACTCCTTGGATTAGGAAACTCCCTGGAAGTTCAGGGAGCCATGTAGGTTTCCTGTCCTGTAAGATTTGGGTCTTGCATCATTTCTTACGGGAAGTGATCTCTGACCTCTCCCTTGTCTCCCCAGAGCAGGTGAGCTACTTCCACTAAGCTCATGCCATTCCACCTCGTTCCTTGGCCACTGGACTTATTCCCTGTGCTGTGCTTACTGCTGGTTTCTCCCGTCTCTGCATCCTGCATTAGACTGTGATTCCCTGAGAAGGGACTCTGCCTGCTCATTCATTCTGTTGCCAGTCATATGGCTTATGGAAAGGATGTGCTTCTAATGTGGCTATCCGCATTCAGGGCCAGCTTCCTGGGTTCACAAACTGTGAGGTCACACAGGTCACCGAGGAACCTATGCATGGTATTATGCTCTGCTATGACCATCTTGAAATTCTGAACCATTTTTTGAAAAAGAGGCCCTGCATTTTCATCCAGCACTGTGCCCTGAAAATTAGGTAGCCATTCTTACCTGTATTTAATAAACTGGTAGACAGGAAGTATTTTTAGAGGGTTGTTGTGCCTAGATGTCTAATATCAATGTAGCATTAGATGAGAATCCCAGAAGGCAAGGACCCCAGTTATGGAGCACTTCCTGATAGCACCCAGCATCAAGCCGAGGCACAAGGGCATCCTTCACCATCACACTTACCCCGTGGCCTTGGCTGGAGCAACTTGAAAGTATGGAGAGGGTCACCAGCACCCAAGAGGACCCTTCAACAAGAACCTGGAGATTGTGTGTTTATGGCACTAAGTGTGGCATGCATTTGTTCTCTTGCATAATTTCAGAGCCAGACAGTGAAATTATAAAGCTAGGAATGACAAGAATGATGAGGCCCTGCAAATCAGGGAAGACACATCACCATAAGCTCTTTATCAGGCCTTCCCCCAAGAGGCCCTCTGTGGAAAGTGGGAAGCAGGAGGGCCTTCTTCACTCCACGGTCGAGGGGAAGAGGATGAGTGGAGAGAAGAATTCTAACCCCATCCTGGGTGACTTTGATTCAAGCTCCATAAGGTTTACCAAGGGGAAGCTTGATGATTTGAGGCAACCTAGAGGGACAGAGTCAGTCCAGGTGCCTGGGCCAAGCAGCCCTCTGCCTCTGCACCTTTGAGGTGTGAAGAAGAATAGTAAATTCCTGAGTTTCCTGAGTGCTTTCCATGTGCTACTTGTCACAGTGCTAAATGCAAGTTCTCATCTGATCCTCTATAGTCTTGCTAGAGAGGTGTTATGAGCACTACCATTTCATAAACGAGGACACAGAGCACAGAGAGGTCCAGTGATGTGTCCCCAGTCACTCAGCTGATAGTTAAGGGGAGAGTCAGGATATAAAGCCAGATATACCTGGTGCTGAAACCTGAACTCCCAGTGCTGCAGCGCCCTACCCCTCAACCATCTAGGGCCAGGAAGGCCTCACTTCTGGGGTCTGGGAGCAGGGGCTTTCATATGATGGGAGGGGTTGTGCATCCATCTGCCTGGACAGATCAGAAGGAGAGAAGAGGCTTGGGGTCCCCATCCTCAGAAATAAAAACAAAAAAGCAGAAGTCTTGTTGGGAGTGGGAGGATGAGTCCTAAAATTATCTCAAAACAAGTCAGAAACCTGGAATATACAAAACTTAAGGCTTCTAGAACCTCTGCCCTTGTCCTATTCCAGTTGCTTATTTCTTCATTCATCCAGCAATTACCTCCAAAGAGCCTAACATGTGCCAAGCACGTTTTACTGGGGACTAGGAGTGCAGAGATTCAAAGAGAATTACAGATATGGATGAGATGCTGATCATGTGCCAGGGGCTGATTTAAGTACATTCTATGTACTTCTTTCTTCACAATAGCCCTGTGAGGCAGGCACTGTTATTATCATCTCCATGTTATAGCTGAACACATTGAGACATAGAGAGGTTAAGTCCCACATCTAGGAAGTGGTAGAGCCAGGATTTGAACCCGGACAGTCTTGCTGCAGCGCCTTCTCTCCACCACTCCATGGCACCACTTCAATCTCAAAGATCTTACTGTTTAGAGCAGTTGTTCTAATCCCCAACCCCACATTAGAACCACCCAAGGATCTTTTAAAAATCTGCACCCTCAGGGAGACTCTCGTACACTGTAGGTGAGAAGACAAAATGGCACAACCACTTTGGACAAACACCTTGGCAGCTTGGCAGTTTCTTGAAAAGTTAAAGACACATCTGCCATCTGACACAGCCATTCTACTTCCAGGCTTTACTGCAAGGAAAATTAACACATATGTCCACACAAAGACTTGTACCCAAATGTTTATAGTGGTTCTATTTGTAAGAACAGAAAACTAGAAATAATGCAAATGTCCATCAACAGATGAATGAATAAATAAATAGTAGTATATCCCTTCAGTGGAATACTATGCAGCAATAAACAAGAAGGAACTGATACAAGCAACAGCATGGATGGATATCAAGTGAACTATCCTGAGTGGAAGAAGTCAGACCAAAATGAGTCCTGTATGATTACATTTATATGAAATTCTGGACATTTTAAACTAGTTGAGAGTGAGGGAAAGCAGATCAGTTGTTGCCTGGGGAGAGAGGATAGAGAGGAGAGGAGAAAGGGACTGCATGGGGTGGGTCCAGAGGAAAATCTCGGGAATGATTGATACCTTCATTATCCTGATTGTGGTGATGGTTTAAGAGGAGTATACATACTTTAAAATGTAACAAAGTGTACATTTTAAATATTTGTTGTTAAAATAAAGTGTGTACACTTTAAATATATGCCAATTATAACCTCAACAAGGCTGTAAGAGAGCCCATGCTGAGACCTCATCCAAGACCAAATAAATCGGAATCTTTGGGAGTAGAACCCAGACATCTGTATTTTAAAGTTCCTCAGAGATTCCAATGGGCTGTCAAGGTGCAGAAGAGCAGATGCAGTGAGGAGACTGTTGCATAAGCCAGGGGTAGGTATTCAGATTAGGTGAGGGGCCCCATAAGGGGCTTTGAGAGGAGAATGGTGTGGCTGGGGTTGCATTTAAGACACTGTTGTTGGATCCAGGGTGAGGAAGACAGGCTTTAGACTCTCAATCTTTTGACAGCAAGATCTGCACTCTCAGGCAGGTGACACCTGCTCTTCATTCTTCCTTTCCCTTATTCATTCATTCACAGATATTTACTGAGGGCCAACTACGTACCAGACATTGCTCTAAGCCCTAAGGACAAGAATGAAGGAAACAGAAATCTCTTCCTTCATGAGTTTGCATTCCAGAGAAAATAAACAGTGTGGTTACAGGTTCTGCATGATATGTTAGATGCTATGAATAAAAAGGAAGCAGGGAATAGAGGTGGGGAGAGATGGGTCTGGATGCAATTTTAAAGAGGATCTCACCGAGCAGCAGACATTTGCGGACACACCTGAAGGATATGAGGGAGTCAATCTTGCTGATTTGGGGGAGGAAGATTATTCCAGGCAGAGGGAGCTGCAAGTACAAAGGTCCAGAGGCTGGAGCAAGGGAGGGAGTAGAGAGGAAGGCAGGGAAGAAGCAACTCACCTGGGGCCCTGCAGGCCATTGGAAGGACCTGGCATTTCCTCTGAGTAAGAGGGGAAGCTGTTGGGGCATTGGAGTAGAGAAGCAGTAATAAATTTTTTCCCTCAAGGTTCCTTGTAAATCAGATGTTTGTCAAGTGAATCCTGCTTCAAATCCCCTATGAGAACCTGGGCTGACCTTGCTTGAAAGTGGCTGGATTCCACAGAGCATGTGTGTTTGCACAGATGCTGCACATGCTTTACTCAAATGAAGTCTTTCTGTGGCCCCCTAAACCCCCAACTCTTTTGGGTAAGAGCAAGCCCCCTAAGTAGCAACATGCCCACATATAGAACTCGCTCCCCCTCCCCAGGGACCGCTTTCAGGCAGACATGCTCCTCATCATTAAAAATGGATGAAGCCTGAACAGAGGGAGGGAAGCATGCAAGGAAGATGTCAACTGTGAGTGAGGCTGCTGGCCCTGCAGTACGAGTCCTGGGCAAAGGAGCCTGAGCATCCTCTCTCTTGCCCAGACCGCATGAATTTGCTGGAATGTTTTCCATTCCATCCATCCCAAACAGCTAGTGTACCATTTATTGAGTCCTTACTAGGTGCCAGTGTCTGTGACATGTGTTTTTCACATGATCTATCTCATTTAATCTTCTCAACATCCCCAAGTCTTAATAACTCCCTGTATTCTTCCATTTGTGTTGCTATAAAGGAATATGTGAGGCTGGGCAATTTATAAGGAAAAGAGGTTGATTTGATTCATGGTTCTGCAGGCTGTACATGAAGCATAGTGCCAGCATCTGCTTCCAGTGAGGCCTCAGGAAGCTTACAGTCATGGGGGAAGGTGAAGGGAAGCCAGCGTGTCCCATGGCAAGAGAGGGAGAAAGAGAGAAAGGGAGGGGATTTCAGGCTCCTTTAAACGATCAACTGCGTGAACTCATGGAGTGAGAACTCACTCATTACTGCCAGGACAGCACCAAAGCCTTCATGAGAGATCCACCCCCATGACCCAAACACCTCTCACTAGGCTCGCATTCAAACCATCTCACTCTCATCTCACTGATGAGGCCCCTGAAGGTCAGAGAGGTACAGTGTAGTTCTCAAAGTCACACAGCTAAGGTGGATGCCCAGGCCTATCTGATTCCAGAACCGTGCTTGGAACCACACCATGACATTACCACTCCCTCCCAGATGTCACTGAGATACTGGCCTCCTTTGCCTTCCAAGCAGGACAGGGCATGCAAGGCCAGAAGACTCCTGTCCCAGTGAGCGCAGCTCCTCAGTCTTACACAGGCCTAATGGGATTTTAGAGGCAGAGGCAGGCTGTGAGAAAGAGGTGGGGTTTGGGATCAGGCTGGTCTTGAACTGGGGGAAGCACAGGCCCTTGTTAGGATGCCCAGTGACATCAGCTGCAAAGCCTTCGACACCCACTGATGCACCTGCAGGGGGCTCTGGGGCAATGGTGAGACCAGGCAGGGAGGCTGCCAAGCCATGAGTTGTGGGTGCTCCTCCTTGGAAAGTGTGACTACAGCTGGCAAGTAGGGGATTGGCAGGGGAGGGGGCTGATGCGCTGTAGCGCATTGATGGCCTGGATTTCATATAAGGCCCAGTAAACCAGAAACAATAGAGAATGGTAGGAGATGGAGTCAGAAATTGTGGCCTGGGGTTGTCTGTGCCCACACAGGGATCAGGAAAAGGATGGGAGATGTGGCCCACTTCAGACCCCACCTGCCATGGACATGCTTCCTGAATCACTGCCTCCCAATAACTCACTAATTCCAGAGTCGCCCTCAAACCAGATATGTCCCTAATCAGTGGGCGCTTTCTAAAGACATCATATACATAGACTTCTGCTAAGTACTGAGACTGAAATGCAAAACTCTCATCCCCCAGAGAGATCCTGTTAGCTGGGAGAGGAGGCGTCTGATTCCTGAGCTCAGAAAGGTTGGCAAATGAGAGTCTCTGTTTCCATGGGAAATGCGTGCGGTGCCCCTGGGCTTCCATGGTGCCTGGCACAGGCTTCCACTGCAGCACCCCCTTATCTCTCTGTAATTGTTTGGCTGCACATCTGTCTCCCCCACAACACCATGAGCCCCTTGAAGGCAGGACCTATGTCTGATCAATGTCCCTGTCCCCGATGGCTGGCCCAGACTGCTCCACAGAGTTATAAAATAAATTATTGAATAATTAGGAAGAAACTGCTTCCAGAGAGCATCAGGGTTCCAAGTCAGTGGTCTGATAATGTCTGTGTGAGCGAATCTACCTCCCGTGGATTTTGTGTGTTGAATAATTGAGTGAGGTATGCCAGGGGCAGAGCAGATGTGAGATTGCTCAAACCTCTGACAAATGAAAGACAGTTTCCAGCACAGAGGAGGTGGTCTGAGGCCGAGACCCATCCCATGGGGGTGGGCCTCTGGGGATTCCCAGGAGGTCCACCTGAGGAAGAATATAGGGTGGGGCAAGAGGCCAGCTTGAGTTGGAAGACGACAGTCAGCACAGCCCTGGAGGCACCAGGGATGGTAAGAGTGGGCTGGGGGCAGGAGCAGGGTAGGGTCCTCACTGTGGACCATTGTGACCTCCTGAGACCCAGAGGGCTTCTGTCACGTGGGGATCAGGATTTGGAAAGGGGCCGAAAGTCAAGTTGCCAGACAAAGCTTTATTCATTCATTCATTTGACCTATGCCCACGCTGCTAGGATCCAGCAGGAATGCAACAAAGCCGCTGCCCTTGTAGAGGTTGACTTCTGGTGTGGAGACAGCCAGGGGGCAAGCCAATCAAAAAATAATTTCAGATTGGGATAAATGGCATGCAGAACAAAAGCAGGGTCAGGGAAAGAGAGTGGTGAGCTGCATTACATGGGACAGGGCAGTCTGGGAGGGCTTCCTGGAGGAGCTGACCCTTGAAAAGAGACCTGAAAGATGTGAAGCCAGGAGTTTTTGCAAACACCGCAAAGGGCTTTGAGTTTGGCAGGTGTGAGGAGCCACCTGAAGGCCCCTATGGAAGGAGTCAAGGGCAGCAGGAGGGAGAGGGGGCAGGGTGAGCAACTGTGCTGCTTTGCTTTGACAGAGGATTTTCCGGGACACGGGACTTTCAGTACTAAACCTGGATATGTCCCGGGCAAACTGGGACTAAATTGGTCACCTAGAGGTAGGGCCTGAGGACAGAGAGGCTGCTGGGGCGAGAACACGCAGGCCCACCTCTGAGGTCACAGGGAGGACTTTGGGTTTTATTCTACATTGAATGGAAATGGAAGGCAAAAACTCGTTTCTGACTTAAATATCTGTGTGTGTCTGGCACTGTGCTGGGCAGTTGATAAGGATGAGGCATACACGATCCCTGCCTTTGCGGAGTTTCAGGCTTTTGTGTTTTCTCACATTGGCAATTAAGCCAGCAGTGTCACACGTGTCACCACACGCCTTCTCTGTGGCATTTTTTATCTAGGCTCAGAATAAACAAAGAGAAGCATCCATAGTCTTCAGAGCAGGCGCCTTTCCTCTCCACCTAGATCAGCAGGTTGCTATTTCCAGACATCATCTCACTGTGACCACGAGGGAAGCACATGTTATCTGATCTGGAAAATTGAGCAGGGGCTCACCTTTACTGGGCACCTGTGTGGGAAGGTCACAGGTCAGCAGGGAGTCGAGATAAATAGGCAGCTACAACACAGCATGGCGAGGGCCTTGTGTGGGCAGAGGGGTATCATATCCACAAGCATGAACATCTCTTAAACACTAACTGTTTCAGCTTTCTTTCTGCTGCATAAAAAAAATCACCACGCACATAGCAGCTTAAACCACATTTACTACCGCACAGTTTCCATGGGTCAGAAGTCCAGGCATGGCTGAACTAAGTTCTCTACTAAGGGTCTCACAAAGCTGTCATCCAGGGGCAGCTAAGGCTGAGGTTTTATCAGAGACCTGAGGGCCTCTCTCAAGTTCACATGATTGGTGGCAGAATGGTTTCCTTACAGCTGTAAAATCAGGATGGCTTCCTTCTTCAAGGTCAGCAGAAAAGTCTCTACTGCTTCAAGTCTCTAACCTCTAAACCCTCAGGGCTTACCTGATTTGACCAGGCTCACCCAGGAGAATTTCTTTTTGGATTAACTCAAAGTCAACTCATCAGGGACCTCAGTTATGTCTGCAAAAAAAAATCCCTTCACCTCTGCCATATAACTTTACCTAGTCATGGGTGTGACAGCCCATCATCTCTACGGGTCCTATTCACACCCAAAGGGAGGGGATTGTGGAGATGGGACCAAGGGGTGGGATGCTGAGGGGCATTTCAGAATTCTGCTTATCACACTAACCATGGAAGAGGTGCTTTACACTTACAAACTCATTTCATTCTCAGAACAATGCTATGTGATAGGTACTATCATTGTCCTCATTTACAAGTGAGGAAACTGAGGCAGAGAGGGGGTAAGTAATCAAGTCAAGGTCCCACAGCCAAGAGGACCCAGTGCTTTGGAAAAACACAGCCTCATGGAATGAGGATCCCTGTGGCAGTCAGGAAAAGGCGTGGGGGTGGGAGCGAGCCTACCAAAGTTCGCCTTGCTGTTTCATAAAGCGTTGCCATGGAAACCCTGCATGAAGCATCCCTCAAAGAGCTGTTTGATTATTTTTTCAGGGTGGCATCTGCAGTCACCTAGCAGCAGCACCAACACACACACATGCGTGCGTGCACACACACACACACACACACACACACAGTGACTGAGTTAATGGGTCTAGTACAGGCACATGGCAGGAGATCTGGAAGGTCTATTGATAAATGAATTGCTTATTGGCAGGATCAGGGTTCTGTTCGGTGTCTCTACTGCAGGGAACCCAGATCTGGGAACCTTTCAGGTCCTGATGGTCATGGTGCTGTCGGTCTTCAGTCACTGTGGGTCCAGAGAGACTGTCTCTCAGCTGCCCCTTCTGTCTCCTCCCACTGGCTTATCCTTCCAGCTCCAGCCCTGCCTGCCCTTCCTAGACCTTCTCATGTCAGCAATCTTAGTGTCTTTGGCCAACCTGGGAGTGGGATAGGATTGTGTAGAACTCATTGACATTAAGCCTGAACACACAGACCTATAAGGCATGAAACTTGTTCACTCACAGCCCCTTTGATGAATTCCAGCTCCTTTGATGACACAGAAAGTCCTGGACACTTATTGATCTTGTCCCAAATCTTAAAGCGAGGTCTAGCCTTGCAGATCAATGAGGCAGGAGGCCCAGGGTAATCATTATGATGACAATGATGATAATAATAATGACTGCCATCTAGTACAACGTCTTGCCAGGCAGCATGCAAAGTGCTCTGTATACATGGTTTCATTGCTCATTTGTCAGTTCATTCAACAAGTATTTATTGAGCAATGGCTCTCTGCCAGGTACTGGGTCTATACTAATGAATGAGTCAGAGAGGCTCCCTGCTTGCATGGAGCGTACCTTCTAGTAGGGAAGATAGACAGTAAACAAAGGGGGGAAAGACAGCCAGTTGTGATAAGTGTCATGCAAAGACTTGAAATAAGACAGCCTTGGAGAGAGGACCTGTGGGCTTCTGCCTCTTTGATTTGTGTGGTGAGGGGAGGCCTCTCGGGGGAGGTGATAGGTGAATGCAAGAGCCCTGAGGTAGGAACTTGGTAAGCCTGAGGACCAGAAAGTTGGGCCACAGTGGCTGGAGCATGGTGAGGAAGGAATCAAGGGCACCAGCAGAGACTGGCCACGGAGACTCTGCAGGTCCAGGACAGGAGGGTGATTCTTATTTAAAGGGAGATGAGAAGATTTAGGGGGGTGTTAAGCAGGGGAGAGACATGCTCTAATTTGTATTTTAACAGATCCCTCTAGCTGCTGTGTGAAGAGTGGCTGTGGGGGCAAGAGTGGAATCAGGGAGCTCAGTTAGACCTTTGGAGACACCGGGTGAAGGAGACTGGGGCTTGGGCCACGGAGGTAGCACAGGAGCCAAAGAGGAGTGCTTGGGTTAAGGTATGCTCAGCAGGGCTGACTGATGGTGTGGGTGTGGGGGTGGAACATAGAGAGGATTCTGGAATATTCCTAAGATTTTGGTCTGAGCAAGAGGGTAGATAGAGATTCCATCTTCAGAGCAACTCTAAGCTGTGATGTTTTCTGCACTGCATAACTTAAAAAGCAGACACACAATGGCCTGACACCTGCTACAGCATGGATGGCTCTCAAGGACATTATGCGAAGTGAAGGATGCCAGTCACAAAAGGATAAAAACGATATGATTCCACTTATATGCAGTGCTTGGACTAGTCAAACTCATAGAGACAGAAAGTAGACTGGTGGTTGCCAGGGCCTGGGAGGAGGGGGAAATGGAGTGTTATTGCGTAGTGGGTACAGTTTCAGTTTTGCAAGATGAAAACAGTTTTGTGGATGGATAGTGGTGATGGTTACACAACAATGTGAATATTCTTTTTTTTTTTTTTAATACTTTAAGTTCTAGGGTACATGTGCACAATGTGAATATTCTTAATGCCACTAAACTACACTTAAAAATGGTTAAGATGCTACATTTTATGTATATTTTACTATAATTAAAAAGAACAGAGCCAGGATCTCATAGTTGGTAAAAGGCCAAGCCAGGTTTGAACTCAGATCTGGTGTGTTAATTGCCGCATCACCCTGCTTCCAGGAACACAGGCCCCAGCCTTGATGTGAGCTCCCTCATGGTACCAGTGTCGAGGTGGAGATCAGCCTACATCATGCACTGGTGTGGCCACCATAGGAGGACACCAACCCCCAGGTGTGGCTGGTTTGGCACCTGTAAGTGGGATGTTTGAATGGAGAGATGAACAATAGAAAGTAGACTGAACGCCGGCACTTTATTTTGTCTAATAGTGTCAGCATATACAAAGCAACCCAATAGAAATGATGATGATGATGGTGATGGTGGTGATGATCAGGGTGACACAAAGTCAGCTTCCACACACTGGCATATCAGTGCCAAGCCCTTCACACATGACATTTTATCAATCCTCACCACAACCCTACAATATAGGTACTTTCATTATTCTACATTTCATTCTACAGATGAGAAGACTGAGGCTGAGTGACTTTCGTTAAGATTGCCCATGAGTAAGCGGGAGTAAAAGATCAAAACGTGGTCTGTCTCCAGAGCCTGAATGCCTTTCTAGTAATGACCCGGGTTAAATGAGGAAACTAATTAAGAAGGTATAACAGCACTCACTCCTGAGTGTTCTATTTTTTGGGCCAACTTGAAGGGACACGCGGGTAATTATTTCCTGGAATAAGCATCCTCTGCACAGGCCCCAGGATGCTCCATGCTCAGCCTCCTGCGTGGAAGCTGACACCGCGTTTGCTTGGCGACAAGTCACAACAAAGCTCGGCACACTCCCACCCCGCCCCACTCAGGCGGCGCCTCGTGGGGGAAAATAAGATAAAACAAAATCAAGCTGAGCTCCTAATTCACATTCCATCTCTGGCAGCTCCTTGATGATGAATAATTCTGGAATTGGAAATGAGGCAGGAGAAAGGCAGATGGGGATCCGGGCAGTGTGGCCCAGCAGCCCGTTCTACTCGGGATCGTCCTCTCTTCCTCCTTGGGATGGCGAGACAGGGTCCACGGGTGATAAATGAACACCTTGACCTCCTCCTCCTTTTAAAAGAATTATTATTTTCAATCGTGGTGAAATACACATAACACCACTCATTATCTTAACCATTTTTAAGTGTGGAGTTAGTTCATTGGCATTAAGTACATTCACATTGTTGTATAACCATCCCCGCCATCCATCTCCAGAACCTTTTCATTTTCCCAAGCTGAAACTCTGACCCTTTAGTCTGTACTAACTCCTCTTTTCCCTCTCCCCCAGCCCCTGGTAACCTCTATTCTGCTTTCTTTCTCAATGAGTTTGACTACTCTAGGTGTCTCATATAAGTGGAATCATACAGTATTTGTTCTTTTTGTGACTGGCTCATTTCACTTACCATGATGTCCTCACAGTTCATCCATGCTGTGTAGTATGTGTCAGAATTCCCGTCTTTTGTCAGGCTGAATAACATTCCGTCGTTCGGATGTACCATGTTTTGTTTAGCCATTCACCCATCATGGACACTGGAGTTGCTTCTCCCGCTTGGCTGTTGTGATAGTGCTCCTATGAACATACCTCCTTCTCCTTTACCGGAGGCTGACTTAACCCTGGCTACCCTCAATTGTATAATTGTGGGTATTTGGATGGCCGGAGTTAAGTCAGTGTTCCCTCCCCCCACCACCAACAGAACTGCCACCCCCATACCCCTCACTTGGCCTCCACTAGATCTTACCCTGGGCCCTACAGGTTTCCATAGCAACCCAGTACCAATCAGCTGTGGAAGGCAGTCAAGTTTAGGGGTTTGAGTCCAGGCTTGTTACTTACAAGGTTTACGACCTAGGGCAAGTTAGTTCATTTCTGCGGTCTTCGTTTCCTCATTTGTAGAAACAAGATCATGATAGTACTATACCTACTTCGACTCTCAGGGGAGGGGGTTGAAGGAGATAATACTAGCCCTAGGTCTGTGCCAGGTGCCTTGCATGGATTATCTGCCTGGGTCCACATAGCAACCCTAAGGGGTAGTTATATTATTATCCTCTTTATAGATGAAGAAACTGAGTCTTGGGGAGGGAAAGGACTTGCTCGAGGTACCATGATAGCATGGGGGATTGGAGAAGGGAGTGAGCATGGCAGGGAACCAGAATCACTGGGCAGTGGTACTGGGATTCTGAGCACTGGGCTTGTACCCTTATCCATGGGAAGTGCCCTGCAAATGAAGGCTAGTCTGATAAATTTTGGACATGCTCATAGCTGGCTCCTGAGTCAATAAAATCAATCCGTATCTCTCAGGGAGCAGGGTCAGCTTGAACAGGCAAGGCCCTTTTCTGGCAGGGACATTTTAAGCTTGGAATGGGGCTGTCAGGTGAGCCATGCTGGGCAAAAGCACTAGGAATCTATGCCTGAACTCGGGGGCCTGTGGCTCCTTTCTTCCTGGGAGGAGGGTCCATGTGTTTTATCTTCTCTCAAAAGATCCCTGACTCCAAACTGGTAAAGACCCACTTGGATTCTAGCCCATGGATCTCAGAAAAAGCTACAGACTCTATAAGGACTATGAGCTACAGAGATTGGGTTCTACTGCAAGCTTAGAGAGGGCAGGTTCCTGGGTCAGCTGGGCTGTAGGCATCATGGAAACGTTGCAAGTTGGCACAGGTTGAGGCTGCAGGACAGACAGACTGTGCGAGGATTCAGGGGCATGTGAGAGAAGCTGGTTCTGGCTGTGTAGCAGAGAATGGGTAGGCCATGGCTCTGCAAATTTAAATTCATTTATTGCTCATGTATCTGTCCTGGGCAGGTGTTTAATATGGTGGGGAGCTCTACTCCACCTGGAAATTCAGGGATAAAGCCTCCTTCCACCTTGGAGACACACATCCCCTTGGGTCTGATCAACAACATCCAGCCAATGTAGGAAGAACATGCAGGAGGCTGCATGGAGGTTTTTATGGGCTAAGCCTGGCCATGGCCTGTATCACTTTTGCCCATGGTCCACCTAACTGCAGGGAGGTCTAGGAAAGGTTGTCTAGCTGTGTGCCCCAAGAAGGGAAGATGGAATTTTGGTGGAGCTAGACTTTTTTTGCCACGTGCAGCCATCCAGCAAACATTTGCTGGTGCCCAATGCCTTACGGAATGTTTAAGGAACAGAAGCCCTGTGACGTGAGTTCAGTAAACATATGGCTGACAATCTCACAGAAAGCTAAGTTCATTGAGGTTGTCATCCATCCACTCATTTATACATCCATTCATTCATAGAGTCGTTGATTCAAGAAATAGTTTTTGCGTGTCTACTGTGTGCTGGCCACTGTGCTATATGCTGGGATACAAAAGTGAAAAAAGTCAGACAAGGTCTCTGTTTGCATGGAGCTTAAATGTTTGTGTGTGTGCATGTGTGTGTGTGTGTGTGTGTGTGTGTAAACAACAAAAACAAGAACCACATAAAATGATTACTCATGACTGTAAATGCTCTGAAGGTATAATAAAGGGTGGTGAGGCAGAATAGCTGAGGTTGGATTAAATGTCAGGATTAAATGTCTGAAGGTATAATAAAGGGTGGTGAGGCAGAATAGCTGAGGTTGGATTAAATGTCAGGGTAGGCTTCTCTGAGGAGGTGACATTTGAGTTGAGTGCTGAAAAACGATCATGAATGAGCAATGCAGAATGGAAGACAGAGAACTTCTGGGCCAGGGAATATTGTGTAAAGGCCCTGGGGCAGAGAAGAACTTCATGTACTTGAAGATTATCCACCATCACTACTGTTATTCTTATTCAGACCTCTACCTCTTTGCTCTATTAGTTTTCCTCTGCTTAATACCACTGGTTCTGTAACTGGACCATCAAATTCAACAGCTCTGTTCAGTCCTGTTCTGGCTTTAGCTATCTTGGTGGCATTTCACACATTGCCAGCCAAGTTTTCATTCTCAAGATACTTGGGGTCATCACAGCCTCTTGGTCAGAGTTTCCTAGGACTCAGCCCTTAACTGCTCTTCTCCTTCTCTCTACCTTGGCTCCTGTGGCCTCCCCACCATGCTGAGTGTCCATGGAGGTGTGTACAAAGCACACTGGACCACTTGGCTCCACGGAGGAGAGGGGGATGTCTTCCCAGAGGTGACATTTGAACTGAGTCTTGAAAGGTTGAGAAGGATTTGCCAGATGATGAAAATCACAAGAGTACTTCAGAGGTGGGGCCAGCAACTGCAGAGGCCAAGGGGCGTGAAAGGGCACAAAGGAGAGATCACAGAAGGAGAGGTGACGAAGGAGCAGGAGTGTGCGTGGTTGAGGGTGTGGTAGGGATGGAAGTAGCGGGAGGAAAACCTGGACAGATGGCTGAGTCCAGATTGTGTAGGACATTAAATGTCTTGCTAAGAAGTAGACAGTTTCTTCTGCCGGCATCAAAGAGTCACAAGAAGCTTAAGGATGGTGCCTGGGTTTGTTTTATAGGCAGGTGAGTGTTGGAGCGAGGATTGGAGAAGGAAGTGAGCCTGGCAGGGAACCTGAAGTGGAGGACGGGCGAGGGGGTAGGTGGGAGAAAGCCAGGGAAGAGATTGATTTTTCTTGGCAGTCAACGATGTAAATGGCTGGCATAATTGCTTGACACAGAGCCTATCCTTAAAGGTCATTTGGCCTCACCTCTTCTTAGGGGTTGCAGCCCGGGATGGGCTCTGATAGTTTTTTAAATACAAGAGCACCTTTTGTAGAGTGTAAGCATAATGAGGGCAGGGAGGACATTCATCATCAGATCCCAGCAAACCACCAAGGTGTGAAGACACCAGTTGAATGAGTTAATGAATGAGCAGCTCCAGTAAGCCATGTGCCTCTTGAACAGATGACAGAATGGAGTGCAATGTCCCTAACATTTAGACAAATTCTTGTCTCATTGCTCAAGGGAGGGAAGAGAGAACCAGGCTGGCTTCCGCAGCCTCTCTCCAGCCCTGGAGATGTGTGCTAACAGACTGGCCTGGGAAAAGAGGGTGGAAGGTTGGAGACTTGGCCAATGTCAGTCAGGAATGACTGTGGGTCAGATTGTCAGATAGAGGACCAAGGGGAAAGAGAAATTGGGGTTCTCAGGTGTCTAGAAAAACACCCAAGGTTCTGGATGATGCCCGACTCAATGCTGTAATCAGTTAGGAGCTGGAATTAACAGCTTTCTATCTTTGGTGAACAATCACCATGGTGGAACAATGAGGTCAACAGCAGCTCTTCAGAGACATGAAGACAGACGCATCCCAATCCTTGGCTGAATAGGAAGGAGGGAGACAAGATACCCAGGGACATGGCATAAGGCTTCTTCTATGCATATGACCTGTGCCCCAGGACAGTTGCAGGCCAGGTCTAGAGAGTGTGGAGTGCAGCTCCCTCTTTTTCACCTGGGGAGATTTAGGGCCTGGTAACACCTAACTCCCAGGCCTTGAGTTCCTGGGCCTGTCAGTAGCCTAGCCTTTGCTGTAAATGTCATCTTGCCCAACTATGCCAACCACTGGCTTCTCAACCACGTTTCCCTCAATGCCCATCCTCAACAGGCTCTCCTACCTGAATACCCACATGCCATGTCCCTGCACATACCCACATACCCACACATTTCA
The DNA here is from genome assembly GCF_000001405.40 of Homo sapiens. Taxonomy (NCBI): domain Eukaryota; kingdom Metazoa; phylum Chordata; class Mammalia; order Primates; family Hominidae; genus Homo; species Homo sapiens. Next base: position 33,950,508 of record NC_000001.11, on the reverse strand, counting down.
TAGTTATGCAGTTTACATGCATATATAGACACACACATGCTCATGTAACACCAACACACCAGCATGACTATAGACACAAACTCTCCTCTCTCTCTCTCTCTCTCTCTCTCTCTCTCTCTCTCTCTGCTGGAGGAGAAATAAGGAGAGCCATTGTTGCTGGAACATTGGGTGTGAGGAGGAGACGGGTACGTACAGTTGGAGACATGGGTGGGGCTAGCTCATGGAGGACCTTGAGTGATATTCTAGAGCTTGACACCAACTGAAGCGCTTTTAGGAGGGAAGAGCCATGATCCTACTAGTTGTTTAGAGAATGGGTTGGATTGGGGCAAGTCTGAAGACAGAACAATGAGGAGGCTATCTCCAAGTCCAAGAGAAGAAACTGAGATAGGGTAGGGCCTGGTCCTGGAGCCTGAGCAATGGGGTGGGGGCAGATATGAGAGATGGAAGGAAGGTAATTCAAGAGACTGGGTGTGAGACCAGATGAGGTCTCAGCTTGGATGGCTGGCTGGATGATGGGCCAGTCCCAGATGCAAGGAACCCAGGGGAGAGATGGGTTTGGGGCAAGGGCAGGAGAGTAATTTGGGCCATGTGCAGTTGGAGGCACTTCTGAGATTTTCACTTAGAGAAGCCCGAAAGTAGCAAGACTTGGGGTCTGGAGTCAGGAGGAAGGTCTGGGCTGGGATTTTGCACACAGGAAGTTAGGAGTCACTAACCCTGGGAACAAGAGCCTGGAAAGCAAGCAGTGGGGGCTTCTGTACTCTTGGCCATGTGCCACTTCTTGTCTCTGGAACATCCTTCCTTCTCTGTCAAGACCATACCAAATGCCTCTTCCAGGAAACTTCTCCAAATTATTCCTTCCCCTCATCCCTGAAGTTGTGAGCCACTGGCTGGTGAGCCAGGGCAGCACAGGGCAGCTGAGGCGAGGATCAGAGAGGGGACAAGGTCTGAGTCCATTGATACACAGGGTCTCCTCTTGCATTTCAGTTTGCAGCTGGGTAGGACTATTCACGAATGATTCTTATTAGGCTGTACGGGAGGTCTTTAGAATTCAAAGCAACAGACCGCTCCCTGGCTCAACAAGAGCAGTGTAGGTCTAAGGGATGCCGCCTGCCTGGCAGAGCCAGGGTGCATCCCATGTTCTGGCTCCTGGGGCCATCTGCCCTCCCCAGCCACTGTACCCGGCTTCTCTCTTTTTCAGCTCCAGCCTCTCCCACACTGCCCTGGCATCTTCTCCCAGGGAATCCAGGGGCTTATATGTAATCACATCCTAAACTTATTGAGCACTTCCTGTGTGTCAGACACTGAGATAAGCACTTTGCCTGGTTTATTGGACTTAATCCTCTCAACAGCTCTCTAAGCTGGGTGCGATTATTACCCCCATTTTATTGCTGAGGAAGCTGAGATGCAGGAAGGTGAAGTAGCTTACTATTTAAGTAACAGTGCTGGGGTTTGACCATGAACCCAGAGTACAGCTCCAGAGTCCACTCTCCTAATCCATACCTGTTATACAACCAGTAACCCACAGCCAGGAGAGGCACAGATGGAATTCACACCCAGGTCTATGGGACACCAGAGACATTTTCTGGACCATGATGCCCTGTGTCTCCCTGACCCTGACAGCCCTTGATCCCTACCTCTGAAATCACAGACTGAGCCAGCAGATGCTTGAGGCGTCTCTAGGGTCAGATCTACCTCTGCGCCTCTATCCCTGCATTCTGTACTGTGTCTGGGAAAACAGGAGCTTAAACACAAGTGTCAGGCAGGCCCCATGAGTGTGTGATATAACACTGGCTTCTGAGGGCTGTTCTGGTTGTATAAAGAGATACCTGTGCAAAAGTTTATTAATCCAAAGAGGCTATATGGAAATGGATCGGTATCTTGAGATGGACGTGGCTTGTACATAAACATGAGTGGTTTATTCAAATGTGTGGGAGAGTAAGTGTGTTGTATCCATTGTCATGTGTGTGAATGTAAGAGCTGTGTTCAGACGCATCCTGAATTTGCCTGTTTTTATATATGCATGTTTATGTGTATGAGAATGTACATGTGTGCATGTCTCTTGTAAAGGGGAATATGTAAAGGGGATGTGAATGGATGGATTTGTGCATGTTGAGTGTGAGTGTGTGTTAGTATGCCTGTGTTTCTGTGTAAGACATTTTTGGGTCTTCCAATTAAGGAGCTTGTCCAGGGCAGAAGGCAGAGGGTAGAGTCCATTCTACCACCTGCCTCTATGACTTCAGAGGACCTGAACAGATGGCTTCCCCCTGCACAGGGTCCTCCATGAAGCCTTTGGAGAAGTAGTTGGACTCCAGAGATGAGTGAAAATTAATGGATGAGGCAGGGGCTCTCCTTTCCTACTGTTCCTGATCCTCAAACTGCAAAATGTTCACCAAGTACCATCTTTGGCCCAGTTAGGGAGACCTGTAGGAAACAAAGCCTCAAAGCAGACTCTGTAGCCAGCAAGATAGTCTTATGACTCACCAACTCTTCCTTCACTTCTACAGCAGCTAAGAAAGAAGGTGCCAAAGTCAGGCTGACTAGGTGTACACCCCAGTTCCCCTGGTTCCATGCTGTGTGAATGTGAGCAAGTGACTCACCCTCTCTGCGCCTCAGTTTCCTCTCCTGTCCAATGGGCACAGTATCCACCTCAGTGCTATTATGAGCATTAAATGAGAAAGGATTAAGTGTGAAGTTTGTCATAGAAGTGGTCCGTAAGCGATGGTGCTTATGCTGAAGGAGGAAGTGAGGAGGATGAGGATTCACAGGACACCCTACGGGAACTCAAGTGCACCACACGTTGAATCCCTGTCTTTTGCAGTCGCCCTGTTCACCATCATTTGCAGAAGGTGGTTGATGGTGGTCAGACGCCTCTTCCTCAGTTCCTCTTTGGGCCCCTCTGTCTAACTCTTCTTGGAAGGAGAGAGGCCGTGGGTCTGGAGCCTTGGGAACATGGTGCTTCTTCCAGTAAAATACAAGTTCAGCTGTCTCTTGCCTTAAGAGAGATGGCTGTGAGGTGTGCTGGGGCTTCAGGGCCGTGGACGGGGAGCCAAGTGGAGGAAATAGGGGCTCTGGAGTTCTGTTGTCTAAGGGATTAGTTGATGTGTGGGACATCATTATGGGCATCCCAAGTAATGCAGGTCCTCAAGGCAATACTTCCCTACCAGCCAGCAGGATATAGGGGACTAAGACTCAGCCTTGGGCAGGGGCAGCAGAGCCTGGCCCAGAGCAGGGCTCCCACCCTGGGGGAGGTTAAGGAGATAACAAGGCTAGTTATGCAGTCTGTTAGGACAGCCCTGGCAAGGGATAGAGTAACCTTCCAGGTGTGCAGCCTCACCAATAGTTATAAACCCCAGCCTCAAGGCAGGACCCTCCAGCCAGGTTCAGAGCCTCCTCCTCTTTGAGCTCCTTTGCCAGGATTGGTTCAGGGCTGAGGCCATAGGAGATGACATTCTATCTGCAGCTGGACAGGGATGTGGGCCAAACATGGCAGCCCTGGCCATAAACCTCCCAAAGCCTGAGGGTCATTCTGACCCAGACAAACAGAAAACCTATCCTGCTATAAAAATTGTCAGGTGGCCGGGCGGGGTGGCTCATGCCTATAATCCCAGCACTTTGGGAGGCTAAGGCAGGTGGATCACTTGAGGTCAGGAATTGGAGACCAGCCTAGCTAACACGGTAAAAACCCCATCTCTACTAAAAATACAAAAAAAAAAAAAAAGTTAGCTGGACATGGTGGGTGGTGCGCGCCTGTAATCCCAGTTACTCAGGAGGCTGAGGCAGGAGACTCGCTTGAACCTGGGAGGTGAAGGTTGCAGTGAGCCAAGATTATGCCACTGCACTCCACCCTGGGCGACAGAGTAAGACTCCGTCTCAAAAAAAAAAAAAAAAGTTGTCAGATGAAAAGAAAGAAGGTATCTCTTTGTCCTCTTTGTCCTTTCTTAACATGCTACATTCCTCTGGAAGTGACAAGTTTACTTCTTTTGTAAGAATTGATTTTACCACCACAAGTTACTAGCCAATGGGTCATAGAAGACCTTAGGCCAATCCTGCCCCCAGAACAAACAGTTGTTTGCATGTTCCAGTGGGAGACATGTTTGTCAAGAAAAACATTTTCACATTAACCTGGAAAGTTCTATGTAAACGTCAAGTACCCTTGCTATTGTTGTTTTATTTTCATAATGACTAGTACAGAAAGTAAAGCAACTCAGGTTTATCTTATTCCAGAATCCAACACCTCCCAAAATGTGTTTCGCAGAACAATTCAGAGTTTATTAGGCATTACTGAGAGTAAAGTTCCAAAGTCAGGGCAGTGATTATGTAGTCAAATTTTTGGAAATTCTGGATTAAGCAAGGTTAAGCAGGTTTCTCCTGCAGAAACTCTCAGATAAACTTGTGAGCACTGGTTTCTTCAAGAGGGAGGGAGTTTCTGTTGTATTTTTTAAAATTACCTGACACACTGAATGTTTTTCTTATTAAGTTTATTTCTCAGCCAGTGTATCATAGAACACACCGGAAAATAATTTTCTACCCCACTATGCAATTAATCAAATTTAGCCTCAAATTGCATATTTAGCTATTCTAAGCCTAATACTAACAGTATTTAGCCATGTTTCACCATAGGGTACCACTTATTTTCCATGTGTTTTTCTGTCTAGATATATTTGATCATCCCTGGGCTAGGGTGCTGTCGGGGCAGATCGGGCTGAGCAGGGGGCAGCAGGGCAGGTGCTGGAGAGGTTCACATAGGCCGCAGGATGAAGGACCTGGTGCCAGCCTAATGCTCTTCCTCCAAGGGACCAAGGCTTGCCACAGTCTTCTGAAACAGGGGCAGCACGTGTTACTGGTTTGGAAAAACTGAACTTCCCTTAGAGAGTGACAGGAGCAGGAAGGAGGCAATGTGGCTCCCTGCTCCCCTGCAATCTTGCTGTATCCCAAACCTTCTCAGGTCCTACCCTAGGAGGCCCTGAAACATCCCCCTCTGCATCCACTCTTCCAGCTCAATATTAAATTCCTTAAAGGCAGGGTCTAGCTCTTCCCCTTTTCCTCTGCCCCATTTCCCCAGAGAAATGGCCCCAACTTTTTAAGAGGTTGAAGTCTTTGACGCAGAAGAGATACCTCTTCCCTCTGGGTCAGGGTTGCCCAAATTGGCAAATTAAAATACAAGAAACCCAGTTAAATTTGAATTTCAAATAACAAAGTCTTTTTAGTATAAGCATATTCCAAATATCCCAAGGGATATCCTTATACTGTAGAAGGGTTTGTGTTTTTCTGAACTTCAAATCGAACTGGGAGTCCTATATTTTACTTGGCAGCTCTATTCTGGGGCCTATGATGTTTCCTTCTTGGTGGTGCTTCTTTAAAGAATCCCAGGTGGAAGAGAGGAAGCCATGGGTTCTGTGGTTAGGAAGCAGCAAGGAGAGTTCTGTTCTGACAGCCTCTCTGTGGCCCCTCTGGTGCAATGATGGATGTCTTTGCAGCCCCAGCTAGTCTAGGTTGGAGGAAAGGGGCCAAGGAGAGCTCTGACTGGATGTGGGTTGGGAATCCTCTAGGCCTGGCAAGGAGAGGAACTCTGAAGTTACCAAGAGCATGGACTCCACACTGGGGAAGCAGTGAAACAAACAAGGGTCTTGAATCCTGGGAGATCAAGATTACAACATGGTAAAAGGCACAGCCCTTAGATCAAGCAGCTTGGGTTTTAACCCCAGCTTTGATCCCAACCTGCATTGTAGCCCCGGGTAAGAGTTAGCCCGGCTGTTCCTCAGTTTCCTCCCTGTAAAAAGGAGACAGTTGTAGTACCTCCGTCCGCATAAGATGAAATAGAAGAATGCTAAGCAATGTGCCCAGCTCATAGTAAACACTCAAGCCGTGACTATTATTACTTTCACTACTCCTACTAGCTGTGTGACCCTTCGGATCTCTAAATTCAACTCTCTCTTTGGTAAAATGAGGTCATCTTTACCAACCTAAAGATTAGCTATAAAGACTAAAAATGAATCCTATTTTAATGGGGAAGGGTGGAGGCTATAAATACACAAGCCCTTCCCTGCAGTCAGCACAATGCCCACCTGTCCCCAGGGCCAAATGGTAGGGAAAAGGAAATTTGATGTAGGTCTCAATCTTCAAGTGCCACCTGCCTGTCTCTTCCAGTACCTGCTAGTCACCTCTGTCCAGCACCTTCCCTGGTGCAGCCCACTCGCCCCACAGTCCCTTCCCATCGTTGACTCCCATCAAAACTGAGCTTTCCTCACTTGCTTTTATCACAGGAGTTGGGGGGGGGGCGTTCCTGAGATATGAATCATATGCCTCACATAAGTACATAACTGAATAAACACTAGTTCAGGGTCAGCAAACTGTGGTCTGTGGGTCAGCTGGCTATTTTTATAACTAAAGTTTGGTTAGAACACATATTGCCTGTGGCTGCTTTCACACTGCATGGAAAAAATCAGGTCCCTGTGACAGAGACCATATAGCCTGCAAGGCCAAAAAATATTTACTATCTGGCCCTGTATGGAAAATGTTTGCCAATTCTTACACTATTTATTGCTTCGTGTGTGTGTGTGTGTGTGTGTGTGTGTGTGTGTGTAATTCTGATTAATATATAATATATATTTTATTATGTATACATATATATTTAATTCACTCAACACATTCCGGCTTCAACTAAGCACTCGCTTCCTGCCAGACATGAAATCAAATGCTAGATATATAAAGAATACAGCACTGTTCCTGCCCCTCAAGGAGTCCAGAGATGAAAATAGACACCTAAAGAAACAATTACAACAAGCAGGCTCAGCTCCTGTTTGGAAGCCAGGGTGTTATAAGTGGATGAATGAATGAATTACAATGTACAACAAAGTGCAGGAATTGAAGCGCAAGGAAACCCCCACGTAACTCCTTAGATGGGGTCCAAAAAAACCCAATCATGTAAAATGTGGGCTTGTGAGATTGCAACATTAACAAAATGAACAGAGGGAGCCTGCCTATTTCATGGGCCAGGAGATTCAGGATTCTAACAGCCAATTGCCAATGACATTGTGACAGTATTTATAGTCAATCAAGATGTGTTCTTGTGGGATCTTATGGGTTATACAAGACACTTAGGGTATCAAGGAGGGCTTTACGGAGGAGGTGACATTTAAGTGTGGCTTTGATGGAGTTTGCCAGATGAAGAATTTGAGAGAAAAGGTAGAGAGGACAAGATGAGAGAAGGCAGAAAAAACGTCAGCAACAGTCAGATCACAAGGATGGGGGCAGCCTAGGCCTAAGCTTTAATTCGTACTGATGGCAACAGAGAGGTTCTTAAGGTTTTCTTTTTATTTCCTTTTTTTAAAAATTAATCTTTCAAATTATTATGTATTCTCATGAGAGTCACCCAGAAGACCATAGGTTCTGTGTTTGCCTGTGCCTTGGTGGTAAGGAACTTACTTTTATAATGTGGGCTCCTGGCAGGGTCAATAGGGCATGGCCATGGTGAATTTGTCATTCTAGAATGCTGGCTCCAGCATTGCTGAGGACAATGCACTGGAGAGGGCAAGGCCAGCAGTGAGAAGATCAGAGTTGGGCACAGAAGTCCAGGGAAGAGACCATGAGGGTCTTCAAATGAGAAGGAAGTTATAGGGCTAGTGTGGTTTATGGAGGACAGGAAACTCTAGGAGAGAGGCCACATTTGCTGCTGTCAGAAGTAAAAACCTAAAAACAAGAAAGGCCCTGGAGATTGAGCAGTTAAAGCTCAGAGAGATAAACCCAGCTGGGCCAGTGGAATAACTTACATGAATAGGTTAGTGGGAGTTGTTCTCAATCTCAGCTTTTCAGTCTCCTGGAGCAGCCGAGGCTCTGTTTCTCACGTTATGATTCAGCAGGTTTAGGGACAGGGTCTAAGCATCAGTATCTTTATAAAACTTTCCACATAACCATGATGCTGAAGGTTGCAGAATCACAAACATGAGTCGAGAGAATAGGCTTATGGCGGAGGGCTTCTGCCTGACAATGGTTAGGGCAAAGCCCAGCAGGGCGGGGCCCTCTGACTAGTTGTGGGTGGCATCCTCCATCTGATGCCCTGGCACCTCTGCCTCTATTTGATTGACAGGTAGCAGGAAATATACAGGACCAACCTAGAGGTCAGCTTGCCTGGTTGTCACCCCAAATCCTCTCCCTCAGGAGAATGCATGTGAATTCCTTGTGAGAATGTTTCAAGGTACAGTAGTCACTATGGACTTCCTGTGGAATGGACTGTGCAAGAATGGCCTATTGCAGGCAGAAATGTGGAATCCCAGACAGTGATGTGAAAACCTGCCTCTGCCCCTGCAGTGAGCTACGTGGCCTTGGATAAATGCTCCAACATCTCTGGCAACTATGCTTATCTCAACAAGTGATGATAATAATAGCACCTCTCTCGATAGGTTGTTGGGAGGATTAAATAAGATCATTAAGTCTCTCAGTAAGCTTTTATGAAGTTATTATTATACATCAGGCACTGTTCTTGGAACTGAGAAACAGCGTTGAACAAAAAAGACCAAAAAATGCCTGTCCTTATGGAGCTTACACTGTAGCAAGGTGAGACTAACAATAAACAGATGGATGTATCAAGCAAAAATACATATCATTTGTAGTATATGAAGTATATTAACTTTATATATGACATATATAAAATGTATAATTATATATCTCATGTATAATAAAATATAAATATATATCAGTTGAATGGAGAGGAAATGGAGACAGCAAGTATAGAAAACTCTTTGGGGATGGAAATATATGAAAAGCACTTGACATTAAGGATAGCACAGAGTAAGTATGCTATGAATTATGTTTAAAAGGCCAAACCGCTAAAAATAAGGGAGTCGTAAAGATTAAGTAAGCTAATATATGATGCAGAAGTGCCTAGCACAGATCTGGGACTCAAAAAAGAGTAGTTTTTATTCTTCCCTCCCTGATCCTGCCCACTGCCCCCAGATCACACACATATGGACACACGTACACAGGCATCACCTTCTCTTCTTTCCATGATGAGGATTGTGGGAAGACTAAATCCTTCTCCCTGAATTCTTCTTCCCAACTAGCCTACCACTTGGTATCAATCGTATGGCCATGGAGATGAAACAAGTTACTTGATGGAAGAGAAGAAATCAAAACATATGGAGGGTGCTTGTCCAGAGAGCATAAATGACTCTTCATTATAATAAGGGAACCAAAGTCTCAAATTAAAAATAAAAGAAGGCATGATGTAGCTTTTGCTGCACTTCAGCCACAGAGGAGATTCATTGTCATGCAATCACTGAGAATATTACGTTGATTGGCAAGAGTCGGGCTTTGTAGAAGAGACAAAAATTCCCCACAGCTAATCTACAATGGAATTGTTCAATGTCAGGCACTGCTTTAATAATATTGTTCTGGGCTGCGTTGGATGTAAATATCCCCCTCTTCATTTGGTAAGCAATCAAAGGGAAGCTTTATAGATGGGAGAGCATGAACGGTTATAGTATCTGTGCTAAAAAATACACGGACATTCTAAAAAAAAAAATCAAAGAACACGGTGCCTTAGAAAGGATTCGCTTTGTAGCTTATCTCCAATCTCCTATGTCTGTCCAGCAGGTTGCACATTAGACACATAACAAAAGACCACACTTTAAATGTTGCCCTTGACATTATTAAAAAGTACAGGACTGGCAAATCAGACTGGGAAAAAAATCAGACTATTAAATCTGGACAGTCGGGTAATCTCTCTTCATCTTATTGCAGTGCCTAGAATGATGAAAGGAGTAAGGGAACTCTTGTTTATTAAGCACCCACTATGTGCTTGGATGCTTTGCCTCTGTCAGAAGCAGTCTCACATTCCAGAGTGCTGAACAATGGAGGCAGAAAGACCGAGGTCCTCAACCTAGCTCTGCCATTTTCTAGTTGTTTGGCCTTGGGCAAGCAAGTGAATGAAGCTCTCTGTGCCTGTTTTTTTTTCACCTGTAAAATGAGGATACTCCATATCCCACAAGATAAAGTGCCTGGTATGTTTCAGGTCCTGGACTAAAAGTAAAATAAGCTTTTAGTCCAGGACCTGAAACGTACTAGGCACTCAGGGGTAGGTATTATAAGTTGAATTTTAATCTGCGCAACAGCCCTGTGATGAGTTGAATTGTGTCTCCCTAAAAGCTATGTTGAAGACTTAACCCCCAGTACCTGTGAATATGACCTCATTTGGAACAGGGTCTTTGCAGATGATTAAGTTAGGATGAGGTCATTAGGATGTGTACCCTATCCAATATGAGTGGTGTCCTTATAAAAAAGGGACATTCAGACACAGAAACAAAGCAAGAGAACACCGTGTGAAGACAGAGGATTGGAATGACGCATCTGCAAGCCAAGGAACAACAAAAATTGCCAGCAAACCACCAGAAGCTAGGAAGAGAAAAGGAAGGATTCACCTACAAGTTTCAAAGAGATCATGGCTCTGCTGACACCTTGATTTTAAACTTCTAGCCTTCATAACTGTGAGAAAATAAGTTTCTGTTGTTTTCAGCCACCTAGTTTGTGGTGCTGTTACAGGAGTCCTAGCAAATGAAAACACCCTTACAGGATGAAAAAGTATCCCCAGTTTCTGAAGAATTGAAGGCCAGTGAGGGAAAGTTTACAGCTCAAGATTGCGCAGCCAGATCGGGGATTTGAACCCATGTCTCTCTGAGCCTAAAGTCTGGCCTTTCTCCATCCACTGTGGGACCTCTCAGGAGTGGAGCTTGGCATAAAAAAGCAGGTGGGGTTGGAAATGAGCCCCATTCATTACACCCAGGTCCCAATGGAAGCATCAGGTCAGAGTGGTCTGATTGTGAACAGCTCATTAAGTAAAGAGCAGTGAGCTTTTGAGAGTGACTTTTTAAGAAGAATCGACTTTTATTTATAGTGATGTTCCAGTCATTAATTTCGAAGGAAGAAAGCCCAAAGCAGAAGCAGGTTCATTAAAAATTTGACATTAGTAATTTAATTAAATTGGGTCTTTGCGTCTCATTGCGGAAAATGACACGTTAGTTCTACACCAGTTCTCAGCTCATTTCCCCTAGTTGGCTCCCTCCCCTCACCTTAGCTTGCTTTTTTCTCCAAATGTTTACCTGACCTGCCCTTCCCACCCCACACTCATAAGCACACACACATCACAGTCATTGCCTCTGCTGTAAGACACCTGCATAGGATTATGGGAAACACCAAGTGAGCCAGCAGCAGGGCATCATGGGAAATGCCAAGTGAACCAGCAGCAGGGACTGATCATAGAAGATGCTAAATAAGCCAGGAGCATGGGATCTCATGGGATACACCAAATAAGCAAGCTGCAGGGGATCATGGGAAGTACCAAGTAAGCCAGTAGTGTGGGATCATGGGAAATGTTAAGTAAGCCAGCAACAGTACAGGATCATGGGAAACACCAAGTAAGTCAGCAGCAGATCATGGGAAGTATCAAGTAAGCCAGCAGCATGGGATCATGGGAAATGCCAAGTAAACCAGCAGCAGGGGATCACGGGAAACGCCAAGTAAGCCAAGAGCAAAAGATGGGAAGTACCAACTAAGCCAGCAGCATGGGATGATGGGAAATGCCAAGTAAGTCAGCAGCAAGGGATCATGGGAAATGCCAAGTAAGCCAGCAACATGGGATTATGGGAAATGCCAAGTAAGCCAGCGGCAGGAGATTATGGGAAATGCCAAGTAAGCCAGCAGTGTGGGATCATGGGAAATGCCAAGTAAGCCAGCAGCAGGGGATCATGGGAAATGCCAAGTAAGCCAGCAGTGTGGGATCATAGGAAATGCCAAGTAAGCCAGCAGCAGTACAGGATCATGGGAAACACCAGGTAAGTCAGCAGCAGGAGACCATGGGAAGTACCAAGTAAGCCAACAGCAGGGGATCATGGGAAATGCCAAGTAAGCCAGCAACATGGTATCATGGGAAATGCCAAGTAAGCCAGCAACATGGGATCATGGGAAATGCTAAGTAAACCAGCAACATGGGATCATAGGGAATGCCAAGTAAACCAGCAGCAGGGGATCATGGGAAATGCCAAATAAGCCAGCAGTGTGAGATCATGGGAAATGCCAAGTAAGCCAGCAACATGGGATCATGGGAAATGCCAAGTAAGCCAGCAGCAGGGGATCATGGGAAATGCCAAGTAAGCCAGCAGCAGTACAGGATCATGGGAAACACCAGGCAAGCCAGCAGCAGGGGAATATGATAAATGCTAAGTAAGCCAGCAGCACAGGATCATGGGAAATGCTAAGTAAACTAGCAGTGTGGGATCATGGGAAATGCTAAGCTGGGCCAATGGACAGGGCAATAGAGGTAAATCTTTTCATCTAGATCATCTCACTTGGCACAGGTAAAGAATGGGCAAGGAAGAGCTCTTCAGTCTTTAAGATTCACTCTCACAAAAATATAAGCCTCTGAGGGCTGGCCCCACTGTGCCAAGCACGGTAAGCCCACAATGAATTTTTGTTGCATGAAGGAATTAATACATGAATGAGTAACTCTCCAAATAACTAATTAATGAACATGCACATATGTCCCTACAAGTGCCAGGCACTGTGCTAGTCTCCCAGGATATACCTATGAACCAGACTAGGCCCACGCCCTCATGGCCCTGTGGCCCAATGGAATGAGAACATTTGCCATTTTGTGAGCACCTACTATGTTCTGGGCGTTGTGCCAGGCATGCAGCATTTATATTGGTAACTCCCTCAACCGCTAAATATTATTGGCCTCACTCCTTTCTCATTTGAAGAAACTAAGGCTCAGAGAGTTCATGTGACTCAAGGTCACACAGAATAAGACATGATGGCACCTGGTTTCACACCCAGATCAGGCTGGTTCCAAAGTCTACCATTACCCTCTACACTGAGCTGTTTCCTCTCAGAGGAGGAAGAGAGGAAGGGGGAGGGAATACCTTTTTTCAGAGGGTTCTGAGATCATCAGAGCTGGTAGAGGGTTCTGGAAGGCAGATACTAACAGCAACATTGGCAGGAAGAGGGTATTGCAAGGACTAGGGGGGCCATTTAGAGTCCAGGCCTGCCCACTTCCACTTCCCCATCACTGCCACCCCACTCTTTTACTCCAGGCTCCCTCAGCTCCTGGGTTATCTCTGGCCTCAGGGCCTTTGCACATGCTGTTTGCTCTTTTTTGCTTAGCTAAGTCTTACTAATCTCCCAGGGTTCTGCAGAGATGTCACCTCCTCCAGGAAGTGATCTCTGACCTCTCCCCCAGCTGGGTTTGGTTCCCTACCTGTTCCTGTCCCATCATAACTCTTAGTGTGCCATTAATTGTGCACAGCACCCACTGTACCGAGGGTTAGATTCACTTGCGTTGTACTCACTGTACATCAGGCTCTGTCCTAAGCACTTTGCATACCTGAACTGGCTTAATTCTTGCAACAATTATTTTGATATAAGGAAGGTGCTGTTGAGCTCCCTATCTTACAAATGAGGAAACTAAAGTGCAAAAAGGTTAAAAGACTTACTCACGGTCCCACAGGTGGTAAGATTTCAGGCTGGGAAGTGAACTCAAGCACGGTGGCTTCCAAGTCTGCACTTACCACCATCCGGCTGCATGGCCTCTCAGAGACAGCCTCAATAAGTCATTGCCAGGTGGATTAATGGAGAGGTACTTAAACGGTAGTCTGGGCATGACTAAGACCCCTACTCCTCACCCCATGGGGGTATCCTAGAATGATAGGAGGTGTTGACCTTTAAGGCACAGGCAGTTCTAACTCTGGGGGACAAGGCAGAGGGCAGGGGGAAGCTGGGTCAGTTAGAACAGGTGACTGACTTATGGGCACAGAGAATCTGTGTCCTCCCTCCCTCCTTATTGCCAGGTCATGGTGCTCTTGCACCTTCCCCAAGACCATTTCCTCTGCCTCATGAGAGCACACTTGCAGGTGACCATGATTGCTTGGCTCTGGCCACACACTGTGCATGGTGTTTCCTGGCTCCCAATTTTCCCCCTTTAAACCAGTCAGGCTGATGAGAACCCGGGTTCTTGTTTTCCCACTTCACTGCCTATTCTGCCTAATCCAACCCTTTCAACTCCCCTGAACCTGCGGGGCCAAAGTGCCCCTCTGGCTGCCAGGGTGGATCACACATGAAAGAAAGGACACTGGATTTAATGAGCACCTACTCTTATGCCATGCCTTATGTCCCTTCCATGGTATTTAGTGAGGAGTGTGGAGTCTGAAATCAGGCCAGCCATGCCCAAGAGGTTAAAGTAATATTCCTGGAATTGCATCTCTAGTGATCAGGATGAACATAATTCACATCCATGGCTGCGCATTAGAAAAGGCAAGAGACCTGGACATCCAGTTGTAAACTCATGTGTGAGATTTTGAGTAACCCTTGTCTCTTATGAGTAACCCATTCCCAGGGAATCTACAGCCTTGAGAAGCGGGCAGATCAGCAGTGGGCAATGCTGTTCACAGAAGAAGAAATGAGTTCCAGGAAGCCCGAGTGGCCTAGGGAGTTGCTACTAGGAAGCCCGGTGTCAGGGCTCCAGCCCAGCTCACGGGGTACCCGTCTCTTTCTCTGTTTCTCCTCACAGTTCTCCCCAGCCACACATGTGGGAACCCAGGGAGGCTGCCCAATGGCATCCAGCAGGGTTCAACCTTCAACCTCGGTGACAAGGTCCGCTACAGCTGCAACCTTGGCTTCTTCCTGGAGGGCCACGCCGTGCTCACCTGCCACGCTGGCTCTGAGAACAGCGCCACGTGGGACTTCCCCCTGCCTTCCTGCAGAGGTAGGTGGCCAGCAAGGGGTCTGACAGAGTGGGGCAGTGGCTGGGAGGTGATGCTGGAGCTTCCAGTGACATCCAGTCTCAAAGGGCAAAGCTACACCCCAGCAGGGAGGGGGGTACCCAAGTCTGGACAGCACAGAGGGTTTTCAGGGTCCTCAAGTGTTCTAGGGGTATTTCAACCTCACCTGACCTCCTAACCCTCAAGTGTGCACTCCCTCATTTTTTCCCCTGTATCAACAAACTTATATGTAGCCAGTCTTCCCTTACCTCTAGCCCTCCTGTCTCAGAAGAAACATCATTTCTCTTCCTATTGCAGACCCTCTCTCCTCTTGTGGAAGCCAGATCACTTTCCCAACAGCTTTCGTACTGACCTCACTGTAGGAATTATTCTTTTCTCTTTCCTATAAATTCAGCCTCTCTCCCTATCTAATAGTTTCTTCCTTTCAGCCTCCAAATATGCTCAAAATCTCTTTACTCCAACAACCCCCTCCCCCAGAAAAACACCTCTCTTCTATGCTGTGTCGGCCTCAGCCTCCCAGCTAGGTTGACCAACTTGTTCATATTTGCCCAAGACCTTCCCAATTTTAGTCCTGAAAGTTCCGCATCCTGGAAACCCACTCAGTTTCAGGCAACAGAGACATTTGTCACTCTACTCCCAGCCTATTCCTTACACAATCTTCTTTTTTTTTTCCTTTCTTCCTTTCTTTTTTCTTTCATTCTTTTTCTTTTTTCTTTTTTTTTTTTTTTTTAATTTTATTTGAGACAGGATCTTCCTCTGTCCTCCGTGCTGGAGTGCAGTGACGTAATCATGGCTCACTGCAGCCTCAAACTCCTGGGATCAAGCGATCCTCCTGCCTCAGCCTCTGGAGTTGCAGGGACCGCAGGCATGTGCCACCATGCCCGGCTAATTTTTTTTTTTTTTTTTTTTTCATGGAGACAGAGTCTCTCTATGTTGCCCAGGCTGGTCTTGAACTCCTGAGCTCAAATGATCCTCCGGCCTTGGCATCCCAAAGTGCTGAGATTACAGGCATAAGCCACCATACGTGGCACACGATCATTTTTAAAAGCTTAGAAAATACAGAAGGGAATAAAGAAGAAAGAAAATTTACCTGTTTTAACTGTGATTTTAATGTATGTCCTTTCCATCTTCTTCCAATACGTATTGCACATATGCATATATTACAAATATGTACATAAATTGAGATTATGATGCATGCAGACAATTTTTAACCACCTTTGAAAAACAATCAATCACATCACACTGTAAGATTTCCCATGCCATCAACATAGCCCAGCATCTTGAAAGCTCCATCCAGCCTTGTCCCTCCTTTTCCCTTCTCATTTACTCCTCTGCAGACTGGCCTTTGCCCTCAATATTTGCATCATTTTGCCAAATCAGATGGGAATTGTTTTGGCTCTTGTATTTCTTGACCTCTTAAGAAACCTTTGCACTATTGACCACTCTTTTCTTCTAGTAACGCTCATCTCTAAATTCCATGGATCCTGAACATCCATATATCAGTCTGGGAGGAACATTTCCAGGAGTTGAGAAGTCATTGGAATAACTAGCTCCTCCTTTAGTTCAAATTTTATTTTTCTTTTGGAGGAAGATTTTCTGTAATTACTGTAAAAGACTAGCTCCAGGGATAAGCAACTCCTTCTTCCTGCCACATGCACACACTTTTTGTTATTGACACCAAGGATAAAAATTACATGGCATGTATACCTATTCCCCTTCTTCCCAATCCCATGGCAGACATAATTAATTGTTCATTGCACCCTTTCTGCTTGGGTCCAGACACAGCTGTGAATTCCCTCCCAATAGGCAAGCCACAGCCAATCAATCTGAGTTGCCACTTGACTTCACCTTTGTTTACCTCTCCTCAACCAATAGAATGGGCCTTGGCCATGTTGAGCCTTCTTGGTGGACCACAAGGGAACTAGAGTTCCCTTTCCTGCTTTCCTAAGTCCCATCTTCCCAGGCCCCATTCCTAACTCAGGAACTGCCTCTTTCCATGATGGACTTCAGGAATTACCAAACCAATCAGGTGAGACCTTGGCCCCTACACAGGTGTGTGGCCTAACCACAGCCTGAAAGCTGCTGTATCTGCCCTTCCTTATAGCATCCTTACCCACCCCCTGCCTTAAGGATGTTACCGTTAACATTCTGATCTTCCAAGGAGGGTGTCAGAGTTGTGACACGATGATAGAATATGAAATATGATAGTAAATAAAATCAAGTGTCTAAGTTATGAAATATAAACTGCAGTTCTTTTTCTTTTTGCAGCACTATAAATGCCATGCTATTTTGTTCAAGATAAAAACCAGAAACAAATGTAATCCAATTACTGGATGCAGCGGGGGTATCACTCTGCTTGGGGAAGTAAAATACTCAGCAATATCCAATGCTAATATGGTGGAAATCCACTAACCCTCCTAATATCTCCAGGAATCTGTCAGCTTTAGCTTCCTCTGAATCTTGAACTCAATGCCCTGTCTCCCTACCCCTGCTTCTGCTCTGCCAACTTAGGTTGGGAACTGGGTCCATTTTTCTTGGATCCCCTACTTCTCCAAAAGACAAAATACAAGCCAACAAACAAAAACATCAACGAAGGCGTCTGCATGTAGTTCAGGCTTTATGGAAGGTGTGGCAATGCAAGGAGCTTACATCTTAGCAATGCAAATGACTTAAAATGAAAGTATGAGCAACCAGGAGCTTCACAGTCTTTTGGCCCCTCCTCCCGGGAAGCTTCTCCCTGGCTTCTGTCTTGGCAGGCTCCAGGTTCCCCTGTGATGTGCATTGTACCCTCTCTTCTTTCTCCAGCCTCTTCCACCTTGGTGCTGCCTGCACCTTGAGCCCATTTCAGAATTTCCATCAACTTCTTAGGCACAAGAGCCTGGTTTCCTCTTGGTTTTGTCATCTCCTTGCAGTCTAATGTCTCCCCTCCTCCTCCAAGCTATTTAGGTATAGGGTAGTATTTTCCTGAACAAAGAGAACTCTCATTCTATAAGACACTCTGGGGCTGGATGTTAACATATCTTTTTGTTACCCCACCAGCCAGAGATAAGTGATGAGGGGCACCTCATGGAGGTCTTCTACCTCTTGGATGTCTTCATGTCCAATCAAGGCTCACAACCCAGTGTCTTTGTGTCCAGGCACAGCGGGCAGCAAGGGCTGGCCCTTCCGAGGGAAGGAGCAGGGTGGAGAGATACCACTCTTCTGGCATTCACACCACACAGTAATTCATGGGCCTGGGCGGGGGTGGCATGTCTTTTGGTGGCACGACTCTCTGAAGTCTTCCAATTCTTTTTTCGTCGTCTGAAATGATGATGATTCTTTCCCTCCTTCTCCTTCACTGACTTTCCACCCTCATTCCCCTTAAATACTGGAGGGCCCAGCTCGGCCTCTTCTCTGGGGATTTCTTCCATCTCTTGGAATTTCTCATCTACTGTGTTGCTGTAATTGTTACTAGGGGGCAACTCTCCAATCCCCACCTCCAACCCCATTCTCTGTCCTGAGCTTCAGGCCCCTGTGGAGAGTGAACTATGCTAAAGTTCTCCTCAGCTTGTTTCAAACTTGGCCCATGAAAACCTCACTCTTCCTGCTTTCCCCAAACCTGCTCTTTTTGTTGCCTTCCCCAGCTCAGTGAAAAGTGTCCCCACCAACAGTGGCCAAGCTGAACCCCTCAGGGCATCTTACATTCTTGCTTTTCTTGCTGTTCACATCGCATCATCGGCCCCCATGTCCCTCTGCACCAGCCTACCCCCTCCACATCTCTGTTGCTCTTCAGATGATGGTCCAGGCTCTCTCGTCTCTCACTTGCCTCACTGAAGGTTGACCCTCTGTAGGCAGGTGTGCCCCAGTTCTCTCCTGCTCACACCAGCCCATTCCTACCTGTACTGCTAGGGAGAACTTGCTAAGGCACAGATCTGACAAAACTGAGTGGCTCAGTCCCTTAGTGGCTCTTCATCACTGACGGGGTCTAGTTCAGATTCCTTAGCATGGAGCAGAAGGCTCTTCCAGAAAGAGCCCCACCCCAATCTTTCCAGTCTGTCTCTTAGACTTATTTTAAGTAGCTTCCACTTTAGCCACACCAGAGAATGCTCCCTTCCAAACGCCCTAGGGAAGCCAGCTGAGGATGTCAAATCCTGCTTCTAGAAGGGCTTCCAGCCCCCTGCTGCCTGAGGGGTCTGAGATGTGGTTCTGCTCAAAGGCTGGGAGAGAATAAAATGACTTTCCAACTCTCAGACCCCCTAGGGCTTCCCCCCACCCCCAGTCACCTCCCTACCTTCAGGTTCATCTCTATTATAATCCCCACAAGCTACAAGAATATCCTAAGAAACATCCTCAATAATGTCAGTGATTTTATAAAAGTGATTTCCCAAACTGTTCTTCCTTAGGAGGCCAAGCTAAACAGGAACAAAGGGTACCCACCATACACCCATCCTGTGCCAGGAGTGGTGGTCATGCCAGAGTGAACAGGTTCATACTTGGGAAGCATTAAAAGCCTTTTGGCCTTTCTTCCTCTCGTGTAGAACTCTCAAGAGCTGGCATCTGCGAGTGGGTAAACCTCATCCACTGGGCAGTGGTCCGTAAATATTTGCTGAATGAACGGCTGTCTGGATGGGTCTAATTCACCATCAGAATCATGCTAGCATACAAGCCCGAAAGGGAAATTACTAGCCTGGGTTACCCCACCTGCCCAGTAGCTCTGAGTGACAATCTCTTTAAGTCCAAAGCTTCCCGGAGCAGACTGGAAAGCCGTGTGTGTCTGTTTTATCTAGGAAATGTCATGTGCCCAGCTGGAGGGTGGACTTGGTCTGGGGACACAGCACAGACTAGGAGTGGGGGAATAGGGAACAGCTGGGAATAGGGGGGAGCCAGGTGTAAGGCCGACCCCCAAGGAGGCCCATCCCAAAGATCCTGACCCATCAAGGCTTGGTCCAGCTGACAGAGGGAAGGAGATGGGGCCTGTGACCCCCCTTCACTTTGTGTCACACTGGGCACGTTTTCAAAAGCAGAGGTCCCTGGGAGGTGCTGAGCTTTGTGTCATCTCTTTGATCCACAAGAGGGAAGATCATGTGGATTTCAGCAACAGGCCTCTGATTTATGAGGGCCATTGGCCCTGGATCAAAGAAGGCTGCATGGGGAAGTGACGGAATTCATATGCACTGGGGACTGAGAGGCAGGTGGTAGGGAGAAAGCTGGCCAGAGCAAGAAGTGCTTAGCCTCTGAGGTTCAAGCCAAACACGGCAGGCTGTCACCATACCTGGGGAAGACGGAATACGGTCTGCAGAAGCTTGGACTGCAAGCGCTGAGCTGTATTCCAAATTTTCTGGCCCCAGGGGAAGAAACCTGCAGAATGTGAAAAAGAAGCAGTGGTGTCGGGTATGGACAGTGCATAGAGTCAGACTGGCCTGGGTTCAACCCTAGGTAAGCCAGCCCCTAGCTGTGTGGTTGCCAGGGGTGCTGCTAAACCCCTCTGAGTTTTAAAGGTGGGACACAAGTAGCAGCCTTACAGGGCTGATTGTGTCCTCATTTTATTCACTTGGCTACTCAACAACTTTCTCTTGAGTGCCTGTTATGAGCCAGCCAGTCATTAATTCAATTATCATTTATTGACTGCCTATACAGTGCCAAATATTGTTCTAGACTCAGAGAATTGGAATGATGAGCAAATCTGACCAAATTCCATGATCTCTTGGAGTTTACATTCTAGCAGCCAGGAGGCAGAAAACAGATACACACGCCAAATAAACAGGTGGTGGTAGGAGCTACGAGGAAGTAAAGTCTTAGCCAGTGATGGGGAAGGCTACTTTAGACGGAGCAGTCAGGGGAGGCCTCTGTGGGGAGGTGGCCTCTGAAATGAGTCCTGTGACAAGGAGGAGCCTGTTGTGTGAAGACCTGGAAAACGGCATTCCTGGCAAAAGAAGCAGCAAGTGCAAAGGCCCTGAGGTGGGGGAAAGTACTGGACACGCTAGAGGAACAGAAAACAAGCCCCTGTGGCAAAAGTAGAGTGAGGGGTGGGTGGAGAGGGCAGGGATGGGGTGAAGCAAGGTAAGAAAGCGGAGGCTGAAGCGGGCAGATCGCGAGATCAGGAGTTTGAGACCAGCCTGACCAACATGGTGAAACTCCATCTCTACTAAAAATACAAAAATTAGCTGGACGTGGTGTCACATGCCTGTAATCCCAGCTACTCAGGAGGCTGAGTCAGGAGAATCTCTTGAATCCGGGAGGTGGAGGTTTCAGTGAGCTGAGATCATGCCACTGCACTCCAACCTGAGTGACAGAGCAAGACTCTATCTCAAAAAAAAAAAAAAAAAAAAAAAGTATAGGCTTGGTTCTGAGTTCAGGAGGCAACCAGGGGAGAGTTTTAAGCAGAAGTATAGTCCAATTTAACTTAATTTTTTTAAAAGATCACTCTGGATACTAGCTGAGCAAGAGCCACAATAAGAAGATCAGTTAGGAGGCAGCTATTATGGGCAACCAGGCTGGAGTTGCTGCATCTTGGTCGAGGGTGGCCGGAGTAGAGGTGGAGGGACAGGCGTAGATTGGGGCTGTGCTTTGGGGATACAGCCAACAGACCTTATAGATGGGTTGGATGGCTGATAGAATAAAGGGCCAAAGTTGACTCCTAGGCTTTTCCTGGAGGGCTGGTGGGTGGGGATGCCAATGACCAAGATGGAGATGACTGGCACAGAGGGCAGGAAGCATGTGCCCTAAAGGGAAGCAAGACAGCTCACTTTGTCCAGGTAACGTTTGAGACGCCTGTGAGACATCCAAATGGGGGCATTGATTCTGCAGCTGGAAGGAGTCCTAAGCTAGAAAGAGATCTGGGAAAGGCATAAGAGGGCAACACTGTAGATAGCAAAGAGGGTCTGGGCACTGCATGCTGGACACCATTGTGTTGATCAAATTTAACAACA